>NC_000012.12:88710128-89335128 GCF_000001405.40 Homo sapiens | reverse complement strand
AAGTAAACTCAGAATAAATGGAGTACAAATTCTGTTTACGAAATATTTCCTGGTTGATGGCCACTAACGTGCAGCCCTGCATGACATGTTCTTTGAGGAATGAAAGAAGTGAAGTTGAATTCTGTTTCTCCATCATTTGGGAAAGATATTTACGAAGCCGTCCTGAGTAGAAGATTGCATCATTTCAGAGCAGAAACTCAAAACTATAGTAATGGATGCTACAGTGTGGGAGATGTGTTTACTTTGGAGACCATTGAGAGATGTGAGAGGCTTTTGAAAACTCATAACAAAATTTGTTCAGTACATTCTTTGTGATATGTTAAATTTGCAGAATTCTTTGCACGGCCACATGCAATTTCTGTGAAGTTCACTTCCTCTATGCCAAATATCCCTTTGCATTTTGTGTGGTTGAGCTTCAGAATTGTGGGGTTTTGCTGATGGTGGTTATTCTTAACAAAGTCTTTCCCTCACTCCTTGGAGGACAGATAGGAAAGGTACATGCATGAGCTAGTTGAGTCAAACATTTTCCAATTCTTCTGTTCCTCTTCTTTCTTTTCAAAACATGTATATATTTTTAAATATTTCATTTTTAGATGTTGAGTCTTAGTGATACTAATCTAGTACCATGATTCTTGTATTGATTCTGAATTTTCAAGATGATTTCTTCAGCCTAAAGATAGACCAATTTAAAGTCTAACTGTCTGATGAGGTGAAACCTATAATTATACAAAAAAAACAAAAAACAAAACAAAACAAAAAAAACGGGTGGGGGTGGTTACATGGGAAGAAAAGTGAAAGATTACTAGCTGACACCCAAAGACATAACCTAGCTTTTTCCCCCACCTGAGAAAAAGAAATAAATAAAAGCTAACCAAACAAAATATAAGGAGAACTGTAAATAAATAAATCACCATTGTCCCTGAGAACCTGCCTGCATGGGAAGGAGAGGTGGGCTATAGCCCATAAGGACCAGAGAAACAAGAAAGGAAGTGGGTGAGATTGCTACATGAGTAAGGTTCTGAGGAGTCATTAAAGCAAAAGGGAAACTAAATCCCACTGATGTGTAGATTCAAGGCTCCGAGAGGCCCTAAAAAGTGGGTGGAACTCCCAGGTCATCAGGAGGTCACAAAAGGACAGAGGAAGCTCAGGCAGCCTGGAGTCATGCTTTCTAAGGGAAACTAGAGTTAAGCCAGTTCTTTGACTTGGCTTAAGAAGTGTGCGTAAATCAACCTGTAGGGACGGGTGGGGAGAAGTGAGGTTTTAAAAAAATGTTTTGAAGCCTATTCCTTAATTTGAAGTGATAATCAGCATTTTTAGGTTGTTTTTTTTTTTTTATTTTAGGTGCACTGGAGATTTGTTTTGGTGGGAAGAAGGAATTCCTTCCTTCCTTCCTGCCTTCCTTCCTGCCTTCCTTCCTTCCTTCCTTCCTGCCTTCCTTCCTGCCTTCCTTCCTCTCTCTTTCTCACTTTCTTTCTTTCTTTTCTTTTCTTTTCTTTTTTTTTTTCAAGGTCTCCATATGTCACCTAGCTTGGAGGGCAGTGGCGTGAACATGGCTCACTGCAGCCTTGACTTCCCAGGCTCAACTGATCTTCCTTCCTGAGCCCCCTAAGTAGTCAGGACAACAGGTGCATGCCACCACGCCTGGCTGTATTTTTTGTTGAAATGGGGTTTCGCCGTGTTGCCCAGGCTGGTCTTGAGCTCCTGAGCTCCAGTGATTCGTCTGCCTCAGCCTCCCAAGTGTTGGGATTACAGGTGTGAGCCACTGTGCCTGGTCAGACTGAGCGAATTTCTTGACATGTGCCTAAATAAATTAATTTTATCTCTTTCTTTCCTAAGGTCACTCTTCCCTTTAGAACCCAGGACTTGGATTCATACGCAAGAAAACTTTCACAGAACCTACTTTTTGGGTCTGGGAGTAAGGCTGAATTGGGTGTATATTTCAGCTTCACCACTAAAGCACAAGCTATTGCCAAGACCTAGGCAAGACCAAGTGGCAACAATGTTAGTGGTGGTGCTGCCTAAACGTCAGGATTGTCAGGAGACCAATGGCTGTGAAATGCTTGGCATGGACATTGGCATATACCATAGTAACTGACTGATTCTGAGCAAGCCCCTCATCTCTCTTGACCTCAGTTTTCTCTTCTGTGAAAGAACCATAATGCTATTTTTTTCAGGGTTATTGTACACTTTAAATGTGATGATGTGTTTACTACCGTTCTTGACAAATTTTTCTTCAAGTCTTAGCTCAAAAGTCACCTCTTCTCAGAAGCTTTCTGAATTCTTTGAAAAGATTAGGAGTTGATTTAACATGGTCCCAAGGCAATTTGTCTTTGTTGCCATTGTATAGTTTCTCATATTCTATTATAGATGTTGGCTCAACTCTGTGCCTTCATCTTTGTGGCTTAGTGTCTTTTCATGTAGCATAGTTGTTAAAAACTAGGCTTTCAGATAGGTTGGACATTTTTGCTTAACAATACCCTGTGATGCTGAGCTAGTTACTTTTCTTCTCTGAAACTCAGTTTTCTCAACTATAAAATAGGAGCAGTAATACCTAGCTCATAAATACTAACGTTGACCTATCACCTAGGATGGTGCCTGGCACTACAATAATTATCTGTAGAATGCATGAACAAATAGAAGCACTGTGCATATTAATGAAATGCATATGGAAAGCTCAGTGCCCTGTACTTGGTAGACTCTTTTTCTTTCTTTTTTTTTTGTAGGGGGAGGGGGCAGGGTCTCACTCTGTCGCCCAGGTTGGAGTGCAGTGGGGTGATCTCAGCTCATTGCAGCCTTGACCTCCCAGGTTCCAGTGATCCTCCCACCTCAGCCTCCTGAGTAGCTGGGACCACAAGTACGTGCCACCATGACTGGCTAACTTTTGTATTTATTGTGGAAGCAGTGTCTCACAATGTTGTCCAGGCTGGTCTCAAGCTCCAGGGCTCAAGCAATACTCTCGCCTCGGCCTCCAAAGGGCTGGGATTACAGGCGTGAGCCACCATGCCCGGCTTCTAGACTCTTAATAAGTCACTGCATATCATTAGATAGGTAATGTATACAATCATCCCTCAGTATACTTCGGGGATTGGTTCCAGGACTCCCCTCAGATAGTTCCCTCAAAAATTGGAGATGCTCAAGTCCCTTATATAAAATGGAGTAGTATTTGCATATAACCTATCCACATCCGCCCGTATACTTTAAATTATCTCTAGATTACTAATTATACCTAATACAATGTAAATGCTATATAAATAGTTGTTATGGTGTATTTTTAATCTTTCTTTTTCTCTTTTCTTTCTTTCTTTTTCTTTTTAAGACAGCCTCCACCCCCCTAGGCTCAGGCGATCCTCCCATCTCACCCTACTGAGTAGCTGGGACTCCAGACACATGCAACCACACCAGGCTAATTTTTGTATTTTTTGTAGAGACAAGATTTTGCCATGCTGCCCAGGCTGGTCTGGAACTCCTGGGCCCAATTGTTCCATCCACCTTGGCCTCCCAAAGTGCTGGGATTAGAGGCATGAGCTACTGCGCCTGGCTATTTTTAATCTTTTTTTACTGAATATATTTGATTCAAGATTGGTTGAATCTATGGATGAGAAATTTCAGAATATGGATGGCCTACTGTACTTGCTTATTTTCTGGGGTACGAATGGTATATGTCTTATATCATTTCTTTTAGGGTTTTGCCTAAAAGAAACAAGCAAATAAACAAATGTTTGCTAAATAAACATTTGTTTCTCACCCAGAGATAGGAAGAAAGTCTTTAGGAATCTGATATGCTAAATGCACTTAGAATTACAGAACTTTTTGGAGAAAGAGATCTTAAAGCTCTTCTGAACCCTTTTCTTATGCTAATTTTGTTTGTTTGTTTGTTTTCTTATCATTTCTTTGGTTTCTGCTCTTATTTGAACATTTCCTTCCTTCTACTTTGGATTTACTTTGCTCTTTTTCTAGCTTGTAATGTGGGAAGCTCACATACTTAATTTTAGACCTTTCTTTCTTTTCTTTTTTTTTTTTTAAGATAAGCATTCAAAGCTATAAATTTCCCTTTAATCACTGCTTTAGCTGCATCCACAAAGTTTGATGTTATAGTTTCATTATTATTCAGCTAAAAATATTTTCTAATTTTCCTTGTAACTTCTTCTTGGTCCTTTGGATTATTGAGAATTGTACTATTTGATTTCTAAACATTTAGAACTTTTCTAGACATTTAATTATTGATTTCCAATCTACCTTCATGGTGGCTATGAGCAAACTCTGTGTAATTTCAATACTTCTAAATAACTGAGACTTGTTTTATGGTGTATCATATGGTTTATCTTAGTGAACATATCATGGGCACTTGAAAAGAATATGTATTCTGCAGTTGTTGGGTATATTGTTCTATAAATGTCAACTAGTTGTAATTAGTTGACAGTGTTTAGATCTTCCATATTTTTACTGACATCTTGTCTAGTTGGTCTATTAATTGCAAAGAGGGGATGTTTAAATCTATGACTTCTATTGCTGAATTGTCTGTCTTTCCCTTTAATTTCACCAAGCTTTGTTTTGTATATTTTGAAACTGTATTATTAGTTATATACTCTCAAATTTTAAAAATTTTGTAGATGAGAAAGATTAAATTTTGCAACATGCTTTAAAAAAATTTGTTTGGGTCATTATAAATGTGTAGAGGCTTAAGTTACACAATTCATACCATGCCTACATTTATAAAATGTTTTTTAAAAGTACTCTTATATCACGCCTGTAATCCCAGCACTTTGGAAGGCCGAGGTGGGTGAGTAGCTGGGACTCCAGACACATAATCAGGAGATCTCCAGGTCCAGATCAGGAGATAGAGACCACCCTGGCCAACATAGTGAAACCCCATCTCTACTAAAAGTACAAAAATTAGCTGGGTGTGGTGGTGTGTGGCTGTAATCCCAGCTACTTGGGAGGCTGAAGCAGGAGAATCCCTTGAACCCAGGAGGCGGAGATTGCAGTGAGCCGAGGTTGTGCCACTGCACTCCAGCCTGGCGACAGAGTGAGACTCCGTCTAAAAAAAAAAAAAAAATGCCCTCTTATAATCTTCCTTCCAGAGATAACCACTCAAAAGTTTGACAAAGCATATTTAGGATTTAAAAAATGCTTACATAAATATATAGAAACATATATTTTTATATTTTTACATAAGCAGGATTATATTCATATGTTTTTCTGCAACAAATTTTTTTTCCCACAAACTTTAACAATTTATGGAATGTCTTTCCATTTAACTGAGCATAGCTTTACCTCATCTTTAAAAACAACTTTATTACATCGTTTTCTATTGTATGAATGTCTAATAATTTATATAATCAACTTCCTATTTTAGAATATTTAGCTTCTTTGCAGTCATTTACTATGATCAGCAATAGTATCATGTAAGTTATTGATTTTGCCTCATTAATTATTTCCTTTCAATAATTCCTGAAAGTGGAATGACTGCATCAACAGCCTCCCACATTTTACACTGATCCCTATTGCTTGATTGCCCTCTTTCAGACTCGCTACCCTCATCTCACTGGACATGGCTACTATTTTTATTCTTTCTCCATCAGTAGGGTAGCACTCGTTTTAAAAGCTAGCCATCTCTGCACCATATTAGAAGTTCATGCAATGTCAGGTCCAAGTTTTTAATGGCAAAAATGTTGAAAATATGCAAAGTAGGGGGAAGAGGAGGACATGATAAGCTTTCCACCTCTAACTCTTGATTCTCCTTGATCTCATGATATGGAAATAGAAGAGACAATTCATGTAGAAGAGAAAAATCAAAGTTTATTAGAGATGTGTGGGATACGTAAATTGGATCTAGAGCATTTTAACTTGAGGTCTCTGTTTTCTTCAACCCATTGCTATCAAGAAAATGACTCCCATCCCCATTTAGTACTCTAAATTTAGAAGAAACATTGTAGAAGACAATATCCCATAGAGGGATACCCAGGGCAGGATGTTATGGGAATAGGATGGCTGTTTATTAAGCACCTGCTCTCTGTATTCCAGATGCTTTTACTTACATTATCTCATATCTCCCACATCGACCCTGTGGGTTAGGTAGTGGTGTTAATCATTATTTTAGCCTTACAGAGGAGAAACCCTAAGCTCTTAAAGGGCAAGCACACTCCCTTAGAAGTGGCGGAACTTGTATTTTGTGTGTGTGTGTTTGCACTAAGGAGCATGCTCACTGGTCTCTATGACTATGCCCCAGGGAGTGGGTGTGGGGCATGGAGGGGCAGTAGAAAATGGAGCTGGTCTCTGTCCTCCAGGGGACAAATGCCTTTGTGAGCCTCAGGGAATCTGCTGGCTGCATTCATAGATCAAGACTCAGAACTATCCTAAACTGCCCCTTGCTTTTGGCAACAGTAGGGCTTATGTTTGTTTCCAGAAGTCACGGTAGTGATCACAATGAGGCTGTGTTCGTATGCAATTGGGTTTGACAGAAATTAATTTTTAATAAGAGGCTCTATTCAGTCAAACAATTGCCTTTCGGGGCCCATGTCGGGGTCGGTTGCCCAAGGCTGGGCACTGGCACAGAGTGTGCTTTTGGCTGTGGCCTGAGAGAGAATGAGAGAGAGAGAGAGAGAGAGTGAGAGTGAGTATGGTGGGTGTTGAGGGAGAGGTACTGACTGGTCTTTGTCAGATCTTGATTCAGGACCAGGCATTGGTCTAACCAGAAGCTGGAGGAGGCAGCTGGGTCATTTATTTGATTGCCAAAGAAGAATAATGTGGTGCCTCCAAGAAAACCCCTTCTAATTCCTCGTACTGAGAGCCCTTCCAACCAATTCAAGGTCTGGCAGATGCTCAGGGCATGAGTTTTTTCCCTGTGTTTTTGTTAAGTGTTGCTTACTCTGTGCTGTTATTTAACTCTAACAGTAACCCTGCAAGGCACAATGCTACAGTCCATTTTAAAGACGACGAAAACTACAGCTCAGAGAGGTTAAATAACTCAGATTATACAACTCAGAGGTTAAATAACTCAAATTATTTTGTGTTCTGTTTGTGGAGATGAATCTCCGTCTTCACCATCCCTCTAAGGACCAGTTATTGGAGTACTGGAGGCGTTGTTGAAACTATCAGGTTTGCGCCATCTCTCTCAATGGAATGACATTAAACAACCGTATTTATTTATGCCCATGACTAATATTTCTCCATGCCACTCAGTTAAGCTTTGCATCACTAACCTCTCTTCTTTGTTACTGACACCAATAAGGTGGCATTCACACCAATTTCAGAAGATCTGGGGGGCCTCTGCATTTTCTCTTTTAGAGGCTGCTTCCATTTTACTCAGGAAATGCACACTTTTTGGCGTTTTTTTTTTTTGTTTTTTTTTTCCAGTTCTACTAAAAGGCAGAATCTTGCAGCTCTGCCTTCTCAGTGTGGGTGGCACTGCCATTTCCAGCACTGCAAACTTATCCACCAGCCGCCCCCAAAACCTTTATCAGGAGACATGGTGACTTCTCTCCTAAATTACACAGGTCGGTTTAAAAATAGAGTGCAGGGGTTCCCTTGTCAGGAGAGCTGTCAGGCTGCCCACTTTTGACAGTTTCTTCTACCTCCCTTCTTCGGTACACATCAAAGAATTTTTATTTTTATTTAAAAAATGTTCTGCTTAAGTGATCTGGAGCCCTGAAATTACCAAAAAGGCTCATTTAAAGCATCTTAGGGAACCTTAAAAATGCTTCAGTTTCATGATTTAACATCATGTGCAACTTGATTTTCCACACTTCACCATCTTTGCAGGGGCATCATTAGCATGAAAATGAATTTTAAAAATATATTCTAGTGGAAGTGAACACCCTGACATGAAGAGCTCTGCTCTGTGTCTAGGCTGACAAGTTGGGGGGCACAGAGTAGCTTTGCATAGTGAGTGCAGCAAAAGGAAATGAAAAATTCAATGAATAGAAGACAAAACAAATAAAAACCAAACACATAAAAATACACTCTGGAAATACAAACAAATAATAATAACAATAAATACCCCACCACACACAGAAATGCTGGGAAAAAGAAGGGCCTACCACTTGGATAAATATTCTTTAGTTAAATCTTTTCCAAAATTCTAGGGTTTGTTGAGACATCTTGTCCTTTGTGTGGGGGAATGTCAAAATCTCCATTTTTTTTTCTGTAACCTTTTGCCTCTCCATTCCTCTCCTCTTATCTGCTGTGGCTGTTCCTCCCTTATATGGCTGTCCTCGGAAGTCCAGGAATTTGAATGTTATGTGAAAGGCTAATTCTAATTGGGCTCGGTGACATTCGTGTCAAATGGGAGATGTATGGGGGTCACCCTGCGAAAGATCAACAGGAGCCCGCATCTGCTGTTCTGCATTGCTTCTTTCATTCCATTCTCTGGAAATACTATTCTCGGCTAAATGGCCCAACAGCCCTGTTTTCCCCTCCACCAGGCCTCCCTCTCCCTGCCACACACTGGTTCCTTAATTAGCAGGGCAAATAGGATTCCCTAGCATTTCTTTAACATTTCAGCCTTGCAAAATGTTTATATTTACTATCTCATTTATCACACATAGAAACTTGTGAGATAAGAAGGACAGGTATTATTAAATCATGTTCATTTTATAGCTGAGGAACGTGAGCTTTTAGTAGGTTCTAGTTATCGCTTATGATTGCACAGCTCATTAAAAGCAGGGGCCACTTCCTCCCTCCCAGCCCCAGGATTTTTGGCGCCCAGTTTGGATATATTTCCTTAAACAGAATGCTTCCTGACTTGGGACATCAGGCAACATTTGTGGATCCAAGTTAGAGATTATTTTGTAATAGGAAAGCTCCTCCAGCTTTATGCCTCCATTTTATATAAGCTTTTCTTATCTCAATCTAAATGACTTTAGGAAGTGTATAGCTTCATTCATTCAACAAATATTTACACTGTCCTAGTTTGAGTACATAGCCGTGAATAAAACAGAGAAAGCCCCCACGCTCATGAAGCTTACGTTCCAGTGGAAGTGACCAAGAATAAAGATAGAAACAAATAATACATGATAGGTTTGTTGGTGAAAAGTGCTGAGGCAGAAATAAAGAAAGATGAGTAAAGTATTGCTAGTTTATATAAGGTGATCAAGAAACACCTCTCTGTAACAGTGTCATTTGGTGAGATACCCGAGGAATTGAGGAAGTAGGTGCTCCAGATATTTGTGGGCAAAGCAGTTCTAGAGATGGGCACTGGCATGTGCAAAGGCCCTAAGTTGGGAGAATACTTGTCATGCTAGAAGAAATGCAGTTAAGATAGCCTGGCTGGAGCTGAGGAAGGAGGTGAGAGGAGATCAGAGAGGTGGGCAGGGGAGTGTTGGTGGGATAGAGTCACAGTGAGAATTTTGGTGTTAACTCCGAGTGAGACAGAATACCACTTGAGGGGTTTGAGTATGGGGTGCTGGTATCTGAAAGAGCATTTAGACAAATGCCTGCACCCTGCTGGGTTGTGGCCCAGCTCTGACCCCTTCTATCCCAGCCTCGATCCCACTCAATCTCTTTTCATTGTTCACCAGGAATGGCTACATACCTCGGATGGCCCAGTGCAAAAAGAAAATGTGGGGCCTCTTGTTCAAATTGCTGGAAAAACAGGGTACAGTTGAAGGTCCTAAAATATAAGGCTTTTTCCATCCTTCTGCAGCTGGCTCTCAACTTGTAATGGTGTTTTAAATATGCTATTTGATATAATTCTAAGTAAAGAAGCATTCACATTTAAAATTATTAGCATGAATTTTACCATTCATCTTTATATTGTGCAATGCCAGTTTTAAATGCAACTATAGGAATCTTGTACTTGTATGCGAATCGATTAGATTATACATTCCATGTTTTGTAGTTAATACATGCATATGTAGTTCTTACCAGAGCAGAAGAAATGCTACACAAAATTGATTCAATTGTTTTTATTTCTTGCTATGCAACATTCTACCAACATTACCTTGTGCTTACTGATGAGTAAGGAAGAACTAAAAGGAAAAGGAACTATTGGTTGTTCCATCTTTCCTTTTTTTCTGTATCATCATTTTCAGGATAAGTGGTTGGCTAATAACAGCAAAGTACTAGGAATAACAAAGGATAAGTTTCCTTGGTTGTTTAGGCTTCTCAGGATGCCATTGCTTTCTTCCTACATTAGAAGCAAGTTCTGGTTAGAATGTAGAGTGTAGTCAGCACCCCCACTTACTCAGTCATAGATGTAACATGCTTGCCTTGTATTCACTTTCTGTCTTAATCTCCCAAACTGTAGATCCATTAGAATTCTGGGCTTACGGGGCATTGCAAATGCTCTATGTGAATGGAATGGTAATAAACGATGGACACGCGCAGTGTGGGTCTCTCCTTTGCTCATTTACATGCCACATTACCCCATTGGTTTTTGCTTAAAAAACAAAGGCTCAAAGACAGAATTATTAAGAACTTTAGGACAGTGACATCAGAACAGTAAACTAAGCTCATGGTGCATGAAGCACAGGCTGCACGCCCAGGAAGCTTGCCCTGTTGCTCACCCCGCTCTTTCTAGAACTAGCCTTGCCTTGGGGTAGGAGATAATAAAAGGACGATTGCAAGAGAGAAATAATCCTGGGGCCTGAGGGAAGTCGCTGTGCCTTGGCCTGGTGACAATTCACACTGCCTATATGGAAGGAGGCTCTTAGCAAATGCTGGTTGAGAAGATGGTACTGCTTAGAAAAGAGGAGGGTTATATCAGAAAGCACAGAGAAATATGAGAGAAATAGACAAAGGAGAGACACATATAATGTAATTCTAAGTGAAAGAGAGAAAGCAGATGAGGAGTGGATGAGGGAGAGACAACGGCTGATAATGGTGACACTGGTGGTTTTGGTTGAGTTGATTTTAGTTTTAGGGCTAGTGGCAGGGATAATATCAAAGAAAAGGGAATATTTATAAAATCAGGAAATAACCAGGGCCCAGGAATAAAGATGCGAAGTTAGGTATGAGTAATTATTAATCAAGAAGGGGAACTGGGAGTTAGTCTACTGATGTTATGGGAAATGGGGAGAAGTAATGAGTTTAGGATGGTCATTGTGTGCATGTGGTATCTATCTATCTATCTATCTATCTATCTATCTATCTATCTATCTCACTATCTATCTATCTATCTATGTATCTATGTATCTATCTATCTATCTATCTATCATTATCATCATCTTTTTTTTTATTGCGGGGAAAATGAAAGTAAGCACTCAGGGGCAGGATAAAATGTCAAACAAAAAAAGACAAGCTCTCTGAATTTGGAGAAAATGAGAAACTTGGGCTTTGGTTTCAGACTGTAGAATAATGTCAGGAATGAGACATTAGAAAGAAGTTGGTTGCCTGACATTTGTTAGTGATTTATGGCTAAGGTTGTGGGAGGACAGTTGTCACCTAAAAGTAGTTACAGCACAGAGAACTTCTATGGGCCATCTGTCTGAGTGTGAAGGGATGCAGAGGGATCTCTCAGTCCCCGGGGACTAAGATCTGGGATGATTCTGGGGAAAAGGCTGTGGTCTATTCTGTGTTGCCCTGAGACCAAAGGAAGAGGTGCCCCTGGCCTGGGCCCCATCCTCGAGGAGTCCCGGCCTGACCTTCCTTGGGATGCAAGGGGGAAAGAGCCTGAGAGGTTAAGGGGACAAACCCATCTGAAGGCCAATCCCTCTTTTGAGACCATGTTCCAGATACTGAGGACACTGGAACTCCCAGGCTCGATTCCAGATACCGACTGGGTTCCTTCTCTGAGTTTGTCCCACTTTTGAGCACTTCTAGCCTGTAGGATGGCCAAGGGCTGGCTGAACTACCCCCAGATATGCCCTTGAGGCTGCTTGTGTTGTGGGATGGACCTGGGAGTTATGGAAGTGGGGAAGCAGGGGGCATGGATCAGGGAGTGATCTCCCCATGTCACCATGTTCCAGTGCGAAATTCTGGAGTGTCCAAGGAGGCTGAATTTGAACTTGACCTTTCTTGTTATTAAGAAGATATAGTTATCAGAGCAGGAGAATAAAATATATTTTATTTAGCCATTTGTTCACTTCTTTCTTTAACTTTGAATTATTTATTTATTTGATATGTGAGCATTCATTTGTTCTTCTGCCCTAGCCCTGCCTCTGTATACATTCTTTCCTGGGTCTACTGACTTAGGGTGATGAGCGTTCCCTTTATCCCTTAACCCCTGCATTATTATTGTTGTTTTGTTATTATCTTTAGCAACGTAATGGGGACCCTGAAAGATTGAGAAGCAGAGTTTTTCTGCCTAAATATGCTCTCAGTTACTTCTCAGTTTGTGAATGGATACAGGTGTTTTAAGGTGGAGAATAAAAATATCTTGATGTTTTAGGCATCATTTGCTTCTTTGATACCTTGCACATGAGGGAAAAAGACAGAAAGACCAGAATTACTGGTTAAAGCAAGTTTCCTGTTTCAATCAGATGTCTGGAAGACATTCTTTACTTTGGGAGCTGGGGCTAGGACTTCCTTCACAAATTGGAGAAGAAACCAGTCCATCTATATGTCCTGTTTTTTTTTCCTCCATCTCTTTTAAGCCCAGGTCTTGAAACTTTTTCTTCCTTGGGCTTGAAATTAGGAGTTTTAAAAAAGGGAAATGAAATAGCTTGGGCAGGGAGAACAGTGAATCTAGAATGTTCTGTTGTGTTTAGATGTTTAAGTTTTGCTTTGTTCCCAGAACATTTAAGCAGAGGGGGAATCCAAGCAAATGTGAGGGGAGTAAACTTAGGATCTCTTTGTTGAACATGTGACCTGACTTATGTACTTTATGACAGCACGGATAGGATTAACAGACATGGTTTAGGTTCTTGTCAACAACAAGACACATTTCCCGAGCACTTGCTAATGTGTCAGGCATATGCTGAACATATGTTATACGTTAACTCATAATTCATACATCCTAATACAGTTGTTGTTCTCATTTTACAGATGAGAAAACTGAGACTTTGAGAATTTAAGATACTTGCCCAATATATTACAGCTAGTTAATTCTGAGCTGAATCTGAAAATGATTCTTTTTGATAACAAAGTTCACACTTTTGGCCACAATTCTACACTGACCAGCTTTCCGAGAGTACTTGGTACAAAGTTGGGGCAGCTATTTCATTTAATTTCTAGAAGACCAACATTTAGAAAGGTCACCTAGTCTGACCCTTTCAGTTCATTAGCTGAGAAGTTACAGACCCAGAGGTATCAAAGGACTTGTTTGAGGTCAAGCAGCTAGTTAATAACAAAACTAGAACCCAAGTGTGCTAGAATCTGTATTGGCACTTATACTACTACATTCTGATGAAGAACCAGTTTGGAAATGCAGTTTAAGTAATGGCAAGCAGGGAAAGTGGAAATGTTTTCTTTTAAAATTCAAACTAGGAACAGAGTTGCCAACTTCTCTTGTTTCCCAACATTGTCTTTGCCCTGTAACCTGTCCTATGAATTCTGAGCACTTTTATAAGAACATGAATAGCTTATGGTTTGGCACTATATGTCATATTATATTTGGCACTTAATATGTCATATATGACATATATGGCACTTAATATGTTATATTAAGGATCAAGGTGTGTCTTAATATGTCATATTAAGGATGAAGGCATGACTTAATATGTCATATTAAGGATGAAGGCATGACTTAATATGTCATATTAAGGATGAAGGCGTGTCTTAGTCTGTTTTGTGCTGCTATAACAGA
This sequence comes from Homo sapiens, assembly GCF_000001405.40. Lineage (NCBI taxonomy): Eukaryota > Metazoa > Chordata > Mammalia > Primates > Hominidae > Homo > Homo sapiens. The sequence goes on along the minus strand of NC_000012.12, from coordinate 89,321,444 downwards.
ATACCTGATAGTAATTTACAAAGAATGAAAATTCATTGGCTCACAATTCTGGAGGCTGGGAAGTCCAGTATCAGGTGCTGCTGTCTGTCATGGCATAGTTTCTCCTACAAAATTTCTAAGCCAAACATGTGTTTTGTTTTTGTGATTGTTCCATAAAAACTCTCTTCCTTCTCTTCATTGGTGAGTAGGGTGTGGATGGGGGCAAGAGAGGCATGCCCCAGTTTTCAAGTAGAGTTTCTAATTTATACTTGGTTTCCATGTGGGAACCACCCTTTGTTTTCCATCTTGCCTATTGGAAATTGTGGGGAAAGTCACGTGATGTCTCTAATTTAAAATTCATCAGCATTAAAAAAAAGATGAGTTTGAAAAAGGAAACTGAGAAAATTTTGGAACTTTTACCTACCATATGGGTTCAGAAATTGTTTCAGTTAGCTTTGGCAGTAGAAAAAAGGGCCCCAAAAGTTAGTGGCCTACATGGCCATCATTGATTTGCTCACAATTGTGTGAGTCAGCAATCTGTGCTGAGCTCAGCTGGGAATGCTCATCTCAGTTTTTACTGTGGCCACAGCAGTAGCTAAGTAGATGTTTTGCAAAGAAGGCTATGACCATTCCTTCCATCCCTATCCAAATGCCCCTTTGCCATGTGACTTGCCACTTCTCCACCAAACAGAGGAGTTTATTTCTCTACTCCTTGTATATGGATTTGACCATGTGGCTTATTTTTTGCCCCATGAGACATTAGCAACCATGACGCAGAAGATATTTGAGAAGTACTTGCACATTCAGGTTTGCTTCCTTGCTGCTGGGAACCTGGAGACCACCTTTTGAAGCAAACTAAACTGACTTATTAGAGAATAAGAAACCGCCAGGCGCGGTGGCTCACGCCTGTAATCCCAGCACTTTGGGAGGCTGAGGTGGGCAGATCACCTGAGGTCCGGAGTTCGAGACCAGCCTGACCAACATGGAGAAACCCCGTCTCTACTAAAAATACAAAATTAGCCAGGTGTGGTGGTGCATGCCTGTAGTCCCATCTACTCCGGAGCCTGAGGCAGGAGAATGGCTTGAACCTGGGAGGCGGAGGTTGCTGTGAGCGGAGACCATTGCACTCCAGCCTGGGCAACAAGAGTGAAACTCCATCTCGGCAAAAAAAAAAAAAGAGAGAGAATAAGAAACCATGTGGAGAGAGACCAACCATCTCAGCGTTTCTGGCTGAGGTCTTAGGCATGTGACTGAGACCATCTTAGACCTTTGGTTTGTGTCAAGTTGACTCAGACCAGAACTAAGAGAAATAATAAATCATTGGTGCTGTATGCCACTTAATATCTACTTTTTGGCATGTTTGTTTAAAATACCACATTCACTATCCCATTCAAATCTTATATCTATTGCAATTTTTAAGAAGTCTATTTTTGCATGCTTAAAAGAATCTGAATGACTAGCTAGCAATCTAAGGCAGTTTTCATAAATTTTGCTTTATAAAATGGTGATATTGATATTGTTGCCTGACAAAACTCCTGAAACTGTTGTTATAAAGCAAAAGTCCTCATTGGCAAAGAAATTTAAGCAATGAAAGGTAAATCAAAAGGATATGCTGGTACCACAGATTTATAGAACAGCTCTAAGCAAGCTGTTTCACTTCCCTCTCACTGCAGAGGGGATCAAAAGCTAAAAATACTATCAAAAATTCAAATGGCACCTGCGGCACATTCCTAAACGGATGAAGGTCAAATTTGTAAACTAAATTAATGATGTTCATGTTAGAGAAAACTAAGAATAAAGATGCAATCTGCTGAATTTTTTTACATTTTCCTCTTGGGATATAAGTTTTCTTCAAGTGAGACCAGGAAAATTCCTTTATACTCTTTTACTTCCTGGGTTAGTAGGTGGTTTACAATATTAGGTCTAATCATATCAATGTCTTGAGAAAAAAATTCCATTATACTTTCAACAGATGTTGGTGCATAAAAATCCACCAAGAAATATTATCTGCTATTATGCTGTTGACAGTAGATGGAGATCTAATAAGGAAATGCTCATTTTGGCCAGATTTTCTAAGTTTCTCGCTATTGCTCCCACGTCTATTGGGACAGAGCTGTCTCTGGCAGCTGTAGGCTTTCAGAATCAAAGCCAACAGTAAGCAGGGCATGTCTGAGCACATCACACGTGGCTCAGGACTGAGGCAGCTCCTGGGGGATAGGAGGGCCAGGCTTATGGAACAAGGGTCATAAGGATTAGAAGGACTACATAAACGTGCTGGAATTGATGGATCTGAAGCCTCATGGGTCATGAAAAGCTTATGCCATTCAGTTTTGGAGTGATTTGTTTTGCAACAAAAACCAATAGGAATAGAGCAACCTTAGAAGACTATTCAGGACAGAGTACGCCTTAGGGAAATATTACTAATTATGACAGAGAAATTATGAAAACAAAGCTTACCAGATGAGAATAGCATAAAAATTACTATTATTAAAACTAATGATGGTGATAATGATTCTGACAATCTCAGTGTTCTTTATTTTCTATAACAAAGATCTGACATATAACGATCTCATTCAAATACCATCACTTTTTGTTAAAAAACATTTGCCCTACACTTCAATTTGTACTATTAACATCTATTCTCTTCTATCTAGGGATATTTTTGAGAAGGTAGTGTTAATAGAAATATTAAAAAGTATAATATCTCTAGGAATTGGAGACACAGAATTGGCTTTTTACACATAATGTTACACAATTTACTCAGATTGTTTTCCTCTGGACATCTCAATTGTTTGCGGGGGAAGGGAATTTTCATTGTAGGTCAGGACACTTTTATCCTACTACTCTTTGGGCTGGTCTTAGACTTTAGGAATTGAGGGGAAAACTTCCTTCTTATCTTCCTTCTTATTCCTCAAAGCCCATCAAGTTGGAGTTCTTAGCATAGTTGAGGTGCATTATGACATACAGTAATATTTTCCCAAATATGTTCTTTGTAACATTCGTTCTTCAGGATGATCAGTGTGAAAGAGATAAGGAGTCAGATAAGTTTGAGAAATATCATATGTTCAATCCCACTTTTTGTCACAATGCACATTAGTATAGTATAGTGAAGACTTTACAAAATACTGTAGTAAGCAAATGATTGTCTCTTTTTAAAATCTAGTGCTTGTCGATCTTATTTAAATATAGAAATGTCTTCCCCCATAAAATGTTTTAATATCCCACGTATCTGGCATTCACTAGAGAAATATTGAGTTGGTTGGTGCAATTTAATGAGACATTATATATATGTATATGTATGTATATGCGAGACATCTTGGGCAGATACAATGACAAGCTAGATATGATATTGCTCTCAGAAACCTAATCGGTACAATAGGAAATATAAAACTGTTTCATAAAAGTATTATATGAAGTAGAAAGAGATAAAGACTATCAGTAGAATGCTTTCATTGGGAGACTGAGGTGGGCGGATCACGAGGTCAGGAGATCGAGACCACCCTGGCTAACATGGTGAAATCCCGTCTCTACTAAAAATACAAAAAATTAGCCGGGCGTGGTGGTGGGTGCCTGTGGTCCCAGCTACTCAGGAGGCTGAGGCAGGAGAATGGCGTGAACCCGGGAGGCGGAGCTTGCAGTGAGCCGAGATCGCGCCACTGCACTCCAGCCTGGGTGACAGAACGAGACTCTGTCTCAAAAAAAAAAAAAAAAAGGTTTATAGAAAAACCACAGACTTGTTTGAAAAGATGCCAGATTAGTGTAGAGATGACCACTGACATATTTTATAGATAAATATTTGTTGACAAGAATAAAAAAATTCCTTTTCTTTCTCTACCCTTTGCTGATTGTATATTGCTAATTATTAATTATGATTTTTATTAATTACTGTTATCACATATATTACTAATTTAGATTCAACATAAAATACAGTTTTAAAAGTAAAGGAACATTATACATTTTTCCTGTACTATTTATCATTTATTTTGAGTAACTAAAAAGACTGTGTTCTTAATTTAATATAAATTGCCTAGACAAAATTTCATAGCTGTTAATGGACTAAAGTTCACTAACAGTGTGAGTTAAGAAAAAAAAAGAGGTATGGGCTATTGTATTTGGAGAAACCAGATGTGCCGTTACCTAGTGGAGGAAGACAGTTACCAGATCAATGAATGCTCCAGTACATTTTGAGCCTTTTAAAAAGTCTCCTTGACTTTTTCTTTTCATTTTTAATTTTTACATTTCTTTGTTTCCTTAAAAATCTAGCTTAGCCCTGTACCTAGCTTCCCATGAAACAATAGTAGAACCTTTTTAAGGGACCTGTATCAGTCCTGGTCATTCCCTTGAAGCACATTTGGATCCCTCTCTAAATAGCTGCAGGCATTGGTAGTGCTCTTTCTGCTTCCCCACTGGTTGGTTCTGAATACGTAATTACCTTGAGGTCGAAAGGAGAGGATTAACAGACCTTATCCTAATTGCTTGTTTTTGTAGAGTTGTTAAAAAAGATTTGGGCTCCAGAAACAGGGGGTGTAGCCAGACAGAAGGCAGCCTGGAGTTCAAAAGTCTTGTAATCTTTGGCTCCACAGACCTATAAAATTGAGGTGTTGACTGAATGCAAACAGCCTGCAGTCTGAGAGGCCCGGGCCCAAGAAAGGACAAGAGGCCCATCGGTCATTTGAAAAGCCAGGGGTTTCATAATGACTCTGGACTGACCCATTAATGGATGGCCCCATTTGATTTCCCCTTCCCTATGAACACCAGATCTGGAGCTGTCTGCCACACAACAGAGCTTTTCTTAGCTCCTGTGTTCCTAGAATTTAAGAATAAGTGAGGTCTCTTGGAAAGCCCCAGCATGAAAGGAGTAAATTGGAAATATTAAGGGGCAGTGGTGCAGTAATAATACACCCTTGTTTCCTGGTGTCACTCCTTAGGTAATGGTTATAGGCTTGTAATTTGTGAGCAAGAAGATTAAGCTAAATATTAAAACATTATTTCAGGCAAGTAGGAGCAGGGAACTCTTCTGGGAAAGTGCGAATGATCAGTCACCTCCTCACCTCTAAGTATTAAGGGTTATCGGAGGTTATAAGATTTAACAAGTATGGAAAGTTTTGCTGGGTGAGAGGGCGTCTTAAAAATTAAGCTGGAAGCCCTTTGAAGTGTCTTACTTCACAACAAATCATGCTCTGAGAAGGAAAACTTTAGTTTGAAAGCAGAAACCACAGGTTATACCTGATTGATTTGCAGAGTAAAAGATATATTTATTATTCCGTTTAAGAAGATGTAACGTAATATCATGTGAAAACATTAAAGTTGATTATAAAAAGATGTTAGAAGAACAATGGAGACAGACGCTTTTTATTTTTATTTTTTACTACGCAGAAACAGGAAAGGACTAATGACAATGCCACTGTTTTCTTTTCTTTCTGAGATGTATTTTTGTCAGCAAGCTAACTTTCAATTATTTTAGCAGAGACCTATTTTATACAACTTTGAAAAAAACATGAATGGAAATAAATATTCTTAAATGGTTTCAATGAATTGGCTTTTTTTTCCTCTTTCTCTTTGGAAGAAGAATCTTTTAGCTTTAGAAAATCATTGTTTTATAGTATGGTTTTTATATTTTTCTTAAAAATAGGTCCATTCATCTTATTTTATCTTAGTATTTGAACTTTTATAATATGAGGAGAATTCATAAAAATCACACTTACATTGCTGACTCATATTCATTATTATATTTAACTTTCTCCAAAACAAACCAGGGTTTGATATTTGAGAGCATTTTTCTTATTTACTTCTTAAATTCATTTGTGATCTTTTAAAACTAACAAACTAAAATAATTTGAGGTCCACGTTTGTGGAAAGATGTACTTATTATGGGAGCTTTGATTATTCCCACCTCTTTTTCCTCATAAACAAACCCCTCTGAAACCATTATATTTCTAGAAAGTGTTGTCTCTTGGATGATGTGCCTTGCATTGTCAAGCCTCTAACTTTCAACCCCTGGAAAAAAAAAGTTTTGACACCTGTCAAACATCTAGGCTTCAGAAAGTAGTCACTGCCTTCTCTATTTAGAAGGAACTTCTTAATTTAATTCTTAATAGAATAAGTGACTATTCTGCAAATAATTATTTCAGTTCTGCATAGTTCGGACTCATGCCTAGCAGCAGCTCTTTCTCTGACCCCAGTACATTAGCCCTACAGGCAGTCTGAGAGAAACTGGGCAAATCTTGTAGCTTGTGTGGCAGGGTTCAGCATTTAACTCAGCACAATTTAGATGTGCAAAGAAACATAGCTCCTTTATTTTGTCTAGAGCCTGTCTCATCTAGGACCTCCTACCTACTGGTTTGTGGGAAAACTTAATTAAATTGCTAGTATGTTTTAAAATTCGTTCAATCTGACAATTTAAACAATCTCTTTAGGTAATATTTAGTCTCTCATATGAATAAAAATATTCATTCTCAGATAGTTTTCACTGCCTCTTGTCCCTGTCTACAGCATTGAGTCCATGTGAGTGTGGACGTGAGTATTGCTGAAGCTTGGACAGTCCAAACAAAGAGAAGATTTGCGGGTCTTTAGGTATGGTGTCTTCTGGGCCCTAAGGTCATGGCCTTTGGTTTTTTGATCTCTAAGTTATCTCCTGGCTTTCAGAGCTGAGGACTGTAGCATATAAACTTGTGGACTGTTCTTTTGGCTCAGGCAATGCTACTAATGTGGCCCCTAGCTGTTTTGGCATCAACCACAGAGTCTCTGGCAGGTCCTCCATCTGGCCTTGTGTTCCAGGGGTCGTACTCAGCTTCTGTTGTGGAGTCCTTATGCTTTGCTCTGGTGGGCTCCATAGTTAGCCTACTGGATTATACTCATTCTGAACCTAAGCAACAGGGAAATGAGTGTGACTTGGGAACACTGAAGCTCAAGGCTTTTTGCCTAACCACAGGGTACTGCTATGGTTACTTTCGGTGACTGTGCCTCAGATTGGATACTTGGCTAAGCAGCCCCTTTCAAACTTCCAATTTGGGGTAGCTGATCTCATTGGTATCTCACTTTTCTAACATTTTTTTTTCCTAGATGAAGCCAAGATGAAGAAAATTTGGAGGCACAAATTAACTGGTCTCTTTTCCTCTCTTCTCTCTCTTTTTCTTCAATATTATGTCCAGAAAAGGACAGACTTTCTTTCACTTCCTTTATGACACTCTGTTTACCATAGAGATGACCTAGCTGTGATAGGAGGGTAGGCTTCTCTTCCACATCATGGTAGACCTCTATGATCTAAACCTTCCAGACTCAATTTTTTATATGCTGACGGAAAGAATAAAGTGATCTGAATTTTTTTCTCAATGTAATAATATGACTTGCAAGGCTGTTGTCTTGGTGTATTTTATTTTTCATCTCAGAAGCTGATAATTCTTTACTACACCCTGAATTTGCTCTGCAAAAAATACCATGAATAGTATCACTGGTGGTTGTAACATCTCTTTGGAAACGTCAGGGAAGGTTGGGGAGTTGAGCTGAAACATATTGGATCCATTCCTTCTTTCTTTGGGCCCCTTGCTTCAGCAATATTCTTGGTATTTTGCTTAATTAAAATGGAAACTAAATGTAACCTCATTGTGTGTGTGTGTATGTGTGTGTGTGTGCCGTTTTCTCTGCCAAAATACAGTCCACCTGAGATGTTCACCATGCATTTTGCCTCCCACTACATCAATTGGTTTCTATTACCTAATCGTAACACTTAGTCTTACTGAAATTATATATTTTTAATTTGCCTGCCTGTTTATATTATGTCACTCCCACTAAAATATAAATGCAAATAGAGGAAGATTTATAATTTTATTCACCATGGTATTCCAATGCCTAGCAAGGGATATGCTCATACCGGGGACTCACCAAATATCTGTTGAATAAATAAATTTATAAAAAATAAATGGATGAATGAATCCACATCCAGATTCTGCAGTCAACTTGCTTTCTACTCTTCCTTCCAGATTCAAGATCTCTGCAGAATTTGACCTTGCATAGGCTTATCAACAATGGCTGATTGTCAATGATATTACTATAGATGCCTAAGCAACCACATTCATTGAGGTTAACTCTGAGTTATGTCTTTATTTAAAAATTTTTTTGAGCTTGAAAATTGGAGAGCATGTTTTCTGGGGTTGGACAGGTACTATCCTGATTGTGAAGGCAATGCAAGATAAATGTATGCAACATTTAACAAGTGCTACAAACTTTTAATAACACCTTGTTCATATGTTCATAATTTTATTTTGGTGCCTGACCAGCACATTTTTTTTTTTTTTAAGACAGAGTCTTTCTCTGTTGCCCAGGCTGGAGTGCAGTGGCGTGATCTTGGCTCACTGCAACCTCCACCTCCCGGGTTCAAGCGATTCTCCTGTCTCAGCCTCCCAAGTAACTGGGACTACAGGCACGCACCACCACGCCCTGCTAATTTGTGTATTTTTAGCAGAGACATGGTTTCACCATGTTGGCCAGGCTGGTCTCAAACTCCTGACCTCAGGTGATCTGCCCGCCTCGGCCTCCCAAAATGCTGGGATTATAGGAGTGAGCCACTGCGCCTGGCCCTGACCCAGTACTTGACACACGGTGAGCATTATTAGTATTTGCTGAATCTGTTCAGTATGAAAGATAAATCTGGAATTTCCAATTTTGCTTTAAGTCTTTGCATAAATGATCTTGAAGTTACTAAACCCCAGGCAAAAATGATATAGTTCATGGTCTGTTCATTTTGAAAAAACAAACAAGATCTTTTAGCCCTAGTATGCATTATTATTATTATTATTATTTGAGACAGGGTCTTGTTCTTGTCACCCAGGCTGGAGTGCAATGGCATGATCTCAGCTCACTGCAACCTCCACCTCCCAGGTTCAAGTGATTCTCCTGCCTCAGCCTCCTAAGTAGCTGGGATTACAGGCGCACGCCACCACACCCAGCTAATTTTTTGTATATTTAGTAGAGATGGGGTTTCACCATGTTGGCCAGGCTGGTCTCGAACTCCTGACCTCAGGTGATCCACCTGCCTCAGCCTCCCGAAGTGCTGGGATTACAGGTGTGAGCCACTGTGGCAGGCCTAGTCTGCATTATTTTATCTTAATTTAGGTTCTGTTGTTAAACTGGAAAACACCATTGCTGGAGTTGGGGTTTTCAGTCTTCTGGAAATCTCTGCTAATAATTTAATAAATGTAAAACATAAGGTTTCTTGCAACTCACATTTCAGTTTATGATATTAAAACTGTGCCTTGTCCCAACATGCTACAACATGCTAGTTGGTCTTGAAGCGGCAGAAGCAAACTATTCACAAATTAATCAAGAATACCTTGCATTGTGATTGAGAACTTGCACAACCATTGTTGACTGCATGGGATGACAGGTTACTTAGATCTCCTATGCTTGGAGGAGGTGGCCAGAAGAATTGCCCAGAGATCCAGGAATAAGTTTTTACAGGCCTGTGTCTACAATGAACACAGAAGTCCTCTGCTTTCTCGTGATTATGACTGTGAGTTATCTCAGCTGCATGCCCAAACCATTTGGATCGCTGGGAAAAGCATCACCTGTATTTAAGGGCTGGGCTTGGACAACTGAGATCTGGGCAAATCACCATGGCCATGGGACTTTTGGCATATTCAGGCAGTTTTTCAGCTGTTCAGTGAAGTAATTAAACTGAGTTATTCTCACTCGCTGATGATGCCAGTGGTGCAGTTTAGGGAATATTTCAGGCCTATAGATTTAGACATAGAGTTAGGATGTGCTGTTATTGTCTACTGATCTTTTCCTGGCATAAAAGTTACACCAATTTCCATCAACATGGTGTACACTTTATTGATAGTAGGCCACTTAAAGCAAAGTGGGGCTGATAGAGAAAGTGACTTTATTTGATTGAAAAATATGTATGGAGCACCTATTGGGTATTAGTACTGTACTACGTAGGTCCTGAGATGGATGTAAAGGAGCAAAAAATGATTCTTACTTTCAAGAAGCTGACAATTCAGTGTTAAATACATTTATATTTTGACATAAATAGCATATATTTTGATATAAGAAGACAATTTAGTATATTTTTAAGTTCTCATATGGTATAGGGTAGAGAAATTCCTTTCCTTAGACTATAGCATTAAGAAAAAAAACAAAGGGGCTGGGTGTGGTGGCTCATGCCTCTAATCCCAGCACTTTGGGAAGCTGAGGCGGGCGGATCACGAGGTCAGGAGATCGAGACCATCCTGGCTAACATGGTGAAACACCATCTCTACCAAAAGTACAAAAAATTAGCAGGTCGCAGTGGCGGGCACCTGTAGTCCCAGCTACTCGGGAGGCTGAGGCAGGCGAATGGCATGATCCTGGGAGGCGGAGCTTGCAGTGAGCTGAGATAGCGACACTGCAGTGCGGCCTGGGCGAAAGAGAAAGACTCTGTCTCAAAAAAAAAAAAAAAAAAAAAGAAAAAAAGAAAAAAACAAAGGTTGATGGGTTGATGACTTTTTTTTTTTTTTTTCCAGGCTTGATCTTGCTCTGTCAACCAGGCTGGAGTGCAGGGGCATGATCACAGCTCACTGTAGCCTTGACCTCCTGGGCTCCAGCCATCCTCCCGTCTCAGCCTCCTGAGCAGTTGGGACTACAGGCGTTTGCCACCATGCCTGGCTAATTAATTAATTAATTAATTTATTTTTTTTTTTTTTTGGTAGAGACAGGATCCCAATACATTGCACGGCTGGTCTAAAACTCGTGGGCTCAAGTGATCCTTCTTCCCACCTTGGTCTACCCAAGTCTGGGATTATAGGCACGGGCCATGTGCCCAGCTGGTTGATGGTTAAAAAAAAAATCTTTTGGCAAAGATAGCATCTTCTCACATTTCCTTTGCTTAGGTACTAGAACCATGAAAAAATAGCACTGAAAACTTCATAATAGAAATGAATGGGTTTTATTGAAACAAAAAAATTCTAACCAATCAAAACATGAGTTATTGAATTGGAAGTTTATGATGTATTTGCAAACCTTCTTTGACATCTATTGTCCTTGTATCTTCTCCCCCCGATGTTGAAAGTACACAGTAGAAAAAAACCTTTGTGTTGAGACTTGTTTTATCCTTCACATGATTTTCAGAGTTTCTTTTGGTTACCAATTTAATAAGGATGATATTTTTAATTTCAGACTCTTGCTGATTATTTTTGTTTCTCAGGAAAATCTTTTTTTCCACCCTTCTATCCTGCCCACCAGCAGAGAGAATACAGAGCCTTATAAGTCTCTCTTTCCTCCTATGGCGTGCTTTATAATGCCAGTGTTCTTCACTTCAGCTCAGCTTCCAAATTTAATTCATTTGTTAGGCCTATTTTTACCTTGAAACATGAAATCTGAATGTGTTGCTAAACTATCAGAGAAAGTGCTTTTCTTTGTGCCTTCCATCTAAGGCAATGTGTGCTTTCCTAATGGTATTATTTATAGCTGTGGGCTGTGAAAACGGAGCACAGACAAGCTGCCTACATCCCATGTCACACTTTTTTTTTTTTTTTTTGGTTGGAGTAGTTAGTCATTAGTACAGAAGTGTTTGGTCACGAGCAGGAAAGAATGAAAATGTAAAATTCAGTGGGCTTCATTTCCATGGTTGTGGTGTGAAATTTGTGGGGGAGATTCCGGAGTGAGGTATGCCCCAGGTACTCACCTGAAAAAGGGTTCCAGGTACATGGTGTGTCCGCAGCATCCCTGGCCCCATCCTTTCTGTCCTGGAATTCTGTGTTTGTGGATATATTAGTCAGGACAGGCTAGTTTAGTTTATGCTACAGCAACAAGTGGCTCCCAAATCTTAGTGACTTAGAGACTGACAGATCTTCTCCACCACATCCTTTGCCGATTGGCTGTTGCTCTGCTTCCAGTCATCCTGCTGGAGCAGTCTCTCCCTGGAACACTTGGTCACTGTGGCAGAAGGAAAGGAAAAATGGTGAACCACTTCCTGGCTCGAAAAGCTTCTGTGTGGAAGTGACACACATCTCTTCTGTCTACATTTCAGAAGGGATGGGGCCAGGGATGCTGAGGACACACCATGTACCCTTTTTCAGGTGAGTACCTGGGGCATAACTTACTCCGGAGTCTCCCCTGCAGATTTCACACCAGAACCGTGGAAATGAAGCATTTTGAATTTTAATGACCAAACAATTCAGTGCTAATGACTAACTACTCCAACCACAACCAAAAGCATGACATGGGATGTAGACAGCAAACCACTTTTGAATTTGACAGGCAGTGAAATATATTCCTCCCTCAGAGAGAGACCCCTCAGGGAGGGGCACCCAAATATTTGGAGAACAGACTACTAGAGTGGGGATTCATTGACATTCACTTGGTAACAGCGAACACGAAGTAAGACATTTTCAGACAAGGACTGAATCTTGTGACTGAACTTGGGGAAGAATGAATAACTTTTTTAACTTTTTTTTTTCTGGGGGTCGGGAGTAGACATAAATGAGGTAGAGGGTCTCACTGTCTGGAACACTAGGCTTTTGAGGGTCACTTCCTTCCTTCCTTCCTTCCTTTCTTCCTTCTTTCCTTCCTTCCTTCCTTCCTTCCTTCCTTCCTTCCTTCCTTCCTTCCTTCGTTTTCCTCCCTTCCTTCCTTTCTTCTTTTTTTTTTATTTTTCAGACGGAGTCTCACTCTGTTGCCCAGGCTGGAGTGCAGTGGCGCTATCTTGGCCCACTGCAACCTCTGCCTCCTGGGTTCAAGTGAGTCTCCTGCCTCAGCCTCCCGACTAGCTGGGATTATAGGCGCACACCACCACATCTAGCTAATTTTTGTATTTTTAGTAGAGATGGGGTTTCACCATGTTGGCCAGGCTGATCTTGAACCCTTGACCTCAGGTGATCTGCTTGAAGGTCACTTTTTCTAAAGTGTTTGTTTACATCTGAGTTATATGTTGTTTCTGTATCCATTGTGTTTGTTGTTTGATCTACTCAGTTGAAAGATGAACTTTTGGTTGTTCTGAGTTCTTGGTAACTCTCATTTGGCACTTGCTTATGTATCCAGGTGCGTCTCTCGCCGCTCCTGCCTCAGACTCTAGGCTCCAGCTGCAATTCACTATCTGTTATTCTAGACATTTCCTTACAGTGCCTTTTAATTTTGCCTTGTCTGTCCATCTCCTCTTATCCTTTAGGGCTCAAAGTCAACATCACTTTTCCTGGTGTAGGTTAGGTGCCTCTGTGTTCCAGAAGAAAACTGTCCTTTTTGATATTTGTTAAAACATTTATCCCATGGAGGTACTATAATGCGTTGTTTATCCGTCTCTCACTACGTCTAATTTATCATTGCTCTGTGAGGTTCACAACTCCAGCCTCATTTCTCCTCACTCTCCTCCTTTGACCAGAATGCTTTCGCCATACTGGTTCACTTTCTGTTCTACGAGTAAGCCCAGTTTGGTTTCACTTCGGGGCCTTTTCAGTATCCATTCCTGCTACCTGAAATGTTCTTCCCTCTCATCTTCAGAGCACTGGCCCCTTTTTAGTCATTCATGTCTCAGTTTAAATAAAATATCGCTTTCTTAGAAGTACCTTCTCTGACTAATCAATCTAAAGTAGTCACCTGGACTTTGGCTATCATATTACATTATCTTTACATACGTAAGGGGCATGTAAAGATATTCTATCCAGTTCTTTTCTTGTTTATTTATTTAACATCTGCTTCTCTTCATTAAATGAACAATAAAACAAACCCTAAAAAAGTAATGGGCTGGTTGAACTTTGGAGGCTCTGTTAAAAAAACAAAAAGCAAAAAGCAAAAGCAGTGGCATCTTTATCCTTTCAAGGCTACTTGTAAAATTTATCTTCAGAGATTCTAGAATATAGCACATAAAATCTAAGCCAGTGGTGTTCAAAGCGGCTTCTGTGGGCTCCTTTTGAGGTCACTGTGGGGTGTTTGGAGGGGGGAGGAACAGGGAATCTGGAAGTGTATGGGATTCCCTGCCTCCTTAATCTGGCTCATTTGTTCCCCAGTATAGCTATAGAACAGCAGCTTTTTCTGATTTAAAAATGTAGGCTTTTGCATAAGGTTTTGAATCCACGTTTTTAAAAAAGGGCTGAGATATTTGAACACTATTGGTCTAAGTAACAATTTGGGGAAGTAAAGTTACATACATGCGGGCTGGGGACAAAAGGAGAACAATTTAGATCCTGGCCTGGTTCACAGTGTGGCTCAGAGAAGTAAACACATCCATTGGGGATACCACCCCTGTTCTCATCTGCTCTACTTCCTTACCCTTGCATTCACCCCCATGCCCTTGACCATTACCTGCAGACCAACGTCTAGCATTTGATTTACTCATTATCTTGATCTTAGCTTTGTCTTTGATCTCATGGAAATTTCTGTATTTTACATTGAGAGACAGGATGTTGCATATCCTACAGAACCTCTGCTTACCCCAGGCAGGTTGATGTAAAAATACTCTGTTATGTTGAACAACCTCAGGCTAACTAGTCAGCATGTGGAGTAAAGAATATGAAATGTTACGTAATTTAACCGATTATTCAATGGTCATGTAGAAAGGTCTTTCATTGCTGCAGCAAATTCATTTTTTCTCTGATGAAGATCAGTATATAGGGAGACTGAAAGTAAGAAATACAAAAATGTTCCAAAGGAGTCTTTCAGGAATTCATTTTGTCAAAGGAAAGCATTAGCTTGATTAAGCTTGAACAGATAGCATTATTAAGCTATATTTTAGTACTCTCCTACCCCACCATTTTGATCCTGTTTTGACTATTCAGATGTGTTCACTTGTCTCTTTCTTTGTGCGTTTCATCGTCTCTTCTCTTTTCCTCATTCTCTCTTGCCTTTTCCTCTTTTCTATTCATTCTTTCCCTCCTTTGACCTTTTCCCTGTTCCTTCTCTCTATTAAATTGTTTATGATTTTCACATGCATTAACTAAGAAATAAATATAATATTTGCTTCAAGCATTATTGGCACAAATAACCTCCATGGAATAAAACTGACAATGTCTTAAATTGCACATCATAAAATTTGTTATAGATTAAAAATTAATTGAAGGATGAGATCTTGACAACACTTGTACCTGAAAAATCTTACCCAGTAGTATTGAATGTGGTGGAAATAATAACCACAAAAGAAAACTCGCAAGGATAGAAAATAATAAAAGTTGAATAGACAAAACCTTATTGATGAATGAAATTATAGTATTACAATAAATTAAAGAAAAAAAGAGCTGGCCTAATTCTGATTAAAGTATATTATAAACATCCTCAGGGTCAAAATTTCCTCAGAAACAAAAATGATGGGGTCAAAATGGTGGAATGGTGGGGTTGAAATGTCCCGTAAAAACTGATTTTTATGTACCAATTTATCTTATAGAACTTTCCATGTCTTTAAATATTCAGCTGTAATATTTTCAATGGCTGTATAGCATTATGCCTTGTGCAAATGAAATAGTTTATTTGACCAGTCTTCTATTATTACATTTCCTACATAATATATCTTATTGTTTCGATTGTTTTACAGTTTTTGCTGTTGTAATTCTGCGAAGAATAAGTGGGTGACAAAATTTTTGTTAGGTAACATTTCTTAAATCTTTCTATTTTTGCATGGGTTTCAGAAATAGATATTATCTGAAAACCTGCTATGAAGAAAAAGAGACTATATTATCTCACTTGAGTTCTGCATTGACTATTTTTAAAATATGGCTTTTGTATTAAATTAAAGCTTTTCTTTAACTTCCATTGCTGCCTGTGAGTGTGACAAAACATGAGACAGTGTCTGATCTTGGCTTTTAAAATAAGCAAACCCCAAATACCTCAACTCAAATAGCTCAAAAACAGCATGAAAAGATTGAAATGTCACAGAGGAGCTGCTAGGATTTAATCAGTGGGAATTTATTTGACTTGTGCTTATTCCAGAGCTATTTATAGTCAAAGGTAAATATAATTTTAGGTCTCCTTTTGAAACCACAAGCGGAACCAAATGTAGTTTCTGCAAGAGGCTAGAAGAAATGGGTTGGGAATAAACTCATTTCATACTCATTGCTTAGCATAGTGAACACAATTCATGAATAGTTGTTAAATGAATGAGTAAATTAATTCATGAAAAATGAATATTAATTTCATACTTTGTGACAAGCAAGATATCTACTAAGTCTCTCATCCAGCACCAAGCACATCAAATTCAGGTATTTAACATGAATTCTCGACAAATAAATAAAGAAAAACACACTTTTCTACCACCTTGAACACGACGGAGCATTTACACTTGATCTTAGCCAAAAGGCCGAGAAACGATATGACTGAGCATTAAAAAATATCTGAGACCAATGTGATCATATTTTAGTATTTGTTAAGTTCATAGCCAATGGTATGGATGGGGGCTTTTGGTGTGTGTAACTGGCGATGGATGGATGCTATGAATGAATGCTATGAGGGAATTAGTGTGCCCTCCAGAAATAACCATAGTGTATAAAGCATCTCTTGTGTGCTGTGTGCTAGGTACTCTCTCATTTTATAAATGAAGAAACAGGCAGAGAATGTTTAAAAAAAAAGGAATAAAAACACTCTCAAGGTTTCAAGACAAAAGGTGTAGCAGGTATAGCTACCCACTTCTGTCTGATCCCCAAACTCATGAATTCCATTATACCTACATCATCTCATACAAGTTTATAATCCAATAAAGCTTCTTAAGATCACTCATAATCCCACTACCCAGAGATAGTTGCTTGTATTTTCTACAATTTTGGGAATCACATCTATTTTCACAGATACAGTATTTGGGAGTAGACTTTTTGTTCTGTATTACAGTTTCCTTTTATTCTTTTTCTTTTAGCAATATATTGGAACATTTCCTCATAGTGTTTTTTTTCTTCGGCATATAATTAAGTAGCCGCTTCCCCAACCCCCATACATGGTAAGTAAATTATAAAGTCTTTGAGGGTAGGGATTTTTAAGAAAAATGCATCTACTATAGTGTTTAGGGTAATGTTGGATATGAAACACTTAATTATTACTATTACTATAGCTGAATTATATAGTATTCATTTTGTGTTGGGCATTGGTCTGATTGCATTATGTGGATTAATTCATTTAGCTTTCAAAAACTATCTATAAGGCAATACTATTATTATTCCATTTTCCACAAGAAGAAAGTGCCCAGTTCACAGTTAGTAAGGGGTGGAGGTGGGTTCTAACCCAGGTGGCCTGGCTCCGGAATACTTGCTCCTAACCACCATGCCCATCCACTGAAAATAGATACACAATGAATACTTGTCAACTCTAGGAAATGGAGAGTAAAGGTAATTATGGGTATGCCTTGACATCGCTCATGTGTAAAAAGCTCACAATTCACCCCCATTGCTCTACTGCCTAAATTCTAGACTTCTCTGCTAAGGCTTTTAAATTTAAAAACAAATTCATCCTTATTTCTCCTAATTTCCCTTTGAACTTTTGGTTTATTGCAATTGAATATGTGAACACAACATATCCATTCCCTTTTTCGCCTTGACTCTATCCAAATTCTATCACCAGTGAAGGCCTAGCTCAGTTCCTACTTTCTTTTTTTTTTTTTTTTTTTTTTGAGTCAGAGTTTCACTGTTGTTGCCCAGGCTGGAGTGCAATGGCGTGATCTCGGCTCACCACAACCTCCACCTCCTGGGTTCAAGTGATTCTCCTGGCTCAGCCTCCCGAGTAGCTGGGATTACAGGCATGTGCCACCATGCCCGGCTAATTTTATAGCTTTTTAGTAGAGATGGAGTTTCTCCATGTTGGTTAGGCTGGTCTTGAACTCCTCACCTCAGGTGATCTGCCTGCCTCAGCCTCCCAAAGTGCTGGGATTACAGGCGTGAGCCACCGCGCCCCTGCTAGTTCCTACATTCTTGATGAAGCACTCCATCTCCTTTAAGCCTTATTGTCTGTTTCTCTTCTCTGAGCCCTTCTGATCTAATATTAGGTGAGGATTTGCTCTTGTCCATATTTATGTTTCTTACTGCCTCCGAAAAAAATGCTTGATTCATGGCAGGCAGGAAACCGGTATTCCTTTGTTGCATGAACAAATGGCCAAATTAATAACTGAGACTTACACTGTTTTACAACTTATTGCATCTGCAGTTGTCCTGTCTCTACAAATATGCTGTAAAGCTTTTGGCAGAGAAGGATTAACTTTCGACCATTTCTTCACTCCTCAAAGTGCCTGAGACTAAGTAAGTCTGTACTGGATTGTTAGCCAATATTTGCAGTTGTGTCCCAGCTAGGAGTTGTAAGTGGTAGAGAAGATACTGACCTTTTTTTCTTTTCTTTTTTTTTTTTGAATGGAGTCTAGCTCTGCCCAGGCTGGAGTACAGTGGCGCAATCTTGGCTCACTGCAACCTTTGCCCCCCGGGTTCCAGAGATACTCCTGCCTCAGCCTCCCAAGTAGCTGGGATTACAGGTGCCTGCCACCACGCCCAGCTAATTTTTGTATTTTTAGTAGAGATGGGGTTTCACTGTGTTGGCCAGGCTGGTCTCGAACTCCTGACCTCAGGATCCGCCCACCTTGGCCTCCCAAAGTGCTGGGATTACAAGCATGAGCTATTGCGCCCGGCCGACCTTTTTTTCTTAAAAAAAAAAAAAAAATATATATATATATATATATATATATATATATATATATATATATATACACACACACACACACACGCACACACACACACACACATATATATAATTTGACCTACTTTTCCTTTTATTAAATGTGCTTAATTTCTTATTTATTTGTATTTTTGATTTACTTGTTAAAATATATATTAAATAATTGATTGATTGATTTATTGATTGATGTTAGAGATGGTCTCCCAGGCTGAAGTGCAGTGGCACTATCATAACTCACTCCCAGAACTTCTTGGTTCAAGTGATTCTCTTGCCTCAGCTGCCTGAGAAGCTGGGATTACAGGTGTGTGCCACCACATCTTGCTAATTAAAAAAAAAAGTTTCTTTTTTTTAGAGGCAGGGTCTCACTATGTTGTCCAGGCTAAACTTGAGCTTCTGGTCTCAATGAATCCCCCTGCTCTGACCTCCCAAAGCTTTGGGATTATAGACATGAGCCACTGTGCCCAGCCCAAGCATTGTTTTAAATGAATCACTATTTTCATGGTTTTAAAGAATAGAAAGGATCTTTGCATAGCATGACAGACAAATCTGGTTGTTGAGATTTTCCCACTTCCCAGTTAGAGTTGATGGTACTACTTATGCATTAAGATTTTTTTGGGCAGAAAACTTAATTATTTAAATTGTTTTAATTGGAATTATTAATGCTTCTTTACTGAGAAATGTAACACACACAAAGACATGCACAAAAAAAATATATATGTAGCTCAATAATTTATCACAAAGAAAACACAGGTATAATCATTACCCAAGAAATAGAGTATTAGCATCATTATAGATGCCTTTTATACCCCTCTGATCACTGGCTCTTCCCTTCCTCTAAAAAATAATGGCTATACAGGCTCTTATGATAATCATGTCTTTGTTTTTCTTTATAGTTTTATCACCAAACATGGATCCTTGTAGTTTAGTTGTGCCTGTTTTTAAACTTCTATAAATGGAATCATTGAGTATGTATTTTTTGGAAACATATTTCTTATGCTTAGCTTACATTTGGGAGATTCATCTACGCTGTTCTATATGGTTATATGTAGTTCATCTATATTCATTGCTGAATAGTATTGCATATTGCATTCTGTGACTATGCCTCAAATTATTTACCCATTTTACTGTTGATAGAATTTATAGTTGTTTTTATTTTTTGATCTCAGGAATAATGTTACCACAGATTTATTGTACGAATTTTTGATGCACATATGCATCCATTTCTATTCGTTATGTGTAAGAATGAAATTCCTAGTTCAGAGAGTAACATATAGTAACATATTGTCAGCTTTATTAGATAATGCTAGGCTGCTTTCCAAAGTGGTTATACTATGTCAATTTACATTTCTACCAGCAATGCGTACATCCACATTATTGACAGCATTTTGTACTGTCAATCTTTAAAATTTTTCTCACTCTGGTAGGTATGTTGTGTTATCTTATTGTGACTTTAAATTGCAGTTTCACAATTATTAATATGGTTGAGAAACTTATGTTTACGATAATTTGCATATCTTCTCTAGTATAATTTCTGTTTAACTATTTTGCCCATTCTCTTGGACTTCTTGTTTTTTTCTTATTATTTGTAGAAATAATAATTTCTGGAAATATGCTCTTTGTCAAATATGTTTTACAAAAATCTCCTACGCTGGCTTACTTTTTTGCTCTATTAATTAGTATACCTTTTGATGAGCAGAAGTTACTAATTTTAATTTAGTCTAATTTATCAATTTTTTCTTTATGAATAGTGCCTATTGTGTCTTCTATTCAAGTATTTTTTCCTTATCTTGAGGTAATAAATGTATTATTTTATATTACCTTCTAATAATCTTTATCATTTGATTTTTATACTTATATCTATAACCCACCTATAATTTGTTTTTATGCATAGTGAAAGGAACAAGGTTTCATTTTTTTCATATGGATATCTAATTGGCACGACACTATTTGATGAACAGATCATCTTTTCTCCTGTTATTCTGCAGTGCCACTATTGTCCATGAATGCATGGATCTCTTTCTGGGCTCTTTATTCTGTTTCATTGGTCAATATCTGTTTACCAACACAACCCTGCATTACTTGCTATTGCTTTATAATGTCTTGATATCTAGCAGAGTCTTGTCTTCTTTGAGTTTCTTAGCTTTTCTTGGTCTTTTGAATTGCCATATATATTGTAGGATGAGCTGTCATTTTCAGCAAAGAACCTGATGAAATTTTGATTGGGATTTTACTGACTATATAGATTAATTTGGGGAACATTAATAAATTTATAACATTGAGTTTCTCAATCCATGAACATGATTTCTCCTTTCATTTATATAGATCTCCTGTATGTTAATTTCTGTGGAGAGATTTTTTAGATATTTTGTTAGATTTACAACTTTATTTTGAAGTTAAACAGTGTTAATTAAATGGAATCTTAAATTTTTATTTATTTTTAATTGACACATAATTGTACATATTTATGGGGTACAGTGTGATGTTTTAATACATGTATACATTGTGTGGTGATCAAATCAGGGTATTTAGCATAGTCATAACCTCAAACATTTATTTTTTTTTGTGGTGAGAACATTCAAAATCTTCTCTTTTAGTTCCTTTGAAATACACAATACAATACTGTTAGCTATAGCCACCCTACAGTGCAACACAACACCGGGATTTATTATTCCTATCTAACTGTAACTTTGTACCCATTGACCAACCTCTTTCCATCCCCCTCTCTCCCACCCTCCCCGCCCTCTGGTCACCACTAATCTACTCTGTGCTTCTTTGATATGAGCTTTTTTAGAGAAATGAGTGAGATCATGTGGTGTTTGTCTTTCTGTGCTTGGCTTATTTCACTTAACATAATGTCCTCCAGGTTCACCCATGCTGCTGCAAATGATAGGATTTCACTGTTTTAAATGGATGTCCAGTATTCTTTTGTGTTTCTATACCACATTTTCTTTACCCATTCTTCATCGATGGACACGTAGGTTGATTCTGTTTTGTGGTTATTGTGAATAGTGCTGCAAAAAGACATGGGAGTGAAGACGTCTCTTTAACATTTATTTTATAACATTTATCTTATAACATTTATTATAACATTTATTTCCTTTGGAAAAATACCCAGGAGTGGAATTGCCAGATCATATGGTATTTCTATTTTTAAGTTTTTGAGGAAATTTCATACTGTTTTCCATAATGCTGTAACAAATTACATAATCACTAACAATGTATAATGGTTTCCTTTTATCCACATCCATACCAGCATTTGTTATTTTTTGTCCTTTTGATATTAGCTATTTTAGTTAGAGTGAGCTGTTATCTCATTGTGGTTTTGATTTGCATTTCCCTGGTAATTAATGTTGTTGAACATTTTTTCATGTGCTTTTCCTTTTCTGTGTCTTCTTTTGAGAAATGTCTATTCAAATGCTTTGCCCATTTTTAAATTTGATTGTTTGCTTTTTTTGCTACTGAGTTGTTTGAGTTCCATGTATATTCTGGAAATTAACCCGTTGTCAGATGCATGGCTTGCATATACTTTCCCTTTTCTGTAGGTTGTTTCTTCACTCTGTTGATTATTTCTTTTGCTGTGCAGCTTTTTAGTGAGGTGTAATCCCATCTATCTGTTTTTATTTTTGTTGCCTGTGCTTTTGAGTTCTTACTTTAAAAATTCTCATCTAAACCAATGTCATAAAATGTTTCCCCTATGCTTTGTTCTGGTAGTTTTCTAGGGTTAGCTATCACATTTAAGTCTTTAATCCATTTTGAGTTTGATTTTGGTGTATGGTGAGAGACAGGTGTCTAGTTTCATTCTTCTGCATATGGTTATCCAATTTCTTCAGCATTATTTATTGAAGAGACTGTCCTTTCCCCATTACATGTTCTTGGTACCTTTGATGAAAAAGAGTTGGTTGTAAATGTGTTGATTTATATAAGTGTTCGCTATTCTGTTCCTTTGGTCTATGTGCCTGTTTTCATACCAGTATTATGCTGTCTTGGTTACTACAGCTTTGCAGTATATTTTGAAGTCAAATAGCATGATACTTCCAGCTTTGTTCCTTTTGCTTAAGGTTGCTTTTACTATTTAAGATCTTTCGTGGTTCCATTTAAGTTTTGGGATGGTTTCTGTTTTTGTGAAGATTGTCAGCATTAGCATAGGGATTGCATTGAGTCTGTACATCATTTTGGGTAGTATGGACGTTTTAACAACATTAATCCTTCCAATCCATGAACATAGAATATCTTTCCATTTGTTTCTATCCTCTCCAATTTCTTTCATCAATGTTATAGTTATCACTGTAGAGGTTTTTTTTTTCCTCCTGGTTAAACTATTCCTAGGCATTTTTTTCATCTACTATAATTATTGTAATTGCTTTCTTGATTTCTTTTTCAAATAGTTCATTATTGATGTACAGAAATGCTACTAATTTTTATATGTTGATTTTGTATCCTGCAAATTTACTGAATTTGTTAGTTCTAGCTGTTCTAAGAGTTGTAATTTATTTTAACTATTGTTGGTGTGTAGCAATGCATTGAACTGTTGTATTTTGACTTTGTACTCAGTAACGATTCTAATCTTACCTATTAATTTTAATAATTTAACCATAGATTCTTCAGGATTTTCTATTTCCTTAATTGTATTGCCTGAGAATAATGACAGCTACATTTCTTCCCTTTTCTTTAAGTTTTACTAATTTTTATTGGCTAGAAAATTTAATTCAATGTTGATAAAAGTAACGACAAGAGGCATCATTGTCTTATCTTACACCTAGTCTCAAAGGGAAAGTTTTAATTATTGCACCATTAAGTGGAAATTCTTGAATTTTGGGGTTGGTGTTTTCAGCCATTATCCTCCAAATACTGCTTCCATCCCAAGTGTCTTTTTTTGTTTGTTTGTTTTTTTGAGACAGTCTCACTCTGTTGCCCAGGCTGGAGTGTGGTGGCACAATCTCAGCTCACTGCAACCTCCGCCTCCTGGGTTCAAGCAATTCTCCTGCCTCAGCCTCCTGAGTAGCTGGGATTACAGACATGCGCCATCATGCCCAGCTAAGTTTTGTATTTTTAATAGAGATGGGGTTTCACCAGGTTGGCTAGGCTGGTCTCAAACTCCCAACTTCAAGTGATCCACCTGCCTCGGCTACCCAAAGTGCTGGGATCCAACTGTTTTTTATCTCTTTCATGAATCTTATTATGTATGTTAGAATTTCTCACTGCATCAGATCTGTCTTTCCGTACTTCTATATCTTGTTGTATTCTGACTATTTCTTTTGATCTAACCCTCAGTTTATTAATTTTCTCTTCACCTCATCTAATCTGTTATTAAACTCAACCATTGCATTCTTAAGTTCAATTGTTGTATTTTCAATTGAGTTTTTAGAGCTTCTACGCGGCCCTTTGTTAATAGTTTCAAGTTTTCTCCCAAAATTCTCAAACTTGGGTTTTTATCTCCTCTAATATAGTAAATATTGTTATTTTTTAAAAAAACTCTGCATGTGATAAGTCTAATATCTTAAAGTCACTGTTACTTGAATTCTATTCTCTATGATTTTAAACTTTTTTTTTCTTTTTTGAGACAGAGTCTTGCTCTGTCGCCCAGGATGGAGTGCAGTGGTGTGATCTCAGCTCACTGCAAGCTCCGCCTCCCGGGTTCACGCCATTCTCCTGCCTCAGCCTTCTGTAAACTGTATTTAATTTGTTATTTTATATTGTCTTGTACCTGGTCATATTTTGTTTTATTTAGGACGTTGTACACAATTGTTTGTAGAAATAATTGGAGGCCTAATATGATATTACCTTATTTCAAAGATAATTAATATTTGCTTCTGCCAGGCTTCTGAATATGCTTGCCATCTGGAGATGATGCTAAAGGGAGTTGTAATCCTTAAAAGGCCTGTCGATTTCTGGCTCATCCTTAAGGTGTCATCTTTTGGGGTCCTGATAGAAAGCAATGAAGGTTCACCTGGTTTCTTCTCCTTGGTGGACTCTGGTCCCAGACTTTGTCCTTCTTGCTCTGGCAGATTGTCAAAATCATCCCAGCTCAGTTGCTCAGCTTCACATCCACTTTCTCCAGAATTGGCACAAATCTCCAGAAGAAGTGTAGCCCTGAATGCAACGTTATTCTTTCTGGATTTCTGCCTTTTCCTGGATCTTGGTCCTTCTTCACTACCGTGTTTATTCTTCATTGTCTTCAAGTAGAACTTTTTATGCCTTAGAACTTGTCCTCATTACACTATTACTAGAATAAAAATTTCCCTGTGTTCCTGACTTCTGACTTTTGATTTCTTACTCTCCATTCTCTATACTTTTTGAAGGAGTGACAGTTTTCAAAACTTATTCATACTGCTACTTTTTACACTTGATCTTAGCCAAAAGGCCGAGAAGTGATTCATATTGCTACTTTTTAAAAAGCACTACAAAGTAAGTTGCTTGGATATTTGAAATCCTAGCTACTTAAAGTCAACAAAATGATCAGTGTTTGTTGAAGAGATGAACTGGACATGTTTATGCGTACAAACATACAGCTAGAAAAGCCTAGTGTTGAAGATACATTATTGAAAAATACTGTCACATTTGACTTTCCTGTACCATGAAAAAATTTAATTTCTTTTAATTTCAAAATAGTTATATTAATGTTGATTTTGTTAATTTTTTGGGGGGGGGGGGTACAGAGTCTCGCTCTGTCACCAGGCTGGAGTGCAGTGGCACGATCTTGGCTCACTGCAACCTCTGCCTCCTGGGTTCAAGCGATTCTCCTCCCTCAGCCTCCCGAGTAGCTGGGACTACAGGTGCATGCCACCACAGCCAGCTAATTTTTGTACTTTTAGTAGAGACGGGGTTTCACCATGTGGGCCAGAATGGTCTTGATCTCTTGACCTCGTGATCCGCCCGCTTTGGCCTCCCAAAGTGCTGGGATTACAGGCGTGAGCCACCATGCCTGGCCGACTTTGTTAATTTTAAAAAGGTTATACTATTGTTAGATTGGTACTCCTTAGTAACCTTAAAATAACAGACCATAGCATATTACTGGAATAAAAAGAGCAAACTGATAAAGGGACAAGTTTGGGCTTCATACCTCTTTTGGATTTTTGAAAATAACAGCTGGTGGAGAAAAAAATTTATAAAAATTTTTAACAGTTCTCTTTTAAGATTTTTATCAGAAATAACTATAGACAGGATTTATGCCAAATAGAAAGATATCCTACTAATTGACAGACACATTAAAATTAAAAATAAAAACTAAATAGTGAATATAATTGACTGATTGTCCTCCTAGGACTAGTAATGCATTTTTGTTTTAGTTATAATCAATAGATATGGATGAGGCTCTACCAAATGCCATTCACAGTACAGCAGCCTGAGTACCTTTTAAAACAATGTAATTCAAATCAGTTCTACAATGACTGCCAACTGCATTTAGAAACAAATACCCAATCATCCAATCATTTCGTGACTCTCAAGAACCTACATAACCCATATAATTCAACCCCACTCTCCCTCTTCCCTCCTTCATTGGATGACAGCCCTTTCCGGCTTTCTTTGTATTCCTTCAATATACCAAGATTGTTCCCATTGCACATTTTTGCATTTGTTGATCCATTTGCCTGGAAGTTCTTGTCCCCAGTTTTTCTCTTGACTGACCTTATTTTTGTCATTCAGGTTACAACTTAAGCTACTCAATGAGACCTTATCTCACAAACAGTCTAAATTAACTTCCCCTCATCTCTGCTGCCCCTTGTTCAATCCCATTACATCAACTTATTTAATTTTCTTCATAGCATGGATCTTTATCTGAAATTATGCTATTTATTTGTTTACTTGACTGTACTCTTTCCTCTTTTAGTAAATAGGGATCTATTTTCCAGTGCCTAGTACAGTGCCTGTTACATAGTAGGTCTTGAAAATAATGGTTGATGAACTCTCAAACATGATATCTAAAAGGTTGTGGCAAACTGTATTGCTTAATTTAATATTCTATTGCCTAGATCAGCAAATTTAATGTTAGAGAAAATTCATTGGAGTGAGATTCCCCACAGAGAGATAATTCTGGCCTATAAGGTATTAAATATCTAACTTTAAATGAGGACCAATCTTTGCAACTTGCTTGGAAAAAAATATGAACACAGACACACACACACACACACAAAATTCATATGGAAAATGAGATCATTCATATTCTCTTAAGAAGAAATATTGAGGTAATTCTTTCATAAAAATAGTATCTGAACAGCATTTACCCTCTGTCAAGCACTCAGTATATACATAGATATATATATATACATTTTTTGTTTTTTTGAGATGGAGTGTTGCTCTTGCTGCCCAGGCTGGAGTGCAATGGCACTATCTCAACTCACCGTAACCTCCACCTCCTGGGTTCAAGCAATTCTCCTGCCTCAGCCTCCCAAGTAGCTGGGATTACAGGCATGCACCACCACGCCCAGCTAATTTTGTATTTTTAATAGAGATGGAGTTTCTCCATGTTGGTCAGGCTGGTCTTGAACTCCCGACCTCAGGTGATCCGCCCGCCTCGGCCTCCCAAAGTTTACACGATTACAGGCATGAGCCACCATGCCCGGCCGCACTCAGTATATATTTTAATTAATTTTAAGTAACAACCTTTCTATTTAAATAGGCAAAATACATCCCCTAATTCTTGCCCTCAAATGGCGTACACACATAAACATACTTTTTCAGGATTGGGATGACGGAGAAGAAAAATACTAATACTAAGACTGTAATGAACTTTCCAGTTACCATGGCTACCTTTAATTAAAGTCTATATATGGGAGCCCCTACTCTAGCTAAAAATGTGTAATGATGCTCATCTTGCATAGTATTGGTATTAATAATTAAATCCATTTATGATTTCAGTATTGCAATACAAATCTACCACTGTCTATCTAGTGAGCTGTAGTCTTCACTGTTGTAGGCAAAATTCTAAGACGGCCTCCAAGATTCCTGCCCCTTGGGGTATTTATCTTGTATAACCCTCTACTCTTGCTTATGGGCAGGACTGTGAATATGATGGATTTCACTCTGTGATTAGGTTACGTTATATAGGAAAGGTGAAGAGTTTTTGCAAATGGAATATAGGTCCCATATTAATTGGTTAAGTTGCTTAAAGAAAGGAGATTATTCTGGGTCAGCCTGACAGAATCAGATGGACAGCTCAGCTCTGCATGGAGGAGCCCATGACATGCACATGGCCCAGTTTTGCACCAAACATTTCAGGGACATGGCTAGTACACACATTTCATCATTTTAATTTCACTATAGGTACATGCTATTAGTGAAGTAAATCCTTCCAGAAAAATAAAGAACTTTTTTTTTTTCCCCAAGACAGAGTCTCACTCTGTTGCCCAGGCTGGAGTGCAGTGGCACAATCTCAGCTCACTGCAACCTTCACGTCTTAGGTTCCACTGATTGTACCTCAGTCTCCCAAGTAGCTGGGATTACAGGCACATGCCAGTATGCCCAGCTAATTTTTGTATTTCTAGTACAGAAGTGGCTTTACCCTGTTGGCCAGGCTGGTCTCAAACGTCCTGCAGAGATCCACCCACCTCAGCCTCCCAAAGTGCTGGGATTACAGGCATGAGCCACCACACCCAGCTGAACTTTTTGTAATTTAATAATTCCTTGCTAATTTTGCTCTTCTTCATTATATTTTTGAATGTAATATTACTTCCAAACAGTTCCTTCAGTTCTTTGTATCAGTCATAATCTGTCAGTGTCCTTCACACACAGCAAAGCCTTAATAAACCTTATGTGACAAGAACAATATGACATGGCTTCACAGACCCAGTGCCTGCAAAATTGTACAGTAGGCCACAATTAATTATGCTGAAGATAATTGTGAATATTTTTGGACTGGTAAATGTTTGGAAAGGCAAGATTCTTGAAACTGTCAAGCTGATATATTCACATATTTGTGCAAGAGACAGCAGGAGGCGGATACAGTGCTAGCCATTAGGATGTGTTATGTTTAAAAGGAACATTAATTCTATTGTTTTTGGTTTAAAAGCAAACTATATCCACATTGCATGCTGCGATTCCATCCAATGCTCCACAACACCCGCTTTCATTAAGTACTTTATTAACTTCTATTCATCCCTTTCTCAAGCCATGGGCTCACTCCACAGCCTTCTCCCAGTTGTTCCTTTCTTTAAGAAGGGGCTCATTTCCCTTCGTTATGAGTGTTTTCTTTGTTGGTTCCTAATTATTTTACTGCATTAGTCTAAGCTGTTAGCAAAGTAGCTCTAAGAACAGACTTAATGAGAGTGACAGATTTTGACTTTCATATAAAATTATAAACCTGTGTCCATGGAAACAGAAGGAAAAGCAAAACCTGAGATTCCCTTCCTTTTTATCTCGCTGTGTGGCACAATGAAAAATAACCACAGTGACAACAGCAGAATTACTTGTTGCAGCAAATCCAATATTACAAGTGTTGGGAAGGCACAGTCCTACGACCTATGGATTTTTGTCGAATACTAGAGGGGCAAATTCAAACATGTTTCAGATACTATAAATCTCAGTATGTGATTCTAATCTATTATAACCTGAAAGCATTAGAATGTTAGATTGTAATAAATATTTGTTTGGATACAATTACTATACCATCACCTTGGGTTAAGGCTTTAACATACGAATTTTGCAGAGGACACAAACATTCAGTCCGTAACAACTTTCTGGTTTATTTTTTTGTATACAGTTGTAATGGCCATGAAAATTTGCCATTGACATTCTCAAGCGAACTGCTGTGGGGAGCAGAGCTGACCGAGAGTCTCAGCCACCCTTCCTTAGAATTCAGACTTTTGATGGCTGTCCCCAGCCAATAGCTGCATATTGGTGGGATCTGAGGCTTTACAACAAATTTTGGCCCAGCAACTCCTTGTCCATCTGGCTGAAAGTTTCATAGCACTGCCCTGCAGACTGAGACACTTCCTCTCCAATTCTCTTTTTTGTCCCCTTCTTTCCACAGCAGTCACACATACATCTTACACTTGGGCCTCTCCCTGGCTACTCCTGATCCCTCTTCTTTCTCCTTCTTCAGCATTTCCCCCAGCAGATATCTTGCATATCTAATCACCTGTTTTTTTTTCCTTCGTTACACGGATATGTTGTGTGGTGGTAGCATTTGTGCATCCAGTGTACCCATCATCCAAATAGTGAACATTGTACCCAATGAGTAATTTTTAAGCCCTCACCCCCCTTTTGGAGTCCCCAGTGTCTGTTATATCCCTCAGCATGTCCATAATCACATCTTGAGGACTGCTTCTCAGAGAATCTCAACTGGCACAACTGCCTTTTTCCAAAAAAAAAAAAAAAAAAAAAGTAAAATAATTTACACGGAAGCCAGTAATGTATCAAGCCATTTAAAATAGGCACTGAAAATTAGGAAATGGGAAAATAAAGAATGCAGAATTGAGCCCAAAGAGGGCTGATTAATTTGCAGAATGAATATCATGTATGGGTCACATATCTGGCTCTAAGAATAAAATGTATCTGCCAAAGGAAAGTGAAAACATATGAATAAGATGGTTTCTGTTTTTGCAGTTTAGAATAATAAGTAATAACCTAAGGACCAGAAGATATTGGGAAATGAAAAATCTCTTACCTCCAAAGCAATTTTGACATGTTTTGATTATCTGTGTTAGTGTCTTATAGGAGTGGTATGGATATAGTCAGCTCATAATAATTTTTAAAAAATCAATTTCATTTTGCTTTGGGTACAATATGTATAACCTATATTGTATTAATACGTAATATATTTTATAGCAAATTTTCCTTTAAAATATTTTTCTTAGGTTAATATTATTATAACATTAGTTGGTTTATACCCTAAATTTTAGGGTGGATAACAGTAATAGAAAGAGATTCATTCTGGAATTAAAATATGGATCATTAACAGTATAAGCCTTTATATATATATATATATATATATATATATATATATATATTTATTTATTTATTTATTTTTTTTAAGATGGAGTCTCGCTCTGTCACCAGGTTGGAGTACAGTGGCACCATCTCAGCTCACTGCAACCTCTGCCTCCCAGGTTCAAGCAATTCTTCTGCCTCAGTCTCCTGAGTAGCTGGAACTACAGGCACATGCTGCCACACCCGGCTAATTTTTTTTTTTTTTTGTATTTTAGTAGAGACGGGGTTTCACCATGTTGCCAGGCTGGTCTCGAACTCCTGAGCTCAGGCAATCCACCCGCCTTGGCCTCCCAAAGTGCTAGGATTGCCGGCGTGAGCCACTGCGCCCTGGCTGCTTTATAATATTAATTAATCAGAAGTATATTGCCAGGTGCAGTGGGTCATGCCTGTAATCTCAGCACTTTGGGAAGCTGAGACGGGTGGATTACTTGAAGTCAGGAGTTTGAGATCAGCCTGGCCAACAAGCTGAAACCCCATTCCTACTAAAAATACAAAAATTAGCTGGGTGTGGTGGCGGGCGCCAGTAATTCCAGCTACTCAGGCGGCTGAGGCAGGAGAATCGCTTGAACCCGGGAGGTGGAGGTTGCAGTGAGTGGAGATTATGGCACTACACTCCAGCCCTGGCAACAGAGTGAGACTCTCTCAAAAAAGAAAAAAATAAATAAAAGTATGTAGTATGTTGTTTGCTTGCAGGCCCGTTGTGTTCTCATAGTCAAAGTGGTTTGTGTCATCTCAATCCAATCTCAGACTAAAATCTCTATCTGAATAATACTAAAGTACATTCAACAGTCATAAAAATATGTTACACATTTATTTTACTCATATACAATATTATATTCCACTCCGATGACTACCTTTTTATGTCATTTCTTGTGGAAAAGTAACTTTCTGCCAGAAAAGAATCTGGTGTTGGAGTAGACACTAAGTTGAGCCTAAGTCAACTGCAGTTTTATTGAAAAAGGCCAAACATGACACAGGGATATATTACCATTCTTGCAGAACTCTGTATGGATAAAACAGCAGTATAATGCTGATGTACTGCAGAGGCTGATTCATGGTGGTTAAATGCAGAACTCTGCAGTTAATAAATGTTAGCAATCATCATATCACCATCCTAACTGTTTTCTATCAACCATTATCTTTTCTTTTCTTTTCTGTTTCTTTTTCTTTTTTTTTTTTTTTTTTTGAGATGGAGTCTTGCTCTGTCACCCAGGCTGGAGTGCAGTGGCACGATCTTGGCTCACTGCAAGCTCTGCCTCCTGGTCAACCACTATCTTTTAAACCTTTTGTAGGGGAACATAATTCAGGAAGTTTGAGCCAATCACTTTGAGGGAGAAGGCAATCAAATTCAATTTACAGTTATTACTGTTGTCCCTCCAATACTTATTAAATTTAGTAGAGCTTTGATGGCTGCTTTCTTTTTCTTATCTCCATTTAAAAATTATTAGCTCATTATTGTATATAATCTTTACTTTTTAGCACCAAACACTGTTTGAAGTCTGAATTGGGAAGTCTACTGATATTATGTGATGACTTGAATTAGTCAGATTTGGTGCTAGTCAGATCATTTTGATAATAGGTCAAATTCTCAGCTGTACAATTTAGAGAGAATCTAGGAGTAATTCAGGAGAAAAGCAAAGTTCACTAAAGTGTTAATATGGCTTTAAAAATTCAGGGTATAATTTACATACTGTGATGATTAATTTATGTCAACTTCACTGGGTTAAGCAATACCTGGATCACTTGTAAAACATTGTTTCTGAGTGTGTATGTGGGGGTGTTTCTGGAAGAGATGAATATTTGAATGAGTGGACTGAATAAAGCAGATGGCCTTTGCCAATGCAGGTGAGCATCATAAAATCTGTTGAGAGCCTGAAAGCAACAAAATAGTGAAGAAAGGGTGAATTTACTCTCATTTGGAGCTCAAACATCCATCTTCTGTCCTTGGACATTGGAGATCCTGGTTTTCAGGCCTTTGGGCTCTGGGACTTATACCATTCCCCACCCATCGCCTATTGGCTTTCCTGATTCTCCAGCTTGCAAATGGCAGTTTGGGGACTTTTGACCTCCATAATCGTAGGAGCAAATTCCCATAGTAAATCTTAATACGTGTGTGTGTGTGTGTGTGTGTGTGTGTGTGTATGTGTATGTATCCTATGTGAATGATAATATATATGTATATACCTTATTGGTTCTCTTTCTCTGGAGAATCCTGACAAACACACATACATTAATATGAATAGATCTTAAGTTGTATGAATTTTAGAGCATGAACACACTCAGGTAATCAATATCCAGTTTAAGAGATACTGCATTATCAGGAACCCAGAAACCTCCTTCATGCTCTGTCCCAGCCATTAAGTTCTCCCCCAGAAGTTACCAATACTCTTTTTATCATCAGACTATTTTTGTGAGTTTTTGAAGCTATTCTTTCTATAGTGCTCTTTTTTGTAATGGTTTCTCTCATTCAACATTATAGTTGTAGGCCGGGCTTGGTGGCTCACACCTGTAATCCCAGCACTTTGGGAGGCAGAGGCGGGCGGATCATGAGGTCAGGAGATTGAGACCATCCTGGCTAACACGGTGAAACCCCGTCTCTACTAAAAATATAAAAAATTAGCCGGGCGTGGTAGCAGGCACCTGTAGTCCCAGCTACTCAGGAGGCTGAGGCAGGAGAATGGCGTGAACCCGGGAGGCGGAGCTTGCAGTGAGCCGAGATCGTGCCACTGCACTCCAGCCTGGGCAACAGAGCGAGACTCCGTGTCAAACAAAACAAAATAAAACAAAAAACATTATAGTTGTAGTTGTGAGAGTCATCCCTGTGATGTGCAACAGCAATTTCATGTGTAGCAGTAATTTCCCTTATTTTAATTTTTATAGAGTATTCATTATATGATGTATTTATCCCTTCTACTGACAGACAATTGGGCTGTTTCCAGGTTTTGATTATTATGAATAATGCTGCTACAAGCATTCTTCTACATGTTTCTTGTGCATGTATGTGTGCACTTGTGTTGAGTGTCTATATGAGCAGAATTCTGTGTCATGGAGTGTGTGTGTGTGTGTGTGTATATATATATATATATTTGGCTTTAATAGATACAGCTAGAGAAGTTTCCAAAGTAGTTGTACCAACTTGCATGACAACCAGAAGTGTATGGACATTCTGGTTACTCTATATGCTTGTAAACGTTTGATGTTACTTCTTACCCTTTGCTCAGATTCAGCACATACCTTGTTATCATCTAACATATTCATAAAGGCAGATGAAGGAGGCAATCAAATTCAATCTACAGCCATTACAGAGAGTGTGGAGATAGAAAAGATGGAAAATAAATATTAAAAAGTTTAGGAAGAGAAGAAGATAAAAAATGAAGCATAGGAAAGAAGGAAAAGATTGAGTTAAGGAGAGAGTTCTGCATTTTTATCACTCGTGAAGAAGCAAAGTAAAATTCAATCCCTTTGAAAGAAAATTTCTTCCACCTGATTTGAAACTTTGATTTCTTGAGGTATAAAGATGGGATGAAGGGGCAAAGGTAAGTAAAATAAAAACAGTAAGAAAATATAGAAGAAAATTAATAGGGCTTCTCCAAGTAAGACCTAAATGTTATTGGAAGAGTCTATAAAACAAGTAGTAAGTTAGCATTAAGTATTTTGTAGTCTGTGCTCTTGTGTATCTTCATTGTCTGCTACTTCTGTCAAAGGCATATACACAACATCTTCACACAATATTTTTGATATTAAAAAATTGGAGATTTAAAGAGAAAAAAGGAAAGTGAAGTCATATTCCTTCCTGTTCTTTCCTTTGTTTTTTCTTTTTAAACCTCACACATCTTCTCCCTGGGGAGTTGCATGGGGGTGACAGAGTGATTCACCATCTATAAAATATCCCAATGACTTGAGCGAAGTCTCTGATATGAGGTGACATAGTCGCCCCTGAGAAGATAATGCTGTAATGGTGAAGAGGTGATGGTAGATATTTTCTGGGCAAATGACTGTTGTTGATTTGTCCACCTAATCGCTTAGTTTTGAAGAAAGAAAAATCTTCTAGTTTAATGGCTGTATGAAAGGAAATTCCCAAGAGGTTAAAACCCTCCACATATTTAAATCTTTTTGCCTACCTGGGTAATTTCTGTGTAGTAATACTAGCTTCAGTAAAAGCCGCTTGGGAGACAGACACCACTGAACATGGAGGAACTGTGTCTCTTTGGGTTTGCTTGCTAATTCTGCCTCCCCACCTCCCCTCTCCACTAGCCATCTGGAAGAAGGGAACAGGCTTCGAGTTAAATTTGGAGATTTATGAGGCATGGGACGTGTGGTTGCTCTATTCATTTGAATTGAAAATTTGATCCAATTCTGGAGACTTCTCAGTTAGCATCAACCTTCTGGATTGAGCTATAAATCTATAAATGATTTTATAACATTATTTGCTTTGATTATCAGGGCAGAGCCGTGTCTCACACTTAGCAAAAAAGCAACAGAGCAATAACACACAAATTGCTGTTCTTGTCATCTTTCCTTTAAGCTAAGAATACTGAAAAACTTTAAAATAATTCTATGCCTACATTAGCATAAGTTGAACCAGTCCAGTAACCTCGAATCTTTTCCAGCAACTTCCTTGGTGCTGTCCTCATTATGTTAGCAAGACATTTCCTATTCTACTGTCCCAGAGGAGCTGGAGTCAAGGTTTATAGACTGAAAATAAGGGGAAAAGAGAGGCATACTGCCATGAAACAATTAATATATCATTTCAGAGAATGCCAGAACACACAGTTTCTACTGTTACTATGACTTACCAATTTTCTATTAATATATATTTTTATACCTACATGGTAGTGAAGGCTAAAAAACAGTAATGATAGTTTCAGTGGGAGCTGGATTTTCACCAAGGACATTTTTATTTAGCAAAAACAATAATGTTATAAGCTAAGTAGAAATTTCTACTTTTTTTGACTTCCAAGGAGAATTCTGATGGGGCTAGAGTAGTATCATGTATGTGCTTCCCAGATAAAGCATATCCAAGTAATTAAGAAAATGTATCTAATCTATGAAAAATAGATCTACAGGCCAGTGTAGGTTTAAATATTGGCTGGCTAAACAATTTCTTCCTCTTCCTTTTTTAAAGTTAATGTAGACACATGGAATAGGCAGTATACCTACACTCTAGAAGACATGAACTTCTGGACTACCCAACCAGAGTTTGATAGCTAAAAAGGACAGTAGAGATCCTCTAGTTTAATCTTTCCTTTGTACAGATGAAGCAGGATGTGATTATAAAAATTAATTGGGGTGATCAGATTCTATAAGTTTACAAGTGAGTTGAACTATGCAACCAGCGAAAATTGCATGTTGTAAAGTGTGGTTGCAGAAATTTTAATTTCCTGTCTTTTACTATAATAAATTAAGGTTACTTTTCTGAGTGTGATAAATATGAATGCGTGAATGAGAATCAGACCTTCTCATACAACATGTTATTTCACCACAAAATATCATCATATCATCGTGGCCATCTCTCCATCTACTTATTTATTTATTCAATAAATATGTGCTATATGCTAGACAATGTGTTGGTGGTGGTTAAGCCTGCAGAAGAAATAGTATAGATACAGTCTCTGTTCTCATGTGTGACATTTTTGATCAAAGGGGGGACACAGATCCTTATACAGTGTTCCATTGATTCTAAGGCACATATTTTCCCCCTATATTTTAATGTCTCTGACATCAGTATACATCCTAAAATTGAAAGAGTGTTATAGCTTTATTGACACCCCCTTTTTTCTTTTGGTGTGTCATATAGTGGCTTGTTTAACAATTGCTGGCATCTTCAATTCTATGTGATACTGAATATATGCATTATGGCAAATACTACTAAAAAAAGTGTTTTGAGAGAGACTAACAGGGGACCTGCTTTAACTAGTTGGTGTGGAAAGCCCTCTGGACAAGATGATGTGTAAGTTTGAAGAAAGAGAAGGCCCCGGTTGAGTGAAAGAGGTGACAAGAGCATGGTAGAAAGAGAAAATAGATTTTGTGCATGACTGTGTGGGGGACTGTTGGTCTGTCTGAGGAATAAATGGAAGGCCAGTGTTGCTGGACCATAGCGAGCAATAGGGCCTTTCAAGAAGCCCAATTCTTTTAGCTTCTTGCAAACATTTATTCTGGAAAGACCTTTTTCAGATCAGCTGTATTGAATGCATTTTTTTCTGTGTGTGTGTATCAGTCATGTATGATGGAGTAAAAGCCATCATTGGTCTGTCACTGCTTGGGAAAATCAGTCCAAATTTGACCTTTTTATTAAAATGATTTTTAACCTAAGTGTTAGGAATGCATGCAATTATAATTGAGCTGAGATACTTGGCTTTTTTTGGAATTATGTAACAAGGAAATCTTTTCTCCTATTTTGGCTTTATTCTTCTTTGATATCTTGCTATTTTAAACCAAGTACAATAGACCTTTTATAACTGAAACTCTTTAAGGTGAAGATTTATTGAAATTTTATGATTTTAACAGAAAAGTAATTTTGCTTGAAAACATACACATATAAGATAAAGTGTTAACAAAATGTGGTGGTTATGTTGCAGCAGCTGTAATTCACAGAAGCTCAATTGTGATGAGCAATACTCTTCTGTATAAAAATAAAAAGCAAAAAAGTAACAAATACAATGACATATAGATAAATATAAATATTTAAAAAATCCAAAGCTTTGAACATGGTTTGAATTTTTAAGTAGGGATACATATCCCCTGTAGCATGACTTAAAATTATTGGCAAATTGTTAACTGCTAATATCTCACGGATGAATAGCTACATATAGTCAAAGAGGAAAATCCATATTAATGAAGTTTTTTTTTTTTTTTTTTCGAGATGGAGTCTCGCTTTGTTGCCCAGGCTGGAGTGCAATGGAGTGATCTCAGCTCACTGCAACCCCTCTGCCTCCTGGGTTCAAATGATTCTCCTACCTCAGCCTCCCTAGTAGCTGGGACTATAGGCATGCGCCACCATGCCCAGCTAATTTTGTATTTTTAGTAGGGTGGGGTTTCACCAGGTTGGCCAGGCTGGTCTTGAACTCCTGCCTTCAAGTGATCTGCCTGCCTCGGCCTCCCAAAGTGCTAGGATTGCAGGCATGAACAACCATGCCAGGCCTTAATGAAGTTTTTATTGTAAAAAATTTTGTATCCTTCTCTAATATAAATTACATACGTTCTTCCTTTATGTGTAACCTAACAACCATTAGTTTATCTCAGGCACATTTTAATAGATGTCTAAAAACCTAAAGAAAAAATACTTTTTCAATAATCAGATTTAAGGAACATTTCTCAAAAAGAACCACAAAGTATTGTATTACTTATTATATTTTGAAGATTGATTTTGACTTTTTTTATACTACCAACAAGAACAAAATCTCCATTAAAATATGTGTAAAATATTTTTTCACCATCTTATCATTTTTTTCATGATTGTCTTCCAGTCATCTGTTTTGTGTTCCCATTTTACTTTGCTAAAGGTAATTTTATATAGGCTTTTCTGAATGATGCACCCACTTTAAAATCTGGGTGCATATTTGCATGAAAGCATTTACAGAAAATAAAGACAATCCTATGATGGGTAGAAATCACTGAGATCTTTAATAAAAACAGTGCGGTTTCTTAAGAGAGTGATTCGTTGCCAAATTAGAAAGAGATGGGGTTGTATCTAACATGAATGCGTTCTATGCTGAGAGTATTGAGAAGAAATGGTACTCATCAAGTTCTAACAGTGTTTAGAAACTAGAGGTAAGCCCCACTGTTTCCCAGGAAGTGCAGTAGTTTAAATGAAAACTCCTCCATACTGCTGGGACTTAATTCACCACACATGGTGGAGAATGTGAGCTAAAGAACTCAGTGGAATACATTCAGTTCCTCTAAGTGAGAAGTCATCCAACTTAAACAGGAAAGAGCAAAATGTGAATGCTAGAGGATGGAACAAAATTGTTGTAATTTCTAAGGTGAAAATACTTACCTTTGTATTTTCTTTAGATTTTCATATAGAGATGGAAAAAGCAACAAAGGACAACTGAAAAAATTGCACTTAAAGTAAAACAGGGAAAAGTTTAAAAATAGAACTATGACAATTAAATGGAAAAATGATTCCTGAAATTTTATTTTTTATAATTAATGCTTAGTTCAATTAGCAATGATGGGTATGTTTTGCTTAGTGCGCATTAACCACGTAAAACCCTCATGTAACCATAATATTCATCAATCACGACTATGCTGTTAGATTTATAATCAAATTAGCTGTTTAATTAAAAAACATGAGTGTTTTTCATTGGGTGATATTAGCATTCTGAAATGGTGTTAATAGGCCTGGAGAAACAAAACATTTAAAAAAGAGATTCAAATGAGAATAGCAAAAGCTAATAAAGTGTTAAGGTGACAAAAAACTACTCATACAGAATAATCTACTACTATGATGGAGGTTTTATAGATGCAAGATACATATTCACACATATATTTAACATTTTTCCCTTTGGTAGGTAGAAGATGAAGTAGAATACCAACATAAGAGCAATATGACTGGTTTCCAGTCTTTGATCTGCCACTAGTTTGTGACCATAGGAAAACCATCTTAACTTTTTTTCTGAACCTCTGTTGTTTTCATTTAAAAGAATGGAGAAGTGTTACAGCTCTTTTAAAATTTATCTAACAGGTTTTCTGTTTTTTAACTAGAAAACTCCCCATGGGAAAAAAAAATAGCGAGGAATCATATTTTCCCAGACAATTTCTTATGAGAGCCAGATAAGATTATGCATATCAGCTCATGGTAAAAGGCAGTAAACCAATATCAATTAAGAAATAATTTAGGGTTGGGTGCAGTGGCTCACACCTGTAATCCCAGCACTTTGGAAGGCTCAAGAGGGTGGGTTACTTGAGCCCAGGAGTTTGAGACCAGCCTGGGCAACAAGGCGAAACCTTTTCTCTACAAAAAATACAAAAATTAGCCAGGTGTGGTGGTGTGCACCTGTAGTCCCAGTGACCTGGTAGGCTGAGGTGGGAGGATGACCTGAGCCTGGGAGGTTGAGGCTGCAATGGGCCGTGATCGCGCCACTGCACTCCAGTCCGCCTTTCTTTTTGGGTCTCAGTGATCTATTGAAAACTCTGTTGTTCATATTGTCCTTTCCAAAAGATGGTGACTAAATCATTTAAGTTAGACAGCCAAGATTTAGCTCTGAGAACTAATTTTGGCTTATTGTACTCAACATATTTAAGACTGTCAGCAGTTTTTGTTCTCTCCAATGTTTAATAAGGTCAGGAGTTTAAAAAGAGAGCAATTTTCTTGATAAAGTTTTTCCTTCTTTTCCCTTTGGGAAACATCACTGTGCCTAACTGCTTTAATGCTGAAGTTGGCAGGGCTTGCAGGTTGGGAGCAAACAATAAAAAGTCCCTCGCTGAGACAGACTGTATGGAATGAATGCCCTGGGGAACTATACCCCTGCCCAACCCCCTCTGACCCCCCCAACTCAAAGGCCAGATGGGCTCTAGACAAACCCTGGGAGTGTGGGCAGTCTGGGGTAGTGGAGGCCAGCTGCTGTTCTAGGAAATTCCCTCTCTGAAAGACACATGGGAACCCTGTTTTGGTATCCAGAACAGTGCTGAAATGGTCAGAAATAGGACTAAAGTTGGTGGACTTTGCGTATGTACAGACAGAAACATCCTGCTTTCCAAAGAGCTGAACGCTGAGGGTCATTTATCTGTGGGATTCAGGGTACACTAAAGGTTTCTAGTTGAATTGGTTCTCATAACTTTTGTTGCATGTCTTACCTTTATGAAAAAGGCCTTTTCCAACAAGCTTATTTCATTGAAGTGTTATTGTCAGTCAGCTGAGCACGATGGAATGAATTTTGTTTGTTGTAAGGGCAAAGAAGCAGGCTAAAGAGGATGTGGTGAAAGATTCTACTTCCTGTCTATTCAAAGGATGTGAATAGACAGTTTACATAACAGAAAATTCAGTAGGCTCACATATGGTAAATCATACAGCTTTGTTTGCAAATAACAAAATACACATTAAAAAAGTTATAGCGTCTTTGAAAACCTATTAAACTCACAAAAATAAACAGAACCCCAAAATTCAATTATTTCTTGTGAGCAATGTGTCCAGGTTGTATGCTATGGTGAAAAGAATGCTGCATTTGGAATGCGAAGACTTAAATGTAACACAAACTGTGAGCAAGTTATTTACTTTTCTGAAGCTCAATTATTTTCTCATCTATAAAGGGTGGATAATAATATCTATCAACCTTATGAAGTTTATAACAGATTCATATAGGTGAATGGAAGAAATTTTCAAATGGCAAAGCACTGTATAAATATGTTTTTGTGTTTTTAATCAACAAATTAATAAGAGAAGTGACAAATTTTAGTTACTTATCCTTTTCAGAAGCATGTGGAATACAATTTATGAATGCACTAATTGTGTTTAGCAATTTCCCTTTTAGACACTGATGATGAACTAGCTAAATAAACCGTCTCAAAATGTGGGAATTACTTTTTAAAAATTACAATGTTGTGGGCTCTATCAGTACACTGACATTAAACTCAGATTTCACTGAGTTTATTTTGTTGGGTGATTTCATCAATGTTAACATAATTTAATCCACAAAATAATCATAAGTGGTAGATGTTATTCTTTCCATTTTAAAAATAGGAAACTAAAAGTCACCCAAGTTCTTAGTTGACTGATGCTTACATAAAATGATATTGAGTTGAAAAAAACTAAAAACAAAATGGTGTATGTGCATTTTACTTAACATTATATATGAATATGAGGACCTTAATGAATGGAAGACAATTTGAAGAAATACAAATATTTAGACCTAAGTACCTAAACACTTTTTATCTTAATTCTTTTTTAATTCTAAGAAAAAAGTGATTTTGTATCCTGGAACTTTGCTGAAATTGTTTGTGACAACTAGGAGTCTTTTGGAGGAATCTTTAGGGTTTTTTAGATATAGAATCATATTGCCAGAGAATAGGGATAAATTGACTTTCTCTTTTCCTATTTGGATGTCTTTCATCTCTTTCTCTTGCCAGATTGCTCTGGCTAGGACTTCCAGTACTATGTTGAATAAGAGTGGACATCTTTGTTTTGTTGTGGTTCCCATTACTGGTGAACTGAATTTTTAAAAATGTGCTATATATACACCATGGAGTACTATGCAGCAATAAAAAAGAATAAAATCATGTCCTTTGCAGCATCATGGTTGCAGCTGAAGGCCATTATTTTAAGTGAATTAATGCAGGAACAGAAAATCAAATACCGCACGTTCTAACTTGTAAGAGGGAGCTAAACAATCAGTACACATGAGCATAAAAATGAAAACAGACACTGGGGACTCGAAAAACAGTGGAGGGGGAAAGGGTTGGAAAACTACTTATTGGGTACTACGTTTACTATTTGGGTGATTGGTTAAATAAAAGCCTATACCCAGCATTACACAACGTATCTATGTAATAAACCTACAAATGTACCTCCTGAATCTAAAATTTAAAAAACATTCTGAGAAAAAAAATAATATCCTCCCAGGAAATTTTGTTGGTATGATTAAAACAAAACAAAGCACCATTACCCAAGGGAAAATCAGTTTAAAAATCATTTAAACTCTGAAAGATACTATTATAACTTAATAACAAACGAATCTTAGTACAAACAGAGACACTATGACCCAAACCAACGCTTGGGGGCAAGGGGAGTTCAGACTATAACCTCACTAAAAACTATAAGAAAAATGGCACTGATGAATAATAACTCACTTATCATCCCCCAACAAAGACAGGAACACAACCCCGGGGCATTTTCCTGTGTCAATTAACAGTTAATATGTTATCTGCTCAGTGACATTAAGATGTGATTCTCAAAACCTTTTACAAAGACATTGGCTTTGATGAGTGACAGACAACAAGCCCCGGCAGGCTGGTGAAAGGAAATTCAATTATATCGCTTCTAAATTGTGCATCCTCTGGGTTTAACTCAGAGATGCAAATACCAAAGAATAAAACTCGACCCTAGATTTCCTTTCGGAAATGCTGAGTGATTTCACAATTTTGTCCTTGCTAGAGAGGGGCATGCTTCTGGGCAATCAGGTGGTACAACCCGCAGGACAGTGAATGCCGTTGAATAAGGAGTGTGAGGGCTGGCATTTACTGTTTAAGAGGCATTTCAAAGAGTGGCAAATCACTTAGGGCCTCGATAATTCTACACATAATAGAACAAGGGTAGAGATGGCTTTTGTCTATGAAATAATTCAAGAAACAGCTGTTTTCCTTATTTATTCAAGTAGACTGGTTTCCAAGATTGGGGTTCATGCATCTCAGAGATTGGCTACAGACAATCATCTGGGGTCTAGAGAGAAAATACCAGAACTATTAT
Source organism: Homo sapiens (assembly GCF_000001405.40). Taxonomy (NCBI): domain Eukaryota; kingdom Metazoa; phylum Chordata; class Mammalia; order Primates; family Hominidae; genus Homo; species Homo sapiens. Next base: position 89,278,534 of record NC_000012.12, on the reverse strand, counting down.
ATTATTTATTTTTGTCTGAAAATGTAAGAAAGAGATTAAGCTTCCTAGCACGTATGGAACGGCCTAGTGCTGACATACCCCAGCACTCTTTGTAGGTCTGTATTTTAGACTGTCTTGTATCTTGAACAGTGTGGGAGTTTGCCTGAGAGGGAAATGGAGTTCCACAAGGTGGAGGTAGGGAGGGGACCATTAGTTCCACCTTTTTATTGGCTTTCAGAGTTTCAAAGTAGGGCTTAGTAAGTGGCTTTACAGATTACACTATCTCGTTTTAACGAAATGTATGCTCACCACATAGACAAGTAGCTAGAAAATGGCTCTTGCAGAGAAACTGCAGATTTAAAAAACCTAATAATGTAAGAACAAATGTACAATTCCATCGTAGAGGTGGCTTTTTGCTTACTTTGCCATGTGACAAGAGAAAAGCAATGAGCGAGCCAGATCTATTAAGAATTAACATAACTTTTTTTTCATTGATCAAGAATATTATTGAGCATGTGGATTCACACAATTGTTAATGAGGGTCCTCACTCCAAGTTTCTATTTATATTGAGTATTCTGTGGCTTTGGTACTTACCTCTTTCAGCTATGATAGCTCTGTGTGTTTGCTGGGGCTGCTATAACAAGGTGCCACAGACTGGGTGGTTTAAACAAAAGAAATTTATTTCCTTACAGTTCTGGAGGCTGGAAGTCTGAGATCATGTTGTCAGCATGATTTTTTCTTCTGTGGCTTCTCTTCCTGGATTGTAGATGGCCACTGTCACCCTCTGTCTTCATGTGGTCTTTCCTCTGTGTGCATGCATGTCTGTGTCCAAATTTCCTCTTTATAAGGAAACCAGTCATATCGGATTAGGGCCCATTCTAAAGACCTTATTTTAACGTAATTAACTCCTTAAAACCTTATTTCCAAATATGTTTTCATTCTGAGTTACTGAGGATTAAAATGTTAACATGCAAATTTGTGGGCGGGGGATGGGGGCAGAAAATTTAGCCCATTACAATGGCCATTAACATTGCCTATTAAACTAAACTTATAAACAGACTTTTAAATCACTAATCACAATTTTAACGCAGGACTTTAAAAAGAATCATATTTTGAAAAGTTTTGTGCCAATAATGAATACAAATTATTAAAACGTATTCTATTCCATCGTGACCTCATCCTTTAGAAACTTTTGGTTTAGATGTATGTTCTATAATAGAATAATATATTGCCATTAATTCCTTAATTTAACAGACACCTATGAAGTGCTTGTCAAGTGCAGGTACTCTGTTTTAGGCACCTGAGATGCATCAGGGAAAAAATTTGCCCTCGTGGAGCTTACATTCTAGTAGGCAAGAGACTGATGATGAATCATAGCACAATAGTTAAGACTGAAGGACTTATCTCTAGCTGCTAGGAGTGTTGCCAAATGACAGCCCTCGTCTGTTAGCCCTCTTTGGGAATTGCCTTTGGATGAAGAGAGCTACCTCATGAAAGGTCATGTACTCTTGCCAGCACAGCCTGCATCCAAAGTCTGGTCACTCCAGAGGTAAAAAGGTCCACATGACTGGAACCATCTGGGTAGCTCTGAAGGGCCATCCTAGTTGGAGAGCTCCCTGTGGGGTTGGTTGAGAACTTTCTTCAGACTCAATCATAGCCCAACACTTTCCCTGAGGGTTACTCATATTATATTTATCATATTATATTATTATATTATGTTATATTATTATTCTATATTATATTACATTACATTACATTCTAATGTTTTACTGTCTTATTAACTGTTTGTCTCCCTTACTAGAAGCAACCTCCGTGAGAGCAGGTACTTAGTCTCCTTTGTTCACTGCTCTGCCCACAGCTCCCAGAACAATGCCTGGAAAGTATTAGTTCTCTAATAAATATTTGTTAAATCAGTGAACAAATCTGCAAAGTGAGAATAAAAGTAGGACTGACCTTACAAGACTAAATTGTGATAATCCATGTGCAGTCTTAATGCAGTGCTTGGCTTTGCAATAAGTGCTTTAAAAAAGTTGGTAATTATTATGCTTATTTCAAAGATGACTTTATCATTTCCTATTTTTAAAAAGCCAGTATTTCAACTCTATTTGTTCAGGTGTTAATTAATTAGACCTTTATTGCCAAGCACTACTTTAGGAGCTGGAGCTACAAAAAGTGTAAGAAACATCCGCTGCCCTTAAAGAGGATCCAGTTCACTTGCAGGGTCACAGGTAACATGTCATTAGTTATTTCATATTTTTCCACTTAGAAGCTAGCTTCTTTTGCATATTCTTTCCTTTTCCAAATACTCTAAGATGTGAATCTTATTACCTGTTTTCCAGTGACTTTTTTCTTCTTCAATTATTTGGGCAATACTTTCCAACTGAAATACATTCATGTCAATCACTGGGCAACAGCTCGTTCAAAATTAGACAAAATGATTTTCTTGTTTCAATGGATATCATCAAATCTTTTAATCTGATGGTTGATTATTGTTATTATTGATACTAAATCAGTTAGGACACCTGGAGAGGATTTTACTTGCTAACCTTTTGGGCGAAATCTCTTTTGACTAAAAGATTCCAAAGATTCCACCAGAACTTTGCCATCTACTCATTCTTGAAGACTTACTTTAGGCATTCCCTCATCCAGGAAGGGTTCCCAGATTAAATTAGCTACTTTCTACTCTGGCCTCACTATACCCACTGGAAGGTTAAGCCATCATTGCACTTGGCACATGTTATTTGAAATTCTTCTTTTGTTTTTATTATTATTATTATTATTATTATTATTATTATTATTTTTGTAGACATGGGGTTTTGCTATGTTGCCCAGGCTGGTCTCGAACTCCTGTCCTCAGTGATTCTCTCAACTTGGCCTCCCAAAGTATTGGGATTACAGGTGTGAGCCGCCACACTCCGTCAGTGGAGTTCTGCTTTTGAATCTGTCTTCTTTACTAGCCCAGAAGCTCCTCTAGGATCTGAAGTACCTGCTCTCATGGAGGTTGCTTCTAGTAAGTGAGACAGTTAATAAGACAGTATAACATTAGAATGTAATGTAATGTAATATAACATAGCATAACAATATATTATATAAATTTTCATTGTGTCTCCTACACCTATCACAATGCCTGGCAATTAATCAGAATTATAATAATAGGTAACTCAACTCTTGCTTTGCAGGCAGGCATTGTTGTTCCTTATAAATCCTTATCCTGACCTTCTGAAGTAGGTACTATGATCATCTCCATTTTACAGATGAAAGAAGCGAGGTCCAGAGATCTTAAATAACTTGGCAAGATGAACCAGCTAGTAGTTATCCAGATAGAATTTGGACACAGATAATATGGTCGTGGAGCCCACATTCTTAAACCTTATGCCCTATGCATGAATGCATTTTGAATTGAACTACACATATAATTGTTTTACATAAGGAAAGAACATGACTGGAAACTTTAACTGCAATTTAAGCTTAGCTTTTCTTAAGTTTAGAAGCTTCTGTAAGTAGGACTCAGTTCTCAGAAGTAGAGCTTTTATATTTTCTGGTTTAAAAGTAGAAGATTCTATGGCTTACTGATGTCCTTCTATGTTGCTATAATCTTCTGAAAAAAGGTAACCTGTGTTTAGTCTTGGTTTTGCCCCATATCCTGGGACAATATCCATATTCACAAATAATAATAATATGAACCAACATCTAGTGAACATTCACAATATAACCTGGCCAGAGACACACAGCTGGTCAGTGGTGAGACAGAAATTTGAATCGACACCATTCACTGCTTTGAGCCACTGAGCCATCCTGCTTCAGACAGGACCTTACTCTGTTTACTCTGCCTAAGACTTGTAGCTCAGCAACCAGAAATGAGACCATGCTCCCTCATGTTGTGGCCTTTTTTCTTTCCCTGTCTGGAACCCCAGTTCTTCTGAGACTGAAGTCTAGATCTTAGTCACTGCAGTTGGTGATCCAGTACATTTTCTTGCTGGTCACTTTTTACTAGGACTCCCAATAACTGCCAATTGTTAGACCTCTGCTTCTCTTAGTATTCCTGTTGCCTATGTATCCTTGATGCATGGATATAGCTTTAGAGATTGTATTAGGTCTGAGAAGGACCCCAAACATCGCCTGTTAACAACTACTTGGCTGATACTTTACCACATTCCTGCTAAGTGGTTATGTGGCCATTCTTGAAGAAACTTTTTCCATCTTTTTTTTTTTTTAATTAAAAAAATTTTTGGAGGGGTACATAGTAGGTGTACATATTTATGGGGTACATGAGAGGTTTTGATACAGGCATGCCATGTGAAATAAGCACATCATGGAGAATGAGGTATCTATCCCCACAAGCATTTATCCTTTGAGTTACAAATAATTTAATTATATGCTTTAAGTTATTTAAAAATGTACAATTGAGTTATTTGACTATAGTAAGCCTGTTGTGCTATCAAATAGTAGGTCTTATTCATTCTTTCTATTGTTTTGTACCCATTAACCATTCTCACCCCCCCGCTACCCCCAGTACTCCACTACCCATGGACATAAAGAGTAGAAGAATACTTATTCTGTCTTCTGCTTATTCTGCTAGAACGTTCTATGTTGAAGTGTACTCTTGCCCCATATAACTTCTACTCCTTGGTTTGGTTCTATTAATACTTATCATACAAATCCTGATTCATCTTCTTAGTAAGAGGCTTTATAACATTGAAAAACAATGCTATGTTCTTATGAGTGTTCTTGATATTCCCTTGTCATTTTTCTTATTAGATATTGTTTCAAGTCTCATCACTCTGAGCATGCACGAAAGGGGAGAGAATGTCCTTTGAAGTCAGACACATCCAGCTTTGAATCCTAGCTCCACCACTTACTGGATTTATGTGTTTCAGTTTCGTTTTTCTTTCTCATTTGTAAAATGTTGATAATTACACACAGTTTAAGGCAAGTTGTGAAGATTAATTAAAGAGGTGAAATATAACACTTGATGCAGTGCAGACACTCTAATAAATGGCATTTGCTGTTATTTTTATTATCATTATACTTTTTAAAAGAGGGGTTTAAAGAACCAAAACTGATACCATATTCAGATGTGATCTGATCATCCCTAAGTAGAGTGAGACTCTCAACCTATGATAAGGATGATACTAATACTTAAAAGAGTGGCTTTTCAAAAATGGACAAATGGAGTCTAATCAAACTAAAGAGCTTCAGCACCTTAAAAGAAACTATCAACAGAGTAAACAGACAACCTCCACAATGGGAGAAAATATTTGCAAACTACGCATCTGACAAAGGCCTAATATCCAGCATCTATAAGGAATTTAAATCTACAAGAGAAAAAGAAACAATCCCATTAAAAAGTGGGCAAAGGACATGAACAGACACTTTTCAAGAGAAGACATACATGTGGCCAACAAGCATATGAAAGAAAACCCAACACCACTGATCTTTAGAGAAATGCAAATCAAAACCACAATAAGATATCATCTCTCACCAATCAGAATGGCTATTATCAAAAAATCAAAAAATAACAGGTGCTATTGAGGTTGCAGAGAAAAAGTAATGCTTATATATCATTGATGCTCCAGAATGTAAATTAGTTCAACCAGTGTGGTGACTCCTCAAAGACTTAAAGACGGAAATATTATCTGGCCCAGCAATCCCATTACTGGGCACATACCCAAAGGAATATAAATCATTCTATCATAAAGACACATGCATACATATGTTCATTGTAGCACTGTTCACAATAGCAAAGACATGGAATTAACCTAAATGCCCATCAGTGGTAGTCTGGATAAAGAAAATATGGTACATATAAACCATGAAATACTGTGCAGCCATAAAAAAGAGTATCATGTCCTTTGCAGGAACATGGATGGAGCTGGAGGCCATTATCCTTAGTAAACTAATGCAAGAACAGAAAATCAAATGCCCCATATTCTCACTTATAGGTGGGAGCTAAATAATAAGAACACATAGACACATAGAGGGGAGCAACAGACACAGGGTCCTACCAGAGGGTGGAGGGTGGCAGGAGAGAGAGGATCAGGAAGGATAACTAATGGGTTAGGCTTAATATGTGGGTGATGAAATAATCTGTACAGCAAACCCCCATGACATGAATTTACCTATATACAAACCTGCGTGTGTACCCCTGACCTTAAAAATAAAATGAAAAAAAAAGTGGCTTTTGTTTATTTTTTTCTCCATGCCAAGCTTTGTGCTAAGCACTTATCTCCTTGGGTCCTCTCTTGGGTCCTCTTGGGCCCTATCAACCATCCTGTGAAGTACATGTCATTCCCATTTTATAGACAAAGACACTGAGGCACAGAGAGATATGACCTGCCTAAATCAAACAATTAGGAAATGACAGGGTTGGTAAAACCATTGTGTCTGGCACCAGAGATCTTGCTGCTACAAATATTAGACCCTGTCTAAATTATTCTGTGTTGTACTTTTTTTTGGTAGTTAAATACATGATGAACATACATAGAGCTTACTATTACGGAAGCTTCTTCCTCTCCTTGGCCATCACATATTGTTGAGCAAGATATCATTCACTCAACAGGTATTCTGTTTGCTTTGTGTTTGTTTGTTTCCCAAATGCAGGCATATTAATTTGCCAGGGCTGCTATCACAAAATAGCAGTCTGGGTGGCTTACCCAACAGAAATTTATTTTCTCACAGTTCTGGAGGCTGGAAGTCTAAGATCAAGGTGTCAACAGGCTTGCTTTCTTCTGATGAAGGTGCCAGCATGGTCGGTTTCTGCTGGGCTTACAGATGGCTGCCTTCTTGCTGTGTCCTTATGTGGTTTTTCTTTTCTGTGTGCACATCCCTAGGGTCTCCATGTATGTTCAAATTCCTCTTCTTAGGGGATAGTTAATGGGTACAAAAATACAGTTAAATAGAAGGAATAAGATCTAACGTTCAATTAGCACAATAGGGTAACTATAGTTAAAAATAATTTGTTGTGTATTTCAAAATAACTAAAAGAGTGGAATTGGAACGTCCTAATACAAAGAAATGATAAATACTTGAGGTGATAGATATCCCCATTACCCTGATTTGATCATTACACTTCCAGCAGAATGCTTCTAGCAGAATATCACATATGCTCCATAAATATGCACAACTATTATATATCCATAATAATTAAAAATAAAACAATTTTAAAATTCCTCTTCTTATAAGGACAGTAGTCAGCTTGGATTAGGGCCCACCCTAATGGCCTCATTTTAACTTAATCACCCCTTTAAAGGTTCTATCTCCAAATACTCACGTACTGAGGGTTAAGGCTTCAACATAGGAATTTTGGGGGGACATAATTCAATAATTCAGTCCATCACAGAGGGTCTCATATTTATCTCACTAAAACTCTCCTTTTGTTAGATTTGGTCTATGGCTCACTGAGAATTTTTTTTCCTGCACCTTTAAAAAAATAATTTCAACTTATATTTTAGATTCAGGGGATACAAGTGCACATTTGTTACATGAGTATATTGTATGATGCTGAGGTTTGGGGTACAGATGATCTTGTCACCCAGGTAGCGAGCATAGTACCTGATAGGTAGTTTTTCTTCCCACACACCCCGCCCCCAGCCTCCTCCCTCTAGAAGTCTCCAGTGTCTATTGCTCTGCTCTGTGTGTCCATGTGTATGCGGTGATTAGCTTCCACTCATATGTGAGAACATATGTATTTGGTTTTTGTTACTGCATTATTAATTCACTTAGGATAATGGCCTCTAGCTGTGTTCATGTTGCTATGAAGAACATGATTTCATTCTTTTTTATGGCTGCGTAGTATTCCATGGCATATATGTACCACATTTTCTTTATCCAATCTACCGTTGATGACTGATAATTTTTTAAACGTTGATTTGTTCCTCAGCATTCTCATCATTTCTTCCAAATTTGTGCCATCTGAAACTCAATGTGCATTCTGTCTATATCTCTTTCTTGTTATTAATAAAAATGCAGAAGAAAACAGAAGCAATCACAGAGCTCAGAAGTATGGAGCTAGACAACTTGATTCAATTTGATGCCCTCTTGCTGCCTGTCTAATATCTATGGGTTTTTCTGATTCCTCTTTACTGGCCATCTGTGGTTTGGTGCATGTGGCCATTCTCTATACACTGGTTTTGATTTAATAGATGAAATATCATTATTGTGTTTAGACCTGTTCTAATTAGAGCTTCACTTAATTTGGTGGTTGGATAATAGAAAAGCCATCAGATGAGAAATCAAACTTCCTGAATTCTAGTCCTGGTTTTATAATTATCTGTATCATGTCATCTCTTGAACTCTCAAGTTCCTCACCTGGAAAAATAGAATAACACCTGCCCTACTTTAGGCGTTAGAGGATTGGTATCAGATTCCAGTGAAATGTGTATGTAGAGCCTCTATTGGCTCTAAGGAACAAATAAATGTTGACTATCCATGGTAGATTTTTCCCAGGTATTTTAAGATTCACATCTTTTGGCCTATTCTGAGGCCAAATGGTTTTAGTACCAACCAGAAGATGCTTAAAGCACCTACCTCTTTGAGGGTAGACTAGTCTGTCATCATTTCTTTGTTTCAGGACTCTTTTGTGGATCGGTATAGTACAAATACATTTTGTAAAAACTAAAGTAGTTAAAATACAGCTGCTCAAAAAATTCAGAGCTGACCTAAAATTATAAATCATTGACCTAGAGTATGTAGATTAAGTTTAGTTTCTTTAACCCAATATACTTAAGAAGGTAAGTCTGCTTCAGATCTTCTAAGCAAAACTGAAGACATATTTTAGAACATACCTCTCTATTAGCTGAGTAATCAATATATGGAATAAATACATTCTTAAAGCTTCCCGTAATGTGATTTTCTGAATACTTAAGGTTATTTTCCTACTGCTTTCTATTATAATATGTAATATATAGTCTTATGGAAGTTGTATGTTAAACCATCACACTGTAAATAAGCTTGCTGAGTCATTTATCCATGCAGGATAGAGTCTAGGCTTCCTAAATTGTGTGGTGCTGCAGGTACACACCAGGAAGACTTACAGGGCGTTAGGGTAGAGAAGGAAGGTGAAGCGAGAACTTGCACTTATTGGACACATCTACATGTCAGATCTTATGTGCTATTTAAATTCTCATTTAATTCTGACAACAATTCTGAGGTAGCCCAAATATAGCAGCTGAGAGGAGAGTATATATAACAGTTGGAAATGCCAATGTACTCAAAATCAGCTTCCTAAATTTTGAACCACTTCTGCTAATTCTATTTGTAGAAAATAGCATTGAATTTTTTTGAAAATTAAGATTAAAAAAAAAATCCTGCTTAGTGTTCAGGCGAAGGTAGTCACCTGGATAGTATACCAAGCTCATACCATCTGGTAGTTAATATTACTTTCTGTGGAGTTGTCATTATCATCCCAGTTTTTCAGATGAGGAAACTGAAGCCCAGAATGCTAAATACTTGTTCCACGTCATACAACTGGTCTGTATTGAAGATGAGATTCAAAGCTGTGTTGGACTTCTGAGTGATTATATTTTCACTCTGCTCTGAAAATGCTGAACTAGGAGACTGAGATTATCTTCTCTGCTCTTGGATACTAATATATGACCTTGTCAGTCACATAACTTCTCTAAATTCCAAGTTCCTTCACCATAGTAGGAGTATAATTTTAGCATGGATCAGATAAATACTCCTTTTCAGTCTTTGGAAAATCATGAAGTGCTATATAAATGTAAAGTAGTATTTTAAAAAAAAAGCCCTCTGAATCAAGAGTATATGTTAAATTCCTTATCTGATTTAGGATGTTTAGAATCCAACAGTGCTATCCAATAGGACATTCTGTGATGGTGGTGTGTTCTATATCTGCACTGTCCATTACAGTAGCCACTTGTCTGAAGTGGCTATTGAGCACTTGATGTGTAGCTACTGTGACCGAGGAACTAAAGTTTTAACTTCCCTGAGTTTTTAACTAATTTAAGTTTAAATTAAATTGCTACATATTGCTAGCGATTACTGTCTTGGACAGCGCAGAATGCTAGATGGTTTCACACAAACATATGGATTCTGAGCAATTAGATCATTGTCCTCTATTCCGTGCATGTCAATCATCCCTGCTGCTAGCGCTGGTAAACTGAAATGGGTGTTTAGTGTTCCCTTTGTCCTGATGTCTCCAAGCCATTTTAGATTTGTCAATTTAGTTTTCAGGAAACAGGATATTTTTTAATTTTCCTGACTCCAGGTGGACTTAATGAATACATCAATTAATTAATATTTGTTGAATGAATGCACGTAGTAGGTAGTTAGTACATGTTGTTACCCTCATCTCTGTTTGGGCCTTTCTTATCCTTATAAAATGGGAGCCATTGCAGGCTTACACTGAGGTTTAAAGGTGTCCAGTAAAACCTCAGCAAAGCCTCTGGCACAGCAGATCCTGTGTTAATGTGTGTTTCCCTTTTTCTTATCCTTGAGAGAAATTGTTGCTGGTAAAGAAAACAGCATTATATTCATGTAACTAGTCTGTGTGTCTAAGAGTCCATCACAGTTGGATCTTTTTGCCAGTTGTCATTCATTTCTTTGGTTCACACTTTGTAAGTTTAGCTCATCAGTTGGGATGATCTTTCATTGTGCAACTTAGTTTGCCGTTTGTCTTTGTGATTCTTAAAAATATCAAATGAGAAGGAATATTCTCTTCCCTCCACAGTGCTATCTTCCCCTACCCAATAAGTAACTCATATAAAAATATATTTAAGTGGGGGAAATCTTAATTTCTGTAAATATAAAGAGCCCAACTGCTTTCACATTTCTAAAGACCATATGATTTTTAAAAAATACATTTTATAGTTAACTGGAAGAGGCGGCTACCTTTCCCCCCCTCATCCTCTCAGTGTTTGGGAAGTTGTGAATCAGCAGAGGTATAAATCTCCAGAAAAAACTTATATTCGGAAGTGGCTCTAGACATTCTTAGCTTTGTGACTCAGGAGGACATTTTTCTTCAGCATTATAGTTTTAACCACTTACTTTCTGCAAATGAAAAAGAGAAAACTGTACTAACTGAAGTGCAAACATACTTTTAAAAAGGGCGTCTTTGACCTTCAGTCCAAATAGGCTGTCCTTAATAATTTATGGAAATTCTTGTTCCATTGATATAGAAGGTAATGCTTTGATTGTATCCGGCTGACTAAAGAACAGTACATCTGCTTTATTCTAACTGATGTTTGGGAAGAGAACAAATTTTTCAGAGAACCTGAAGTCCTTAGGGCTAATTTTGCCTTTGATCTTATCACTTTGCTTTTTCTTTTTAACTCAAGGTTACTCTTAAATTCAGGTCCTCCTTTTTCCTTAGAAAGACCCTGTAATAATTTTCAAAGTGAGAGCATAAGTAATTTTTCAAAAGTTCATCATTATGAGAGCAACTTTAAAACGTTATGAAAGAAAATTAAAAATATTTTTTTCATATTTCCTCCACCCTGACAAAGCAATTTTTATTTTAGTTCAGGCATTATTAACACAATTGAGCACAGCAATAAATTAGTCACTCCGTTTTAAATTAGTTTTTTAGTGAAGAGAAAAAAAGGAGAAGTTATAGTAGTAAGCCACAATAGTTCTTTTCACAAAGAGAATCTTTAAGAATAGATTAGCATTGGCCAGGCGCGGTGTCTCACGCCTGTAATCCCAGCACTTTGGGAGGCCAAGGCGGGTGGATCACGAGGTCAGGAGTTCGAGACCAGCCTGGCCAACACAGTGAAACCCTGTCTCTACTAAAAATACAAAAAGTAACCGGGCGTGGTGGCAGGTGCCTGTAATCCCAGCCACTTGGAAGGCTGAGGCAAGAGAATCGCTTGAACCCGGGAGGCGGAAGTTGCAGTGAGCAGAGATCGCGCCATTGCACTCCAGCCTGGATGACAAAGCAAGACTCCGTCTCAAAAAAACAAAACAAAAAAAGAATAGATTAGAATTAGATTAGAATACCTACAATTAGGAATCTAAAAGTTGCCATCACATAAGATTATTTTAGGTCGGGTGTGGTGGATCACGCTTGCAATCCCAGCACTTCGGGAGGCCGAGGCAGACAAATCACTTGAGGTCAAGAGATCAAGACCAGCCTGGTCAACATGGTGAAACCCCATCTCTGCTAAAAATACAAAAATTAGTCAGGCAGGGTAGCATGGCATGTGCCTATAATCCCAGCTACTGGGGAGGCTGAGACAGGAGAATCACTTGAACCCGGGAGGCGGAGGTTGCAATGAGCTGAGATCGCACCACTGCACTCCAGCCTGGGTGACAGTGGGGGACTCTTGTCTCAAAAAAAAAAAAAAAAAGATTATTTTAACACACAAGCTTGCTGGAAGTTTTAATGAGTCATTATGATCTATGAGTATAAAGGAGAGAACATTAGAATAGATATCAGGAGAAGTGGATTTTTGTCTGAGCTCTAAAGTATTACGATGCAAAGGATTCTATTTTGTACCTTTCTTTAGAAATATATATGTGGACTTTTGTATATGGATATAATAGTGCAAGGGGCCTCTTGTCATGCTCTTGGGATTGTGCTATAGTATTGCTAATGTTGTTCCTATCCACCTACATGTTCTCTTACGTGTTTTTCATTGAAGCCAAGGGCAGGCATTTCTCTTTCCTTCGGGGGATGAGGTGTACTAAGTGTGAGCATGTTAACTTTGATCCCTCTGGCTTATCAACTGAATGAATGATATAGCAAGTGCGATTGCCACAGAGTTTGTACCCAATAATGGCCCCAAAGGGTTACACATGGCTGCTCCTTGACCCAGTAAAAGGCAGTTATAAAAATTCATCAGGCAATTGGAAGCTGTTAAAAGTCATTTCTCAATGAGTCATTTGTCACTGTTAACAAGATGAGTTAGGGACAAGTGAAAAATGTTTGTTATTTTTACAGCAACTACATTTTTTTTTTTTTTTTGAGATGGAGTCTCGCTCTGTCACCCAGGCTGGAGTGCAGTGGCATGATCTCGGCTCACTGCAACCTCTGCCTCCCGGGTTCAAGCAATTCTCTGCCTCAGCCTCTCAAGTAGCTGAGGTTACAGAGGCCTGCCACCACACCTGGATAATTTTTTTTGGCATTTTTAGTAGACAAGGAGTTTCACTATCTTGGCCAGGCTGGTCTTGAACCCCTGACCTCGTGATCCACCTGCCTTGGCCTCCCAAAGTGCTGGGAATACAGGCGTAAGCCACTGCGCCCGGCCTACAGCAACTAAATTTTAACAGATGAGCAAAAAGTTGTCATTCAGCACTTGAGAACAGCGGTTGTGTTATTTCAAAGCTAACAATTCTTGCTTCCTTTAGGAGTGCTTATGAATGCCTATCATTCAAATATCTTTCTAGTTACAGTTCCCCAAAGCTTATGTGGAAAACCAACCTTTGCTATTTATGTGCAGCTGGAAAATGGAGGATGTAAGAGTAGAGCCCAGAGAAGTCTTGCCTGGATTTTGTTCTTTGCACAAGTTCTTTAACCTTTCTGGGCATCACTTTCTTCATCTGTAAAATGAAGCAGTTTTTAGATAATCCCTTAAGATCACTTCTGCTCTAAATTTCTGTAACTTATGAAACCAATGGCCTTAAGAAAGTGGTAAAATCTCAATGTCTTCCTGTTGATCTTGAAATCAGGGGAAAGGGCATTTGTTTGTAATATACTTTAATCAAAAAATAATATCTCTAAACTACTGAATTGTAATATACTTGTTCTAGGCTTTGTGATACATAAATTACACGCTCCTCATTCCTGCCTGATATGCATATTAAATTCACCTTAATTAGCAATTTAGTTTAAAAGCTTTTATTAGATAATTGCTCACAGTTTCAAGTCCTTATCTATGGGAAGGCTATTGACCTGTTTTCTATTGGAAATAAATCTTGTATATAAGCTTTTGGTAATGATGAGATTCCGAGTCTATAGACATGTAGTATTCTAAAGAAGGTACAACCCTTTTCTTCCTCCCAACACCACTCTTACCACATGAATAAATATATTCTTCCAGTTTAATACTCTAGAAATCTTGTTTTATTTTCTTTAAAAGGTATTGGATTGAAGTTTCTGAGGAAGCCACTGGTTGTATGCTGTGGTGCTATAACAGTTATTTGTTACATTTAGTTCCGTGGTGAATGGATAAGAGATAATTCCACTATATTTAAAAAGGTAGTTTATTTGCCAGGTTTTATGTGTTTGTACAATTATGAAGGGGTTTTCAGCATTGAGATAATGCATCCAACAGTTAAAATTATTATAGACAGCTTTGTCATATCTATAGTTGTACATAAGCCAAGATCCCCTTGGAGATGGCCAGACAGCCAGACACTACCATGTTGGCTGAACAAACGTTTTGTGCTTTCTCCGAAATGGCTGGTTACTAGGAAATATTGAGACTGCTCTATCACTTGCAAGATAAACTGTGGCGGGAGAGTTATCAGGTTAATAAACAAAGGTCTCAGATACAGGCCCTGAGATGAAAGGTTAAGAGGCAGGACTTACGTAGCAAGTTTACTTGGTTATAACACTCAGGTCTGTTAAAGAAAACCATTCTTGTGTAGTATTTAAGATCACAGGTTATGCTAAGTGCTGTGCCCTGGAGGACAATACCTTTTATTGATTAGCATTTATTTTGACCTTGAATAAGCAGATCATGTATGTGGGCAATTCTAGACCATGTCATCATTGGTAAATGAAATTGTGATTTTCATAAGTACTTCATTAGTTCTTCCTCCCAAAGCCCTAAACCTTCCTCGGTCAAGTTTCATATGCTATCTTAGTTTCTGTGTGGGGAACGAAAACCTTCCTAAATATTGAGAAATTTTTAAAAAACTTCTAACAGAAATCTGTCCTACTTTAGCAGAAATCCCTATTGTCTCTCTTAAGAGCTTAAGGATCTACAACACTATAACATTATTTTTTATTTTTGGTGGAGGGCGTCTCCTCATCCCCTACCTTGATTTTTTAAAAAAGGGTGATAACTTTTGAAATGATATCTATGTCTCTAAATAGTTAAGAAGTTGCCTCCCATTCAGGTATTTCCCCCCATCTCTGAGAACTGGGAATTGGCTGCTCTGGCTGCTAGATTGGAACTGGCAATTTCTACATTTCTTCTTAATCTTCCACTGCAGTGTATCAAGGATGCACACAGTATTACTAAGACCAACATTCAACCTTTGTAACTGCAAACATAAGGACAATTTATACATCTGCTAATTGCGGTTTCCTTTTGTCAACACACCTATCAGTGTGTATCCATTGTAGAAGCCAGATAGAACAACAGCCCCAGTTTTGCATAATGAATTTCTTGTTAATTAAAAAAAGACCTAATTTGATTAACACAAATTTATTACATTCCAGAGTTTCAGGAACCTAATTTTTGCAAAAAGCTAGGTATAAGGAATAGTTTTGGGCATTAAGCTGTCTATTGTTCAGAGTTTAATTAGTGGTCAACCATGTTTTGAACATCTGCTCTTTCTGTGTGGTCTAAAGGAGGCAGATGCTATCCCAGATTGGCAGATGAGGAGTCAGATACAAACATGTCAGGTGATCTGTTTGAGCTCACCAAATATTGATGGTATTGTGCTCCTTTCCTTTCCCCAGCCTCCCTTGCAGTTAGGTTGAAACCATATGAACGGTTTTCATTAGGCTGGTGAAATGTGAGCAGAAGTACCATGTGTGTTGCTTTTGTGCTAGGACATCTAAAACCTCTAGTTCCTTCTCTATTTCTTTTTTCCAAGAGTTCTATATGGCATAGGTATGAAATAAGAGAAGGTGATATGGGACAGAAATACATTTTTACTAGGCTAAGCTACTGATATTTGGGGCTTGCTGTTGCAGCAGCTAGCATTAATTACGCTGACTAATATAAAAGGTGATATTCCTAATGTTATAAAGTTATGGCAGAAGCTGGGGCCATTATCTAGAACAGAGAATCACAAAGCTGACTTAGAATCAGAATCACTGGGGGAGCTTTAAGAAAATTCACATTTCTGGGACCCACGTAAGATTTACTAAATGAAAATTTGAGGGTAGGGCCTATGAATCAATATTTTTGTCAAGTTCCCCAAATGATTCTAAATCATTTCCTTCTATTCTAAACTCATGTTCTTTAACATCAAAGTCTCTTTATTTTCTGGGAAGGTGAAATGGAAGGCTAAAAGAATCAGAGGCTTGGAAGCTAAAACAGGGATTGGCAAACTATGACCCCAAGAGCCAAATATAGCCTGTAGTCTGTGTTAGTAAATAAAGTTTTACTGGAGTACAGCCACATCCATTTGTTTACACAAATGGTGTAACATTTTTGCCTGTGGCTGCTTTCACTACAATGGTGGCAGAGTTGAGTAGTTGTAGCAGCAGTCGTACTATCCTGGCTCTTACAGAAAAAGTTTTCAGACTCCTGTTTCTGTGCTTGAGAAAAGGCATGACTTGATTCGACCCCACCCATAACTGGGAGACTCAAATTCTTCACGCTTTTGACAGGTGTAAGAAGTTCCTGTCATGGGAAGTGATTTAACTTTAGAATCAGCTGCGTATTATAGTATTACCCTGATCTGTGGAAGAGTTTAAAGTCATACAGACTCCCTTAGTGTCTTGTAACCTGTCAACCTACCAGAAGCACAACCACAGTAAGATGATTGTTTCAATGGATTCTAAAAAAGTTGGATGATGTTTACAATGAAAAAAATTACAGTTTCCAAATATATCTGGATTCTTGCAGTTCTTTTTTACTACAAATGAAAATAGGAAACAGGTTAATATTTAATGGTAATTAAGTCACATTCAGGTATACATTTTCTTTAAAATCTATCTTTAATTCATGCTCAATTTATATAAAGTGCTTGGCACATTCCAAAAATTTAAAAATAATCTATATTTAAATATATATGTACATTTAAATATATATCTTTAAACACACAAATTTAAATATAAATTTTAAAGCTGTCAGGACCAGAAAATTCAAATTTGAAGTGCAATTCTGGGGGATGGCTATTTAAACCAGCTCCAAATGCATATCTAAGCTGAAGGTTTTTTTTAGCTTAGTGCATCATCACTGTATACAGCCCTTCCCTCCTTTCCCCTTCTATCACCCCAGTAAAATACTCTTTGAAGGACTACCAGTCAGAAACCTAGTGAATCATAAAGAGAAACTGAATACTCTTGCTTTTTAGTAAACAAGAGGGGAAGAAAAGAGGAGTAACCCTATGTTTGGATCACAAAGAGCCTCATCTGGTTATGCTTGAGGCCCTCAGATGAAATTTGGATAAGCTCCACTGTAGAGCAAATGCTGAGGTCAGAATGGAATATCATAGTTGAAGAGCTGCAGGAGTTTCCATGAATGTGGTTCTTTCTCACTTTGAAGGACAAAGTTATCTATAAGCTCTGCTCCCTCACTAGTTTAATTTATATAACTTGTTAGAGCTAGAGAAGAAAGAAAAACCAAAGCAAAATGTACAATTTCATTATAATCCCTAATGGAAATAATTGGTAACATGTGTACCTAATTTTGGTTCTTCACTCTTATATTCACTTGTCACTGGCTAATTGAGAGTGGCAGTCCCAATTAAACAGTCCTTGGTAGCATGTAATGGCTAACTGTGAGCAGGTTAGAAGCCTTCTTTGTCTTTGAAACTTTGAAAATGTCTCTTAACTCTCCAGGGCATGTCTGCTTGGGGTTGAAGTCATAACCTGGTATCAGATGATTTAAATTCAAGAAGGTCCTTTAATATTATGGTTCAAATAAATGAATTTGCACCTCATGTCATATGTTTAGCAGGTGACTGAGACCATGTGCTCTTTATCCCACTTAGTGGAGAATTATAATGTGTAAAGGATTTAAATAAGGCTATAACCAGCCTTGCAGCTAGGGGCAAAAAGTATTGTGGTAAATGTCGCAGGCTAGAATAAGAAGTATGGTTATTTGGGCCATTGCAGTGACTTCTGATTTAATTCATGTAATTTCTTCTTAAAGGAATTCATGCTTCTCTTCTCTCTACTTGTAACTCCACGGCTTTATTCCCAAAAAGTCATTGATTTATGTGGTTACTATTACCAAATGACTGGGCAAAATAATATGTCTCTTGAAATGCTCTGGCTAATGGGGTCCATGAAAACGATTATGAAAGTCTAATATGGATGAATGGACATGTTATCTGCTGTAACAATCTCTGTGATATCCCCAAGACAGTTTTCTAAGCATTGTGGAAGCTAAAAGATAGAAGATACTGGCTAGGGTTTTATCCACAACTCTCATTAATAGAAATAGGAATTGTGTGGATGAGAACCATAGTCCCCCTTGGTAAGCGTTATGCACCAAGCAACACTTTTCAGATGATTTTCCATTTCCCTTTCCTTTATCTCAGAACCAAATGAAAATTTTATGAAAGTCATCATTTCACTTTGAAATCACTTATGGTTAAAGATGGACCTGGATAATTGGGAAAATTAGCATAGTCCATTTCAGGATGCATATCCGAATTTCTTTTCCATCTTTATCAACATCTTTCCTTTTGACTCAGTATGAGAACAGTATCCAGGGAGGTGAGTCACCAGGTCTGGCAGATTATTTAGCGAGATTCTGTACATCTCTTCTGTTTTTGACTTCAACTTCCACTTTGTCTCCTTTGGCTTTCTCAGCCTCATTTGCTATACACATACGGCAGAATAAAAGTGACACATTTCCTCAAAGGATCAGAGGAATTAGAATTAAGAATCATAGGACAGTTTTCTACCATTATTCTTAATTTTTGAAATTACTTTTGGGTCTGTAGACCTGAAAGGAAACATAGAAGATCGATCTATCAATCTATTAGTTGTACTACAGGTTCTGTTGTGAATAATGGTGACCTCAAAATATCACTGGCTTATACAAGACATATATTTATTTTTCTCTCATATAAAGGCATAGAAATAGAGGCTGAAATGATGGCTTCCCAGTCTTCCAGAACAAGTTGCTTCCAACTTTCCATTTTACCAAGGTTGGTGAACTAGGTACATGACCCTTATCCTCATGGATGGGTCATTAGCCCTTACATCCAAATTCTATGCAGCAGGACAGGGAGATGGGGAAGAAGGACACGTGTCCTACCTTTAAGAACACATCTCAGAAGTTATACACATCATGTCTGCTTACATCCTATTGGTCAGAGCTTAATTAAATGGCCATATTATAGCAGAGGAGGCTGGGAGATATCTTTTGTTTTGGCAGTCACATACCCAGCTAAATTGTGGGGCTCTTGGAGAAAGTGGAAAACAAATAGAGACATCCAATAATCTCTACCATGGTTGATCCAGGAGGAAAACTAGATATCTATGTGTATCTTCTTCCCACACTTAAAATACACTCACCCCTTTCCTGGGGAGACAACTCAAAATCCCATCTAGTTATCGCAATGACCTTTAATTCCAGGATCTCTGGGTGATGCTTGGTCTCTTCTACTGGGTCAGAGTAGAGCTCCTTTCAGGTCTATAATTTTCTGGCCCCATCTCATCCAATACGCTTCAGTGGAGTTGTAACATAATAACTGCTGCAAAAACTCCCATTTGGGAAAAGGCACCGAAATACTTACCAATAATTGAGCTGTAGCAGTTTTCAGATCGTTGAACCAGAATTGAGAAGAAGCCTGGTCCTGGTGAAGAAGTAAATTCTCGGGCTTGGTGCATCTGGAAGCTCTTGGCTCTATGCTGGGAGAAGCTGTCTTCTTCCATTATCCTCTCTGATCACATCTGAAGCAGGCCTTGGACATTTTGCCTTCTTTCTCAGCCTCCTTTCTGGAAGTGGAGGATCTGGGTTTCCGGGTTCGTTTTAGGGCTTGAGTGATCACAATCTTTATCAGGACAGGCTTGTGGTTTCTCTGACAATGCAATTCCCTCCCCAAATTAGTAAGTATCTGGTCTATTTGTTTCTGGTTGGTACTCATTTGAGCAAGCAAAACCTAAGGACTCATTTCCACATGGTTTTTTAAAACTAAAGACTCTTGTTTTCACTTTTTGACCCCTGTGCTCTGTTTACCATTCTGCCTACCTGTATGAGTTTTCTGGGGCTGCCGTAAGAAAGGATCACAGACTTGGCTCAGACAACACAAATTTATTTCCTCATAGTTCTGGAGGCTGGAAGTCCAAGATCAAGGTGTCAGCAGGGTTTATTTCTGCTGAGACCTCTTTCCTTCCTTGTAGATGGCCATTTTCTTCCTGTGTCTTCATACTGTCCTCCCTCTGCGTGTATCTGTGTCCTAATCTCCTCTTCTTATAAAAACATCAGTCATGTTGGACTAGAGCCTGCCCTAATGACCTTGTTTTCACTTAATTACCTTTTTGAAGATTCTGTCTCCAAATTCAGTCACATTCTGAGATATAGGGGTTAGGACATCAACATGAATTTTGGGAGAACACAATTCAACCCATAACACCACTCCTTCTGGTTATCTAGAAAATAGGCTTAGATGGGAAGGCAACACCTTGAATATGATTTTTGCTGCTAGACTGGTTCCCATTGTCTGGTAGAAAACTCCCCTATGATGAAGGCTGAAAATAGGATTTATTGCCTGCTAAGTCTACCATTCTCTTTACACAGGGTTCAGGGTGAGTACAGACAGGACCAGTTAGCATTGCTATTCTTAAAAGGCCCCAAATTTAATAGGCTTGTCTAACAACTTAGATTGAAAACCCTGGGCAAGAGTGTATCCACCATTTCTGCAACTGGTTAGCTCTGGCTGGAGCTAATTTTTTTCATAATTCTTTAAGTGCAAGGCAAGAATGAAAACTTGAGTCTGTGCTCATGGGTTGCAATTCTAAAGCTTGGTCCAAATAAACTGTCTACTTATATTTAAAAACAACAAAACAAACAAACAAAACATGTTTGAGAGCCGGTTAGGCAATGTTGGGTGAGAACCAACATTTTGAATTTTTAAACCATGCAGCTTAGAGCTATAGGTTGGGTTGGCTGGATCGAACAGGAAACAATTTTATCAAATGTGCTATCTCATAATATGGGGCTTCAGCTGGCTGGCCTGCAGCGTCTGTATGCTTGCTGCTTGATCTCACGCTTTTTAGCCAGTGTTACACATTCAATCTGTTTGGCTATGACTAGCAGAGATTCAAAATAACAGTGGCTTAAACAAGATAGAAGTTTTCTTTCTCTCTCACTTTGAAGTCACGATGTAGGCCATTCAGAGCTGATAATGGCAGTGCCATACTACATATATTTGGGATCCAGGCTGCTTCCAACTTTCCTCTTCACCATGTCTAGGGTATGGTTTTTACTGGCATGGTTCCAACTGGTATCCCAGCCAACACATCCATATTTCAAACAGCAGGATGGATAAAGGGGGAGAAGGAGCAGACCTTCTTCCTTTAAGGACGCATATCAGAAGTTGTACCTACAAGTTCTGCTTACATCCTATTGATCACAACTTGGTCACAATGGGAGGGAGGGAGCCTGGGAAATATGATTTATTTGGGGTTGATAAATTTTGGAGATTCTTATCATCATGGAAGAAGGGAGACTAGATATTGGAGGATAACAAGAGTCTTTCCTACAAGTAGAAAAATTTGCTTCCTCTAATTCTGCTGCCTAAAACTTTTGCACACTTTCCTTAGCTATAGAACACTAGCTATTGGCCAGGCGCAGTGGCTCACGCCTGTAATCACAGCACTTTGGGAGGCTGAGGCAGGCGGATCACGAAGTCAAGAGATCGAGACTATTCTGGCCAACATGGTGAAACCCCGTCTCTACTAAAAATACAAAAAGTAGCTGGGTGTGTGGCACGTGCCTGTAGTCCCAGCTGCTCAGAAGGCTGAGGCAGGAGAATTGCTTGAACCCGGGAAGTGGAGGTTGCAGTGAGCCGAGATTGAGCTACTGCCCTCCAGAGCCTAGGCAACAGAGCAAGACTCTGTCTAAAAAACAAACAAACAAACAAACAAACAAACAAACAAAAATACCACTAGCTATTGATGTTCACTATGTGGCTGTTAAGGAATAGGCAGAGTCTGAAGTAGTTCTGAACTCTTTAAAAATCAAATTATATTCAGCATTATCCTAGGGTATATTTTGTGGTGTTTTAAATCCAGCAAATTAATATTTAATGTATAATAATAACAAACAAAAATAAATATTAGCTATTAAGTGCTTATAATTTACAAGGTACTATGCTAAGCACTTTATGTACATTTTTTCACTTAAACTTCACAAGAATCCTGAAAATGGGTCTTATTAGTACCATTTTACAGATCAAGACACTAAAGATCAGAGAGATTAAGTAATTTGCTCAAGATCACATAGCTCTTAAGTGATGGAGCTGATATTTGCTACTGGTCTGACTGGTTCTAAAGCTTGTTATATCTACCATCTGTGTATGTTGAGAGCAGTGGTTCTCAACTAGGAGAAATTTTGCTTCCCGGGGGTATTTGACAATGTCTGGAGACATTTTTGACTGCTACAACTAGGGGGATGCTACTGGAGTCAAGTGGGTAGAGGCCAGGGAGACTGCTAAACAGCCCACAGTGCACAGGATGACTCCTCTAAATAAAGAATTATCTGGCCCAAAGCATCATTGGTGTCAAAGTTGAGAAACACAGAAGTTAGGCCTTACTACTTAGAATATTGGTACATGCCTTGGCCCTCACTAAATTATAGCAGGTGATTTGTATCCATTTAGATTGCTAATCTCTGGAAATAGGGAACTTCTGTTCTTGTGTTAAAGCAGTACATTTTTATTAGTGAATAAGGATTAGTTCTTTGTTTTAGACTGGAGCTGATTTATGTTTTGTGAAAAAAGAGTAAGATTTTGAAGGTGTGGGAGCAGGGAAATTTACAGAGAGATATATAAAACATTTGAAAATCAATTATTTTATATATTGTTGTACTTAAACACTTTTTATTTTCTTGAGACAGGGTCTTGCTCTGCCTCCTAGGCTGGAGTGCAGTGTCATGATCATGGCTCACGGCAGCCTTAATCTTCGGGGCTCAAGCGATCCTCCCACTTTAGCCTCCTGAGTACCTGGGATCACAAACATGTGAATAAAACTTTCATCTTGATAGGGTTTGGATATTGGTCCACTCTAAATCTCATGTTGAAATGTAATCCCCAGTACTGGAGGTGGGGCCTGGTGGGAGGTATTTGGATTATGAGGATTATGAAGATGGATCCCTCATCAATGGCTTAGCACCGTCCCCTTGGTGATGAGTGAGTTCATATTAGATATGTGCATGGTACCTCCTCACTCTCTCTCTTACTCCCTCTCTTGCCATGTGATGCACCTGCTGCTTCTTCACCTTCTGCCATGGCTGTAAGCTTCCTGAGGCCTTCACCAAAGCAGATACCACTCAGCTTTTGGTGCAGCCTGCCGAACCATAAGCCAATTAAACCTTTTTCTTTATCAATTACCCAGTCTGGGGTATTCCTTTATAGTAATGCAAGAATGGCTTAATACACATCTCAATTAAAAAAATGAGATAAATGATTAATCCACCATCTTTTTTTGAGAAGAGACATGGCTGTGCATAATAGATATATTCAGAACATGAGCCAACATTTGATACTACTCTTAGACTTTTGGTTGTATGGATTTTAAGTACTGGAACTACTTTGACACCAACAAGATCAACTTTTCTTTAAACAGGCATTTTCTAAGAACTTAAAGTGAACATATCTTGTCTTAGGCAACTTAAGGAAGTTATGGTTTATGGGGGTGAAATGATAAACAAACCAGTAGTCCTGACATGAGGGGATTGAGGAATTCAGTGGTGATTCATTGATGATAGAGTGGGATACAGAGGCAGGGATGGGATTCTATGGGTTCATAGGGGAGAAAACTTCTGTCTCCATGGAGGAGGTGGAGTAGGCAGTGAAGGTGAGATTTTAGTCAATCCTTAAAGACGATCAGGGTCTGCATGGCAGGCAATAAGAAGATGGGGAGGTTGGAAAGGGAGGGAAAAGCCCAGGCTACTTAGAACAACTGCACAGTTTTTGCTGAAAATTCAACCTATATGCTGAAACAGGTCTGCTTCTCCCCAGAGGAGGTGGTACCTTTTTCTTTGGACAAAATTTCCTTCCACTTTCTGGTTCGGTCCTCTAGGACTATGATATGGTTTGGCTCTGTGTCCCCACCCAAATCTCACCTTGAATTGTAATAATCCCCACGTCTCGTGGGAGGGAACCAGTGGGAGGTAATTGAATCATGGGTACGTGTTTTTCTGTTCTCGTGATAGTGAATAAGTCTCACAAGATCTGATGGTTTTATGAAAGGGCAGTTCCTGTGCACACTCTCTCTTGCCTGCTGCAATGTAAGACATGTCTTGCTTCCCCTTCACCTTCCACCATGATTGTGAGGCCTCCCCAGGCATGTGGAACTGTGAGTCAATTAAACCTCTTTTCTTTATAAATGACCCAGTCTTGGGTATGTCTTTATCAGCAGCATGAGAACAGACTAATAGAGACTGTATTTTTCTAGAGATGGGGGACTACTAAATATTTGCACTATTTTTTTTATAGCCACAAAAAGGACTTGGTTCTGACATTCTAGATATTGAATACATCTCTTGCAAAGCCATGGAAAAGTGAACTGGGATGACATAGCTTTTATGGCATGAAATGAAGCTTATGGAGTTGCTGGCACACTTTATTACCTCTGTTTCAGGAAAAGCCCTGGTGTCTCTGTGGAAGATTGATGGGTTGATGCTGGGGGAGATGAGATTGGAGTCAGGGGTTCATTGTCATGTCATTCTGGAGCAAATTTAAGTTAGCATAAGTGTAATAAAGCCATAATTAGCTTTAATCCTTTGAAACTAACATTAATGGGGAGATCATCTGCTATAAACATTTTACTGGCAGCAGGATATGAATCATAAATAATCCAAGTTTGGAGGGAACAGCCACCTTATCCAAATACCCTTTTGGCACAAAAAATCAATAAAGTGACACATGCATCTCTTTTAAAGGTTATATAGAGGGCTCTTTCGAAGACAGGTTACTTTTTCCTTTACCAAATTTAACTTTACAAGATGTCTTCAGAATCTTTATTTTCCTGCAATTGTTGAGGAGAATTGATCATTTACTAAATTTGGGTGTAAAATAAAAACAAAATTAATATGATTCTGTGATATTTGTGATGTTGGAGTTTTTAAGAAATCTCAGTAAGCAGTAGTTTCATAAACTCATTGACTCTTTAAATTAGAAAAGATCTTAGAAATAATATCTCTCAACTTCCTAATTTTACAAGTAAGAAACTTGAAGTCCAAAGACATTATGGAATTTGCCTAAGTCCGTGTAGTTAGCTATTGGCTGATCTGGGATCTGAAGCGAATTTTCTGGCTTCTTAGTCTAGGATTTACTCCATCAGAAAATGAAGGTCTCCCCCTCCCCCACCTCAAGAATTTTCAAAACTGGCAGTGATGTGTTTATTTTAATTTCACAGCAAATTTCCCCAGTTCCTCTGTCAAGCAGTACAAGGGATATTCTTCCTCAGTTGTATCAGTTTTAAACAAGTGATTGGGACTGATCTTTGGTTTGCTTGTGTTTTGGTGGTTTCCTTTTTATTCTTTTAGGATCTGGAGATTCTGGTGTATTCTCTTGTTCTTACTGGGAAAAACACAGAAAACTCTCTCTGCTTTGCGAAGTGTGGAGGTTCTTCCCAGATGTATAGTCAAGGAACAGAACAATTGTTAATAAAAACATTCATGAGATTAGGACAAACTCTATTAGCTTAGTGAATGAGTACTTAATGATAAAATATTCTAGATTTCCTGCAGAAGTAAAATATATATGAAGCTCAGACAATGAAAAAAGCAACATATTAAAGTCTCTCAAATAGGTTGAAAAAGATTTGCAAAATGGCATCTGGTAAACTCATTCTTGACTGCAAACAGGAATTATTATTATTTGGCCCCAGAGATATTTTCTCACAGTCAAATGTGGCGGGGAGGCGGGTGGTGTTGTCACTTCATCTGATCTGGTGTTTTATAAACCATAAACTCTGCGTCAGAGTGGGGCTCTTTCTTCTTTTGGAGTTCTCCAGGCTAGCTCAGGCTTGTTCAGGGGGCCCTCCCCATAACTTCTGAATTTTTAAAACATTGAGGCTAAGTGCTGTCATTAATCCAACACAGCTCTACTCCAACTCTTTTCTGGGTCAGCACATTCAGATTTTCCCACATGTAGCTTGGCCTCAGCAAGAGTCGATGACTCAAGTTTCTGTTGTATAAATATGAAGGTTTGTACTTACTGCCTCAATTTATGTTGCTAGGGTCTTTATACCTTGTGTTTGATTCATAACTACTACATCAACTCTCAGATTAAACGGTATATTGTTTGCACTTTCCAATCTTAAATGGTCTTTCAATATAAAGTTAGACCATTTAGATAAGTTTCCCTCTTTAATTCTGTGAAGCAGATACTGTTTATGGTCATGCCCACATATTCTTATCACCTTCTTCCTGAGTTTTTGCTGAGCACATGGTTTCCCAGCATGACTCTGTATTTCCCAGTCTTCCTAGTAGCTGTGTGGCCTTGTGACTAAATTTGGGTTTGTGATCTGAAGTATGGTGACTCTTATGGGTTGTGCTCCTAGAAAGGCATATGGCGTGCTCAATGACTCTTTCTTCCCTTTCTCACTGGAGTTGCCTAGAACCCAGAGATGAAAGCCTTATCTTGAGAATGACAATGCTGTCCTGTCAGCCTAGCACCACTTACCTCTGAGCAGTTATGTGAGAAAGAAATGATTTCTGTCTCGTCATTGTATTTTGAATCTTTCTGTTATGTTACTAAACCTTGTCCTAATTAATGTACCTTGCTAGTGTGTTTTAAACCATTCCAAATTCATTCCTGAATCAAGTAGAAGCTGTGGAGATGTTTGTTGAAACTATAAGGAAATTCTTTGATAAAGAATGCAGTTCCCTTCAAGAGTATGTCTAAATGACAGAGCCGTTCTTAGCACAACTACTGAATGAGAAACTTTATAAAACTGTCACATACTTGGCAGAAGTTTGTTCACCCCCATCCAGTTCTGTCTTTGGAGAATTTGTTGCCTGAAAATAAAGCAAGCTGTGATGTGGTTTTGTTAGGTACTGAGGGATAAACCTTCGGTAGTTGTAAGAGTGTCAGCTGACAATGCAATGTGATAACTTAGGCTTCTGAAAACTGTAGTATGTTTGGAAGCACAATTTGGGAGACAACAGGATCAACATTTAGAATATCCGTAGTGTGCCAAATACTGAACGGAGCCATCTCATTTAATCCTCACTACAGCCCTGTAACATTGATGTTTTTATGCATTGTTGGCAGATGATGAAACACACTAGCAGAGAGTTTAAAGACCTGTTCAAGGTAACACAGTAAGAAGAAAAGCTGAAACTTGCACTTGGGTCGTTGTAGTTCCAAGGTTTATGCTTTTTCTAACAGTGGTGGCAATTTTTGGAAGTAAAATAATCCCCTGAACGGGGACAATAAAAACTAAATTTGCTTGATACCCAAGGAACTCAGCAAAATATGCCATCTTTTTGGTCTTCAACCCCACTCTGGTTTTCATGCTCTATTACTGGCATTACATTCCTATACTTTAATTTCATATAGTAGTTCATCTTGATGTGCAGAGATATATGGATAATTTGGGACCTTGAAAAGTCATTCCTCCAATAACATTGCCTTTAGGCAGAACTGTACCAAGATGACCCCTCATTTTAAAAGTGAGTCACAGGCTCTATCAGAAAGTGATTCAATTTTTTTTTCATAAACTTTACTGAATAGAAACTCTTCCTTCTATATGACATAAGTCCTTTGTGCTGTAATTCAGATTCATACCATGGCTGTCTTGCTGAGTGAAGAAGAGCAGAAATGCTATTAGTCTTTGTTTAAGAGTTCTTTCTCTTTTAGAAACTAATTTGTCACATTACTCCTTTTTCCCTCTTTGGAATAATAATCCAAGTTCCTTTAACCTGTCCTCATCTGCTTCATTTTAAATCTTTGTGAGTTGTCTTGGACATACGTCTTCAAGTTTTTCATTTTTAATTTGTGGTACCCCAAACTGGGGCAGTGTCAATAGATAATATTGATTACTTTCTAGGTGCACACCACTGTGCTGAGTGTCATTGTAGTGTGTTGTCTCATTTAATCCTCACCACATTCTGTAAGCAAAGTGCTATTATTAGCTCTGTTTTATAACAGAGGAAACAGACGCTTAGAGAGATTAAGTGCTGTATGTGCTAAAGAATAAGATGAGACAGGTTCCAAACCTATTTCCCAGGAATGAAGGGGTCACCTTATATTGCAGTTCAATCTTTATAAAGTCTCTCAAATTATGGGGCATGTATTCAACTTCTTAAAACCACATAAGGCTGAGATGACCTCAGATGATTCTGTTCTCAAAAGCTTATAGAAGTGACCCGCAGAAACTCTAAAAAAGGAGGCAAGGAAATTTGACAAGGCTGGGTGTGGTGGCTCACGCCTGTAATTCCAACACTTTGGGAGGGTGAGGCAAGCGGATCACTTGAGGTCAGGAGCTCGAGACCAGCCTGGACAACATAGTGAAGTCTCTTCTGTAGGAAAAATACAAAAATTAGCTGGGCATGGTGGTGCATGCCTGTAATCCCAGCTATTTGGGAAGCTGAGACAGGAAAATTACTTGAACCTGGGTGGTGGAAGTTGCAGTGAGCTGAGATTGTGCCACTGCACTCCAGCCTGGGTGACAGAGTGAGACTCTGTCTATAAAAAAAAAAAAAAAGAAAAGAAAAGAAATTTAGAAATTTGACAGATTTATTCATTATTCTTGGGAGTGGAGTGGTGACTCTACAATTGCAAGAATTGGATGTCATCATAAACAGCCTTTAAAAAGAGGATTTTATATATTTAATATATGAAGCAATATATTAGTTATCATATTACACTAAGTGGATACAACAGCACAAACTTCCACCTACAGGACAAATGAACAAAACAATTGTCTTAATGTTATATGAATGGGTGCTCATGGTTCAGAATAAAATTTCTTTTTTATAATACTTTAAAAAAATAATTTCAACTTTTATATTAGATTCAGGAGGTATGTGTACAGGTTTGTTATGGGTATATTGCCTGATGCTGAGGTTTGGGGTATGATCGATCCTATCACCCAGGTAGCGAGCATAGTACCCAATAGGTAGTTTTTCAGTCCTTTACCCCTACCTCCCTCCTCCCTGTAGTAGTCCCCAGGATCTATTGTTCCCATCTTTATGTCCATGATTACCCAATGTTTAGCTCCTACTTATAAGTGAGAACATGTGGTATTTGGTTTTCTGTTCCTGTGTTAGTTTGCTTAGGATAATGGCTTCCCGCTGCATCCATGTTGCTGCAAAGGACATGATTTTGTTCTCTTTTATGGCTGCAGAGTATTCCATGGTGTGTATGTACCACATTTTCTTTCTCCAAGAGGATAAAATTTCTGATGACAGCATTAAACAACCCATGTGAAAATGAAGATGATTTGTGAAGACTGTCAGGTGACACTAATGTCAATGGCGTGTATTAAGAATTAGAAAAAAAAAGAATTAGAAGAAAACTTTTATGAAATGTGAGGGTGACAAAAATTTCTAAATTGATATTTTACATGATTTTAAATATCTATGACTAAATTAATAAATTATTAGACTTTTGATTATTTTATCTCTATTTCTAAAAGTTTATATAGTTCCAGTTGGTGAAAAAACAGTTTTTAATCTTCTCCTTGGGAAAATAGAAGAATTCCTTATATTCCAAAGCATACAATAATTTATCCAAGTTCACATATCTGAAAGTGGGATGCTTGAGATTTGAACCCAAGTCTGTCTGCTTTATGGGCTAGTAGTGATTATTGGTATAATGGATTTCCAAAATCCCGGTTCTGGGGACTGTGATTTAAAAAAATCGTGTCTGTGTTTGTGCTGCCGCATTCTTTTTCTAAGTGTGTTTTGCAGAGTTGGTAGAGTGAATGCATGCAAGGATCTAAGAAACGAAGTGCCCTGTCGGCATATAGGTGCAGTCAGAACGAGGGTTCCAGTGTGTATTCAATGATGACTGTCAAGATTATTATTCCTTTCTTTTGTCCTTCTGTTCAGTAGCTCATTTTTACGTTTAAAGGGGAAATACTTTTTCCAGAATATTTTTTTTTCACAGCTTCATTCTATAGAGGGGAAGATGAATCTTCAGCAGGTAAATGCACTTCCAGGAATATATCTGGCCCATTATAATGTAGACATTACATAAAGAGTCTTAGGTAGGTCATAATACCTCTCTAGCCCCGTCTCCTCATTTGGAGAACAGGGACATTGATCTTTTATAATTATTTGTCCTCTCTCCAGTCACCCCTCCCTCTCCCCCTAAAATGGGAAGCTATTTGGAATAATGCTTATGCAATAATCCTCTTGCCTTAGGATGAGTAATTATGCATAATGGAAAACACATGAAAGTATCTTGTAAGACTATTAGCTTCCTCCTCTCCCATCCACATACCCCTACTATCTACTCCCATATATTTTGCTAAAAGCACCTGATATAAATCATGTGATACTACTTCTTGGTTTAATGCGCCAAATATTGTATTCCATTTATTGCCAAAGGCTACTGAAGCCTGCCTTTACTCTTTTATATAGGACACTGACTTTTTCTCCTCCCCCGGTTGAACACTGCACGAAAGAATCCAATTTATTAGGCTAGTGGCTGTTACTTGGATGTGCAGACATATGGTCCACAAACTGCTTCATTCTGTTTTAAATAAGTTCCTCCTGATGGGCTCCATTCTCCCTGCCATTTATGCCACAGGTGAAGTAATGAAGATGCTTATTGTGGCTTCCTGTTAATATTCCAAGGCCGGAGGCTCTGAACAGCAGGATGTCTGTTCTCCAGCTGTTTTTCCAACAGGAAGAAGGGATAAAATAAACAAAGCACACACAGTAGTTCATTTGAAACCACAGGTAGTCCACAGCTGCAGTAAAAACAATTCAGGGTTGCCAAACTGGTCTACCATCATAGATCACATCAGCAAAAGCAACTTCAAAATACTTTCAGGGTATTTGAGTTTCTTTCACATTCTTCATATCCAGAGGGAGCTGACGTGTAAATCCAGGTTTGGATCAATGAGAGCTAATTCTCCTGCTTTTTAAATGATTTTTAAGTGGAGTTCTATGCAGCAGAAATGAGGAAATCTTGGTATAAACATGCAAAAATTACTACCATATACTAGTTTGATCTTAAATTTGAATATAAAATGTAAAATGTATCTGAACTGACAAGTTTCAAAATAAGAATCTCGTGTAACACTCTTGCTAATATCTTTTACGTGATATAGAAAACGTGAATAAATATGTAAGCGTCATGTGAAATCTTTATTGAAGGAGAACCCAGAACCCGGTTCCTGGGCCAATTCAATACAGATATAGATATATAAGTTTGGAGTCCTAACCTATTTTTTAAATATAAGCTTGATGGCTTAAAACTTAAGACAATAGATACTATATAAGGCCAAAATGCATTGTTGATTTATTGCCAACATGAGACTGCAATTCTCGATGTCCATGACAATGTGTCCCCAAAGAAAGATCAACTTACCTCTTAGTCATCTATAAGTTCTAAATCTTGAACTTTTGAAATTCTGACAATGAATTCCCAAAGACTCTTTTTTTTTTCTTTTGAACAAGGTGTGCATTTATTCATCTCAATGAAGCAATACTCAGTGCAAGGCCAAGTATGATTCAGAACAAAATTGAAATTGGATTAAACAAACCATGCAAATTCACAAGCTTGAATGGCTATAGACACTGTCAATGAACACTGGTAGTATTGAAATGGACTTACCAAGCCAGTCAGCCATGCTTACCTGTGTGATAGTGGCCACGGAAACACATATGCACTATGTTTTATTATGTTTAGTTATTTGCTACGTTTAGAGCTTATTTGCAAACTTCTGGTATTATTTTTCTTATTTTCTTTTCCTATAGTCACCATTACCTAGGTAAAAATTGACGTTTGTGGATAGTATTGTCTGAGAAGTTTGATGGATATCATAGTTTCACTCAAAGGTAAATGGATGCTTAAAAACTGCATTTGCACATCCTGGGATTCAGTTCTGTGAATATTTTGAGACTTGTTTTTTTTGCCGGCTGTAACCAAGACTTACTATACCAATCTTAATTTATTAAAAAAAAAACCCCAATAACAACAAATACCTTAGGTTAAGAAACAGGTAACTGGATTAAGGCTGAGCACATAATCCCTGCTAACCTTGTGGTATGGTAGAAAAAGCACTGAGCTTGAAGTTGGCAGACACAGGGATACATATGGTCTTAGCCTTCATGTATCATTCAACAAATATTGACCAAGAACCTGTAAAAGGTTATTGATCACAGATTCTGTACCCAATAGTCTATGAGACACAAATAAAAGATACAATTGCTGCCTTCAGAGTGCACATGAACTTACTAAGAACACAGACAGGAAAACCAAGGATCATACCACAATGTAATGAACGTAAGAGAGAGCTGCTTAGCTTACCTTGCCTCTCCTATTTTATTACAATTTCTTTTTGGGGGGAATCACCTCTCCTCCTTTGTGTGAATTTAAGTGGGATGATAATTTCTAGTGACCAATGCTCACTAGACAAACTGAAAAGAGTGATCTTCCTCTCCCACCCTAGCACAGTCACAGGCTAGTTCAGACTAGTCATGAGACCCAAGGTTGGCCGATGAGACCCTCTTTTAGGATGTTGATACTAGGATGGAGAGAGTATATTCAGGGCATTCTGAACTGAAGTGAGGTAGAAACATCCAGTCCTGATGCTTTCAAATATAAGACAATTATACCCTCTGGTTCTTGGTTTTAACTCCCCTAAATCTTGGGCATTTGCAAGCTTGTTCCTCTATCTGCTATTGAGCCGCTGATACATTATACTTCCAACAAGTTCTCTTTTGGATTATTGGTTCTGGTTCTTGGCTTTAACTCCCCTAAATCTTGGGCATTTGCAAGCTTGTTCCTCTATCTGCTATTGAGCTGCTGATACATTATACTTCCAACAAGTTCTCTTTTGGATTATTTTGATTCAGTTCCTAATGCTTTCAGCCAGGGATCATGAAAGAGTATCATAATCTAGAGTTGGGGTGAAGGGAATAGTAGCTGTGGCAAGAGGGCAGCTTGGAGGAGGTAATGCCTGAGCAGTATCTTTAGGGACAAGAAGGGATTTACAAAGTAAGGAAGTGGGGGAAGGGAATTAGAGGTAGAGGAAATACCACATGCAAAGGTTTGGAGGTTAGAGCAGCTAGGGGTCGGTGTCACTCAGAGGAAATGCAAGTAGCTTTGGCGGTTGCTTTGTAGTTGTATATGTGTGCACATGTATGAGTGAGACAGAATTCGGAGAGCTGATGCCTGATAGGCCTCTAAAGAATATGTGGTAATCAGCTCTTTCCTCTATTAGCATAAACTATGCCTTAGTAATTGGGATGGTATCTAACCTGGCGTGGCTTCGAAAAGAGGCTTAGTAAATGTGTAGTGAAAAGATGTGACTGTTGAATTCAGTTCCTCTGAAATACTTTCTCCAAGATTTTTGGAGTTGGAAGGACTTTGTCAGGTCACCTGTGTCCTGGGTGCCAAAAATCTATGTCTTTTCTGGAGACTGTCCCTCAAAACTGTTAATTCTATTCCCTAGTTTAGGCAATATTGCACAGGGAACATTCCAGGCAGTTGGAAACTTTTCCTGTTTACATACCTCTGGAGAAGGAGGGACCAAGCATCATTCCTGTTGGACCCTTCAGTTTGTAGCAATGTTTTCTGCCAAGTAAGTTCCTCTTTATCTAACCGAAGTCATCTATGCTGCAACTTGCCTCATTTCCTGTTGCTCTCCCCTTAGAGGGTATGAACAGCATGGGCTTGTCACCCTCCTTGGTAATAACAACCTTTCATATGCTTGACGTTGATTACTAAATTGCCTTTAGCTTTCTCTTCCAGTTTTCTTAGTCTGTTTTTCAGCCTTTAATCATCTCTGTGGGTCTCTTCTCAACCACGTCCAAGTGCACAAAGTGCCTCTTAAAGCAATTTTCAGTTTCAAAACAAAACACCAAACTTCTAGGCTTGTTCCAACTGGCAAAATGAAATGACTTTCTAAGAAAAAAATATGAAAAAAAAAGATATTTCAGGGGTTCCTGGAATGTGAAATTATACTCTAACCAATTAAAGCAGGAATAAATCTTTTGATATTGGTCTTTTCAAGCTGATTTAGTTTTAAGTGAGGTTCTTGTCAAAAGAGTCCCTAAAAGAATTAGGAAAGATCAACATAATAAATGTTTATAGAGCACCCACTATGTGCCAGGCATTTGGCATGGTACTAAGAACTCATAGGTAAACACGACTTGATTCCTACTATCAAAGAGCTCATGGTCTAGGAGTTAAGGCAGAAATAAACAAAAGCCATTCAGTGTGATAGATACAATGGCAAATAAGAGAAAGAGGAAAAGTGGGGGCAGAAAGGAAGAAGGTGGCAAGTCTAGCTGGTGAGGTCAGGCTTGAGCAGATTCTTGAAAGAGGACTAAGAGGTTTTCAGTTTTGGAAGGTAGGTGAGGAAGGATGTTCCTTTTCTGGGCAGAGAGAGCAGCATGATAAGAGGTATGAAGACACGAAACAGCATGATGTATTTGGTGATTAGCTTAGGATGCCATAAGCATGTGGCAAGAGATGAGGATGAGATCACAGAGGGCTTCATGGACTACTCAGAGGAGTTTGGATTTTATGTGGCAATGGGAGCCATTAAGTGTTTGTGAGCAATGTAGTAATTTAGGAGAACTAGCTGCCTAGAAGAATCACTGGGCTAAGCAGAGCATATCAGAAGGAAATGGGGCTGAAGTATGGTTGTCCTGGAGACTGACACAAGAGCTAAGAGGTGGTGTGATTGACAGATGAGAAATGATGTAGACTGGGTGACCTGTGGCTCGGAGGAGATGCTCAATGAAGAAATTAAGAAGGAAATTGAAAAATGTCTTGAAATAAATGATAATAAGAACCCAACATACCAAAATCTATGGGATATAGCAAAAGCAATACTAAGGGGGAAGTTTATAGCTGTAAGTGCCTACATTGAAAAATAAGAAAAAATTCAAATAAACAACCCAATGATGCATCTTAAAGAACTAGAAAAGCAAGAGCAAACTGAATTCAAAATTAGTAGAAGAAAATAAATAATAAAGATCAGAGCAGAAATAAAGGAATTTGAAATGAAGAAAACAGTATAAAAGATCAATGAAACAAAAAGTTGTTTTTTGAAAAGTTAAACAAAATAGGCAAACATTTAGCCAGACTACCTAAGAAAAAAAGAGAAAGATCCAAATAAATAAAATCAGAGATGACAAAGGATACATTACAAACAATACCACAGGAATTCAAAGGATCATTAGTGGCTACTATGAGCAAGTGTTTGTCAATAAATTGGAAAATCTAGAAGAAAAGAACAAGTTCTTAGACACATACAACCTACCAAGATTGAATCGTGCAGAAATCTAAAACCTGAACAGACCAATAATGAGTAACAAGATCAAAGGTGTAATAAAAAGGCTTCCAGCAAAGAAAAGCTTGGGATCTGATGGCATCACTGCTGAATTCTACTGAACATTTAAAGATCTAATACCAATTCTACTCAAACTATTACAAAAAATAGAGGAGGAGGGAACACTTTCAAACTCATTCTCAATATTACCCTGATACCAAAACCAGACAAAGACAATCAAAAAAATAAGAAAACTATAGGCCAATATCCCTAACGAATATTTATGCAAAAATCCTCAACAAAATACTAGCAAGTTGAATTCAAAAACTCATTAAAAAGATCATTCAGGCCAGGCACAGTGGCTCACGCCTATAATCCCGGCACTTTGGGATGCCAAGGCGGGTGGATCACCTGAGGTCAGGAGTTTGAGACCAGCCTGTTCAAAATGGTAAACCCCATCTCTACAAAAAATTAGCTGGGTGTCGTGGAGCATGCCTGTAATCCCAGCTACTCAGGAGGCTGAGGCAGGAGAATTGTTTGAACCCGGGAGATGGAGGTTGCAGTGAACTGAGAATCGTGCCACTGCACTCCAGCCTGTACAATGGAGACTCCAAGAAATATATATATTTCATCATGACCAAATGGGATTTATCCTAGTAATGCAAACATGGTTCAATATACACAAATCAATCAATGTCATACAGCATATCAACAGAATAAAGGACAAAAACCATATGATCATTTCAATTGATGCTGAAAAAGCATTTGATAAAATTCAACATCCCTTTATGATTAAAAAAAAAAACCCTGAAAAAACTGGTATGGAAAAAACATACCTCAACATAATAAAAGCCATATACAACAGACCTGCAGCTAGTATCTACTGAATAGAGAAAAAACTGAAAGCCTTTCCTCTAAGATCTGAAACATGACAAGGCTTCCCACTGTCCACACTGTTATTCAACCTAGTACTGGAAGTCCTAGCTAGAGCAATCAGACAAGAGAAAGAAATAAAAGACATACAGATTGTAAAGAAAGAAGTCAAATTATCCTTGATTGCGGATGATATGATCTTACATTTGGAAAAACCTAAAGACTCCACTGAAAAACTATTAGAACTGATAAGCAAATTCAGTAAAGTTTCGGCATACAAAATTAACATACAAAAATCAGTAGCATTTCTATATGCCAACAATGAACAATCTGAAAAAGAAATCAAGAAAGTAATCCCATTTACAATAGCTACAAATAAAATTAAATACCTAGGAATTAACTTAACCAAAGAAGTGAAAGACTTTCCAGTTAAAACCATAAAATATGGATGCAAGAAATTGAAGCAGACACAGAAAAATGAAAGGATATTTATGTTAATGGATTGGAAAAATAAATATTGTTAAAATGTCCATACTACCCCAAGCAATCTACAGATTCAATGTAATCTCTTTCAAAATACCAATGAAGTTCTTGACAGAAATAGAAAAAAACAATCTTAAAATTTATGTGGAACCACAAAAGACCCAGAGTATCCAAAGCTATCTTAAGTAAAAAGAACAAAACTAGAGGAGGAATCACATTACCTGACTTTAAATTATGCTACAGAGCTATAGTAACCAAACAGTATGGTACCAACATAAAAAGAAATAGACACATAGACAACTGGAACAGGATAGAGAACCTAGAAATAAATCCACACATCTATAGTAAACTCATTTTCTGCAAAGATGCCAAGAACATACATTGGGGGATGGGATAGTCTCTTCAATAAATAGTGCTGGGAAAACTGTATGTACATATGCAGAAGAATGAAACTTGATCCTTTCTTGCCTTATACAAAAGTCAAATAGAAATGGATTAAAGACTTACAAAATCTATGATCTCAAACAATCTACTAAAAGAAACTACTGAAAGAAAACATTGGAGAAATTCTCCAGGACATTGGACTGGGCAAAGACTTCTTGAGTAATACCCCACAGGCACAGGCAACCAAAGCAAAAATGGACAAATGAGGTCACATCAAGTTAAAAAGTTTCTCCACAGCAAAGGAAACAATCAACAAAGTGAAGAGACAACCCACAGAATGGGAGAAAATATTTGCCAACTACCCATATGGCAAGGGATTAATAATCAGAATATATAAGGAGCTCAAACAACTTTATAGGAAAAAGTCTAGTAATCCAATTAAAAATGGGAAAAAGATCTGAACAGACATTTCTCGAAAGAAGACATATAAGTGGCAAACAGGTATATTAAAAGGTGCTCAATATCATTGATAATTGGAGAAATGCAAATCAAAACTACAATGAGATATCATCTCACTACAGTTAAAATTGCTTTTATTCAAAAGACAGGCAATAGCAAATGGTGGTGAGGGTGTGGAGAAAAGGGAACCCTCACACACTGTTGGCGGGAATGTAAATTAGTACAATCACTATGGAGAACAGTTTGGAAGTCCCTCAGAAAAGTAAAAATAGAACTACCATACGATCCAGCAATCCCATTTCTAAATATATACCTAAAAGAAAGGAAATTAGCATATTGAAGAGATATCTGCACTCCCATGTTTATTGTAGCCCTATTCATAATAGCCAAGATTTGGAAGCAACCTAAGTGTCTATCAACAGAATAATGGATGAAGAAAACGTGGTACGTATATGCAAGAGGGTACTATTCAGCCATAGAAAAATGAGACCTTGTCATTTGCAACAATATGGATAGAACTGGAGGTCATTATGTTAAGTGAAATAAGCCAGGCACAGAAAGACAAACATTGCATGTTCTCACTTACCTGTGGGAGCTAAAAATTAAAACAATTGAACTCATAGTGATAGAATATAGATGGATGGTTGTAAGAGGCTGGGAAGGGTAGTCAGGAGTTGGAGGGTGGAGGTGCAGGGGAGACCATTAATCAGTACAAAAAAATAGAAAGAATAAATAAGATGTGGTTTTTGCTAGCACAGTAGGGTGACTATATTAAAAAATAATTTAACTGTTCACTTAAAAATAGCTAAGAGTATAATTAAATTATATATTATAATTATATGATTGAATTATATATATTTGCTCTGATATGATTATTATGCATTGCATGCCTGTATCAAAATATCTCCTGTACCTCATAAATATATATACTTACTATGTAACCACAACAATAAAAAATTTAAAAATATTAAAAAGGTAGAGGATACAAAATAAACCTTAGAAAGTATGTGTTTCAGATGCAGTCAGACCAGGGACTTTAATTTTCAGTCAGTAGAGTAAAAACAATGGGTGACAGTTGAGCAGGTGTAGAGCTGCTGGCTTTTTTGGCAGGTTGTGGTTGCTGTAAACAAAAGAAGTTCATTCTTTTACCCCTCACTCCTCTCTCTAGGGCCTGGCAGTCATAGCAATGAAGGTGAGAGTGGGTGTGAGTAAGGGTGGAGGAGGCGGCAGGGTGGCTGAAGGAGTCTGGAGTGTGTGATGGGGGGTGGGGGGGCCAAGGAAAGACAAGGCTGATGAAGGGATGTTAAGGAGTGAAGGCAAACTGCTGAGAAGAGGTGGACCCTTGTAGATGACAGTGACGTAGAGGTATAGAGACCTCAAGGGCACTGTTAGAGTCTTCAGGTTCAGGGGATGAGGGAAAATGAGGTCAAGCCCATAAACTTTCTGCCAGGGATAGCAAAGATAAGTTCTGAAAATTCATGTGAAGGTTTTTATCATCAGTTGGGTTTTAGATGCTTAGTATCCTTCCTTGATTATTTTTCTTAGAAACTTAGCATTATTCTTTAAAGGGACAAAATGAGCCATATTCAAGAGAATTGGTCAAGATGAATTCTTAGGATTGTGTTAGGAAAGCTGGCTTAATCCCTGTGATTATTCTCTTTGATCTCTAGTCTAATAATAGTAATAACACCAACAGTGATAGCTAGGTGCCTGCTGCTTTACATATATTAGCATTAATTCTTATAACAATGCTATAAGGTGGGTATTATTTTAGAGATAAGAAATCTGAAGCCCCGGAGATTGAAACTATATCCACAACTGCATTGCCTGTCGGTGGTGGAGCCAGCATTCAGAGCCAGGTCTGTTTGACTTTAAGGTTTTCATCTCTTCACTTGTTGTTTTCCCCCAGCTACCATGGTAGGGAGTGAACAGGCTGGATCTATATAGGCACAGTTTAAAACTGTGTCAGAGTTAGCAAAATAATGTCTGTGGACTGCTTGGGGATTTTGGCCAACAGCCTAACAGTGTTTTTCTGTCTCTGGCTTGGCTGGCAAGTGGTTTAGGATTCTGACTGAAGGAAAGGAAGGTGACATTCGGTGCCTGCATCATACTGCTGGCTGGCCTTGACTTCAGAGGCCAGTGTTCCTGTGATTGTTCTCTTGGGTTTTAATTTATGCCCCTGCCAAAGCGCAGGCCCAGTGTCCAAGCCAGATAGAAAGATGCATGTTGGGTAATTGGAAGGGATCAGGCAGCTGTAGAGAAGGCTGCAATCCATGTAGAAGTGGACAGGGCTCTCTTTCTTTGGGTACTCTCACTGGGTGGACACTTGGTGCCCACTTCCTGTCAATGATATGATGTCCCCAATATAAGACTCTGGAGAGCTTAGGTGTTGCTAATTGGCATAACGTTAAAGAATTGGATTATATGGGATTTTTTTCTTGGCTTAAAGGATAATATTGGATTATAAAGTCATTCAAAAGATAGTTTTTGAGCACTCACTATATTCTAATCATTGTTCTAAGAGCTTGGGATATATCATTGATTAAAATAATAAAAAAATGATTGCTCTTGTCAAGTTAGTATTCTAACAGATAAATAAATGCTATTCTTCCAGGGATACGTCCTTAAAATCAATTTAGCTCATTTTCTGTGCGTTAAATAAGTGAAAAGTACTAGGCTTTAGAGATGACAGGAAGTTAGACAGCTCACAGTCCCATACTTAGAATAAAACAAAGACACACATGAGACTAGTATGAATACAAATATGACAAATTTTATAATAAAATATCAAGAAAGCAAAGGAGATTCAAAAGCAGAAGAAATCATATTTGATTATCAGAATTAGATCTCACAAAGGGAGTAGCATTTGAGTTGTTTCTAAAAGGATGGTAGAATTTTGACTGGTGGAGATTAATGGGAAAGTTGTATCAGTTGTAAAGATCATCAGAGTAAACACATGGGTGTGTTTGGGGAAGACTGAAAACGCCAGTTTGGGAGATGAAGGCTAGAAAAATAGCTTGGGTGATGTTGTAGAAGGCAGATAAATAACTGGGTCCTATTTTGTAGAAACAAGGAAGTCATTTGAGGTTTATGAATATGGAAAGGACATGATTAGAACACTTTTTTTTAGGGGAATAGTAATTGATCCATTGAACTATTATATACTAAATGCTTTAACTTTACATCGTCTTATATACTCCTGAAATGATCCACCATTTAATGGAGCAAATTGAAGCTTAGAGGGTTTGGGAAAATTGCTCAAGACCACACACCTAGAAAGAAATAAAACTAGAGTTTGAATATAAATCTATCAGATTATGGAATGTTATTTTCCCAGTAATAGTGTTTGCAATAGTCCAGGTGAGACGACATAAGAGCTTGAACTAGAGTGGAGGTAGTGAAAATAAAACAAAAAGTTGAATATTAAGGAGGATAAATGGGAGTGAAATATTAGAAATGAGTCTTAGATAACTTTGCTGTAGAATTTAAGAATGGACGAGAGGGAGGGATAAAAGAGAGGAAAGAGTCAATGATGATTGAGATTTCTGGCCAGTAGAACAGTGGCACCATTAATAGAAGCTGGAAAGTCAAGTGGAAGAACTGGTTTTGTGGAGGAAGAGGATGACTTTGGTTTTGAACATGTTTGTTTTGTGGTATTGG
This sequence comes from Homo sapiens, assembly GCF_000001405.40. Lineage (NCBI taxonomy): Eukaryota > Metazoa > Chordata > Mammalia > Primates > Hominidae > Homo > Homo sapiens. Next base: position 89,237,246 of record NC_000012.12, on the reverse strand, counting down.
AGAAACATCCAGATATCCGGCTAGAAGATTACAATACAGGTCTGAGCTCATGGCCAAAGAATTGAGAGCAATCTATGTAGAAGTGATTGCTCAATTGGATAATATCATTGGGAGAAAAGCGTAACTGGATAAAAGTAAAGGGCCAAACCAAGATGAGGAACTGAGTTTCAGAGTAAGAAGAGTCAAGAAAGGATTCAATTCTTATTTTTGAAAATCTGACCACAGTAAGGGAAGTAAGGAAAGAGAAAAAATGAGTGTTTGATTAGCATCTGATATCCAAGAGTCTTTACAATGTGGATTCTTAAATGCTGCACAGAGACTGCCATGTTTCTTTATATGTTTGTTTGGGTGACTTTTCTGTCACTTGCATAAGTGACCTGGAATAGTTTCTTGACATCACATCACGGTAGTGTTGTTGTGTGTTGGTGCCTCAATCACTCCTGTCTGTGAGGTCTGGGTTTTTCCTGGATGTGCACTAATAATTCAAACATAGACATTCGTGTTTGGAAATGTTTGAGCAATATCCCCGAATACCCTGCTCTTAGTGGTTGCTTGACTACAGGGGAATGTCCATATGTGTGTTCCCATCTTTTCCCTTTATTCTTGGTAGGAGAACATAAGGATGACTGAAATCCTGAGTGGGAAGGCACATTGGAGTAAACCACAGTCAGGGCTTTGTACCCTGGAAGCTTGGATATACATCTCTCTTGGTAAAAACTGGCAACAGTGCAACCCACCTTTGAGAGCTTGTAGAGAAAGGCAAATTCAAGCAAGTGATTCATAGATTACAAGTATCCTGAGAAACAGGAAATGAGGGAACAAGGCTATACTCAATCTTTATAAATGGTAAGCAAATCCTCTCTTCCCACGTGAAAGAAATTGGCTGTGAAGAAGTATGGTGTCCCTTCTAAAACCTCAACATTCTTGAATTTATGAAGTGCTGGTTCATGATGTTTCATTGGACTGTTTTTATTTTTTCTTCCACAATTTCATGTCCTTTCCTCAATTCACTTGTTCATGGGTTTTGTTTTGTGCACTGGTCAATTATCAGAGCCCAGAGCAAGGGCACACAGTAGGCATTATACATATATTTATTGAGTCTGTCTGTCCATGTGTCTGCTTGTCTATTGCTTCTTTCATCCATTCATTCATTCATCAAATATTTATTATTTTTTATGTACCAGATTTTGTGCTAGTTCTTAGTGATAAAAAGGTGAATCTGAAGTCATCCCTTCCCTAATTAAGCTCATAACCTAGTGGCATGACAGTGACATAAACCGAGTTACAATTCCCCTGGATAAGCACAGTAATAGACCTAAGCACACTTGACACCAGCTCTGCAGTATGGAGGAAGGAGAGGAGGAGGGGTAGGCAGAGGTCAGAGGAGGCTTCCTGAAGAAGGAAACCTCCCTTCCTGTACTTTAGAGATCTCCCGGTGTTGATTATCTTTTTGCTTTCTCTTATCTTAAACCTCTTCCTCTTTACTGTGTCGTTCCCACCAACCTTTAAATTTGTTCAATTCTCCACTATCTTGAGAAAAATCCCTCTTCTTAGTCCAGCATCCCTCCAGCTACCTCCCTCATCTACTTCTTTTTTTTATCCTTTCTCTCTTGCCTTTCAGTCCCAAGTCCACTAAAATCTGGCCCTCATCTTGACCTCTCCCTCAAATTGCTCTCAACCCAGGTCAATAATGGCATCTTGGTTGTTAAATACAACGGAAACTTTCTAGCCTTTTCCTTATTTGTCTTCTTGGTTGCATTTGCCACTGTTGACACTTTCTGTAAGCTCAGCTTCCTCCCTTGGTTCCTCTGACTCCCCTAATTTTCTGGTTCTCCCTCTCCTTCCTTGCCTCTGCCTTCTCATTGTTTTGCAGGCTCTTCCTTTACAGCTCATCATTTAAGGATTGGTAAATGTTGGAATTGCCCAGAGATCTCTTGTAACTCTGTGTTTTCTTCCTGAGAAAGCCTGTCTATTATGATTGTAATACCGTTTTTATCCTGATGATTTCCACATAATTTTCTTCAGCCAAGATCAATCTTCTGAGCATCAGACTTTATTCCTGCATTCATCCACTCAATAAATATTTACTGGTGCTCACTATGTGCCGAATACTGTTTTAGAGATGGAGATTCAGTAGTGAATAAAGTCCTTGCCCTTGCTGGAACTTACATTCTTCTAAAGCAGAAACATGCACACACACACACACACACACATATTCTGTGAGGTGGTGAAAAGTGCTATGAGAAAAATAAAGCAAATGAGGGAGTGCTGGGGTGTGGGAGAAAGATTTTTCTCTTTATAAAGTGTGGTCGGTAAGTCCCCTTTAATCAGGTGACGTTTAAGCAGAGACCTGAACGAAGCCAAGAAGGGAGGGAGCCAGGCAGATATCTGGGGGAAGAGCTCAGCTGTCAGAGAAAAGAGCTAATGTGAATGGTCATCACCATCATTCTCCTCTGTCCTCACTGAGGCTGAGTAAGAAGTCCCATATGATGAGAATCTTCTACCTTGGGCCAAGAGGTGGATAATTAGGGGAAGAAGTGACTGGTGCCATTTCTAAATTCTCCCTTCTTGCTCCTACACTCAACAAATGGGCTTCTTTTCTTGCTTAATGTAGTTGAATCATACAGGTGGGCTAGAAAGAATTGAAATAGTCTCTGTAAATTACTGGCTATCCCAGAAGCCATGTGGCAACAATTATCTTCCCCCACAAAACCGCTTCTCCACCCATGTTCTCATTGTCAGTGACAGACACTGGCATCCACCCTGTTGCCCAAGCTAGAAACATGGACATCACCCTCCCTCATCCTTAACATCTGATTCATCACCAAGTTCTTGTAGGTGGCATTCTCTCTCAAATCTGTCCATCTCTTTCAATCTCTGTTGCCCCTATATAAAACCAGTCACTCTCCTCTCTGCTTTGGATGACTGCCCCAGACCTCTCTGTTGGTTTCTTCTCTTCTTGTCAGTCCCTCCTCCAATCTATTATCTGCAGGCCAGTTAGGGGAGCTGTCTCTAAAACAGAAATCTAACCTTAAACTTTTCACTGGCTCCACGTTGCCCAAGGGAAAGCTCCTGTACTGCCTCCAACACTCCATACCCCAGTCAGGTTGAGCTGTTTTGACTCTCTTAAAAAATCTATGTTCGGCCGGGCACGGTGGCTCACACCTGTAATCCCAGCACTTTGGGAGGCCAAGGCAGGCGGATCACGAGGTCAGGAGATGGAGACCATCCTGCCTAACACGGTGAAACCCCGTCTCTACTAAAAATACAAAAAATTAGCCAGTTGTGGTGGCGGGCACCTGTAGTCCCAGCTACTCAGGAGGCTGAGGCAGGAGAATGGCGTGAACCCGGGAGAGCGGAGCTTGCAGTGAGCCGAGATTGCACCACTGCACTCCAGCCTGGGCAACAGAGCAAGACTCTGTCTCAAAACAAAAACAAAACAAAAACAAAAGACTATGTTCTGGCCAGGTGCGGTGGCTCACACCTGTAATCCCAGCACTTTGGGAGGCCGAGGCGGATCTCATGAGGTCAGGAGTTTGAGATCAGCCTGGCCAACATGGTGAAACCCCCTCTCTACTACAAAAATACAAAAATTAGCTGGACGTGGTGGTAGGTGTCTGTAATCCCAGCTACTCGGGAGGCTGAGGCAGGAGAATTGTTTGAACCCGGGAGGTGGAGGTTGCAGTGAGCTGAGATCACGCCACTGCACTCCAGCCTGGGTGACAGAGTGACATTCTGTCTCAAAACAAAAACAAAAACAAAAACCTATGTTCTTTCTGATACAGAATGTTTTTATGTATTATGATGCTATTCCCTTGTCTGGAAACTTCCCTTCTCCTCCCATTTACTTGACCATTCCTACTCATGCTTTGGGTCTTGGTTTAGATGTCACTTCTTCCAGAAAATATCTGACTTTGGCTAAGTTCCTTGTTGTAGGTGCTCCAGGTCCCCTCTAGTCACTGTACTTTTCACTGGACTGTGATCATTTGTTGAATTACCTATGCTCCAAACTACAGTGCATGCTCTCTGAAAGCAGAGACTGGGGTATGTATCACTACACCCTAGTCTCTGGCACAGAGTGGATGTTTGACGGTTATTTTTTTGGATAAATGAATGAGTAAATGAAGTGACACTTGAGCAAAATTAAAGAACGAATAGGAGTTACCTGGATAAAGAGGTAGTGAGAACACAGAGGGTGTCCCCGTGGAGAGCACAGCTTGAATAAAGGCACAGAGGTGAGAAATATCATGGTGAATGAGGGAAACTATATGCAGTTTGGTGTTTCTGAGGCATAAAGCATGAATATGGAATTGGCAAGAGGCTCGAGAGACCAGTCAAACCATGGAGGGTTTGTGGGTCAGGTTAAGTTATTTAAACTTGATCTTGTAGGCAATGAGGAGCTTACAAAATATGCTTTAGATGTTTAATACAGACAGTTCTATGAAGATTGAATTTGAAGGCAGCAAGAATAGAGACTAGAAAGAGTTGTTAGGAGGTTGCCACAATTCTTCCTAGCTCTGCCTTACAATATGATTTAAGTTTTTTCATCCTGACCCTCAGTATTAAAATTTTATTGTCACTAGAATCCTAAGACAGCCCCCATAATCTATGCTCTTGGGTGTTACTCCATGATTATGTTATATGGCAAGAGAGATTTTTGCAGATGAAATTAAGTTTATTAATCAATTTGCTTTAAAATGAGGAGATTATCTAGGCTGGACTAACCTGAGCACATGACCTCTTTAAAAGCACAGTTTTCTTCTTGATGATCGCAGAAGTTGGAGAGAATTGAAGCATTAGAGGGATTCAGTATGAAAGAAATTCTCTTTTGTGGACTTTGAAGGTGGAGGAATTCACATGGGAAAGGACTGAGAGTGGTATCTAAGAGCTGAGAGAGGCCCCTTTGGGGCCAGCCAGCAAAGAAACAGGGACCTCAGTACTACAATCACAAGGAAATGAATTCAGCCAATAACCACATGAGTATGGAAGCAGGTCACTTCTCAGAGTCTTTAGGTAATAACTCAACCCTGTTGACATTTTGATTTCTGCTGGTGATGCCCTGAGAAGAGAACCCAGTCTTGCCATGGTAGACTTCTGACTGCATAACTGTGAGCTAATCAATGGGTGTTGTTTAAACAATAAGTTTGTGGAAATGTGTTATGTAGCAATAAAAAAGCCAATACAAATATAGCAAGAGACTATTGTATTACTTTTAGTTGTTTATAGAAGGATGCTTGTCATATCTCCTTTTGCTTTATGAACAATTGTTTTTGGATTGGATCATAATAAAAGGACAACTGACACTGTGGCCTCACAGAGTGCCAAATACCATACCAATGCTTAACAACTGATATCTCATTTAGTGCTCAAAACCACCTCATGTGAGAGCCACACCCAGCTATCTCCATTTTACAGAGGAAGAAACTGAAGCTCAGAAAAACAAAGTTACATGCCTAAAGTCATTCAAGTAGCAATCGACAGAGCTGGGACTTGACAACAGGCTGCCTTTCTCTGCCCTATACAGAGGCTTGTGAAAAAATTTAGTGATTCCATTAGTATTCTTAACATTTAGAGTCTGAGAAGGGTTTAATGGTCTAGGTTATAAAACTGGACAATGGGAATAATATTCAAGGTTCAAGTTGTATGCCGTTTCTGTTTGGGATAGATTAGGGGATCTCTTGGGTATGATATCAATTTATTCTTTTGTGTTTTGTTGTAACCTGGACAAGGAGAAGGAATAAGAAAATGAAAGGTAATTGGAGGGAAATGGTTAGAACTAATAAAAAGAAATGAGCTTGATATGGGTTTAAAAGCAGAGGTTTAGTCACAGATGTATCCAATTTAGCAATTCTCTGTTTCATGTCCATTCAAGCATGGGCAGGTGTCCCTTATTCGTGTGTTATAGAAAGCTTGAGGCTGTCTTGTGCCAAGAAAAAAAAAAGCAATTAAATATTTTAATATTTCCTGTCTATAAACTGCTCCCTGTTTTATTACTTCAAATGCACTGGATTTAAAAGGAGGTGTGAAAGACTCCTGAGCCATTAATAAGAGGCTGCAGCTGCTTGTGGAAAGCGATGCTATGTGTTTTTCAAAGGCATGTTTTTGGTCTGAGCACCTTGGTCCACAGACTGTTGATTTATGATCGCCCTGAAACTGATACAGAGGCATGAGGCAAATACTTCAAGTGCTTCCAGAATATATTTGGGCAGAATACAGACAATGAGTTCCTTTCCTTGGGGGAATACACAAGGAAATAAAGGGAATAAATATGAAAGCAGTAGTTCAAAAGTTATGGTGCAATGTAGAGTGAGCACAAAAAAAGAAAATCTTTTGCCAGAGCAAGCCTGAGTCAGTGGTGAATTTCATGTGGGTTGTTCATAAGATTTTTGTTCTTGTATGAACAGAATGAACAGTAGGGACTTAGTGATTTATCTGAGTCTTTGAGAGCATCAAATAGAGACATACCCTAAAGTTAAAAGGTAAAAACCAAGATGTAATTCTATTTTTTCTTACAATCAGCTAAATGAAACCAAAAGACTATTTCCCAAAGGTCTTAAACTTTATTTTTTTGAAAAGTTCATTTTTCCTTTTCAGGAATGGTGTATAACAGAGGTCAAAGGATGCAGGATGTTGGAGATTCAATTCAATTCAGCAAGCCTTTGTTTAATGATACCCTCTGCAAGGTCATGTTTGGTGCTGGGAAAAATGCAATGAAGTCATTGCCTTCTCCCTCTGTCTTATGTAGGTGACTGGGCCCTTTGTATGGACATGTTGAAATCTTTTTGAACATGCTAGAAGGATGTTTCTTAAACTTTAGTTATTCCTGTGCCACTTTTCCAGTTTAGGCTGTGACCCACCTTATAATTTACTTAAATTTTTTTTTTTGATAACTCAGCACACAGTTTACTTAAATAGATTTAACCTCATCTTAAGCAATATTTGTGAAATCGCAGGGTTAGTATACTAGTTAGACCTTTTCAAATGCACCTTCAAATAATAAAGTTTTACAATATCCTTATCTTAAACCATTGGACTAGATGCATTTGGAAATTTGGAACACTTCTGAATGTCACAAAGATAATAATGTACATGTACTATATGTTATGTAGCACCACTATGAAGGTATGAACAATACCCAAGAATTAAAGATTAATATTTCCATAGTGAGACATGTGAATATTTGTACTAGGTAGAATGTGGAATAAGTTAAATAACCTCATGTCCGTTGGAAAATTGTTGGTTTTCAAGCTTTTTGTTTATGGATTTCATAACTGCAGATAAGGAATTGCAGGTCTGTAAGTATCATTTAAAGAAGTTTCTGTAACACAAAAAAACAAAGTTGTCAGTAAAGTTCAATGCATGAGTCATTTCATCTTTTTTTCTGATATATTACTAGGCTGAACTTTTTAGAAAATATTTTCACTCATGTATAAATATAAAGTACATTGAGTAAAGGCCTTAAAGAGCACCAATCTAAAGTACTTAGCTCAATGACTTTATGTATATATAAATTATATATATAATATATGTTATATATATTCCATGTAACCAGGACCCAGATAGAGATACAGAACACTTCCAGCACCAAAGCTTCCTTCAATCCCTTCCCTGACAATATCCCTCCTAGCCTCCACACTATGATAACCAGTTAACCAGTTTTGAGTTCTGTGAAAGAGCTCATTTAAATGGAATCACGCTGTACATATTCTTTGGTGTCTGGCTTCTTTCACTCAATGTTTTTTTTAAATCTTCAATTTTTATTTTAAGTTCAGGGGTACATGTGCAGGATGTGCAGGTTTGTTACATAGGTAAATGTGTGCCATGGTGGTTTGCTGCACAGATCAACCCATCACTTAGGTATTAAGCCCCGCATGCATTAGCTACTCTTTCTGATGCTCGCCCTCCCCCCAATCCCACCCTTTTCAGGCCCCAGTCCATGTCTTTCACTCAACTTAATGTCTGTGAGATTCTTCTGTGCTATTGTGTGTATCAGTAGTTAGCTCCTTTTTATTGTTGTGTAGTGTTCCTTTGTTAACTATTGTAACCTCTTAGAGTGTTACATGTAAATATTTTAAGTTAACACTATATTGGCATTGAAGTATGCTCCTTCTCTTCAAAAGACAGATAATCACCTGAAGAAAACTTTTATCAAGAAATTTGAAAGCAGCTGGCCATGCTCAACAAGATTGCACCCCTTTCAGCCGACTTAGAAAACACAGCTCATGTTGTGATGCTGTATATAAATAGCAGTTAGATTCATTTTTCATCTTGTTTTTGTCACTTTGGTAAGTGGATGCAAGCTGCTAGCTTCATCAAATTAAAAAAGAGACCAGGAGATTCTGAAGAAACATTTTGATTTAATTTTTGGATAGTGTAAAATTTTAGAAAAGGGAATTAAAAGCCCATATTGTTATCCAGCTAGATGATGATATGACATGAAAGAGTCTTTAGAATGAATTTTATACTAAATTTGGGATGGTGCTTTATGTTCAGGCCAGCTGTGCATGGAATGGAGTGAGCAGGGATGAGTTGGGAGCAATCATTGGCAGTTTTCTACTTCCTCTCAAATTCCTTCACAGTCTGGCTTCGTTTAAAACATTTGAGTTGGTGTGAATTACTGGAACATGAGAAGCACTCATTTTCAAAATACAAAAAACACATTCCAGAGGCGAATAGAAAGAATGATCAGATTTTGCTGCTTTAGATTGATAGGGAGAATAGAGAACTGAATGACCGAAGACAGATTGGAAATTCATTTGCTTGGATTCTCTTAATGGATTGTACTATGTCCTTGACAAAAACACTCAGCAGTGCCTATGCAAATGCTCACTATCCTTAAAAAGAAATCAAAGGGGCTAAAAAACATTTGGAGATCTTGTGTATGCATCAGATCCACATTATCTCATAAGAGGCAAAGTAGCAAAATCACATGTAGGTTCTGGGATCAGAAAGACTTGGGTTTAAAAATCCCTTCTCTGTCATTGTGTAGCTGTGCAAACTTACTTCAGTTCATTAATATATCTTATTCTCAATTTTGATTTTACTTGGCTTTTCTTTACAAGAAGCATTATCAGAAGTGAATCAATCTCAGGAAGGACCATGCCAGTGAATTTTAAAGTAAAATGTAAAGATGATTAAAGAACTCACTGCCTCTCTTTCATTGATTTATTTGTCTTTAGAGACAAGGTCTTGCTCTGTCACCTAGGCTGGAGTGCAGTGGTGTGAACACTGCTCACTGCAACCTTGACTTCCTGGGCTCAAGCAATTCTCCCACCTCAGCCTCTGAGTGTCTGGGACCACAGGCATGTGCTGACACGCCCAGCTAAGTTTTAAAAATATTTTTTGTAGAGATGAGGTCTCATCATGTTGTGCAGGATGGTCTTGGACTCCTGGGCTCAAAAGATCCTCCTGCCTCGGCCTCCCAAAGTGTTGAGATTACAGCCACCATGCCTGGCCTCTCTCATTTCAAAATACAGGAAGACCTAACCCTCAGTAGGCTGGGGTTACATTTCTACATCTTTATTTAGGAGCTTAAATATGTAGTAAACCATAGCTTTTTCTAGATCTTTCTTTGGCTGGAATTTGCCAGGGAATTTTCTTTTCTTTTCTTTTTTTAAAAATTTTTCTTTTTAAATTGTCTGATGTTTTTTGTTCTTTAATTTTTTTTTCAATTTTTAAAAATTTTTATGGGTACATAGTAGGTATATATGTTTATGGGGTACATAAGATGTTTTGATATAGGCATGCAATGTAAAATAACCACATTATGGGGAATGGGGTATCCATCTCTTCAAGCATTTGTCCTTTGAGTTACAAACAATCCAATTACAAGCTTTATGCCAGGGCATTTTCAATAATATTTAGCGAAAATGATTTTCCCAAGAACTCACCAAATACCAACAGAGCTAGCCATATGATTGTATTTCCTTGTCATGATTTTTTTTAGTTGAGTACTGGGATAGTTTATAGAGAGTTCATTATCCCAGAGGTTGAATATAGGGGAAGAAAAGGGGGTTGTGCAAAGAAACCCAAGTGAGCATTCATTACATGTAATTGAAAGCTAATCATCTCTTCATGGATAACTACTCTACAGAAAAGACCAGCCAAACCACTTAAAACCATCCACAAAGCTCGCTGGCCAGTTAGGACAATAATGCTGAAAAAATATTGCTATGCTCAATTTATTTGATTGCACCTTGTTTTATAGACTGCCTAATGATGAGTGCAGGTTCAAATTCAAATCAAGGAATTTTGCCTCAACAAATTCTTTTCTTCTGCTCTCCTGCACAAATCTAAAGATATTTATCATAAGAACTATATGTACCAAGATCTCACAGGAACATCACCACTGGGTCAGAAGCAAAATAAACTTCACCTGAGTCTGTCAAGAATTGTTTGATGAAATCATCTTTGGTCTGGGAGAGCGAGGTAATAACATATCAACTCAATTTTAAAGGTCCTGCTTACAGAGGACAGAGACAGCCCCCCCCACCCCCCAAAATGCTTTTATTTGCCCTGATACCTAAGATAAAGATTTTATTTTTCAGCAAAGTGATTAAAAATCCGGGTTTTTATTTAAAAATTCTGAGAGATTAGAGATCTAGCGAATTGTTTTTTGGTTTGGACAACAGTGACTCCTTTATACCACAAATATTTGGTAACACATTTTTATTTCTCATCCTTATTTCTCCACTGGAAAACCACTTTATGATAAATTCTGTAAATATTTATTGAAAAAATAAAATATACAGGTTTTATGCTTGGTGCTTCAAGTTTCAAGATGATTGTGTTTAAATCCCTTCTGCTGACGGCTCTTATATTTCTGAATTTGGCTCCCTTAAAATATTTTGTTTCATAGCCAAAGCCAAAAAACAAAACAAAACTATGTTTAAAAACACTACAGGGAAGAAGGAATCACTTCATTGCTTAGTTTTAAAACTACATGAATGACGTCGCTTTTGAGATGTGGAAATACCAGGGTAATTTTGTTTTACTAAAGGTGTATTTTCTTTTCCTTTTAAAGACATATAACAACTATTGTTTTTAACTGGTGAAAGAAAGAATTGGGTTTGGGGCTTTTCATGACCAGGTTAAGTAATTCAGAGCCTTGGTGCTAACAATGAAAGTGAGATTCCCTTTCACGGAAGGGCTGGCCCATTTGAAGTTGATGATTCCAGTCTGGCTGGTCCAACAGGTTTTTATTTCTTAAAGCTTTGAGCACCATGAGTCAGAGGGAGAGGAAGAGAGAGGGAGGACATGAGCTCACTACAGAGAGGTTGGTATTAGAGGAGAAGGGAAGGATTGTTTGTTGGACCCAAACCAGAGAAAGGAGTGGCTGTTATTGCAGCATAAAGCAATGAGCACTGTAGGGGAGCAGCTGAGCTGTTTGTGGAGTCAGCTTCAGGGCCTCAAGGCTGAACTTCCACAGGCAGCAAAAGCATGAGTTACCAGCCTGAAGTGTGAGCTGGTTTTAGAATCTTGTCCCAGTTTTTTTTTTTTTTGGTAGAGATGGGGTCTCACTATGTTGCCTAGGCTGGTTTCAAACTACTTGGGCTCAAGTGATCCTCCCACCTCAGCCTCCCAAAGTGCTGTGATTACTGGCGTAAGCCACTGCACCTGGCCCCCCTCTTTGGTTTTCTCTGCCTGGAAACTTGAGTTGAGAGGCGGGTGTCTCGCCTCTGCCCTTGACTCACCGACATCACACTTCCTTTCATCTGAGTGCTCTCTGAAGTGAGGTCACGTTGGTGAGCTCATCTATATTCAGGAGCCAGAAGAGCAAAGGAGAGCTTTTGCATGTGAAGATCTGCCTGGATGGAAGCTCTGATGTGATGGAAGCTCTTACTACCAATTGGCCAATGGTTCAGATTTTCTTAGAACTAAACTTTTTTTTTGGTCCAGATATGCTAATCAAATGAAAAATGAATTAGGCTGGGATTTCCTCTTCGTAGTCTAACCTTAATGAAAGGAATAATGAGAGAATCTATATTAAATAGGACCCTTTTCATACAAGTAACAGAAATGCAACCTCAAATGTCTCCTTTTAGTGCAGGCAAAAGGGAAGAGCAAAGGAGAGAACTGGGTCTGCAGGATCACTGGAAACAGAGACTTACATGCCTTCCAGTCTCTCTCTCTTTTAACTTTCACTTCTTTTCGACATGTTTTCCTACAGACCTCCTCCACAAGGTTACCTCCTTCTCAGACTCAGATCCTAAGCCTTGATATCAGAGAAGGATTGTCCCGTTTTTGTAAGTCCCAATTTGCAGATACTCAGGAAGGTCCAGCTCAGGTCACACGCAGCCTCTCTGCACAGTGGATGGGCTCTTGTGATTGGCAGTTCTCATGGGAACCATGTAGTGGCGTGAGGGAAGATGGAAATAGGAATGGGTGGGTCTGTGCCAGAAAAGGGAAGGGTGCTGGGCAGATGAAAGAATACATACCTATTACTACACAGAAAAAGGACTATATGTTTGTATTAATCACAGTTCTCTGGAGAAACAGAACAAAAGAATTTTTGATAGAATGTGGCTTATGTGATTATGGAGGCCTAGAAGTTCCATGATATACCATCTGCCAGGTGGAGAGCCAGGAAAGCCAGCGGTGTAATTTAGTCCAACTCCAAAGGCCTGAGAACCAGGAGAGCCAAATGTGTAAGTCTCAGACTGATTCCAAAGGCCTGAGAATGTGGTGGGGGCAGGGAGGGCAATAATGTAAGTCTCTGTCCAAGTCTGAAGGCCTGAGAACCTGAAGTACTGGTGTCTGAGGGCAGAAGAAGATGGAAGTTCCAGCTTAAGCCAAGAGGTGAATTCATCCTTCCTCAGCCTTTTTTCTTCTTAAAAGGGCCCTCAAAGGACTAGCTGGTGTTCATCTGCATTGGTGAAGGCATCCTTTCTCAGCCTACTGATTCAAATGCTCATCTCTTCTGGAAACACTTTCCCAGACACACCCTGAAATAATGTTTTACCTGCTCTCTGAGTATCCTTTAGCCTTGTTAAGCTGACACATAAAATTAACCATCACAAAGATACAAAAGAAGAAATTTTAGTCGAGGTTGAGTCTGAAATATCCATAAAGTACATTATTAAATGAAAAGTATGATTACATCTTTCTGGTTAAATTTTAGCCTTATTAGTGGGAGGGAATATATAGCATTGAATGTTCATTTCATGATGAGATAAAAAAAATGAAAGAAAAATAATTTGGCTGATTTCTTTTGAAAGAAAGTGCAGATCTCTGATGACTCCATGCAAGCTTTGGGTTAAATTTAAAGGTATCTTCCTAATGCCGGGGGAGAATCTCTGAGCTTCGTGACTCTGGGTTCTCTGAAGATGGCTCTACTCTTGAAGGTGTTAATCACATGAGACTTTTGTAAAAATTCAATCAATTTCATTTCTCTGTAAGATGCTTAAAACTATGCCTACAAGTGGGCAGTATAACATTTCATTTCATTGTCTTCTGCAAATGTTTACTATTTGCTATCTATATAATCACTGTATGTTTCAATGGATTTGTTTTGCCTAAAATTATTCCCTAATTAACTCCACTAAGAAAGCAAAAAGGTGTCAAGTTCAGGTTTTTAAGTGGAAGTTGAAGCCCTGGTCAAAAGACAGAGAAAGATTATTTGAAGCATTTAATTGGTTATTATCCAGGTTGGGGAGTGAGTGTGATCTTAACGGCAGTTGAGAAAGATTTTTGAGCTTGGACGAAAAGGTGGAAAAGGATTGATTGAGCCCAGGAATTTGAGGCAGCAGTGAGCTATGAAGGTGCTACTGCACTCCAGCCTAAGTGACAGAGCAAGACTGTGTTGTGCAAACAACAACAACAACAACATCAAAAACCAAAGACAAAAAAGAATGTAATTATACATTTGGTTAACACTAGAGTGTTTTATTTTTGATAGATATTCAATTTATTTTAGGTCTATTAAATATATTTAGACTGTAAGTTTTATATTGTCATTTGATGGAAATTGTGTATTTCACTGAAATTTTACAATTTAAAACATTGGCTTGAGACACAGCCAAAATTGCTGAATAGGAACAGCTCTGGTCTGCAGCTCCCAGAGAGACCAACGCAGAAGGCGGGCAACCCGCAGACCAGGAGATTCTTTTGTGTGCCTACATGACCAGAGCCCTGGGTTTCAAGCACAAAACTAGGCAGCTGTTTGGGCAGACCCTGAGCTAGCTGCAGGAGTTTTTTTTCATACCTCAGTGGCACCTGGAACCTCAGCAAGACAGAACTGTTCACTCTGCTGGAAAGAGGGCTGAAGCCAGGGAGCCAAGTGGTCTTGCTCAGCAGGTCTCACTCCCATGGAGCCCAGCAAGCTAAGAACCACTGGCTTGAAATTCTCACTGCCAGCACAGCAGTCTGAAGTTGACCTGGGACAATTGAGCTTGGTTGGGGGAGGGGCATCCACCATTACTGAGGCTTGAGTAGGTGGTTTTCCCCTTACGGTGTTAAGGAAGCTGCCAGAAAGTTCGGACTGGTTGTAACTTACCACAGTGTGGCAAAGCAGCTGTTGTCAGACTGCCTCTCTAGATTCCTCCTTACTGAGCAGGGCATCTCTGAAAGAAAGGCTGCAGTCCCAGTCAGGGGCTTATAGATAAAACTCCCATCTCCCTGGGACAGAGCACCTGGGGAAGGGGCGGCTGTGGGTGCAGCTTCAGCAGACTTAAACGTTCCTGCCTGCTGGCTCCAAAGAGAGCAGAGTATCTCTCAGCACAGCGCTCAAGCTCTGCTAAGGGACATACTGCCTCCTCAGGTGGGTCCCTGACCCCCATACCTCCTGACTGGAAGATACCTCCCAGCAGGGGTTGACAGACACCTCACCTCATACAGGAGAGCTCTGGCTGGCATCAGGTGGGTGCCCCTCTGGGATGAAGCTTCCACAGGAAGGAGCAAGCAGCAATCTTTGCTGTTCTGCAGCCTCTGCTGGTGATATCCAGGCAAATAGGGTCTGGAGTGGACCTCCAGGAAACTCAAGCAGACCTACAGAAGAGGGGCCTGATTGTTAGAAGGAAAACTAACAAACAGAAAGCAATAACATCAACATCAACAAAAAGGATGCCCACACAAAAAACCCATCCAAAGGCCAAAACTAAAAACTCTCAATAAACTAGCCATTGATGGAACATATCTCAAAATAATAAGAGCTATTTATGACAAACCCATACCAATATCATACTGGATGAGCAAAAGCTGGAAGCATTCCCTTTGAAAACCAGCACAAGACAAGGATGCCCTCTCTCACCACTCCTATTCAACATAGTATTGGAAGTTCTGGCCAGGGGAATCAGGCAAGGGAAAGAAATAAAGGGTATTGAGATAGGAAGTCAAATTGTCTCTGTTTGCAGATGATATGATTGTATATTTAGAAAACCCCATCATCTCAGCCCCAAAACTCCTTAAGCTGATAAGCAACTTCAGCAAAGTCTAAGGATAGAAAATTAATGTGCAAAAATCACAAGCATTCCTATACACCAATAATAGAGAGTCAAATCATGAGTGAACTCCCATTCACAATTGCTACAAAGAAAATAAAATACCTAGGAATACAACTTACAAGGGACATTAAGGACTTCTTCAAGGAGAACTACAAACCATTGCTGAAGGAAATAAGGGAGGTCACAAATGAATGGAAAAATATTCCATGCTCATGGATAGGAAGAATCAATATCATGAAAATGGCCATACTGACCCAAGTAATGTACAGATTCAATGTTATTCCCATCAAACTACAAATGACTTTCTTCACTGAACTAGAAAAAGTACTTTAAATTTCATATGGAACTGAAAAAGAGCCCTTATAGCCAAGACAATCCTAAGCAAAAAGAACAAAGCTAGAGGCATCATGCTACCTAACTTCAAACTATACTACAAGGCTACAGTAACCCAAACAGCATGGTTCTGGTACCAAAACAGATATATAGACCAATGGAACAGAACAGAAGCCTCAGAAATAACACCACACTGGAAAACTGAAACTGGACCCCTTCCTTACACCTTATACAAAAATTAACTCAAAATGGATTAAAGACTTAAACCTAAAACCTAAAACTATAAAAACCCTAGAAGAAAACCTAGGCAATACCATTCAGGACATAGGCATGGGCAAAGACTTCATAACTAAAATGTCAAAAGCAATTGTAACAAAAGCCAAAATTGACAAATGGAATCTAATTAAACTAAAGAGCTTCTGCACAGCAAAAGAAACTATCGTCAGAGTGAACAGGAAAACTACAGAATGGGAGAAAATTTTTGCAATCTATCCATCTGATAAAAGGCTAATATCCAGAATCTACAAGGAACTTAAACAAATTTACAAAAAAAAAAAAACATCAAAAAAAGTGGGTGAAGGATATGAACAGACACTTCTCAAAAGAAGACATTTATGCAGCCAACAAACATATGAAAACAAGCTCATCATCACCGGTCATTAGAGAAATGCAAATCAAAACCACAATGAGATACCATCTCATGTCAGTTAGAATGATGATCATTAAAAAGTCAGGAAACAATAGATGCGGGAGAGGGTGTGGAGAAATAGGAATGCTTTTACACTGTTGGTAGGAGTGTAAATTAGTTCAACCATTGTGGAAGACAGTGTGGTGATTCCTCAAGGATCTAGAACCAGAAATACTGTTTGACCCAGCAATCCCACTACTGGGTATATACCCAAAGGATTATAAATCATTCTACTATAAAGACACATGCACATGTATGTTTATTACAGCACTATTCACAATAGCAAAGACTTGGAACCAACCCAGTCAATGCCCATCAATGATAGACTGGATAAAGAAAATGTGGCACCTATACACCATGGAATACTATGCAGTCATAAAAAAGAATGAGTTTATGTCCTTTGCAGGAACATGGATGAAGCTGGAAACCATCATTCTCAGCAAACTAACACAGGAACAGAAAACCAAACACCGCATGTTCTCACTCATAAGTGGGAGTTGAATAATGAGAACACATGGACACAGAGAGGGGAACATCACACACTAGGGCCTGTTGGGGGGTGAGGAGGAAAAAGGAGGGTGAGCATTAGGACAAATACCTAATGCATAAGGGGCTTAAAACCTAGATGATAGATTGATGGGTGCAGCAAACCACCATTGCACATGTATACCTATGTAACAAACCTGCATGTTCTGCATATGTATGAACTTAAAGTATAAAATAAAAAATAAAATAAAATAAAACATTGGCTCTCAGAATTATTTCTAGAAAATGATCTCCTATGGAGTACTCTAGATGATGTTTCTTTCCTCTATTTAGACCTTAATTTATAGACTTTAAATTGTTTTCTCTTTATTCATACTAGAACAGAGAGAAGTCTCTTTTTTAAATCAGTCTTTGTGATCAGGCAGGGTGTGTGGATTGACTTAGGTTTTCCTCATGGACACTTCTGGTACTTGACAAATTCACTCCTCAGATTCATACTGTAGGATAATTTGATTATACTAGTACTTGCTGGACAGTTCTCCTTGCCCACCTCTCAGGATCAGCCAGGCATTCATCTAGGGCAGCTTTGTGCACAGAAAAGGGACCAGGACTTATCCTTACTTTTTTATTCTCTCAACAAGCTTTTCTTGATGTGTTTTCTGAAAAATGCTTGTTATGTAAGGTATTAAGAGTTGTTATGTGAGAAACTTATTTTCCAGGCAAAAGGACTTAGGCAATGATGGATAAAAATTTAAACATGATTACTTTCTGCAGAATATCACAAAATTGTTACAGGCACTTTGAACATCCAGGAAGAGGCTATGGATCTCTTCCCTAAATTCTTTGTTCACAAAATCTTCTAAAACATCCTTTCTTCTATGAACTTTACCTGGGGAAAAATTTAAACATGATTGCTTCCTGCAGAATATCAAAATTACTACATGCATTTTGAACACCCAGGGATAGGGAATGCATCTCTTCCCCAAATTCTTTATTTGCAAAATCTTTAAAAATATCCTTTCTTCTATGAACTTTATTTTGGGAACTCCTGCTACAGATAAGAGTACTTGGAAATCTACAATTCCAAAAACAAATGGCTGGAATGCTTTCTGTACATCCATTTCTAGAACGTTCACCTATTTTTCTCTTCTAATTGGTCTCCAAATAGTTGAAGGATAATGCAGAGAGAAGAGCCGATGGATTTTAGCTGCCTCAAAATCCCAAATAGTAGCAGGAAACACAGGTCTGTGTGTCTAGAAGTCAGAGAAAAGAGACGGGAGGAAGAACTTAGAGAATCAGCTGGGAACTCCTACTTGTTATTTTTTCAGATTCTTAAGTGGCTAAGATATTATGTTTGAACAGATGAAGCATGGGTAGGCTCTGAATTTTAAAAATCCAGCCCCGTTGTTGGACTGAATAGAAATCCCCATTAGATTCTTGTGGCAGGCTGCCAGTTTTAGTTCATAGAGATATAACAAATTTTGTCTTTTGTCATTTTTTATGTCATCCCAGGTATTTTAGGGGGGAGTTAGCACAGCCTGGAAAAAACACTTTAAATCTATTATCTTCATAAATATTCCTTTAAGTCCTATGAATTAATAATGTATTAGTCTGGTCTAAGAGGTTTAATTGTCTCACAGTTCTGCATGGCTGGGGAGGCCTCAGGAAGCTTACAATCCTGGTGGAAGGCACCTCTTCACAGGGCGGTAGGAGATAGAATGAGTGCCGATCGAAGGAGGAAGCCTCTTATAAAACCATAAGATCAAATGAGAACTCACTCACTATCATGAGAACAGCATGGGGAAAATTGCCCCCATGATTCAATTATCTCCACCTGGTCCCCGCCTTGACATGTGGGGATTATTACAATTCAAGGTGAGATTTGGGTAGGGGACACAGAGCCAAACCATATTAAATAATTATTCTTTATGGCCTCTTATTTAGAAAACTAAAGGCATAGGAAAAGAGAGAGAGGGGACGAACAGCAGACAGGATAAATGTCCTCTTACTTCTGATGTAATCTTTGTAGCTTTCACACGTCTTGGTAAGGATGGTTTCTCAACTGGATCTGCATGTTTTTGTTTTCTCCTCTTTAATAATTTCCTAGATAAATACCCTTAAAAATGGCCACTGCTGCTGCAAACAAGCAGGTCTGCTTTACTGCCCATTCAGGGGTTCTAAGCAGTCTATTTTTCAAGCTAGTCCCTTGTTAACTATCTTTTGCTCTCAATATTCATTAGACTAAGTACAATAAGCTGACTATTGCCTACAAACTATGAAGAAATCATCATCAATTACCTTCAACTTCTTTGCTTGGTCCTTGTAGTAAACCTAAAATTAGGGAGAAAAACCCCAAAAGTTTCAGACCAGTGCCACTCATAACGTGGCCTGCAGACTAGTATTGGACTATTTGTTATCTGTCTGCAATAAAAAAAGTACAGAAATAGTAAGTATGTAGCATTTTTATAGCAATTTGACATTGCCCTGACTTGCAAGTGCATGGTTAGTGGGTTTGTCCGTTGAACAGAGTACAGATCAGTTTGTTTGGGTGTTGTCAGACTCCGGGGTGTGACATAAGCTGTGCCTTAGTCCTATTTGGATCCTTTGGAACATAGACTGAGAAGCCCAGGATTAGAAAGCTCATCACCTTTTCCCATTGCTCAAGTTTTGCTGGAGGCTTTGTAAGCTTTGAACTCTCCCCTACAAGTTTTCAACTGCACAGAGAAACATTCCCAGTCTCCTCTGCACCTTTCACATTAATGACTCATGATTCAAATCCAAATTACTTGAAATCTGCAAAGGATCCATGAAGATGGAGAAGCAGAACTTACTTCTCGCAGTTGCTACACTAGAACTTGCCTGCCTGCCTGCCTGC
Organism: Homo sapiens; assembly: GCF_000001405.40. NCBI lineage: Eukaryota > Metazoa > Chordata > Mammalia > Primates > Hominidae > Homo > Homo sapiens. Next base: position 89,217,424 of record NC_000012.12, on the reverse strand, counting down.
CTGCCCACCTGCCTGCCTTCCTTCCTGCCTCCCTGCCTTCTTGCTTTCCTGCCTTCCTGCTTTCCTTCTTTTTCTTTTCTTTTTTTTCTTCTTTTCTTTTTCAGTTGGGTCTTGCTCTGTCACCCAGGCTGGAGTGCAGTCACAAGATCACGCCTAACTGCAGGCTTAAACTTCTGGGCTCAAGTGATCTTCTTGCCTTGGCCTCCCAAAGTGTTGGGATTATAAGTGTGAGCCTCTGCGCTGGGCCTAATACTTTTTCTAATGACAGTGACAGAATGCTACATAACTTCTTCAGCTCATTTGTGGTTCAGGTTATGTAATAGCAACTTGGGCATGAATTAAAGCCTCTCACTCAATGTCACAGAAATGCCAAATATATCGCTTGGTTGCGTTTAAATCAGGAGGCCAGGCTGTTCAGCTGTGGCCCAACATGATGTGGCATAAGCCAGGTCCCAGAGATGTGATAAGTTATTTAGCACCATCTGCTAAAATTTCATACTTGGGAAACTATTAAAATAGATTTTTTCCCTCTGAAATTTAAAGATTTATTTATGTATTTTTAATTCCTCAGTAGAACATCTGTTGTGTGATACCTTGTGTGCATTTATACATCCAGTGAATTCACCTAAGGAGAAGATTTGTACCCTATAAGCATGTGTTTGTGTGTGTGCACACACGCTTGCCATGTGCTAGATCAGTACAAGGAATACTAACTGTACTCCTGGACTTCTGTTAAATCAATGTGCTGAGTTGGTGAAGGACAGGCTATAACATTCTGAAGAGTCTCAAGTATTAAATATAATTTGTTTCCAAGCTTCTAAGACAATGTGAGATGAATAGTCCTTTCTTCTTGTTCACAAATAAAAATCTTTTAAAACTAAAACCAATGTTTTCAATGTCAAAGATTGTTTCCTTTTTTGGCTTATCAGCCACCACTGCTTCTCAATAGGTCATTTGCTCTTCCATCTAAGGAAGATTTATGGGACACCTATTGTGTGTCAAGTATTGTGCTAGATCCAGGTCTCTGCCTTTATAGGGCAGGCCCACAATAAGTAACAATAGCAACAAATTATTCATTACAATGCATGCTTTGATAGAGGCATTAACAGGATATATAGGAGCACAGAGGATGGAACATTTAAATCAGAAGCAAGGGAATTAGGAATGAAATTCCTAGTGTAGGTAATATTTATACAGAAGACTGAGGAACTGGAAATAGTTAAAGAAGGCATGCTTGTGGGCGTGCCCTTGCACATTGTGTATGTGGTTTATGTATGGAAGACAGTCCTCAGTGGAGAAATGACAGTATATTAGAAGACACAGAGGCATGATTGGGGAATGTCACACTGAAGTAATTTTATGTAGGAGGTCCCATACCTCCCTAGATCATAATCTCCACAAAGAGAGCCTCTTATTCATCAGTGTGCACTCAGAGCTTGGCACATGATAGGAACTCCATAAATATTTGTGGAACAAATGAATGACCTGAAGTCATAACTTAATAAGTTCAAACTACCTCTGCAAATGATAGCAAGATATTGGTAGCTGCAGTTGGGCTTTACTATGGCTTTTATGATTTTTTCTGGTAACTCAAAAGGGAAGACTCTGCTGTACAACAGCTGTTCTCATCCATTTTCTTTCCTTCACATTAGAATCACTTGTTCTTACTTTGCTAGTAATTATTGATTGATCCGTCAACTCTCTGTTCATGCTGGTGACATATAACACTTGTGTCAAACACGGTCATGGCTCTAAGACTCTCATATGGTTTTTTTTGATAATCCATTGCATCCTCCTAATATGAAATGTATATACTTTTTTTTTGAGGCAAAGCCAACACTGGAATTTAAAATAAATAATATGTATCTTTTTATGTCAAGGTGTTTTAACAGTTATAAATGTTAGACTTGATAACTATTAGAAAATTAAATTGTTAAGTCATAACATTAAAACTGGTTGAATGTTTATCATAAGAACAGTTCTTCTTTTTGCTAATTGAGCCATGGACTAGGAAACGTATGTCAATTTCATAAGCAGAACTTGAATATGTAAATACTTGACACACTGAAAGTTGATAGCAGCTGAGTAGACACTAAGGGCACACTTGATTTTGGACTTAAAAACATCAAAATTAGTAAAAACAAACTACTTTCATTCAACTGGAGAAAATGAGTTTCAATGTAATTTAATATTTAAAAATATCTTCATTAGGTTAGAAGATATTACATTAGAAATAAAATTAGTTTAAAATTTTTTATTTCTTTGAAAGATTAGTCAATTTTACTAGCCAGGTTTTGAACTCACTTTCAGAGGTTTGATCTTTATTATCTTTTGCAGATATTTCCCCAAATACCTTTCTCACTGTACACATCACCTTCTTTCTTTCCAAATTTGCTTCAGTTCATTTCTTTTGGGAGAGCTCTCTGGTGAACCTCACCCATCTCTGATTGCATGCCAACTCTCTGCTTCTGCCAGCTCTCACCCATGTGGCTTTTAATTCATTCTTTGACTTGTTGGCATGTATTTTTATTAATTTAATCAATGTCTTGCCTCTTTATTAAAAAAAGCATTATGCTCATGGCCTTTTGTTTCTAAGAGACAGGAAGCCATTCAGACGTTTTAGTAAAATTTGCTGAAAGGATAGTAGGGCATCTCTGAAAACTTTGGAGGGAAAAAAGTACAACCAGGACATGAAAGGCCCCGGGACTGCAAAATCAGTACCTGAATCCACTCTCTTCTCTTGCTGAACTACTAGCCTCTTGACTCTACTTTTCTCCTCTTACGTGCTTAATTGTGTTTTTCATATTTACCACCTTACTCATGGTTGCCCCGCTCCATTTAACTTCTGCTTAGACATAGCTTTTGCTTGAATGGGTCCAGCCCTGACTTTGGTCCTACACCTGTCAATGTGTCCCTGCCACCTTCAAGCAACTCTCATCTCACTGTCTCAGTTGCTAATGCTAAATTCTATATACCCAGGTCAGAGAATCTGATTTGCTGAATTATGGATGGATTCTCCATTGGGTGGGTGTTTTTCCATCAGATTGGGTGCTAAGTGTCACTTGGTACAAGCAGGATGGACTTTCTGAAAATGAATTGTGGGCCACAGGCAATGACTGGCATTAAAGTACAACATTATGTTGTACTTTAAATGTTATGGAACATAGCATCTTTCATAGCATTTAAAGTACAACATTCTTCCATAGCATTTTGATTATTTCAAAAGGCTACCTGAAAGATTGAAATGACTTTAGTGAATTAGAACTGCTGAATTCCAGTGGTCTTCACTATTTTGCACCCCTCCTTAATTAAGAATACTGTTTCTTTCTTCTTAAATGTCTTATTTTCCAGGCTTGCCTCCATACTCTGGTGGGAATCAAGCAATGATAGTTTTGCTTCCTTTAAGTAGATAACGCTCTCAGTAAATCAATTACTCAGATCATCCAGGTAGAGCCTGGGTTCAAAGCCTGATCTCTCTGGTTGCTTAACCATTGCCCTTTCACCATAGCTCTCTGTTTTAAGATAGCTCACATTAGTTAAAAAATAAACAATGAAAAAAAAAGGAAAAGCACAACTCTACAACTGTGTGTACTAAAAGCAAGATTCAAGTATTTTCAACATTCAAAATCATAGTATTTAATTCAGTGAAGAGAGAGCCCTAGAAAAAACTTGTTTCAAGTTTATAAGTTGATCAGGGAAATTTGATTTTTTTTCCACTGACAGAGCTTCTAATATGTGCAGTAGTTTTAGCCTTTGATATTACTATTATGAAATTCAAAAATACTGTTCATTTTGGGCTGGGCATGGTGGCTCACACCTGTAATCCCAGCATTTTGGCAGGTCGAGGTGGGCAGATCACCTGAGGTCGGGAGTTCGAGACCAGGCTGGCCAACATGGTGAAACCCTGTCTTTTCTAAAAATACAAAAATTAGCTGGGTGTGGTGGCATGTGCTTGTAGTCCTAGATACTTGGTTGGCTGAGGCATGAGAATTACTTGAACCTGGGAGGCAGAGGTTGCAGTGAACTGAAATTGTACTACTGCACTCTAGCATGTGTGACAGAGCAAGACTCTGTCTCAAAAAAAAAAATACTGTTCATTTTATTTGTCTTCAAAATGTACCTTGGATTCTTGCCATTGTCACAGGGAACATATAAAACAGCTTGAAATTCTGCCTTATTCTAAGCCTAGCCTAACTCTTTTTCAAGATCTTAAGTAACCAGGGGCTTTTACAAATGAACGTATACCTAGATATGATAATATAAAATTATGGCTTACTAACTTTAGAGATGCAACAAAGAAACAGCTCCTAAATGGGGGTCTGGAGACCAAAATGTCAATTTGGGCTTTGCTTCTTAATAACTATGTGACCTTGAGGAAATCCGGTCTGCTTCTCCAGCCTCAATTTCCTAACCCATGAAAGGGAATAATCAGGCATCATTATGTAAGACGAGTGTTGTGAAGATAAAATAAAATAATCTATGGGAAGCCACTTTGTAAACTGAAAGGTAATATAGAACTGTAAGTGGATATTATTATTTATTTTATGAGCCAGTAGAATTCAAAGTCCTGATTTCATTGCCAGGAGGATTTTCCTCACAGATCTAATTCCTAAAGGTTGGCTTTGCCCAGTTAATGAGTACTTTCCAAATAAAGATCCCTTTTACTGCTTTGATTTTTGTGAACTTCCCTTTACTCTGATTCAAAGTCACATGGGAAGGTGCTCTTGTAAAGCCATTGTTTAATTTAGACTTTTCATACTGCGTGTATGTCCGGCTATTCTCTGGTTTCAGTCTCCAAGGAGCCTTTGAGGGCAGACCTTGCTTCTTTCCCTTACATATAGTTTGGCAGCAAATGAGATGTTTTCAATAGGGATGAAAAAACTCTCAGTATGTAACCTGTCACCTAAAGGAAGGAGGACATCCTGTTCTAAAGAAGTTGCCTCAGAGCCGGCCCCAGGTCCACCCTGGTGTTTCACTTGTATCTCAGGCAGTAGCCTGGGATGAAATTTTAAGGAGAGAATTGTTACATGATATTGTGTAATAGCAATATGAGAAACCACCATACAAAGCTCTTTATTTTAGTAACCTGGACTTCTAGTCAGGACTCTTATCTCTGTTCACTGGTTTTGAAGTCAGTGTGCTTAAACTTTTCATGCTAATACACAGGGAAAGCACAAAAATGATATTTAAAGATCATCAGGTATAAGCAGATATACTACTAATTTTAATCTTCTGTGCAAAGGTACTAAGAAAATGTGTAGTTGATTTGCTTTCCTAAAGTCACTTGATGTGGCTTCAATGGAGATAATTGTTCCAAGGTTTTGTGTTAAACTTCACCTGTTAATTTTGCCTTGATCTTGTTCTTCCTGAGCTTTTGGCACCCAGGCATTGAGCCAGGGGGTAGAGCAAGATGGGACTTTAAAGAAGTGAGGGAGCTTTTGTAATTATAATCCTGTTGTCACTATCTGATGCACTGTGAAAAATGGAAGAACCAATAGTAGCCTCCTATCTCCTGTCTCTAGCCTTTTGTATTGTGTTTTTACCAATCTCTGGAATAATAGTCTCCATTCAGGGAACCCAGAAGACTCCACAATGCCAGGCCAATAGTTGGAATTTCCAAGGTGTTCGATCTATTGCTATTTGCTCTTTTCCTCTCCATCCTAGTACATTCTCCAAGATTTAATTTAGTGTCATGCCATAGAATAGGCAGATTGTGTAAAGCAGTAATAGGATCTGGTTGGCAGCCACTTCCTGAAACCCATGTGTAGGTGGTAGTAAATACAGGACTGAGATTCCAATCTTAAAACTCATGGTTCCATTTTTTTCTGTCCCTTCAACAGTTATTTTCTTCATGAGTTATAGAGGAATGTAAAAATGAACTGCCATCTAAAAAATATTAAATTTGATATTCAAGCCAAGAAATCTTAGCATTCTAATGATAACAGAAGCAGAATTGAGGTGATAGCAGAATTTTGCTTTTTTTTACTCTTAGTCCCAGCTTTCATTACTACAACATGCCTGGCTGATGGGGTATCTTTTCTAATGTGAATGTTATTGCCTTGTATCCAAACGTTTAATGTGGCCAACTCCTTGAAAGATCTTTTGCAAGAATCTCTGGGATTCTCCGGGAAGTGTCTCATGTCAGTATGTGAATGGGTACAGCCAACAATAAACACCTTCTCTGTTACTTGATAATATTCAGAGACCAATGACCTATTATCAAGCTAGCTATAGATAGAGCTCCTGTTTTGAGTGTCAGGTTGTCTAAGTTTTTTGTTTTTAATTCTAAAAGCCTATAATTATAATAGTCAGGAATGTTCAATAAATGTTTAGGAAATAATGAGCTAGTTGCTTTGGATGGTGCAGAAGGTTTACGACATAGAGAAGCAGAGAACAGAGCTGGAATGATGAATTGGTGTCTCATTATTAATGCTGTATCACCCATAAAGTGGGTGCTATCACAATCTCTGGATATATATTGATACAAATTATTATAAAATATTTGCAAAATGAGTATGAAAATGTAGAGTGGCACTGCAGTGGGTAAGGTAACAGACAGATTTATATTTGAGCCTACATCTGCCACCTACAAGCCTAGTACATTTAGGCAAGTTAACTTACCATTGATAGCCTTAGTTTCCTGATCTATAAAATGGCAACAATAAGATTTAACTCACAGGGCTGTGAGGATTAGATAATAGAGCATGTAAATATCAAATATATAAAGCAGTTCTCACACTGCCTGACACATGGTGTACAATAAATACCAGCATCATCTCTCGCGTGGATGGTTAAAATAGCCTCCTCCCAGATTTTCCTGCTTTGGCTCCAGCTCTGCCTCATTTTATTTTCAACACAGCAGCCAGAATGAGTCTGCTATAAGTTGGATGTTTGCTCAAAAACCTCCAATGGCTCTCCATTTGACTCAGGGTGAAAGCCTCATAATGGCCATTGTGTTTACAAGCCTGTCTCCTTCTCTTCTCCTTTTGACTCAATCTGCTGCAGTCACACTGGCCTTCCCCTCACTAGACCTTAAACATTCCAGGCTGTTCTCCATACCTGACATGCTGTATCTGCCTTATCTGTTTAATTTTCTACTAACAACTTATCCCCAACTAGCCCTTATATATTTTACTTGCTTAGAGTGTTCATTCTTTGTCTCACCCAACTAGAAGGCAAGCTCCAACGGGATAAATAATTTCCTTTTTTCTGTTTTGTTTACAGTATCCCTAGTGCCTAAAACTGAGCCTGGCATGCAGAAGCCCTCAGCATATATTTGTTCAGTTAGATTTCTTTAAATTGTGTATTTAAGGAGCACATGAAGTTTTGATATATACTTATCTTAATTTACATATAGATAGTGAAATGACTACCACAGGCAAATTAACATACCCATCCTCTCATATAGTTACCTTTTCTGAGCAAATGGGAGCCATTAATTACTGAATTCATGAGGTCTCTTATATTAGTACATGTATGTGATTATTGATCCATTCAACAAATACTTAAACACATAATATGAGCTAGCACTACCCTACACTCCTAGTTGCTGGAGACAGAGCCAGAAACCAGGCAGACACAGCCCTGCACTCTTGAGAGCTGACGTTCCTAACGTTATAAGAATTGCAGAGTAGATAACCCTAATTGTTAAAATATGAAAGTTTTTTTCATAATACTTAAGTGTGAACTTTATTTGAAGTTTTCATAACCTTTAAACATTATATTCTAAAACTTTAAAAAATGATTTTATTTATTTATTGTTGTTATTTTCAAAAAGTATTTAAAGGAGAATTAGAAAATTTTGTTCTAACTTTTTTTAAACCTTTGAAAAAAAGAGTTCTAAACATTTCCCCAGTGATTGGATTCCATGTGTTAAATATTTCTTCTCACCCTAGCGATCAAAACAACATCACATTTAAAATCACATAGGATAACTTTTATATATACTGCAATCTATAATCATTTACCAAAATGTGACTTGGGCTTCTATCTAATTTCAATTCCATATTTAATCTTGTGATAATTTGACCTAGGACTCTTGACAAAACAACATTATCTCAGAGTTTGCAATTTTGTTAACCTCTTGTGATTGAAAAAGGGATTATTTAAAACTTCCCATCTCATTACTCTGAGCTCTAGCTCAGATTTTAAAAGTTATTACCAGATTTAATTTAATACTTTTTCTTCTCTGATTATGAGACTAAGCTATTAAGGTTTATTCAATCAGATAAGTCAGTATCATGGAAGTTTTAAAATGATTCTTAATTAATTCATCTTTTTATTTGAATTTGTTCAAAATAATCTCTCATTTACTTTGTAGTTTTGATGTAAAAAAAATCAGTATTCTGCCAGTCTGCTGCAGAGTATGATTTAAAGAAGACTCTTTCACGGTGTTTTTTTCTGTGAAGGTATTGCATCAGATTGCACTGGTCACACTGAATTTGCTATGTTAAATGAAAGGAAGACAAGCTTATCCCATGCAAAGGAAACCTTCATAGCTCAGAGTAATCAAGTGGAAGGCTTGAAATACTCTCTTTTCTAATCACAAGAGGTTAACGAAATTGTAAACTCTAAGATAATGTTATGTTGTGAAGAGATCTGGGTCAAATTATCATGGGCAATTCTCAAATGGAATTAAAATTAGGCAAGAGGAAGTTCCAGTTGATTGTGATCTGGCCAGTCTCAAAGCTATAATGATCAGATGTTTCACATTTACCAGGGTTATATTTTGTCCTTGCAGGGGCATAATTGAAATTAAGGCCTAAGTTTGCGAAACATAGTGTTCAACGGGATCTTCTGCCTATTTTCTTAGCGAGTACTGCCTTAAGATGGGAAGCTAGATGCATCAAAGACTAGTGAATAGGAAAGGAATTAAAGGACTAATTTGTTAAAAAGAAATTACAACGATGGAAATTGAGAATACAAAATTTTGAGTGATATATAACTAAAACAAATTTTTCCTGTAAGTAAATCAGTTAGATAAAAGGTTGAATCAAAAAAAAAATTATTTCGTACCAAGATCTAGTCTTATTTAAATTTTATTTTATACTATTCTTATACAAACACAACACAGATAATTCTCTCTCAAGGATATTATAGAAATTGCCACTCCAAAATAATACTGCCACAAAGTGCAATACCTTCTGCTTTGTAGATTGTCGGATAAAAAATAAATTTAAAAAGTCCAAGAAAAGAAAACTTTTGTCTGTGATGTGTCTTGGAAAGATCCTAGACAATCTTAAAATAAGGTTCTTCTACTGACTTTAGATGAAATGGGAAGAAAATAAGAAAACTTTTAAAAATCCTTCGGTGACAAGTACTTAAGTTTTTAATAGCCTTCATCATAATTCCAGTGTATTCAACAAACATTTACTAAGTGCTTAGTATGTGGTAGGTGCTGACAACACAAAGATGAATATGTTCCGATTCTGGATTCAGGAATTCACAGTTTAGTTGGAGAGAGTAATAAGTATAAACAAGGAAAAAGCTAAATCTGTTGACTACTGAACTATCTGCTAGGGGATTTACATGCTTTATTACTGTTAATCTGTATGGGAAAATTATGAGGTAGATATTATCTTAAATAGCCATTTATCACTTAAGAACTTGAGGGTCAGCCAGTGAGTGGGGAACTGGAAATCAGTGCTAAGTCTATTGCTTCCAAACCTCTGATTCTTTCTATTCTAGGATGCTGAAAATGAGACAGATACACCCATGTCTTATATACATTATATTCATGTGTATGTACATATACACACATACATAAGTGTACATATATATGCATATACACACATATATATATATAAACAAATACATATATGAGTTTTGTATATACATACATGGGCATTCTTTGTTATTCAAATCAAATGTGTGTTTGATGTGTTACATAAATTTTTGGTAAATACAGCCTATATTCTACTGTTTTAAATAGGAAAAATAATGGATTACTAGTAAATCCCACTTCTCCAGCTAATGCTGTTACAGTTTAAAATACTTATAGAATAATTCTCAGGGATACTTTGCATGATAAAAAGCATTTATAAAACAAAGAATTTAATTATTTAATAATTAATGCACCACTAGTGGATGTTTGAGTGCAGAATGAAATAATGATGTGTAGACATGAATTGTAATTTCCATCCGCAATGGATATGCACTGTAATTTAAAGGAACAATGAAATAATGTTATATTAAAGTTACATAATGAATTTAAATGACACTTAACTAAGTTAAATATATGAATCAGTTTTAAAATAGTTACTTATTAATTGAAGAGTTTCTTACGTGGGGTTGGCAGGGAGAGGAGAGGAGAGAAGAAAAATGGAGCTCATGGTCAATAGTTCTATTTGATGGAAGAAGAATGAGCTGGTGGAGAGTGAGCAGAACAGAAAATGCCTGAAGTTTATTTTTCTTCAGTTTCAGGGAATTAGTGGACAGTCTTCCCTTCTTGACACTCAAGACTGTGTATGACTATGAACCACAATCTGAAGTCTTAGATGAAGCAATGGGACAAACCAACAAGCTCAAAATGGGCATCTATTGGCATGGACAGCTACTGATAGATACTCTACAACTGTGCTTAGGTCTGTGGTTTTGAATGTGACGCTTTACACATGCCATGGCCACATTCACTTGCAGTGGAAATTATTTTGTTTGCATGTCCTAAAATTTCTTTTAAAGTTTCAATATTACACATTCATGCCTCCTCTTTCCCAAGTAAATAACCAGTGATGAACACTGACTGGAATGGGTTCCTCAAGTATAAGTACTGTACATGTTATGCTAACAGTTTTTCAATATTTTCATTGCCCTAAATCCAACTTCCTTAGCAAGAGCTAATAGTTTTGCTTTGCACCACTTCCCCAAAACCTCACAAGTCAACAACAAATAGCCAAGCCAGTTTCCTGTCAACTTCACTCCTTATTGTGATTTTCTTTCCCAAGCCTGACTGATGAACCTGAGAGCTTTTTGGATACGGCATGGGACACATCTCATGTACCTCCTCAGACTCTTTTGGCCCTCTGTCCCTCTCATGGGCTACATCATTCTGCTTCAAGCCAATGAGCCACATGTCTTGATTAAAACATCAAGACTTGATAAACACAGTGTTGCAGAGACCTGTCTTCCCATGTGATGTGGACAGCTGAGGAAACCCAGAAGTCCATTGGGAGACAGGAGATAGGAAGGAACTGGAAAATAAGTTTTAGCTCCTGTTTTCTTTCCAATTGACTACTCCAAAGCATAGTTTATCTGCATGACCTGCCCACAGCCTAAAGAATTTAACTGCCTAACAACTGCATTTGTCTTCTTGCAGCACACTTTACATTGGCCAGCATGGTAACATATCACATATTGTCTTGCTCCTAATCCTTCACTGTCTCACTTCCCTTGTCCGTCACTTATGCTGTCCTGGTATTGTGCATCCATTAAAAAGTATTATACTTAATCTGTGCTTCAGACTTTTTTTCTAGGTAATCGAGGGTAGAGCAGATGTCAAAGCTCTTTCATAAATTTTCCATCAAAGTAGTGTTATCTATGTCAGCCCTCTGCACGAGATATTACATGTTGAGATGGCATATTGATCCACAGGTTACAAAAGTGACATGGTTTTGGAAGGCAAAAAGAACATCCTTAAGATATTATCACTAAATCAATAGTGTAAAAATTGTCTGAGGGCACTATTATAAAATAGTTTTGTTTGCAAGATTTTCCTTCTTTGTATGTACTTTGATCAACAGTGACAACTCACTCCTCATGTAATCATTAACTATTTCCTTTACTATCCTTACTTTGTGATTTGGGTGCGCAAAATAATTCATTTTCAACATTTCTCCAAAGGGCTTGGGTTTTCAAAGGTATTAGCTTAACATTGCTTTCATAATGTATATCTAAAATTCTATCTTTGGATATATAATGTCTGCACTATTTTTACCTCTTCTTTTGAAATGAATGCAACACTTATTTCCTAAATATTCCAGGTTTATCACCATTAAAAACTTGCCTGTGGTATGAATTGTTTGATTGCCACCTCACTATTAATGGAAGCTGTTTCAGCTGTGAGCTTTAAATTATGCAGTGTTGCATACTCTTAAATCTTTTTACCTATTGTGGATTTGTTTTATTTTTTTCATGTTTTGGGTAAATGTAGTTAGTGATCATTGCATGGAGTCTAGAGGACAAAAGAAACAAAACTTGTTGAATGCATCCTATCTCCCATGTTCTCTGCAAGGCATGTTTGCTTTGTCTAACTTGATTTTTACTAAAAGTCCATGAAGTAGATAATATCCTCCTACTTTACATATAAAAAGTCATGTGAACAGTAAGGAGTAGAGATAAGATTTTAACTCATCTGTGCCTGGATCTAGAGCCTCTTTCCATAATACTTTGCAGCCTTAGAAATCTTTGATATTTAGGTGTGTAGGTGATATCAAATTTTACATTTTTGCAGACTTACTTTTTATTTATTGATTGATTGAGCCAGGGTCTTTCTCTGTCACCCAGGCTGGAGTGCGGTGGCATGATAATGGCTCACTGGAGCCTCAACTTCCTGGGCTCAAGTGATTCTCCCACCTCAAGCCTGCTGAGGAGCTGAGACCACAGACATGTGCCACCACGTCTGGCTAATTTTTAATTTTTTTGTAGAGATGGGCTATGTTGCCCAGGCTGGTCTTGAACTCCTGGGCTCAAGTAATCCTCCTGCCTCAGCCTCCCAAAGTATTGGGGTTACAGGTGTGAGCCATTGCATCTGGCCTGTGAGCATACTTCTAAATTTCATTCCTTTCCTGAATGAATTCCCTCCTTCCTTACCTTCTTTGGTGTCTATTAAGCCAATACACCAAGATATTTATCTGCTATCCAAAAAATAGTGTAACATGATTAAACTTTGTAAAATGCACAATAATTAGAAAAATCATTATGTGGTAAAGGTAACACATGCATGGCCAAGCTTCTGATTTGATGTATATGTTTACATTTCTATGTTCTTTCAGATGTAGAAATGTATGGCTATTCTAGACCTCTCAGGTTCAACTTCTTTCTTCAGAGCCTTTCTCACTTTTTAGGAAACTTTTTTTTTTCTCATAATGTGGGGAAGATGATTATAACAGATTTATGCAAAAAGAGCATGGGGAAACTGTTGAGACGTGTCCTCTTGCCTGTAATCTTGCACAGTTTGAACATTTTCACTAGTGTGCCATGTATATTTAATAAAGTTGATTTTTAATTTATATAGTGAATTTTGTGTAAAAAATGTTTGCTATTTATTTAGGAAATATACACGTTGTGAGAATCCAGATAGCAAGTGATCCCTGTATGTGTGAAGTGCTCCACCAGTTCTATGAACAAAAAAACTATAAGAATATAGAGAAGTAATAATTCCTGCCTGACTGGGATATAGGAAGTAATATTGACAGGGGGACTGGCAGTGGGCTGACATGCTTGGAAAATCAGATAGAAGAGGTTTCACAGAAGGGTTAACATTTGAGTCAGCATAGAAAAGGGGTAAGAAGTCATCCCTTTCTCTTTGAAGCAATCCCTGATTTCTCACCTAGCTTCAGAGGTTACTTATCTTCCTCTGTCCTCTAATAGTGCCCCCTAATTTACCTTAACCACGATCAGCCTTATCTTTTATACCTATCCTAGGACGATGCTTGGGGCAACATAAAGCTCAGTATATTTATTGAACTAGTTATTCAACATTTATTGAGCATTTGCTATATGCCAGATCCTATTCTAGGCACTGGGAAATAGCAATGAACTAACCCCCAAAATCTCTGTCCTCATGATGCCTATATTTCCTTGGATTTGTTTTCATAATAAAATGATTATAACATTGAAAAAGTATGAGCTGTAACAAGTCAGAAGACAAGTAAAATTTCAGGCAATGACAAATCATGCAGAAAAATAAATCAGTAAAAGGTAAGAAAGGGCCTGGGAGTGCTACCTTGGATAAATTTGTCAGGGAAGGTCTGGAGAGGGAGCATGTGAACAGAGCTGTGAATGAAGTGAGAGAGTGAGGTATGTGGCTACCTAGGGAAGAAAGTTCTACACAGAGGCCATGGCAAGTTCAAAGGCTGTGAGATAGCAGGTGCGTTTGATGTGTTGTAGAACAGAAAGGAAGAACAATGAGGTTGGAGGGGTAGCAAGACACCAGGTCACATAGAGTTTTGCAGCCATGAATGAATGAACTATTGGAAAGTGAAGGCAAGAAAGTATGAAAGTACCATTTTCATTTCTGGAAATGGTATGGCTATAGGAAAAAGTACAATTTTTCCTAGGAAATAGAGTTCAAAATCTTTAGCATAAAGTTCATGGCTCTCCTCAATTTCACCTTAACCAAGTGGGAGGCAGTAATATTTTTTAAAACTAGGTTGATTGGGAGGCCAACGTGGCTGTTCGCTTGAGCCCAAGAGTTTGAGACTAGCCTGGGCTCTATGGCAAAATGTTGTCTTTACAAAGGATACAAAAAATCATGCTGTGTGTTGGTGCATGCCTGTAGTCCCAGCTAATGGGGAGGCTGAGATGGGAAGATCACCTGTGCCTGAGGAGATCGAGGCTGCCGTGATTGCACCACTGCACTCCAGCCAGGACAAGTGAGACCCTGCCTCAAAAAAACCTAGGTTGAGGTGAAACTGGGGAAAGCCATGAACCTTATGCTAAAGATTTTGAACTCTGTTCTCTAGGAACTGGGTGACCTTTGAAGATTTCTGGGCTATGCTATAATATTTGTGTTTAATAAAGGTATTATTAAGGGCCTCCTGTATATTATGGGTGGGACTGTAAGTTGGCACAATAATTTTGGAGTAATTTATCGAAATAGATAATTCTGCTGTAATCTATCAGATTTTAAAATGTATATATAGGCATTTTATAGTACATTCACTTCTAGAATTTTACTTCAAAATGTTTATGTAAAAATGCACAGATATTTGTATGAGGATTGCCATTGTTTTGTCATTTGTAATAGAGACAATTAGAAAGAAATTAAATGTCCACTAATCGGAGACTAGTTAAATAATCATGGTACTTCAAACAATAGACTACTATGTGCCATTAAAAGAAGTGAGAGAGCTCTCAGCCTACTGATATGGAAAGATGACCAGGACATATTGTTAACTGGAAAAATAAAATTATAAAAGTATATGCAAAACATTAATCCATTCATGAATGAAAAAAATGTATATCTGTGTTTGTATTTGCATGAATACTAAATTTAGGAATAGACAATACCTTGATTAATTCTAGGGCAAGCTTGTCCAACTCATGGCCCAGGGGCCACATGTGGCCCAGAAAGTCTTTGAATGCGGCCCAGCACAAGTTTGTAAAGTTTCTTAAAATGTTATAAGATTTTTTTCTGAGATTTTTTTTTCAGATTATCAGCGATTGTTAGTGTTAGTGTATTTTACGTGTGGCCCAAGACAATTCTTCTTCCAGTGTGGCCCAAGAAAGCCAAAAGACTGGACACCCCTATTCTAGGGAGCTGTGTTTGGGCTGCAATAGTGGGGTGGGGCTGAAGAGAAAAGGAAATGTTTTACTTTACACTCTGCACTTTTGGGTCATATTTAAAGTTTTTATAGCAAACATATATTACTGTTTAAAATAACATTTTTAAAAAGAAGAATAAAAAGATGTTTTTATCCAAAGAAAAGCTATTGATGACAATCTACTGGGAACATTGAAGCTTTTTCTGAAAAACTAGCTTTGATAAAGAGTAATAAATTAAAAACCTATTCATATAAGGTCATCTGAAATGCTCATTTCCAATGAAATTAGTCTATCTAATTATCTGTTCCTGGTTCTAAGACAATGAAAACATCGCTTTAGGGAATTTTTAAAAATGTCTGTACCCTGAAATACAATTTGAATGAGCTCATTGTATATCATAATTCTCTGTGAACTTCAGTACTAATAACCCATGTTATGTATTGGTCAGAACTAATGTATTTTCTACTGATTTAACATTGCTTTTCATCCTAGGGACATTATAATTCAGGAGGATTCTAATCAATAGTCGGTACTTCTGATGAATTTCTCTTCAGATAAAATCTAGAAAAGAACATGTATAGCATTACCAAATAAATATTTTGGAGTTTGGTTTTGCAATAAAATTTTCATGATGTCATTAAAAATGTTAATAATCAAGCAATAACAAATGCCCTCAGATAATTAGTATCTTTGTATATTTTTTGTCTAGTCTACTAGTATCTGTTATCTTGTTGGTCCATGTCTCTGTATCTAATTTTGTTTCACCAACTAGATTTAAAGGATCTTGATGGAAAAGAGTGTGCGGTATTCTTCATCACAGCTACCAGCATGGGATGTACCCAGCAACTTGATGTGACCCTCACAGAAATTGAAATGACACTCTCAGAAGTCCATTATTTTTCACTTCACCAGTATGTTAAAGTTGTGATATATTTTAAATTTTCAGTCCTCTAAATGTGTCTCTATGTCCCACAATAAATGTCACATAGATATTTGTTGTGTGATCCTAAGCCAATGCAGTATACAGGTTTTGAAATCTGTCTCTATGTCATAAATTGAAGGCTGATTTGTATCACCTCCCAAGGTGATTGATTCTTTTGGGGGCAATCACTTCTGTCTATTCCTGACCTCCTCAACTCCTGTCCCTCACTGTCCTTACACAGTGAGTCTCTAAGTTCTATCTTTGCACATCTTAAACATCTCCTGGGGTATGGCCTCTCGTGCCCTCTGTCTTTCATTGTAAGACTTATTGTGCATACAGGGCCCTGGCTAAATGGTTTCTTCACCTTCTTGGGTGGGGAGAATACCCATCTGTCCATCTCTATGGCAGGTCCTGACACATCCTGGGTATTTAATAAACACCTGAATGATGCTTGGACTTTTATGAAAGGTAAGATGCTAGTCCCCAAACAAATCAGCCAATATTTATTAAACATATATGCTGTGCAGAGCTCTGGGCAAGATGCTATGAAGGGTATGAGGAAGTCTTTGATGCTAGATTCTTAAAAATCTAAATGAGGAACCAAGTAACCCACAAATA
Organism: Homo sapiens; assembly: GCF_000001405.40. Taxonomy (NCBI): domain Eukaryota; kingdom Metazoa; phylum Chordata; class Mammalia; order Primates; family Hominidae; genus Homo; species Homo sapiens. Next base: position 89,200,401 of record NC_000012.12, on the reverse strand, counting down.
GAATTACCTAGTAACCAGGTATATGAACACAGAAGCAATGCTGCAAGGAGGTCTATCATTAATTACCAAATTTGCTATATAGGACATGAGTGCTAGAAGGAGAAATTAGCCACTGTGGCATGCAAACACTACATGGAGATGTGACCCTGTCTTGAAGAGAAAGTTGGCTTTTTATGAGTGGAGAAGTAGTCCAAGGCTAAAGGGAAGAGTAGAAGTGAATGGGAGAGGGAGTAGTACCATCTCCCAGAGTAGTTTTCCTGCAGGCTAGTGTTCTTCACTTTTGGAAGGCTATGGGTACCTTTAAGAATGTGATAAGTACTTTGAATTCTCTTTCCAAACAAACCATATAAAAACAAATGCGGCTGGGCACAGTGGCCCACGCCTGTAATCCCAGCACTTTGGGAGGCCGAGGAGGGCGGATCATGATGTCAAGAGATCGAGACCATCCTGGCCAACATAGTGAAACCCCGTCTCTACTAAAAATACAAAAATTAGCCAGGCGTGGTGATGCACTCCCATAGTCCCAGCTATTCGGGAGGCTGAGGCAGGAGAATCACTTGAACCCGGGAGGCTGAGGTTGCAATGAGCCAAGATTGCGCCACTGCACTCCAGCCTGGCGACAGAGCGAGACTCCGTCTCAAACAACAAACAAGCAAACAAAAACCAAATGCAAACTTTTATATACATGTGTAGGCATTTATGTATATGCAGTTTACCCATGTGTATCAGAAGGAATCTCAGTGGGGTTCATAGATCTCTTAAAAACAACATTTCAACAGAGATAAACAAGAAGAGTTACAGATTTTGAAAAGTCTTAGAAAAGAGACAAAATAGGAGTAAGGGGAAGAAGTAGAAAAATATTCCATTTTCATGCAGAAATTGCTGTTTCTCCTTAAATTTTTTATGTATAGACTGTGGAGAATGATGATCATTTCCTCTCTAGATTTTTGGGTTTATTTTTAATGGTAATAATGGTGCAGAAAATGCACTGTGAGGAGCGCATATCTTTATTTTACAGGGAAGAAAAAATCCTGAAGATTTTTGATTAATGAATAACATGATTAAAATGGAATTTTGAAAGAGGAACTTTTTGGCAGCATGCATGATGGAATGGAAGTAGAAGAAACTTTCATTCTAGTCATTTCAAAGTGTGTGGCACCTCACTTTGTAACTGCTGAATATAGAAGAGGGGAAATAGGGACATCCAGCATGAGATGAGTGGGCCATAAACAACACTTTCAGTATAAGTAAGAGCAAGGCTTTTTCTTTTTTGAAACAGAGTTTCACTCTTGTTGCCCATTTTGGAGTGCAATGGCGTGATCTCAGCTCACTGCAACCTCCCAGGTTCAAGCAATTCTCCTGCCTCAGCCTCCCAAGTAGCTGGGATTACAGGCATGCACCACCATGCCCGGCTAATTTTTTGTATTTTTATTAGAGATGGGGTTTCACCATGTTTGTTAGGCTGGTTTTGAACTCCTGACCTCAGATAATCCACCCGCCTCAGCCTCCCAAAGTGCTGGGATTACAGGCTTGAGCCACCGCACCTGGCCGGCTTTTTTTTCTTTGGAAGAAATGTCACCTAAGGAGGAGTTAGCATTTAAGAATATATCTTCCTTTAAGAGGTCACTTTTTACAGAAACTCACTCCCACTTAGTAATTTAGAAAGAAACAATTGCAATCATTATAAATATTCACTTAAAATATTCAATAAATAACAGTGACTGAAGTTGGTAGACTGCATGATAGATTTGTCGCAGGAATAGAAGGTTCCTTTACAGAGTTTCACACTAGATTACATAGAAAGGCAGGTCAGGATGTTCCCAAGAGTGATTCCATATGCTTGATTTCTGTGAGAGACAATTGGCTTCTCTATTAGTCCATTGTCATATTGCTATAAAGAAATACCTGAGAAACAGGTAATTTTTAAAGAAAAGAGGCTTAATTGGCTTATGGTTCTGCCGGCTGTCCAGAAAGCATGATGACATCTGCTTGGCTTCTGGAGAGGCCTCAGGAAACTTAAAATTATGGCACAAAAGGTGAAGGGGGAGCAGGCATGTCACATGGACAGAGCAGGAGCAAGAGATTGGGGGGAGGTGCCACACACTTTTAAATGACCAGATCTCACAAGAACTCATTCATTATCGAGAGGACAGCACCAAGAGGGTGGTGCTAAACCATTCATGAGAAATCCTCCCCCATGATCCAATCACCTCCCACCAGGCCCCACCTCCAACATTGGGGGTTACAATTCAACATGAAATTTGGGCAGGGACATGCATCCAAACTGTATCAGCTTCTTTCTGCTCCTCTCATCCCTAACCCCTCCTTTATGGCTCATAATGGAGATTGGTTTCAGTTGGTCTACAGGTCCTTCACACCTGATGGATCCACCCTCTTCTCTTTTTTCTACTAAACTTTGTTCAGACCCTCTGTCTAATTAATTACTCCATCAGTTTCCTTAAGGGACTCCCTGCCTTCAGGTCTTTCCCCATTTAATGTATTCTCTGCAGCGCAGCCAGAATGCTCTTTCTGAAATACAAATATGATCACATCTCTCTCTGGCTTTAAACTTTTTACTGACACCTCAAGTCCTATAGGATCAAGTCCAAAGTGTTTAGCATGGTTTACAATCCGTAGTCAATCTACTTCCCCAGACATATCTCCAGCCATTCCTATCTACACACTCATACTCTACATACCCAGCTGTTCCAGAGGCTGCCATTGTTGCTGACAGACCGTGGATCTTTTTCTTTGCATATAGTTTAAGCCTTTCAACTATTCTACTTTAAACTTAATTGTCATTTTAAATACATGAACATATATTAATTATACAGACCATACTACAAGCCTGTCTTTGCTCTGCCCTCATGGCAAAGTGTGATATTCTCCAGAGGCAACTATATTCATTCACCTCTTAGATATTTCTGGTGTTTCTCTTTATCTATCTGTCTGTCTGTCTATCTATCCGTCCATCCTATCCTACCTATCATCTATCATTTCTCTTATTTTTAAATCTTAGACGTGCATCAAAATACTAATGTGGAAAGTTAGAATTTGGCTTCTTTGACCCCTCTTTCTACAGCATTGGTTTAGCCTCTGAACTGGGTACCAGTTTTACGTGTCTCCTCAGTTTCTCCTGGTGCTGTCCATTTCCCAGATAGTGCTGCTCCTCCCAGGAGATAACCAGTCATTTGTCCTGGGAATGTTGGGCCCTTGTTCTTGGCTGCTAGTAGCACAGCTGGGCCAGCTAATTTAATGACCCAAATTTCAGGCTCATGCTACCACATCTAGACTCAAATGAAGCTCCAATCCTCGGTACACGAGATTCAGCATCCCGACTGGATGTGGAGGGGCCAGATGACCCACCTTAGAAAAGAGGGAGGTCTCTGTGGGTGAACTTTGGCCAGTGAGAGGACAGCATGTAACATACAACCTTTATTGTTTCCCATTCTTTTTGCTTTGCTTCATTTCTTCTTTTCTCTCATTGACTTGGGTTTGTACTTCTCCAATAAAGCCTCCACACTTTAATCATTTTATTAGGCCCTATTTTTTTTTTAAAGTACTCAAGGTTAAGATGCTTTCCCTCCTGGGTATGTGTATATGTGTTACAATTTTTGGTTAATTCAAAAATCAGAACTTAAATGATCATGATGATATATATGCTACATATCCCAGCAAAACCAGTAAGCATGATTTTAAATTTGTTTCCTAAAACTTTGGTGTTTTTGGAGTTTAAGATTGCATGGATTTTTTTTGTGCATTTATGTCCTATGCCAGTAAAGAAATTTTCTCAAAGTACAAAAGTACTCTTAATGTGGCCAAAAGTGTTAGGTAATATAACAGTTTTTCTTCAGTCTTTGACATTCCTGCTGTAGTCTTGTGTTCTCTCATTCCAATTTTAACTGGTTGTTCCTTAGACCTGATATTCAATACTATCCTTTAAATTCTTTTTGTATCTTTCCTCTGTGTTATCTATTTCCCAAATCCAATACCTTCCTTCTTCTTGGTTTGCTATGTCATGTTGATAAAGCATATCCTCCAGTAGCTTTCTGAGATAAGGTGTATGGGTAGGCAATATTTAAAAAACCTTAAACATCTGAGAAGCTCTTTATTTAACCTTCATATTTAAGTGATAGTTTATTTGAATATAGAATTTTTTGATCGAAATAAATTCTTACCAGAATTTTAAAGGCACTGTGCATTTCCCTGCCTCACCCCAGTATATTGCATCGTTACTGAGAAATTTAATGCCAATCTAATCCCAAGTTCTTTGTGTATTACCAGTTATTTTCTCACAGGAATTTTTAGTGCCTTTAAAAAAATCTCTAACATTCTGCATTTCATAATGTTGTGTATTGGTGTGGGTCTTATTTAACAACAGAACATCAGGTGCCAATTTTTAACTCAGGTCCATAAGTTTTAAGAAAAAATTTAAAATTATCTCTTTAATTATTTTCTGCTATCTATTTTCTTGATTATTTATTTCACCCCTAAATGTCTTGGTTATGTTTGTGCATTCTTCCATGCTCTGGGGATATAGCAGTGAACACAATTAACACAAAGATGAAAAACATCATGCCCTCATGTACATTCTGATCTCATGTACATTCTGATAGTAGAGATAGATAAATAAGTGAAACAAAAGTCTGTTAGGTAATGATAAGTGCTATGGAAAAAAATAAGGGCAACAAGGAGGTTATAATATGGTGTGTATATGTGCATGTGTGTGTGTGTGTGTGTGTGTGTGTGTTGTGGGGGAGGAGGAAGGGAGGGAGAGAGAGAGAGAGAGAAAAAGCGAGAGAGAGAGAGCGAGAGAGAGAGAGCAATTTAAAAAATGGTGGCCAGAAGAGGCTTCACTGAGAAAGTGAGGTGTGAGTAAAGACTACAGAAAGTGAGTTAGCTGTTAGATATCTGGGGGGAAAGCTTTCCAGGCAGAAGAAACATCTCAAACTACAGATGCATTTAAGGAACAGTGAAGAAGCCAGTGGGACTCTAGTGAAGGAAGCAAATGGGACACTTGAGGGGATGAGGTTAGGTTAAAAGCAACTAGGGCTCAGATTGTGTTAAAACCTTGGGTAGTAAAAGAACCATTGGACAATTTTGAGCAGAGGGGTAACCTGATCTGACTTGTATCTTAGTGGCTAGTGTGTTGAAAATAGTCTGAAGCAGTGCAAAGGTAGAAGCAAGGGTGCCATTTAGAAAGCTGTTGCAGGAAAGTAAAAGAGAAGTAATAGGTGACTTGTATCAGGTTAGTGGCAGTGAGGATTGGGGGATGTGGTGGAATTCTGATATAGTTTGCCTGTGTCCCCACCAAAATCACATCTCGAATTGTATCTCCCATAATTCCCATTGTTGTGGGAGGGACCTGGTGGGAGATAATTGAATCATGGAAGCGATTTCCCCCATGCTGTTCTCATGGTAGTGAATAAGTCTCATGAGATCTGGTGGATTTATAACGAGAAACCTCTTTCACTTGGCTCTCACTTTCTCTTTGCCTGCTGCCATCCATGTAAGACGTGACTTGCTCCTTCTTGCCATCCACCATGATTGTGAGGCTTCTCCAGCCACGTGAAACTGTATGTCCAATGAAATCTTTTTCATTTGTAAATTGCTCCATCTCAGATATGTCTTCATCAGCAGTGTGAAAATGCACTAATACAAACTCTTTGTATGTTATGAAGATATAGAGTTGTCATGATTTGTTAACAGATCATATCTAGGGTGTGAGATAACAAGGAAGAAGTGATAACATCAAAGTTTTGACTCAATTCTTAGAAAAAAGGAGTTGCCAAAAACTGGAAAAGGGAGAGAAGTACAGAGGAGAAAGTTTTTATTTTGGCAGGGGATTGTGGAGTGTTGGGGAAGGAGGGAGGAAGGTAAGTTAGAAGTTTGGAATTTGGCATTAGAAGCATGAGATGCTCTTAACACAACTAAATAGAGATGTAAATTGGCAGTTTGACATTTAAGTCTGCATGTTCAGGGGAGGCATGAAGGCTGGAATTGTAAAAGTGGAAGCCAACAGCATACAGGTGGTCTATATGACCATGAGGCTAGACAACATAGCTCAGGAGGAGGAGTGCAGATTATAGAGAGAAGAGATCTGAGGGCTATGCTTGGAGTAGACTGCCTACATTTAGAGATCAGGGAGACATGTAAGAAACAACAAAAGAGATAAGAGGAAATAGGCAGAAAAGTAGGAGGAAAAGCAGGCATATGTGGAGTTCCACCAGCCAAGCAAAGAAAGTTTTCCAAGGAGGAGGGAATAATCTGTTCTGTCAAGTGCTACTGAGATGCAAGGTAACATGAAGACTGAGAAATGACCTTTTTATTGGTGATCAGGATAAGAACAATTTTGGTGGACTGGTGGGGGTGAAAATCAGATTGGTATGGGTTAAGAGAGGGGAGGGAAGGAATTTGAAATAGTGGGTAGAGACAACTCTTTTAAGGAGTTTTGCTAAAACAGGAGAAACAAATAGGATTGTAGCTAGAGCTCTATTCTGTATTTTAGGAATTCCTATTATTTAGATGTTGAATATTCTGAATCGATTGCCTTATTTTCTTTCTTTTCTTTTCTGTTTTTCATATTCCTGTTCTGTTTTCTGGAAGATACCTTGATTTTATCTTAAAACCCTTCCTTTGATTTTTTTCCTGCTATCATTTAATTTTGAGAGCTAATCTATTCTCTAATTGTTCATTTTTAATATGAACTGTGAGCTCTGTTTGTCCTTGTTCCTCATTTATCATAGATTCCTTTGAAGTATCTGAAAACTGATATTTTAAAACTAGTAATAGAGCTTTTCAATTTTGTTCTAGTTAGCTTCCCCCAATGCAAATTATTAAATGATATTTAAGATATACAAAATGATATAAAGGATAATACAACAAATTCCGTGTGCTTAAAATACAACATTTTAAAACTTTGGTCTCCCAGGTTTGTTTTGTAAATATAGTATCTTCCCATCTTCCTAAAGGCATTTATTAAAGTTTATTTTTCCCTGAAGCTTTTTTTCTGCTTACTGCATTGATCTCTATTTCTTCTGAGTCCAATTCACTCTCCTGCTTTGTTCTGTTTGCTTTAGTCTGTGTTTTGTGTTAAAAGACTTCCTCAGATATTTGGAGGATGGATGCTTATCCATGCCTAGTTAAGAGTGAGGCTCTAAAAAGCTCATTTGTAGCTTTGTGTGCCTGGGCAGCACTGGCTGGCTGCCACCCTTCAATAGGCTGAACCTCAGCTCTTTCCTCATGAGACCTCCAAATGCCAGTTTCTGTAGATCTCTTCTCAACCATTCTGTTCTCTCGGAGGAGAATCTTACAGTTTCCTGCCTAGGGATACAATTCTAGACTTGGAAAAGAGGCCGAAGGAGCCTCACTATCCAAGATGTATATTTTCATTAATCTCCCATCTCCAATATGGCACCTTGGCCCTGCCCTTAGCTGTACTTGGGGTTTGAGTCAAGGCCTCAGGTTAAGATTTAGCTTCTCTTGGGAGTAAACCTCCTGTCTTCTGCATAAAGTTGAAGAGGGACAGTCTCCTGGTGCTACAAGCTGGGGGAAGTAGTGGGAGGCATCGAAAGCTCCGTGTAGGTTTTTAACTAGTTCTGTTCTCAGCTCCTTCATCAGCTGTAGGTCTCTGCCTTCCTCCCTCTGCTGAGCCACTCACCACTCTTGTGGCGTATTTCCATCGATGACTTCCTCATCTTTCTTTTTGTTCTGTTGGTTTTAAAGATGGGGCTTAAATATTTACTTTATGTAATTTTAAAGGAGTGACTCAGAAGTAAATATGTATGGTCAGTGCTCCAATGTTTACTTGTGATGCCACTTACTCACCATTACCCAGTTCAGATGTGACCTTCCCTGAGAAGATGTCCCCAGATAGAGAGAGCTTATTCTTCCTTGGAGCTCTGATACCACTCATGTGGTAAATAAGTCTCTTACATTAGCCATTACTTTGTCTCTTTATTGGACTCTAAGCCCTTGGAGGGCAAGGACGATTACTTATTCATTCTTTATTTTATTTTTATTTTTTAATTGACAAAAGTATATATATATATATACTTATCTTTACAACACGTTGTTTTGAATACACTGTGGAATGTATACATCGTGGAATGTACCCATCATGGAACAGCTGAATCCAGCTAATTAACATCTTCATTATTTCACATACTTATTTCTTTTGTGTGTGCTGAGAAAAATTAAAACTACTTTCTCAGCAATATTAAAAAATAGAATACATTGTTACTAACTGTACTCACCATGTTGTACAGTAGACCTCTTAAACTTATTCCTCTTACTGAACTGAAATTTTGTATCTTTGATCAACATTTCCCCAACTCCCTGCCTTCACCTCCAGCACCTGGTAACCACCATTCCACTCTCTACTCGTACCAGTTCAACTTTTTTAGATTCCACATACAGGTTAGACCATGCAGTATTTGTTTTTCTGTGCTTGGCTTATTTCACTTAATATAATGTCCTCCATGTTCATCCATGTTGTCACAAGACAGGATTTCCTTCTTTTTTAAGGCTAAATGATATTTCATTGTGTATATATACCACATTTTCTTTATCCATTTATCCATTGATGGACATTTAGGTTGATTCCCTATCTTAGCTATTGTGAATAATGCTGCAATGAACATGGAAGTGCAGATGTCTCTTCAACATGCTGATTTCCTTTCCTTTGGGTATACAGTATATCCAGTAATGGGACTGCTGGGTCATATGGCAGTTTTGTTTTTAACTATTTTTTCTTTTTTTTTGAGATGGAATCTCATTCTGTCACCCAGGCTGGAGTGCAGTGGCCTGATCTCAATTCACTCACTACCACCTTGGCCACTTGGGCTCAAGTGATCCTCCTACCTCAGCCTGCTGAGGACCAGAGAACATAGGCACGCAAGGTGTTACTATGTTGCCCAGACTGGTCTGCCACTCCTGGGCTCTCAAAGTGCCAGTACTACAGGCATGAGGCACTGCATCTGTCCTATATATATTTTTTTGAGGGAACTCTACACTGTTTCCCATAATAATTGTACTAAGTTACATTCCCACCAACAATGTTCAAGGGTTCTCTTTTTTCCACATCCTCTCCAACCCTTGTTATATTTCATGTTTTTGATAATAGCCATTCTAACTTGCATTTCTCTGATGATTAGTGATGTTAATTTTTTTATATACTCTTAGCCATTTGCATGTTTTCTTTTAAGAAATGTCTATTCAGATCCTTTACTTATTTTTAAGGCAGTTGTTTTCTACTATTGAGTTGTCTGAGTTCCTTATATATTTTGAATTGTTTGTAAATATTCTCTCTATTTCTTAGTTTTTCTCTTCACTCTGTTGATTGTTTCCTTTGCTATTTGGTTTGATGTAATCCTGTTTATCTCTTTTTGCATTTGTTGCCTCTACTTTTGAGTTTATATATATATATATATATATATATATATATATATATATATATATATATGTAAAATCATCACCGAGACCAATATCATGGAACTGTCCCCTTACTTTTTGTTCCAGTAGTTCTACAGTTTCAGGTCTTATGTTTAAGTCTTTAGCCAATTTTAAGTTGAGTTTTGTACATGGTGTGAAATAAAGGTCTAATTTTTTTCATCTGCATGTAAATATCTAGTTTTCCTAGTACCTTTTATTGAAGAGACTGTCCTTTCCCCATTGTGTATTCTTGGTGCCTTTGTCAAAAAGCAATTGACTGTAAATACATGGATATATCTATGGACTCTGTTTTGTTCCTTATTTATGTGTCTGTTTTTATACCAGTACCATGCTGTTTAGATTACTATAGCTTTACAATGTATTTTGAAATCAGGTACTGTGATGCCTCCAGCTTTGTTCTTTTTGCTCAAGATTGCTTTGGCTATTCTGGTCTTTTGTGGTTCATGCAAAATGTAGGATTGTTTTTTCTATTTTCAGGAAAAATGACATTGTAATTTTGATAAGGATTACTTTGAATTTCTAGATTACTTTGGGATGTATGAAAATTTAACAATTTATGCGCATAGAATGTCTTTCCATCTATTTGTATCTTCTTCAATTTCTTTCATCAATGTTTTATGGTTTTCTGTACAGGCTTTTCACCTCCTTGGTTAAATTTATTTCTAAGCATTTTATTATTATTGTTATTTGATAGCTCCCATAAATGGGATTGTTTTCTTGATTTCTTTTTTTCTGGAAAGTTTGATGTTAATGTACAGGAATGCTACTGATTTTGTATGTTGATTTTATATCCTTTACTGAAATTTGTTTACTGAATTTTACTGAAATTTACTGAATTTGTTTATTGGTTCTAACAGTTTTTTGGTAGAGCCTTTAGAGTTTTCTATATACAAAATCATGTTTTCTGCAAACAAGGACAATTTACATTTTTTCTTTACCATTTGGAGTATTTAGTTTTTTTCTTTTCCTATTTACTTTGGCTAAAACTCCCAGTACTGTGTTGAATAGAAGTGCTGAGAGTGGGCATTCTTTTCTTGTTGCTTATCATAAAATAAAAACTTCCAGCTTTTCACCATAGAGTATACTGTTAGCTGGGGTTTTGTTTGTTTCATTTGTTGTGTTGATGTACATTTCTTTTATACATAATGTATTGAGGATTTTTTTTCTCATGAAATGATGTTGAATTTTGCCAAGTGCTTTTTTGTCATCTATTGAGATGATCATACATTTTTTGTCCTTTATTATGTTAATATGATGTATCACATTTATAAATTTGCATACGTTGAACCATCCTTGCATTCCTGGGACAAATTGCACTTGATCATGCTGAATGATCCTTTTAAGGTGCTGTTGAATTTGGTTTGCTAGTATTTGGTTGAGGATTTTTGCACCTATGTTTTTCAGGAATACTGTCCCATAATTTTCTTTTTTTCTAATGTCCTTGTCTGGATTTGCTATCAGGGTAATGGTGCCTCATAAAATGAGTTTGGAAGTATTTCTTCTTCTTCTATCTTTTGGAAGAGTGTAAAAAGGATTAGTATTAGTTCTTTAAATGTTTGGTAGAATTCAATAGTGAAGTTATCAGGTTCTGGGCTTTTCGTTGATGGGAGACTTTTTACTGCTGACTCAATCTTCTTACTTGTTAATAGTATTTTTTAGATTTCCTATTTCTTCATGATTCAGTCTTGGTAAGTTGTATGTGTCTAGGAACTTACCCATTTTTTTCTAGATTATTCAATTTGTTGGCATATAATTATTTATGGTAGACTCTTATGACTCTTTGTATTTCTGTGGTATCAGTTGTAATGTCTCCTCTTTCATTTCTGATTTTACTTATTTGAGTCTTCTCTCTTTTTTTCCTAATTAGTCTAGTAAGGGTTTGTTGATTTTGTTTATCTTTTCAGAAAACACACCCTTAGTTTCGTTGATCTTTTCTATTGTTTTTCTAGTCACTATTTCATTTATTTCTGCTCTGATCTTTATTATTTTCTTTCTTCTGCTAACTTTGGGCTTAGTTTGTTCTTGTTTTTCTAGTTCCTTGAAGTGTAACATTAGGTCGTTTATTTGAGATTTTTCTTCTTTTTTGATGTAGGAGTTTATTGCTATAAACTTGTGTTTTAGAAGTGCTTTTACTACATCCCATAAATTTTGGAATGTTGTGCTTCCATTTTTGTTTGTCTCAACATATTTTTTAACTTTCCATTTAATTTCTTTGTTGATCCATTGGTTATTTGGGAGCATGTTGTTTAATTGCCATGCATTTGTGAATTTTCTGAAATTCCTCCTGTTGATTTCTAGTTTTATACCATTGTGGTCAGAAAAGATAACTTGATATGATTTCAATTTTCTTAAGTTTGCTAAGACTTATTTTGTGATCTAACATATGATCTATCCTAGAGAATGCTCCATGTGGACTTGAGAAGAATGTGTATTCTGCTGCTGTTGGATAGAATGTTCTCTATATGTCTGTTAGGTTCATTTGAGCTAAGGTGTTTAAGTCAATTAAAAAAAATTAAACCTGTTCATTGCTAAAAGTGGGGTATTGAAGTCCCCTACTGTTCTTCCCCTACCCCTGAAGTCCCCTATCCCTTCAGATATATTAATATTTCCTTTATATATTTAGATGTTCTGATGTGGAATGCACATGCATTTACAATTATCTCATGAAGAATTGATCCCTCTGTCATTACATGAGGATTTTTTTTTTTTTTTTTTTTTGAGACAGTCTTGCTCTGTCGCCCAGGCTGGAGTGCAGTGGCACGATCTCGGCTCACTGCAACCTCCGCCTCCCAGGTTCAAGTAATTCTCTGCCTCAGTCTCCAGAGTAGCTGGGATTACAGGTGATTGCCACCACTTCCAGCTGATTTTTGTATCTTCAGTAGAGATGGGGTTTCATCATCTTGGCCAGGCTGGTCTTGAACTCCTTACCTCGTGATCCACTCGCCTCAGGCTCCCAAAGTGCTGGGATTACAAGTGTGAGCCACTGCGCCCGGCCACATAAGGACTGTCTTTGTCTCATTTTATCGTTTTTGACTTAAAGTTTATTTTACCTGATATAAATATAGTTACTCCTGCTCTCTTTTGGTTTCCATTTACATGGAATATCTTCCTCTATTTTTACTCATTCTTAAATCTCTAAAGCTGGCCATAGTGTTGGATGAAGACATATCTGCAAAAGTTACCAGTTAGGCTTGTTTGTAACTATCTGGGGGAGGTTATAAGGGCAACATGGTGCAAGAGTGGATAAGTAACATTTTATCATGGAAAAAATTGTTCTATTGCTTAATAGATCTGTGATGCTAAGCAAGTTATTTTTCTTTAGGCCCAGTTTCCCCAGAATTGTGACTGTAATAGTGCCTACCACATAAGGTTTATGGGGGAGAATTGAGCACTTTATTTTTTTCTTTTTCTTTTTTTTAAACCTTTTACTATGATTATTTTCAAACATACAAAAAAGTAGAAAGACTAGCACCATGAACCCCAGGTAATAATTACCTAACTCAACAATGATCAACATTTTGCTGTGCTTGTTTTATCCATCTGTCCCTCTTTTATCTTTGATGCATTTTAAAGGTAAATTTGGACATCATATCATTTCAACAATAAGCACTTCTGTATATATCTCTAATCATGGTATTATTAGCACCCTAACCCTAACTGAATTAACAGTTTTTTTATTTTTTTTATTTTTTGGAGACGGACTGTTACTCTGTCGCCCAGGCTGGAGTGCAGTGGTGCAATCTTGGCTTACTGCAACCTCTGCCTCCTGGGTTCAAGCTACTCTCCTCCCTCAACCTCCAAGTTGGGATTACAGGCATGTGCCACCACACTTGGCTAATTTTTGTATTTTTTTTTAGTAGAGATGGGGTTTCATCATGTTGGCCAGTCTGGTCTCAAACTCCTGACCTCAAGTGATCCACCCATCATGGCCTCCCAAAGTGCTGGGATTCATGCTAAATTGAGCCTAGAGACTAATGGGGAAATTGTCTTTAAGTAAAACTCTAAATATAAAATTGGAAAGAAGGGGGCATTTTGAGAGAGATATATTATCAGGAATGGGGATGGAGGCATGTTGGTAATTTAAATTAGGATATGAGAAAACTTTTCTTATGAATGGATTTTTAAGCTGAGGTATGATGACTAAATAGAACTTTTCAAAGTGAATATTGAGGGGAATAACATTCTGGAACATTAGGGGCAGGGAACACTTGGTGGTGAGTTGGACGGCTCTAAAGTCTAGATAGTAGGTGTTTGTTAGAAGAGAATGGCTGAATATGAGGCTGCAGAAGCCAGTGATGACCAGAAACACACACAGCCTTTGGGAGCATATTAATGGTGTTCTGTGTTATTCTAAGGGTTATGAGGAATCATTGAATGATCTCATCACAGAAATAATTCTATTTGTGTTTAAAAAAAGATTGCATAGGCTACGAGAAGAAGAGTTCGTAGAGAGCCAGAAGTACCCTTGTGAGAACAAGTAGGAGGCTAGGATGTTGGCAGTGGAAATGGAGGAAAGCAGTTGTATTTAAGATTCATTTGTGAGGGAAATCGTCAGGATGTGTTGACCAAATTGATGTAGGGAAGTGTGGCAGAGGAAGGTGTCTTAGATGACTTCCAGTTTCCAGAGGGCAGCTGAGGGGAAAGGATTTGGAAAAAGTATGAAGACTCAGGCAAGAAACACAGCATAGTGTAATTATCAACAGCAGCTAATACATAATTACATTTTTTTTCTGTTAACCAATCCTTCAAGTTCTAGATCATGTCTTGTCTTCTTATGAAAACTTCTCTGACCACCTGAGGCAGACGTCAGTTGGCTCTTTCTTCTCCTCTTCTGTAATACTTATTACTCATCTGAAGTTTACACATGCTGTTTTTATCCTGCTTATCTTGATCTGTGCTGCTTCTTCTCTCACCACCTAGATTTTAAGTGCACTGGCAAGGCCTTTTTTTTATATATATTTCTTTGAATTCTCAAAATCACTTAGTAGAGTTTGGTACGCAGATAATGTTTTTTGGTAGATAGAAAATATTAGTAGAGTTCAGCACACTGCAATTAATTTTTGACTGTGTAATAATTGAAAATATTATCATTTTGGTAGAAAGTTTTAAAAGGACATGTTATTGGAAGTCATTTCTTCTCCATATGCTGTTCACAGAGAATAAAATAGATCATGTCTATAATTTAATTTCTGAATTGTCCTTGAGAGCACAGCCTATAAATAACCATAGAATAATTTATGGTGGATATTTAATCAAGACAGATCAAGGGAATTAAATATATTTGTTTTTAAGTCTCTGAATCAATTGTCTCTCTAATGAATTAGATGTGCCAGTTACATTTTGAAGAACATAATGGAAATAATGATGATTGACAAAAATATATACACAATGTGGCAATATTTTTTTTTGTTTATTTGTTTTATTTTTTTGAGACAGGGTCTTGCTTTGTTGCCTAGGCTGGAGTGCACTGGCATGGACATGGCTCACTGCAGCCTCAACCTCCTGAGCTCAAGCTATCATCCCACCATGGCCTCCCAAAGTGCTGGGATTATAGGTGTGAGTCACCGTGCTCGTCCACACAATGTAGTTTTATGTCACTTATGAAAAGTGTTGTAACATCAGAGCCCCTAAAAAGCTCTCTAAAATGATGTCAGTAATAGTACAACCCACACCCACTACCTTCCGTGTCCTATGGTTAATGGTAATAAGAAAAGAAGGATGGGGGTGTTGACTCTGCAGCTTTATGATGGGATCCTTCTCCAACTGCACCTTCATCTCAGACTGCTGCTGAAGCACCTCCTACTTTCTTCTGCCCATGATTCTTTGAAAACATTTTAGTGATGGTGAGGGTAGAGGTCTCATTGCTGCCATTTATCTATCAACTCCCATTGCTATTATTAATCACAATTAGCTCTTTATGTGAGCATTTATGTAGAAATAAAACACATGTTTATTGAATCTGTATGCCTAGATTTGAAGTAGGCTGCTTTGGAGATATAGATACGAAAATAGATAAATAAAATCTATGCTCTAAAGAAGCATTCATGCAGTGACAAAATCAGATGTGTGCACAGGCACAATTTTTCTCTATGGAAATAGATATTTTTTTTTTTCCCTGTGAGAAGTTTAGCTATCTGTGTTTAAGGTTGTACAATCAGGGAGATCTAGGTTAGTAGCTTGGCTTGTCCATGTAGTAACTATGCGATCTTGGGTAAGTTACTTAATTTTTACCATCCTTATTTGCATCAGACCTAAAATGAAGATAGTGATGCTTTCATTCCAGAATCGTTGTAAGTATTAAATGAGATAATGCATTCAAAGTTCCTAGCATAGGGTATTATACATGGAGAGTGTTGAATAAATCGTATGCAAGTGTGTATGTTTTTATATATGTATATAAAGACCTATTCCACTGATCTAACAAGTGCTTGCACATTCATTGGCGGTGGCAACATTTATTTTGCAAAGACAAAGTTGATGATAATAATAATTCCTGGGGCTGAGTCAGATCAGTTGGCCCTAGGACCCACTGTTTCTTCACAACCATGAAGTGTCCTTCCGTGGCTAGGCTCCTGTCCACTCCACCCATCCTTCACCCTCCCCATTGCCTCCCAGTCACCCTCACAGGACATGACTTTCCCTTTCTCCCACTCCAAGTGGTTATGCAAGAATCAGGCTGCTCTTTATCCTAGGGGCCCTTATAAGAACAAACTTGAGAAGAAATACTTAGTTATTTCAAAACATGAAATGAAGCAACTTGTCTCCCATTTCATCCATGAGTCAAGAAATTTGTTGGAAATGAGTTCCCATATCATCTTCTATGCTGATTTGGAATAAACCTGATAAGTTGTTCACTTTCTCTTGGCTTTAGGATTCTTGTTTGTAAAACAAACGATTGTGAAATAAGAAGGTTGGGTTGCCTGTGATGAGTGGAGTTGTTATAGTGAGAAGTACTAAAAAAGTGTTTGGTGAAGAGATCACTGTCAGAGACATCTGGACTTGTTAAGTACACTAAACTCTAACAGGATGATCTCAGGTAGAAGACTAAAGTGTGGGAAGAAGACCCAACCTAAATCTACCTTACCATGGCAGTGTTCTCTTTCTTTCTCTTTTCATCTGAAGATGGGGAGGGGTGAAATAATGACCTGAGAAAGGGATGGGAAGAATAAATATCGGAATATCAGCATGTTCATGTTGGAAACAGGGTGGTCAGGTCAACCATCAATTCTACCCCAGGACTTTTTCGAATGGGCACCAAAGGACACTGATTTGCCTTCTTGATTTGTCTCCAAGTTAACTTTTTCAAAAGTTAGGGGATAAACACTATATTTAATGATTTACTACATCCAGTGTGCAAGAGTTTATGTAACATTTTGTGAAATGTATTTATGTTTTCAGGCAATATCATATTTTTGGGTAATGATTTTCATAAAGTAAAAATTTTTAATTTTCAAGAAGAGATAGAGAATAATTAGGGTCTCTGAGAGGATGCTGGAAAATCATGCCCAAGATTCTTCTCTTCTCTGCCATACTTCCCACCCAAATTTAATATAAATAACTCAGTGTGGTTGTCTTAGATTTTAAAATGTGAAGAGTCTTCCTGTTACCTTCCTAGACACTGTCTCCAAAATATATTACTGCCTGACTTGCCCAAAGAAAGAAAGCATGTTATATATAGTCACTGATTTCTTTGTTCTGGCTTCTTTTGCCACAAACAACAAACCACTATGCTGTAATATAATTTAATTTAATTTAATTTTTTTTGAGACAGGGTCTCACTCTGTCACCCAGGCTGGAGTGCAGTGGTACGACCAAGGTAGGTGGGACTATAGGTGCACACCACCATGCCCAGCTAATTTTTTATTTTTATTTTTTATAGAGATGGGATTTCACTATATTGCCCAGGCTGATCTCGAACTCCTGGGCTCAAGCAATCTGCCCGCCTTGGCCTCTTAAAGTGCTGGGATTACAGACATGAGCCACCATGCCCAGTCTGTAATGCCATTTAGATGGTTGTTCTACTTATCTAAAAATAAGTGCTGACTTTTTGTCACTTTCATTGGGACAAGTTTAACAAATTCTTTACCTACAGAAACTAGAGAAAGAATTTGACTATTAAAAATATGGCAAGTGTTTCCAGAGTTTAGCCTTTCTATAAAATGCTATTCATTAGGCAATCCTCATTTGCAGGGAGGAAATGGAAAAGGTGATGTGACAGAGAGTGACCAGGTTGGAGAAGGAAGGATGGCAGGAGAATCTCTACTTTCAATGTTCAGAGGGGGCTTCTTTCTACGGGGAGGTAACATCAGAGCTGAGAATAGAAGGCTAATGATGACAAGCAACACAATAATGACCTATAACTATTAAGCACTTAATTATATTTCAGTCATTTACATATATTAATTCACAGTGTCCTGGTATTCGTACTCCCAAGTCCCTGCTTTTAAAATTCCCTGCTCTTGTGGTTAAATCTTGTGAAAAATTGGGGAAGAATATTCCAGAAAAAGGAATGGCAGGTAGAAAGTCTTTAAGCAAGCATGAAATTAGGTATGTTTAGGAACTGAAAGAAGCTCAGAGTGGCTTGTGTGTAATGAGCTAGGAAGAAAAGTTTATATGTATGGGGAAGTATATTGAAGGCCACAGTGAAAATAAAAGTTTTCGTTTTGTTCTTTAGTCTTAGGAATTATCTAATTTATTATTACTTTTTTTTTAGATATTTGAAGGTAAACTTCTAATTTTTTACTGTACATATGCAATGAACTGGCACATAGCAGAACAGACTCAGCATAGTTTTTTGAAAGAAAATATTCTAATATCATATCTTCAATATTATACAAATAATTATTGAGTGTGATAGAATTTAGCTATTTAGTATTTCTACTCTTTAAAATATCCAAGTCTAAATAACTCGCCAGCTTGAATAATGTCATCCGCCACAGTCTAAACAGGCCTATTGACCACTCCAGCAGATTGTTTCTATTAGGTGCATTTTCTTCTTGATCTTAAGACTTCCACAAAAGTATAAATATTTAACATCTTTGAGCAATTTAAGCAATCACAGTTTGCTGGAATATTAAAAATGCAATAGTGATGAAAAACAAAAGTATTTCTAACAGAATGCAGACCCAGATCTAGATAAATATAGCTTACTTGTTCATAATCTTCTTTCTCAGGAAACCATGCCTGTCTTCAACAGGATTTTTTCAGTTTAGGTTTGCCCTTTTAACACACTGAGTCATTGTTTGGTAATCAGAACAGTCTCCCCTAGCATTACATTTTTTCTAGGAAATTGGCTCACAGGTTTGATCACGCTTAACAAAGGGTGTCTACCTTGTAAAAAAGGACAAAGCTCTGTGTTGGTATATAGGTACTGAGGAGATTAGCATTTTTTAAAAGACTATTTTTTAGAGTAATTTTAGATTCACAGCAAAATTGAGAGGAAGGTATAGAGATTTCCTGTATACTCCCCACCCCTACACATGCATAGCCTCCACCACTATTAAAATCTCCTATCAGGATGTTACATTTGTTACAGTTGATAAGCCTGCACTGACACAATATAATCACCTCAAATCCATAATTTGCATTAGGGTTCACTCATGGTGATGTATATTCTACGAGTCTGGACAAATGTATAATGACATGAATTCACCATATAGTATCATACAGAGTATTTTCATTGTCATGAAAACCCCCTGTGCTCTGGCTATTCCTCCTTCCCTCCCTTCTAACCCCTGGCAACCATTGATCATCTTACTGTTTCTATATTTTTGCCTTTTGCAGAATATCCTATAGTTGGAGTCATATAGTATGTAACTTTTCAGTTTGGCTTCTTTCACTTAGTATACAAGCATTTAAGCTTTCTCCATGTCTTTTCAAGGCTTGATAGCTCATTTCTCTTTAGCACTGAGTAATAGTCCATTTTCTGGATGTGCCTCAGTTTATTTATACATTCATCTGCTGATGGACATCTCAGTTGCTTCCAAATTTTAGCAATTATGAATTAGGCTGTTATAAACATCTGTGTGCAGGTTTTTGTGTGGACCTAAGTTTTCCATTTCTTTGGTAAATACCAAGGAGCAGGATTGCTGGATCATATGTTAAGAGTGTTCAGTTTTTAAAAAGCTGCCAAATTGTCTTCCATAGTAGCTGTACTATTTTGCATTCCTACCAGCAATAAATGGGTCCTTGTGCTTCACATCCTAGTCAGCGTTTGATGTTGTTAGTTCTGGGTTTTGTTCATTCTCAAAGGTGTGTAGTGGTATCTCATTGTTTCAGTTTGAATTTCCTTGATAACGTATGATATGGAGCATCTTTTGAGGTTAATATTTTAAAATACCACAATGGGTAGAAACAGAAATGCCTGTTCTACTCCTGTGCAGAATTAGAGAGCTGAATTCTCTCAGGATGATGAATAGTTTGCAGCCCCAAATATTATGAGCCTTTTTGACAAAAAAAATGAAACAAAAGCAAAAAGACAAAAAACAAACAAAAAACAGAGTAGCTTAGTACTTGGGGTATTAAGAACATGTTGAAAAAGATTGACCCCCTGAGGTTAGTGAGAATTGTTTTAGGTGAAGAAAAGGCAAAAAAAAAAAGCTTCATTCAGATGCAGGACTAAGTGTTTATTATTTGAGTCCAGAAATGGATGGGAGTGAATAAAAGGGGATGTTCCCTTAGTAGGGTGATGTTTTTGGCAACAGTACAACTGATGTTGCAAGAAGGGAAACAGTCTCCAGATGAAAATCTCTTACAGGTTGGCGTTTGCCCAAAACTGAAATGTTGACAGGGAAGTACAGGCACACCCAAAAACATCCTGATTAAATTGCAGGTGTTGTGCAAAACCAAGTGGGAAGAGCAAGTATTTTTAACTAGTAAGCAGATTCTGGTAGTTGCCTTATATATGGTGTGTGTAGTGTGTGATTTTATAAAATCTCAGGAAACAAGGTAACTGTTTTATGCTTTTGTTATCAAGCTAAGTTTTGTGTGGAGAATCATATACTATTTGTTTCGGAATGTACATTTCAAGTTATTTCTAGCGTTTTTTTTTGCAGAAGTAATTCCTCTTAAATAAAAATGTAAATGGAATTTTACTACATAGAAACGATATTTTATTCATAAAATAACCTTATAAGTTCAAATTGAATAAATTTCCTCAGTATATAGTCAATAAATGAAACTAAGGTTGTTTTGATTAATACAAAAACTTGGAATGAGAGCTTACTATGACACTTGTGATTTCACATAATCCTTAGCATCTAATTTAGTTTAGTATTTCTTTTGTATTTACACACTATCAAAAAAGATCCTAATTTACTCAGAAAACTAGTTGCAAATGGGAAGTCTTTAACAGGTTACTATGTAATCTCAGGATACTCTTGCAGAAGAAGCCTTTAATGTGAGGCCCATAAAAAGCAAGTCAAACTGGAAACACAAGTTAATGCATTGATAGTTTCCAATGTGTTAACATCTGGCATAGAGCTTTCTGGAGTGTTTTAAGTATTACGATATTTAAAATATTTTCCCCAAAACACTTAACATGCAAGTTGAGGTCAACATCTGTTGAACTTTTTCCACAGAAGCTCTTCCACAGAAACCTAGGGCTCAAAAGAACACTACTAGTTGTTAGTGGTGATGTGATAATTATCTCAGACTTCTCAAGAACTGAAGAGTATACACTCCAGTAAAATAAACAAGTGGAACACTGTTAAATAAAATAATGTACATTCTTGCTAGGAAATGTCACAAGCAAGACTGGAATCCAGGCTTCTTGGCCTCTTTCATGTTGAATTTTCATGGAGAATGAATTCAACACAGCATGTAATGGTTCACTGATTGTCAATTTTATTCATTTGTCACTTTATTAAGACATGCCTTATGGGCTAGTGCTCTTTCTTTTAATATGTGTTTCACCAACTAGATTTAAAGTCCCTTACCTAAAGGAATTGAGCCATATATTTTTCTGTAGCCACTAGCCCTGTGTGCACATAGTAGGAAATTAATAACATACTTTGGTTATTCATTTAAGAAATATACAAACTTATTCCCAAATAAACACCTATTGTTAATAATTTACTTGATGTGAGACATTCTGCTGATGCTTCTAGCTGTACAATTTTCAGTGCGTAGACTGATCTAGCTGTATATTTTGTTCAAAATCTCATGAGATAATTTTGTTTTCCTAATTAATGAAAGACATATAGATTGAATATCCATTACGTCTCTAGTGCACAGATAATTCTATGGATGCAATGGTGAGTCTTTTGCACAACTATTTCACGTATTATAAACACAAGAAGTTATTCACTAGAAACCATCATGTCAATGGGTAGTCATCATTGCTAAGTTTGTCATTAAATTGGTCTTTTAATGGGGATATTTGGTATTTTCTCTTTCATTTGCAATGATAGCAAATGGTAGCATTTAGATCTGATTTCATGTTGTGGGAAGACTAAAATTTCTTTTTCAGAAATATCCTGGCTTTGCTTAATAATATTTCATGTCCCACTCCTATATGTGAGTGTTATTATCCATCCAAGCAAAATATGTGTTGCCTCTTTAATGTTTGTAACAAGATTTCAATTTTTTCTTAAGCATTAGAGTGAATAATATAGAGTTGGCCTTTTGTTTCTAAAAAAAATGAAAAACTGGCAGTTTCATGTGGTTTTATCTAACGTATGAATCTAACTCAAATCCACAAATTGTTTGTATCCAACTCTTATCAAAAGTTCTGTGGAGAAAAGTGATAATAATGGAAGTTTAGTTTAAAGCAGGGGTCAGCAAAAGTTTTATGTAAAGAGCCAGATAGTAAATATTTAGGTTTTGTGGGCCATATGGTCATTAGAATTACTCTCTACACTACACTAGCATGAAAGCAGCTATCGACGTGAAGTAGATAAATGCATCTGGCTGTGTTGCAATAAAACTTTATTTACAAGAATGGATAATGGGCTGTATTTGGTCTGGGGTCTGTATTTTGCTCACCCCTGCCTGGCTTAAAGGATAGAGAATGATGTATCTGGACAATGTTGCTGTGTTATGAATTGTTATGAATTGCCTTTGCTGAATTAGTCTGTGATGTTTTGCTCTGGGCTTTCACTGGGGAAGAAGTTGAAAAACAACCTTATGAAATTATTTGTTGCATTTGCTCTGGGGATGCCACTGAGAATATTATTCACATGATTAATCAGTATTTCATTCAGAGCTAAAATCTAGAAATGATTTGCTTCTTCCAATGCCTAACTGATTTTTTGACTTTCAAAAATAAGAGTTATGGGGAGGGCAGAGTTGGGGGAGAGCGCCAGAGAAAATAGCTAATGCATGCTGGGCTTAATGCCTAGGTGATGGGAAAATCTATGTAGCAAACCACCATGGCACATATTTACCTATGTAACAAACCTGTACATCTTGCACATGTACCCTGGAACTTAAAATACAAAAAAAAAAAAAAAGGAGTTATAACTGACTGTGTCTCTCCTTTATGCTTTGGCTACTAGTAATATCAACACGAAAGCTGAGGTTCCACTAAAGCAACAATGTCAGTTATGATGTGTAGAGATCAGATTTTCTTTTTTTTTCTCTGTAATTGTTCTTATTTTGACTATATATTCAAATTAAATTTTCTTTGGCTTAAAAAGTTTTGTATTATAATCCACCATTTCCCTTTGCACTATTTATTACAAACTGACTCAAATTCTTGTGGATAATGTTTGAGAGTAAACACACAAAGTAAGTGATACATTTTTTATGTCTGAAAATCAAATTTCCTGCAAAGTTTTAGCATCCAAAGTCTTTTAATCTCAAGCACAAATTACTAAATTCTTTTAATCCAACAAATTTATGAAGATCTACTCTCTTGCCCTCAAGCAGTTTATAACCTGCTAGGGAAGACACATGTGTAAACAAGTAATGACAAAGCAACAAGATAATTCTTACAATGGAGGTATCTATACCAGGCAGCCCGGAGCTTGAGTTTCTAAGGAATGATGCTGTTGCATTATCCCCTCATTGGCATAGTGAGGCCAGTTCAGCAGAAGCAAATCTTTTGTGGATAGTCATTACCTCCTGTGGAAAAACTTCAAGGCATATAAACAAAATGAGGCTTGTACTTCCTCTTTTTATAAGCTCAAAAACTCTTCTATGATTAATTTAGACATTAAAATTCACCTTTTACGAAAACATGTTAATTTCCACCAAGATTTATTATGTATTTGTTAAAGCCATCAGTTTAAGCCTTATATCTAAATTAGACTGTGAATACTTCAAGAGTTTAAAGTTATATTACAGCCTGTAAACTTTTTTTTCACCAGGAAAGCCAAGGCATTTCTCTTCATGTTATTTAATACATACAAGCAAGACTAGTAGATGATTAAAAACCCATAAGTAATATTTTAAGGGCATTAAAGTAACTAATAAAAAATATAAGAAAAAATGTTATTGGGCCAGGCATGGTGGCTCACGCCTGTAATACCAGCACTTTGGGAGGCTGAGGTGGGCGGATTGTCTGAGCTCAGGAGTTCGCGACCAGCCTGGGCAACACAGAAAAATCCCGTCTCTACTAAAATACAAAAAATTAGCCGGGCATGGCTGGCGTGTGCCTGTAGTCCCAGCTACTCAGGAGGCTGAGGCAGGAGAATTGCTTGAACCCAGGAGGTGGAGGTTGCAGTAAGCCGAGATGGCGCCACTGTACTCCAGCCTGGATGACAGTGACTCCGTCTCAAAAAAAAAAAAAGTTATTCATAATAATTATGTCGGTAAATAAAACTCTTGTAATTTTTTCTTTGTTTCATGTGCAAAATAACATCCTTAAAATTATATCTATGCTGTTGTGTTTAAGCAATCATACATTTTTTTTCCATCAAACTATATATTTTTATGTTTATAATGTCAATATCTGAAAATTATTCATTAATTTGTTAGCAAATATTTATCAAGCACCTATTATGTGCCAGGTTCAGTTCCATATACAGTGGATACTGTAGTGAACGAGATAGGCAGTCCTTGACTTCATGGAGGCTACAATCTAATGGAAGAAGAGAGATGATAAAGATAGAGACAAATTTTTAGGAATACATATTTAAATAGTGATTAGAGCTATGATAAAAATAAAAGATAGAGATGGGAAAATAAGATGTTGGAGGATGGTGGTGGGTGGTGATCTACAAAGGTCTTTCTTTTTTTAATTATAATTTTTTAAATTTTAAAAGGTTTCTTGTAGAGATGGAAGGTCTCAGCATGTTGCTTTAGGCTGCTCTTGAACTCCTGGCCTCAAGTGATTCTCCTGCCTCGGCCTCCCAAAGTGCTGGGATTACAGGCATGGACCACCACACTCAGCCTTAAAGGCCTTTCTAAAGAATGATGAGAAGGATCCAGCCATGTGAAAACCTGGCAGGGAAGAGAAAGTATTTAGAATTTATTTAAGATTCTCCTATAGTCAGGGAATTAAGTTACTCATAAATTTTTAATATCAACAATATTATAGAAAACATAACTATATGCAATCTTTATTCTTACCTGCAATGGGAAAAATGTCTTTTAATAAATTATCCTTATTATGCTATTTCAAATGAGTAACATGAAGTCATTTTGGTTTGCCTGCAGATGCTTCACTCTGAGGTTCTGAGCCTGTTCCTAAGGAGAACAATTCTATTGAAGCTTCATTTCTTTTCTTCCAGGATGGAGCTTCCAGGATAGAGCTTCTTTTTTCCTCATGGCCTTGACCACCTAGAATGCCACTAGAATGGAGGTGAAACTGCGGTACATATATGGAGGGTTTGGAGGGTGGCTTAAGGATAAAATAGGAAAGAGGGAGGCAGATGGTAGGAAATGAGACTGGCACTCAATCATTTGAAGCTTACTGAAAGATTATACGATATTAAAAGTTAACATTCGAAGTTGTCCTGTCCTCTCACTATGGAAACGTTTATAATCAGCCAACAGAGAATAAGAATGTTGTCTGATAATGAACTATACTTTCGTGGTCACCCAGGTATTGCAGTATATAGTTGAGAGGTTAAATAGGCATGTGGTTAAAACATATATAAAATATCTTTAAATTTTCTTTTTTAGAATACGTTCTCAGAATTGGGACTTCCAGGTCAATGGCTATGATTATGTTTGTGGTTCTTGATATATCACCACATTGTTCCTAAACAGACTCTGTGTATCAATTTACTAGCCCTCCAAGAGCATCCTCTGAGGCCTATCTCACCAGACTGGTTGATATTTAAAACACAATTTAAATTCTTACATGCCAGGATTGAACTGGAGACTGATTGTCTAAGTGATCATCTGCTAAGTCTGGATAAAAGCACACACTGAACACCCTCACTGTTGATCCACAGTCTAAAACCCCCAATAGAGCATGCTTCTCCCCTCCTTTGGGCAGCCCTCCTGCACATGTAGCTTTTTGGCAACCCTATGAATTCTGTGTCTACCACATAGGCAGATTCTAGATTCCAAATGGCTAGTGTGAGAAAAGATAGCTTCCAGTGAAAAGTGACACTCCCTGGCCACATCCAACCATACACATACTGTCTCAAGCCTAGAAGAAATTATTGCAAATTCTGTAAGCTACTCTACTTTTGGTTCGTTTTTAGGGGTTAATACTGTGATTAAAATGTTTATCTCACTAGTTTTTGGTTTACAAATTTCCGATATCTATGGACAATCTGCTATGACTCATAAGGATTTAGAAAATCCCTCACTTTCTTTTTCCTGTCTTAATATAGTTATATTATTATTTTTAATTCCTCTATCTGTGACTTTTATAACTTCACATAATGTGTGAAATATTTATACCTTATTCTGTCAGCCCATGATTTTCAAATTTCAAAAATAAAGGTATACTAACATCTCTATTATTTTCTTCATTTCACTTCACCCCTCGACTCGTAGCTTCAATCATAAGCAATGTTTATATTATCAAAAAATATTCATAATATTTCTCTGTTATTTTGTGACCATAATTAAGCCTTTCATTCTCTGCGTGTAGGAGGTGTTGAAACTTCAAATGCTACAGAGGCCAGAGAGGCATGAGTTAATGGGATTTACATATCTTTTTGGTTTGGCCAGTGCAAGCTCAATGTTGCCTGCATGAATATTGGATCCAGTGATGCAAATCTCCTAGTGTTTTCAAAGAAGGTTGCCAATGCAGACATTTATGTGGAAACTCCAGATTTAAAACTCTAGATTTAAAAGTAGTGGAAACTCATTCAATCAAGATACACACACGAACACAGAGTAGGTCAAATAAAGCACTTCTGTGAGTTGGAGTTAGCATTTGGCTACCAATTTGTGATTTCAGGTGCATAGGCTGTGTCTAAAATTTGTAAATACACAAGTACCATTCACATTTTTATAATATTAAAATACTGTTCATAGCATATCAAATAGTGTGTTAAGTTCTATTCTTTAATAGCTATTTTTTTCTGCTTTTCTTTGAGTTTCTAATTTTTGTTCTCTAATTTACATTGTCTCTCTTTATTAAGTTCTTAAATTATTTCAGTTACTAAGGAAAGTGTCAATTTTAATAAGTCTTTATTTTTTCTGGGTGCCTCTTTGCTCCATCTGGACTAATTGTTCTTTTGAACTCTTTGCAGTTTTCATCTAACCACTAATAATTCTTATTTTTCTGGCATGGTTCCCTAATCTCTTGGCTTGAAGTTCTCCTTTCTTGGTTTCCTCCTTTCTTTTTTTTTGGAAAGCATCCTTAAGTAAGTTACTAAGAGAGGATGTGTGAGATTCCGATGTAAACATTCTGAATCTTTATATATCTGAAATACTTTTATTCCACATTATAGGAGGGGTCTTCAAAAAGGTCAAGGAAAATGGATATTATGAAAAACTATGCATGGATTTCAAAAGTTTTTGCACAAAAATGAGCTCATACTAATTTGTTATAACATGTTTGAACAGGATTTAGTTTGAGGCACTAAGAAGGATAAGAAATCAGTGTCAAAAAAGCCCCTATTCTCTAATAATAGCAACATAAATTCTGCTAATAATGAAGCAAGAACAAACATCAAATTTATGGTAAAACTTGGATGGAAGAATGGTGAAATCATTGATGCTCTATGAAAAGTTTGTGGGGACAATGTCCCCAAAGAAAAACAGTTTACAAATGGATGACTTGTTTTAAGAAGGGATGACATGGTGTTAAAAATGAATCTTTTAGTGGCTAACCATCCACATCAGTTTTTGAGGAAAAAGTTCATCTTATTTGTGCCCTAATTGAAGAGGACCAACAACTAACAGCAGAAACAATTGCCAACAACATAGATGTCTCAATTAGTTCAGTTTACACAATTTTGTGTGAAAAACTTAAGTTGAGCAAACTTTCTACTTGATGGTTGCCAAAGCTGTTGCACCCAGATCACCTGCAGACAAGAAAAGAGTTTTCAATGCAAATTTTAACAACTGGGATCAAGATCCTGAAGCATTTCTTCAAAGACTTGTAACAGAAGATGAAACATGGCTTTACTGGTACAATCTTGAAAACAAAGCACAATCAAAGCAATGGCTACCAAGAGGTGGAAGTGGTCCAGTCAAAGCAAAAGTGGACCAATCAAGAATAAAGGTCATGGTAACAGTTTTTTAGGATGCTCAAAGCATTTTGCTTTTTGACTTTCTGGAGGCCAAAGAATGATAACATCTGCTTATTATGAGAATGTATTGAGAAAATTAGCCAAAGGTTTAGCAGAAAAATTCCTGGAAAACCATGACAATGCTTTTTCTTAGTCTTCTCATCAAACAAGGGCAATTTTGTGAGAGTTTTGGTGGGACCTAATTAGGCATCCACCTTACAATCCTGATGTGGCTCCTTCTGACTTCTTTTTGTTTCCTAGTCTCTCAAAAAATTGGTGAAAAATGCACCTGTTTTTCTTCAATTAATAATGCAATAAAGACTGCCTTGACATGGTTAAATCTCCAGGCCTCTCAGGTTTTTTTTTTTTTTTAATACAAAGAAACTTTTATTTGCATATCAAAGACTCTAAGAAATGATGACATAAGGTTAACAGAGTTGGTGTCAAGACACAAATAGGTTTGAAGTTATAGATGATAAATCACTTTGTTTCATTGAACGTTCCCTTGATTACGTTAGAGAGCATCCCTGGCATGCTCTCAGTTGAATCTTAAGCATGATGTGTCCAGGTGATATAATTGTAATTCCTTTCTGTTAGTCCTTGTTATCTCTCTTTTTTTTCTTTTTCTTCTTTTTCTCTGGACTAGGAATTGTTGTGCAGTTCTTTAAGGATGAACTGAATGGCTGGTATCATTGCTTGCAAAAGAGTCTTGAACTTGATGGAAAATAAAGTTTGAAAATAAAGTTGAAAAATAAAGTTTGTACTTTTACTTTTTATCCTTTAATTCCATTTTTCATGAACTGAAAAGTCCCCTTATATTTGACTGCTAATTTAACTAGATATAGAGCTATCAGTTTAAAATTATTTTTTCTGACATTAAAGCTATATTTTTCATTGTGACTACTGTTTTTAAGTAAGCTTTATTAACTGTTCACTTTTTAATTTGTTTACTTTTATAATTTTGCAATGCTTTCATTATTTAAAAGGAAAGATAAAAATGGTCATTTATTTATAATAATCATTTATATCAATATTAGGAGGGAAATGTAGACAAATCTAAGGAGAACAGACTGAAGAAAACAAAGCTGGCATTGCTCATTTGAAATCTGATACCATGCTTAGTTCCATTTATATTTTTCTCTATCTAGAAAGTTTTAGGATTCTGTCTTTATTTTTTTGGGTTCTAAAATTTCACAATGATGTGTTTAAAGTTGGAGTATATTTTATTTCCCAAGGCACTTGGTAGAATCTTTCTTAATTTGGTAGCACATTCATGTTCTTTAGTCCTAGGAAATTCCTTTTTACAAGTTTTTATTTAAAAAAAAATTTTGTCCTTTTTTTTTGTGTGTGTGTGTTAGACGGAGTCTTTCTCTGTTGCCAGGCTGGAGTGCAGTGGCATGATCTCGGCTCACTGCAACCTCCACCTCCTGGGTTCAAGCGATTCTCCTGCATCAGCCTCCTGAGTAGCTGGGACTACAGGCATGTACCAGTACGCCTAGCTAATTTTTGTATTTTTAGTAGAGACGGGGTTTCACCATGTTAGCCAGGATGGTCTTGATCTCTTGACCTTGTGATCTGCCCGCCTCAGCCTCCCAAAGTGCTGGGATTACAGGCGTGAGCCACTGCACCCAGCCTTATCCTCAATCTCTCTC
Organism: Homo sapiens; assembly: GCF_000001405.40. Classification (NCBI taxonomy): domain Eukaryota; kingdom Metazoa; phylum Chordata; class Mammalia; order Primates; family Hominidae; genus Homo; species Homo sapiens. The sequence continues at coordinate 89,170,712 of NC_000012.12, read as the reverse complement.
TCTCTCTCTTTTCTTCTTTTCTGTTCTTCTTTTATGGCATTAATGGAAGTTGCCATTTGAAAAGTCATCTGGAATACTCAACATTTGGCCTTCTTAAATATTTAATCTTAAAAAGCACCCAGATTTACCTTTACCTTTTCTTTTTTTTTCTTTTTTGAGACAGAGTCTCACTCTGTCACCCAGGCTGGAATGCAGTGGCGATATCTTGGCTCACTGCAATCTCCGCCTCCCGGGTTCAAGCAATTCTTCTGACTTAGCCTTATGAGTAGCTGGGATTACAGACACCTGACACCACACTTGGCTAATTTTTGTATTTTTAGCAGAGATGGGGTTTCACCATGTTGGCCAGGCTGGTCTTGAACTCCTGACCTCAAGTGATCCACCCACCTCGGCCTCCCAAAGTGCTGGGATTACAGGCGTGAGCCACCACACCCGGCCTAGATTTACCTTTTCATTCTATTTTATAACTGGTTGTTTTCCTCTTTTGACTTTATTTTCTTCATTCTGTACAATTTATACATCTAAATAGATTTAAAAGCAAACAGTTAGTAAGACTTACTTTTAAAAACTGCAGTTACTTTCCCAACTCCTCTCTATCCTCAATTTCCATTTCTATATTAAATTCTTCCACTTGTTTCTTCCAGTATTTGTTTCCATATTTCTAAATAATGTGTTTATACTGATTTTTTTTCAGTTTTAGGTATTATCTATTAATTTCTTACTCTGAAGGCAAAGATTTTATTTTGTAAGACATGCCTCTTCCTCCTTCCCCTGGAAACACTTTTCTTTCCTCATTTTCCAAATGTAACCATGTTACTTTTTAATTAAATCAATATTCAGTACTTATATTTTTGTAACTACATAGATTTTATTCACAGATGACCTACGTCATGTTCTCTAAGCTTTCTTTTCTATAAAATTTTAATTTTTTGGAGTCATTGTCTAGCTTTTTTTTCTTCTGTTTAATTGTCTGAGTACCTATCACAATTCAAGTCCAAACATTTGCCAAAATTCTAAATCTTCTCTCAATGCATTCAAATATGTCAAATAATCTCTTAAATTTATTTAAAATCCTTGAAGTTATCTCCCCTGGATGGAGGGATTTGGTTCTTTCTAGTCCGGCTACGCTGTTATTTCTTTAGTTATCTCCCTTCATTATCATCATGGAAATTCCCTTCAACTCTCTCCTGTATTGGAGAGCCCGCTTCCTGGTTCCCATCTCCTGGTTCCTCTTTCGTGTCTTTCTTTACCAACAAATTCCACAGAAAGGGAGCATGGGAGGTGCATTTTTTTGAGACCCTTCGTGTCTAAAACATTTTTGGTCTGTTTTCACTCCTGATGGATAATTTATTTGGGCATAGAGTTCAATATCAAATGTCATTTCTCTTAGAATTTTTAATGCATTACTCCATCACCAGGATTGCAATTGAAAAATCAAGTACAATGTTATTTTGATTTTTGACTTTATGTAGATGAACTTTTTTTTTTTTCCTAATTTTGGAAGATCTTGGACCTTTCACTCTTGGTATTTTGATTTTGAAAGTTCATGATTTTGGGCCGTGGTGTGGATTTTCCATTATTCATTGTATTGAGAATCTGGTGGGTACTTTCAAGCTCAGTTCTTAGAAACTTTCTTGGATTATTTCTTTGACAAAACTTTGCCCTTTGTGTTTCTCTATTCTATTTATCTGGAATTTCTGTTGATTAAATGTTGACCGTTCTGGCCTATTTTTCTTGTGTCCTAACTCTTTGTCTTTTGTTTTACTTTCTAGGTTACTGTCTCCACTTCATCCCTTCTATGCAATCCTTCTATTGCATGTGAAATTTCTGATATCATACATTTAATTTCCAGAGCTCTTTCTTGTATTCTTAATGTTCTGTTAAAAATAGTATCTTGCTTTTTGTTCCAATAGCTATGATATCTTCTCTTTCCTCTCTGAGGATATTAATTTATTTGGACAACAGTTTTTCTGTTTCTACCCTGTCTCATCTCTCCCAGTTACTTTTACTGTGTGTTTATGTTGGTTGCTGTCCCTGTTGTTAGAGGCTTTTCTTAAATGTGCTGTGCTCTCTGATGTCCGCTCATAGACTTAAGTTTGATGAATTAAAAGACTGACTGGGAGCTCTGATGGGCTTTATGCTAGCACAATTGAACTAAATGTTTCACTGGAGTATCTATTATCATCACTATCCGTAGATTTTTTTTGTTATAGAATGGTCCTTCTAAGACTTCCTGCCCAGGAGTCTAACCTGTGTGCTGGTGCAGAAAGGGGGCTCCCACTATTCAATGTCAACTGTGCTTTAAGTGTTTAATTTTCATTATGTTCCTCTGACTTCAGCGATTTGTAGTATGAGATCCCTCTGCTTTAGTCTCTCCACACAGTAGTTTTTTGTTGGGTCGAGAATGGAAGTTCTCTGACTGAGTAGGTTAGGAGAGGCAGAGCTGGACAAGGGGTAAGGGTAACTGCTTTTGGCTTCTGCTCCAGAAGTTGCTTTCAAATGTGTCTGTTTACCTTTACCTCCTCTTTCAGAGGTCAAAGTTGTCTTTGATTTTGAAACTTTCCAGGGTTCTTTGATGTAAACAAGCTTTATTCCTTTTCATACTCCATTGTTGATGTGTTTAAATTTTCTGCTTTTTAATAAGTTAGTCATCTCCATTTGTTGGCTTCATAGATGCCGTAATTTTCACACTGGCATTCCCTTCCCTGTCCCCATATTCCTTGTACATTTGTGTCTTTTTTCCATATCTCTGGTGTCATTTTAGTGGAGTGTGGGAAGGAAATGAAAATCAAAACATGCTCAAATTGCCACATTTAACAGAAGTCACTCTTTTATTTCTAATTCAACATTTATTTAATAGGATATTAAAGTCTGGGAGAATTTTAAAATGAAAAAGTCACATAAAATATCTTTGCTTTAGTACAACTATTTTGCAAATTATTTTTCAAGTATTGGCATATTTTGTCCCAGTTTTACTCATATTACACATAATCATATTTACTTTTTGATTTAATATTTCATCATAAATATTGTCTATTTTCCTAGAGAATATTTGCAGTTGTGGCCTTATAATGTTGTATTGTGTTGATGTCACACTATTTGCTCAATTAGTCTCTCATATTACGTTCTAATTTTCCCTGGTTATTAATAATATCAAAACGAACACCTCTTTACTCTTTTACCTTTCTTAACTTGTTTCTTAAAAATACATTCCTTGACGTGCAATCACTGGATCCAAGAGGAAGGACATCATTATGGGTCCTGTTACACATTTCTGTACTAATTTTCCAAAAATTTTCTGCCACATTTTAATGCCCCTTCGATGAATGAGGATATAATAGTAATTTTACAAAAATGATTTTTATTAACAACTTGGCTTTTCAGGGCCCTGTCACAAAACACAGATCTTGTTTAAGAGAAGTGTTTTTCTAAACCGTCTTTGGTGTTTAGATGTCTCTGAGAATCTGATTAAGGCTATTAAAGTGAATGTCCTTAGCTACATGGAGTGACACACAAACACACATACACACCTCTACACATACTTTCAGGTACTCGATGACCTCCTCTGAAGCCCATTCTATGGACTCTGGTGTAAGACCCCAATCTCTAGAGAAAGCAACTTCTAGAGCTGTGAACTTCGCAATTCCTGTATTGTTGAGAAATTCAAACAGATAAAATGGAAACACTCAATCTCTAAGGACCTCATATCCTGGGATTCACATTGTTTTTCCCTTGCCACCATGATTATGGGGCCATGGAGACTGACAAGAGGCTGATTCTTCTAATCTTTGCTTAATTCCTTCTACTTAGCTTTGCCTCTTTGCCCTGAATTTATTATATAGAAACGTGATCACTACAGAGGTTGGGCACACAAACTTTAGTCAAAAAATGAGCAAAACAGGAAGTTTCAGTGGAGATTGGGTGTGAGAAACTTAGAGAAAAATAATAGAAAGAAGAACATGTGGAACTAAGAGTGGCCTATTCTGAAGCATTGTATAATCTTACATGATAAAATGCATATTGAGGAACTGAAATTAGAACTTTTGGTAACCATGGGAACAGCACTGTTATGGCTCAATTGTTAGAGAAACAGTCCTGGGATTTCTGTGAAATGAAAATGATTGTTTAGATAATGACACATCTGTAGTGTGAGGACTGATAGTGAAGTCCCAGTGTAATTGGAAGTAGTAGGCCAAAATGTGAGGAGTTTCTCAAACCCAAAATTCCAAAATATTTCTCTTAAAATAAATACAATTCAGATTTATAGGAAATTTCAGCACTTGCAGTTTTGCAGTGACTTCTTTGAAATTTTATAGCCATAATTTTCCTATATGTCCATAATTTTCCATTTCCCTCTTCTTTGCATATTCTATATTTAGCAGTTTTTCAGTAGCTTGCTCCTGGAAAAATGTCATGTGAGGTTTTTATTATTCTAGTCTCCAAATCCCAGAGTTAATTTTAGAAAGAGAATTTAGGAGTTAGATGCGGAGTAATCTTAAAGTGGAAATTTATCTACATATAAGGAAGTATTTAGGTCTTGGTATCTTTGCTATGGAGAAACTTTATATGAATAAAATAATTAGCATTTATTTAAAATATAACGTGTACCAGGAGCTATGCTTTTTGCTCACAAATACAAACATCTCTGACAATTTGTTTTATCACTCTTGATGTTTACAGAAGATTAAATTGAGGCTTCTAGAGGATAAGTAATTTCTCTAAGGTAAAATCAGTAAGTGACCACATTGTGACTGGACCTCATCCCTTAGTTTCCATGTCTTTTTATATTCAAAGCTTATGTACTTTCCACCACTCCATGTGGTCTAAGATCTGAATCTGCTACAGTTTGCTAAGGCTAGGGACATCTGTATGCTGTTTATGATTCCCTGAAAAATCAAGAATTCTTATTGTTGGTCCTGGTGTCTTTGGAAAGCCCTTCCCCTAAGTCATTACAACCTCCTAACTCTTCATAGCTCATTTCAAATGCCACATTCTTGCACTGAGCTTTTTCTCTATCTGCTCAGCTGAACTATCTCTCCTTCCTTGACCTTTCCATGACATTCCGTTTTACATTTCTTATGTTCCTTGATAACTTTCCTGTTTTACTGTCCATGGTTTAGCTACTTGAGGGCGACTTACACACAATAAATGTTCATATGTTGCCACTTCATTCATTGTACATAGGTAGTTTTTGTTGAGTGACCTGATTGTGTTGTTCTCTATATGTCTTCAAGTGACTGGACTGAATGGAAGATAAATATCTGCAGAAATAAGGGTAATAATGAAAAAGTATAATGTTTTAGTCCTTTTTCTCCATTGAGGAAATTTCTGTAGAATGGGTAGTCTCTGTAGAATGGGTAGAAAATAAAATGAATGCTTTAGAAAAAGACGGAGATGAATTTCCCTTAATGCCCAAAAAGACTTTGGGCCTAGACCTCCATGCACCTGCATTCAGCAGACATTGTGTGGCCTGCAAATCCCAAAATATTTACTATCTGGTCCTTTGAGGGTGTTTGCCAATCCCTGATTTAGCATATTAGTTATCTATCGCTATGTAGCAACACCAAAATGTAGTAGCTTAAAATAACAAACATTTATTCAGAGATACAGATAAAGGCTTCTGTAGGTAAGCGAGTCTGGCTTAGGGTCTCTCATGAGGTTTTAGACAAGCTGTTGACCAGGTTTTCAGTCGTTTCAAGGTTTGACTGAGGCTAAGGAATCCACTTCCAACTTCACACAGGTGGTTGCTGGGAGACCTCAGTTCCTCACTGGTTGCTGGAGAGAGAGAGAGAGAGAGAGCGCCGCTTCCAACTTCACACAGGTGGTTGCTGGGAGACCTCAGTTCCTCACTGGTTACTGGAGAGAGAGAGAGAGAGAGAGAGAGAGAGAGAGAGAGAGAGAGAGAGAGATAGTCTCTTATACCCAAAATTAGAGGTTACATACCATTACTTTCACCATATTCAGTTTGTTAGAAGTGACCACTAAGTACAACCCACATTCAAGGAGGATTATATAAAGGAATGGACATCAGGAGGCAGAGGTTATTGGGAGCTATCTCGAATTCTGACTATCAGACTATCACAATTAGTAACTTACCACCACCCACCCCTGCCCCACTAAATTTTACCCTTTTATACCTTTTATATTCTCATGCTATATGTGGATGTGGACTTGTGTCACTGTAGCTCTGGAATTTAGGACTATGATAACCAAGGTAAGCCAGATAGTGAAGAGTTGAAGTCATTTTAATGAACAGTCCAACTCTGAGATAGCAAGTCTTGTTGGTGCCTGTGGACCAAATTCACACTAAGACTCCAGAGGTTAGAGATACAGTACTTGGGAACCCATACGGACAAATCCTTACATATGGTAAGGATTCAGAAAGAATAGAGACCAGTGGTTAAGGCAAGTCTAGTTTGTGGCAAGGTAGGCAATTAAGAGAGCACATCAATAACAATGAGCACTTTTTATTTGTGAATTCATTCAGTATTCAACAAATATTTACTGATCTCCTGCTAGGCCCTAGGTGCTATTGAAGGCTTTGGGGATTTAGCAACAAACTTGGAAGCAAAGACGGCCTCAGGCAGGAAATATCTTACAGCAGATGCTTCCTTTGTATGTTGACAGAGCCAACAGGTGACTTCCCAGAACTTGACCTTTTTCAGTATTTGTGTGCAGAAGATACTTACATAAAAAGGTAATAGGTAGAGTTAAGTATATCCAGGGAAATGGAGACAGGTCCTAGAAACTTTTTAATGCATATACAGTCCTTCTTAGCTCAACTGAATGCTTTAAAAATGCTTGCTGCCCCAAAGTTTGTGAGTCCAGACACTGGCATGGAATGGCAGGGTCTATAAAAGCTATACATTGTTGAAAGGATCAATATGCTGCCTTGTTTTTCTTACCTGCTTTATTTAGCCATTTTTAGTATAGTCATATCTTTCACTAGGCTCAAACTATTTATTTAACAATCAGATCTAAAATTCTGCTCTAGAATCCTCAACTCAAAACCCAAACCATTTTTCTTCATATTAAGATGGGTGCAGAGAAGAGAGATTGGGGGAGGAGGGTGAGTTTTCTTGATCGATCCCGAAGAAGTCAGGCTGATTTGGCGATAAGATCCTTTGTCTGTGCTAGTTGGGTTGAAGAATAATCATGGTGGCCCTGCCTCCAGGACATTGCAAAAGTTTTGATGTGTCAATGAAGTTAATTTTCTCTGTGTATGTGATTGAAAGTCCTTTTTAGGATCCTGTTAGACCCAAATATTCCATCGCCTGTATTTACGTCAGTGGTTTATTGGTGTGGAATTTTTTAATGGCTCTCTGGGACAGACTTACACTCTGAGCTCTGTAGAGCTCAGAGAAATGTTTATTTCAGCCATCCACCTTTCAAAAGGGAGAGACTTGGAGGAAAATACAAATTTGAAAATTTATTGTTTCGAATGTGAATCTGTGAGGAAAATGGAAATGTAATTTCTAAATGAAATAACAGCAAAGCAAAATATTGATGTATACTAGGTAGCCACAGCCATCTCTGACTGTGAATACTTTTTCTTGGAGATTGTAATATCTGATGCCAGATACACACATGTTTTACACTTATTCAGCAGTTAAAGGTAAGAGGTTGTGAAACTCTAAATAAGCCAGGAAAAAAAAAAAGAGGCAAAGGGCTGAGTCTGAGTGAGTAAGGGAAGATAAATCAGATGAGATTGCATGTTGATGACACTCCCTAGTGTTGCTCAACAGCAATATCTGACAAACAGCAAGAGAAAAAGGAAACATTTTGGCAGAGTCAGCCACCCCCAGCAACCCTCTTCAAAACCCTGCTAAGAAATCCCCACCACTGGATGAGTTATTTCCTCTTTCTGCAGTATGAGTACAATGGGAAAAAAAATAGGCCCTAGAGCTGAAATATTGAAGTTAGGAAACAGTGGCATGAGTAACAACACAGAAATGAATTAGACAGGCCTAGAGGCACAGATCTTCCATCTAGAGGGCTCGAGTTTTGAAGTCCGTTTTGGTACAGTGGGTATTTGGACCATCTTTCAAGACTGTTATGATGTTTTGTTTATGACCATCCTTTTTACTCTTCACTTTGCTTATTAGCTCCTCCCGCCTGGAATCAAAAGGAACTGTACCTCCCTCAACCCCTGTGTAGCCCCACCAGAATCGCTTTGGAAGTGCTTATGCTTTCTTCAAAGCCCAACTGAAGTCCATTTTCCTCCAAGAAGCTGTCTAAGCTCTTCTAGTTCAGAATTAGCCTCTTTCTCTTTTCTTCTCTTAATGAATATCTTTAGTCTTTTATTAAATTGGTCACAGTGCCCTTTATCTGCAAGTTATTTATACATTTTTTTTGTCTTCTCTATTGAGTTAAAAAACCTCCTGAGAGCAAAGGCCTTGTCATTAACATTTTTATGCTTCCTATACCATTTACTTGGTGATAAGAGGGCTGTAATAAGCCAATGTAATAAGTCATTATTGACTTAAAGTATAAACTCTTAATAAATATAATAAGGATTAATAGGTTCCTAGTCAAAAGTACCTTAACTGTGTTTTTTGCAGATAGAACAGATCAGTCTCTATTTTGTTTTATAGAATGCTGATGAAATAAACTAAGCTATTTTTTAAAAAATCCCAGGGAAGCAAGTTTTTATTTTTATTTTTATTTTAGAACTGTTTGATTAAAAGGTAAAAGAATTTCTCCACCTATCTTTGAGTTCCTTGGAGACACAAGACCATGTACTTGTCCTGTTGGCATCAGGTTAGAGTTATGGTAGGTTCTAGAACATTTTAATTTTTACCCTCTTACTAGAGAAACCTGCTATTTAAACAGAGTTCCATTTCTTAAAAAATAAGCAGACTAACTTTCACCAAACGCTACAGTTTTCTCCCTTCATCCTCCTTCCCAAGCCTCTCAAATGTGTCATTTACGCCTATTGGCTATACTTGCGAAATTGTGCTTCCCTTTCCTAACTCTTTGCATTAACTGGCTTTGATCTTCATCACCCTCCAGAAGCAGTTCTCTAAAAGGTCAATAGTGGCATTCTTTTTGTCAAAATCTCTATAGCATCTATAGTTGATAGCCTGATCTTTGTGACTCCCTGCTGTCTTGGCTTTCACATTTCTCTGTTTTTTTTTTTTCTAGGGGGTAGGATAACTAATTTGTGAAACACACATGTCCGTATGTCTGTTTGCGCTATTGGTATATTTGAAGCTCATCACAATTCTCTGAGGCAGGGGTCATTCTTGTATACTATCACTTGAGTATAGATTTTTTGGTTTTGTCTCATTGGTCAATCACTTTGTAGAGGTAGGCTGGTTGAAAATTCACTGAGAGTGGAATCCATGCACTCCACCTCTTCTCCATCACCCACAGTGCCTGACACAGCAAATATTTTCAGACTTAATAAATATTTGTTGACTGATTGTAGTTGAAAGTGCTCAGGTCTTGAAATAGAAGAACAACATGAACATTGACCAGATTTTGGTTGAATTTCTCTGTTTTTCAAAGTGCTGGCAGAAAACTCCTTTCATAAACCATCTTAAAGGAAAAATGACTCCTTCATAAGATCATATTTGACACTAATTTAGAAAACCATTAGCAACTGTCACAGGTAGGTCAGAGCAGGCTTCCCTCCAATGACAGGAGAACCTCTCAGCTGGAAGTGATCGAACCCTGAGGTCTCCATCTGAATTAAATCAGGGTGATTATATTTATTATCTGCTCTCGGCATCTTTGCCAAGTTTCTGAGTCAGATGCACTGAATTTGTACTTTCTGTCTGACACGCAGATATCTTATCCCTCATTTCCATGTGAGATTAAGACTGGCCCCGGGTGAAATGAGAGCATGGGGGCGGTGCTGGTGAAGTTAGTCTGTGTGTCACCCTCTCCATTTCCTCTTACACTCCCTTTATCCCCTTTCAGTTCCTCCTTTCCCACCAGGTGCCAGAGGGGTTATGCTTCCCCATAGTCTTTCTTGGCATTGGGGAAGTGATGGGAACTAACTTTTTTTTTTAAGTGTCTACTATGAAGCACATTATTGGGCATTCTTGAGTCATTGCTTAAGTTTTTAGTCCCTTTGCCTCCATGAGACAGCTTTTTATTATTTGGGTATCACAGAGATTGAAACTGAGGCTTTGAAAGGGTAGAAAACATGTCCAAATCACACAGCTTATAAATACAAAGGTGGGATTTAAGATCTGCCTGTCTGACTCCAAAACATCTGGGCTCCTGATATTGTACAAGGTCAGCTCCTCAGAGGAAAGGGATGAGATAAAATTATTTCCCATGGAGAGCTTTGTAACTTATGGTAGAAGGAGACGTTCTTTTCCAATAGAGTTTCAGCAAATTTGCTATGGTGAGAGGACTGGAACATTTAGGGCGGTGGAGGCTGTATTTTATCTGTGTATAAGACTAATTTCGGGCAGGATCCTCTCATGCTAATATGTGTCTCATAGCATTGCAGTTGATCTCTTCAACTGAGCATCTTTAGCTACCTGAGGTGCATTACTTAGCATTCATCACTTAAAGACTTTTTTTTTCTTTGACAGATGTTCTTTCATTACTCCTGGGAAAATAAATTTAGTGGGCTAAGCCCTTCATTTTAATCAAAGGAAAAGCCTAATTTAAAGCAAGGGGCAAACTCTGCCATCAGCACTAAGTTAATTAACCATGGTTATGTGTGCATAGGGTTCAGAAGAATCCCTCTGCACTTGTTGATGTCATAGAGCTCAACTATGACTTGCTTGATGATGCAGGCTTGCAGGTTTTTAGATGCTTCTCTGGGGCAAGGACCATGGCTGGAGCAGTGAATGGTTCCTCGTTACCCAAGAAAAATTTATGTACATAAAATACTTATATACATAAAGTTCCTGAAAATGAATCCACTTATAATATTTTAAGAATAATGAAAATAAAGGGGATTGGGCCTATATCTTCAAAGGGAAACTAAATCTCATAATTTGTTTATTATTATATTTAAATTAGGTTAAATTATACTTAGCACTTTAAGGAAACAAACACAGATGAATCAAATGCTGATCACTCATTTTTGGCTTAATTGTTGAATAAAAATATATGATAGCAATATGGAAATCCTCATTTAATATATGTATGACTTTGACAATGTGGCCACAATGAGGGTGCTTTTTGAAGTAAGTAAAGTAAGGACTTTGTTAGTTTTCTTAAGGGACTTTTTTTTTTGTTAATTTTCCCAATGACTTTTTTGATTTCTTGAATTGCATTCTATTTTTGTTTTTTTCTTTTGAGACAGGGTCTTACTCTGTCACCCAGGCTGGAGTGCATGGCGGCATCACAGCTCATTGCAACCTCCTGGGCTCAAGCAATACTCCCACCTCAGCCTCCCCAGTAGCCAGGACTACAGGTATGCACCACCATGCCTAGCTAATTTTTGTATTTTTAGTAGAGACTGGGTTGCATTATGTTGGCCGGGCTGGTCTCGAACTCCTGACCTCAAGTGATTTGCCCACCTTGGCCTCCCAAAGTGCTGGAATTACATGCATGAGCCACCGTGACTGGCCCTTAAGGGCCTTTTAAAATCCTTTTTTATTCATATATAGATATATATTTTTTGCCATGCCTATCACATCAGCATCCTTGCTGATTTCCTATTTATTATTCAGTAGGTCTACCTCTGTTAGCTTATTTGGCTTATGCGTGTGTGTGTGTGTGTGTGTGTGTGTGTGTGTGTGTGTGTGTGTGTGTGATCCAACACGTTTTTCAACATTACTGTTAGCCTTATGAAATCCTACAAGTTTTGCGATGTTTGCCATTTTGCTTGGCAATCTTTTGGTTTGCCTTTGAATTGTTTGATCTAATGTGTATGACATTCATACCATTGGTTAGAATTGCTAGTGTTGTGATGGGTGGGGATACAAGCCAGTGTTCAGTGGAGGGGGGTAAGTGGTGACTAGTATTATAACAGATCAGTCAGCCCTTTGTGAATATTTTTGTAATACAGTAATTTTGGCTTCCTCAGGCCACCATGTAATTGTTGGATGGTCATAATGCATGTTCAAATAATGACTTCCTGAACTCAAATGTTTGAATTACATGGAACTGACCTTGCCTGGATCTGTTCTCAACCTATAAATGTAGCAGATGTGAGGAGCCCACAGGCTCCTGGCTGCATGCACATAGATCAACTAAATCCTCTTCCAGCCATTTTGGTGTGCATGAATAGAGCTGAAAGCATTCCAGTACTGCTGGAATGTTAAATCTTGAATCCAGAGATCTGCTTGAAGGCTTATAGTTATCTATATTGTGATGCCTTTCAACAGATCTAAGAGGTTGTGTAGTTTTGATTCAAAGTGGGCTAAAGGGTTGGTAAATCTGAATGAAATTTGGGTTTCAGGCCTGTTCTGTTATTGGTATATTATGCTTTTTGAGAGGTATATTATGCTTTATGAGCCTTAGCTTCAGTTGACTTCAATATTGTCATTTTTGTGTCTTTTAATGTCATTTATAATTATATTCTATGTGATTATAACTTAATAAATAAGGACAACTTTTCCTTTCTATAAGTATTTTAGATACAACAGGTCAGTGGAAAAGGACAAACATGCTTGGTAAATCCCTTCTCTTCCCTCTTGACATATGTATGGCCACATGTGTGAATAGCATTATTTGCAAAGCAGAAAAGCATTTTAAAGTAATAATAAATTTTTTTCACAGACAGAGAGAAGAATGACACTTGCTTCTTCTTGATTGCTTCCTTCACACACTGTTAAACATGTTAAACAGGACTTTTTTTTCCTTGCTCCCATCACAGTTGAATGTGGGGTTTTGGGTTGAGGCTGTATTTTACTTCCCACTGCATCACGAGCTCCTTGAGGGCAAAACCCTTGTCTTATTTTGTTTCATCTTCGCACGATCTGACACAGGACTTCATAAATGTTACAATTTTTCTTTAATTGAGGTAGAAATGAAGAACCTGGCTTGGAAGGAAGGAAATGGAAAATGATTATGGTGGAAGTGAAGTGGGTTGTACTAACTTTGCAAGGACAGGAAATAAAGCAAGGTTAATTGGTGGAAGCCAGGACACAGGGCAGGTTCCCTGTGGTATCATATGAAAAGGGCAGAGGGCAAAGTACAATGGCTATTTCGCTGGGAAACAAATAAACAAGCTGAAACATGCTTGCCTGAGCACATGTATACTTGGAGTCTCTGAGCAGTTAGATGCTTTATGCTAGTGACAAGGTCGTAAACCCACCTGCATAGTCTCTGAGGTTTTTTTAATTTGTGCTCATTCAAAAGTGCTTCCTAATAGGAAATGGCACTTTCTAAACAGTGTCAATGAAGTTTAACCAGTGATTAATACAAAGTGATGGAATCTCCTTAAAATGGAGATTTCCAATTACCAATTAGAAATTTCCAATGACCAACAGAAAAAGGGCAAAAAGGTTTTCTGGAAGCCATGTGTCTGAATGTACTCACAGGCTTGTGAAGAAAGAAGAGCTTAATTAGACAGATGAGCAATTTCCTGAAAAGGCACATGCAGGCATTGGATTAAATCTCATTTCCTCCAAAAGAAGTATGATAACTATGATGATTAGCAACTCACTGTTTTGGGGCTTAGCCATCCTCCAGTTTATTTTCACTCAGTGGGAGTAAAGGAAGGTGATGCCACTGCTTTTGGGTTAAGTTCTCTTAGTCATGAATTTTGGATTTTTCTGAAGCAGAATGTGTGTTAAATTGAGCTCCAGATCATCTGAGCGTGGGATGCTATCTTACTGCTTGCCCTTGGTTAAGCTGCAATAATTTTGGCCAGAAGAATGTTCTAAGTCATCTCTCTGCTTTCAGTGGCTCAGGAAACAGAAACTAATTTTTATTTAAATCAATCCAAACCTGATTAGGAAAGGAGTTATGAAGCTACTACATGAAAGCATGAAATTCCTGCCAGAGCCAAACACATTCTTTTAAAATATTCTGTTGATTCCTTCCCATTTGGTTTGTCCATGTCACCTTGATCTCTCCATCAGGGCATATAACTAAGACTTTGCTATATTGAAACTTGATCATTTATTTCATCAATATCAAAAAGCTAACATTGACTTGAAAGATCAGAGAGTTGAAGTCCTCCCTGAAGGATATGAGCCTTAGCTTCCATTTCTTAGTGTTTCTGCTTCTTTGAAATAGGGAAGTTTATAGGTCTTACTTAGTTTCCTGGTGCCCACTGGTCTTTTGTTTTCCTGTGTTTTACAAAACTGAGTCACTGAAACCCTTCCTATTTCACCATCGTACAGACATGGTATCATTATTAAGAAAATAAAACTTTGTATTCTTTGTGGGCTGTCAGAAAATCTGGTTATTAAACACCATTATAGGAGACTGATCCAAGATACTTTGTATGTATTTAAACAGTTGGCCAGTGATGAAGAATAGCTATTCTTTTTAGAGTTGTTCTTTCTGTTGTCAAGTTTGGGTCAGTTGGACCAACTGAAATTTAGAAAGATAAATTGAGTACCAGGTTTTATTTAAATATATAAGAAGCTTATTTAAAGAAGAATTGTAAACATGCCCCTTTTCAATCAGAAATTAATTAAGGATTTTCTTTTTAAAGAGTGCTGGGAGTGAAACCTTGGCAAAGGTGAGATTTTGATAACTCCTACACAATACAGTGCAGGCTAGGAAAGAGGAAATAAGCAAATTCCCTAGGTTAGCCACAAAGAGTCAGTCTGATGGGCATTTTACTTGAGTTCATAAAAGGATCCCTTCTACCAAGTAAGCAAGTAAACTTGACACCAGAATTTGAATATATGGAAGTGATTTCTTAAAAATGTTCTTCTGGTGTTTTGAGAAGTTTGAGTCCAACAAAATTATCTTGGATATCATGTAATACATTTATAAAATTCACCATGATAGATTTCATAATGAGGTGAAGTTACTATAAGTATTTTAAATGATTGCAACTGATTTATAATTAGAGGATGAAAGAAGAAACCATGCGAACTCAAATTTTAGTAGAACTAATGCTGACATTCTTCTCCTTTCTATTTCTTCTTCTCTCTATATAACATTATGTGATTGATTTGTTCACTCCCCCTCCAACATAAACACACACAAAATTATTTTAGGGTAAGTGTTGAGGGGAGGTCCAAGCCAGAGTACACAGGTTCTGTCTGACTATTGGATATGTTTTGTCTGCCTCTACAGAGTGTTTAGAAATTTTTAAATGTATCCTCAACACCAAAGCCAAAAATCTAAATTTCTGGCTTCTCTTGAAAAATGAAGAGATCTTGTGTAACTGGGTCTGAAGTTTCTGTGTGGCCTCAAGAGGCTGGAGCTGAGCAGTGGCACTCACATCCCATTTCCAATAGCCATGAACAACAGGCATACTTAGGAAGTACCACAGGTTCTGTTCCAGACCACCATAATAAATTGAGTCACATGAATTTTTTGTTGTCAACAGAGGGCGTAAAATATTCAGTAAACCATGCAGTAAACAGATGTGCTGTCATCAGGCTTTGTTTTTTCATTTATAGAGCACATACAGAGTAGATTTAGCATCATTCTTAAGGACTCTAGGGTTTTCAGAATGGTAATGAGCATTGGCTTCACACTGAAGTTGAAGGGCACATAAAAGTTGTGTTTACACTATAGTCTGTTAAGTGTGCAATAGCATTATATCTAAAAAAATGTATATACCTCAATTTAAAACATTTTATTGCTAAAAGTGCTAACAGTCATCCCAGCCTTCAGCTCATCATAATCTTTTTACTGGTAGAGTGTATTGCCTCAGTGCTGACAGCTGCTGGCTGATAAGGGTGGTGGTTGCTGACGATTGGGGCGGCTGTGGCAATTTCTTAAGAGAATAAAGTTAGGACTTCATGTCTAAAACACCAAAAGCAATGGCAACAAAAGAAAAAATTGACAAATGGGATCTAATTAAACTAAAGAGCTTCTGCACAGCAAAAGAAACTACCATCAGCGTGAACAGGCAACCTACAAAATGGGAGAAAATTTTCGCAACCTACTCATCTGACAAAGGGCTAATATCCAGAATCTACAATGAACTCAAACAAATTTATAAGAAAAAAACAAACAACCCCATCAAAAAGTGGGCAAAGGATATGAAGAGACACTTTTCAAAATAAGACTTTTATGCAGCCAAAAGATACATGAAAAAATGCTCATCATCACTGCTCATCAGAAAAACGCATATCAAAACCACAATGAGATACCATCTCACACCATTTAGAATGGCGATCATTAAAAAGTCAGGAAACAACAGATGCTGGAGAGGATGTGGAGAAATAGGAACACTTTTACACTGTTGGTGGGACTGTAAACTAGTTCAACCATTGTGGAAGACAGTGTGGCGATTCATCAGGGATCTAGAACTAGAAATACCATTTGACCCAGCCATCCCATTACTGGGTATATACCCAAAGGACTATAAATTGTGCTGCTATAAAGACACATACACACATATGTTTATTGCAGCACTATTCACAATACAAAGACTTGGAACCAACCCAAATGTCCAACAACAATAGACTGGATTAAGAAAATGTGGCACATATACACTATGGAATACTATGCAGCCATAAAAAATGATGAGTTCATGTCCTTTGTAGGGACATGGATGAGATTGGAAATCATCATTCTCAGTAAACTATCGCAAGAACAAAAAACCAAACACCGCATATTCTCACTCATAGGTGGGAATTGAACAATGAGATCACATGGACACAGGAAGGGGAACATCACACTCTGGGGACTGTTGTGGGGTGGGGGGAAGGGGGAGGGATAGCTTTAGGAGATATACATAATGCTAAATGACGAGTTAATGGGTGCAGCACACCAGCATGGCACATGTATACATATGTAACTAACCTGCACATTGTGCACATGTACCCTAAAACTTAAAGTATAATAATAATAAAATTAAATTAAAAAAAAAAGACAGTAAAGTTTGCCACATGGATTGACTCTTCCTTTCATGAAAAATTTCTCTGTAGAATGCTCTGATGTTTGATAGCATTTTACCCACAATAGAACTTGTTTTAAAATTGGAGTCAATCCTCTCAAACTCTGCTGCTGTTTTTCAACTACATTTATGGAATATTCTAAATTCTTTGTTGTCATTTTCAACAATGTCCACCACTTCTTGACCAGGAGTAGATTCCATCTCAAGATACCACTGTCTTTGCTCATCCATTGTAGGCAACTTGTCATCCTTTCAAGTTTTATCATGAGATTGCAACAGTTCACTCACATCTTCAAACTCCACTTCTAATTCTAGCTCTCTTGCTATTCCACCACATCTACAGTTACTTCCTCTAACCCAAAGACAGTTTAAAGCCTGATAGCCAAGCTACAAGTTAAATCCTTGGACTGGCATTGAGAACTTGTCTTCCCATTTGGTGCTCTTTCCTCTGATCCCCACCTTTCACCTATTTTAAATGCACCTACCCTTTCCTAATTGGTTTTCTACACTGTCATGCCCACCTTTGAGTGGTGTCTTTGCTTTAACCTTTTTTTTTTTTTTTGCACATTCACAAACCAATCAGCATGCACTCACTATTCTGAGTACATAAAAGGCACTGGACCCAGCCACATGGGGGACTTCACTGTCTTTGGGTAGGAGGACCACCCCCGCGTCCCATCTCTGCTCAGAGTTGTTTCATCGCTCAATAAAATTATTCCATCTTCCTCATCCTTCAATTTCAAGCATCCTCATTCTTCTTGGGTGTGGTATATGAGCTTGGAAACCACTGAACGTGGGTCCAAGCTATAACACAGGCGAGCTGGGGCATGCCTTTATGGCTGAGTGGGGACCCAGGCAGGGCATTGCTGGCCAGAAGTCCCTGGCTTGCAAAGTGACCAGGAAGAAAAATCCTGCATCATTAGTAGTGTGAGAATGGACTAATACAACCCCTGAGGTATCACTATCTATGACAGCTATAGCCTTATGAAATGTATTTCTTAAATAATAAGACTTGAAAGTTGATACTACTCCTTGACCCCTGAGCTACAAAATGGATGTTGTGTTAGCAGGCATGAAAACAACATTAATCTTCTTATATGTCTCCATCAGAGCTCTTGAGTGACCAGGTGCACTGTCAATGAGCAGTAATATTTTTAAAGAAATCATTTTTTTCTGAGCAGTACGTGTCAACAGTTGGCTTAAAATATTCAGTAAACCTTGCCGTAAACAGATGTGTTTTCATTCAGGATTTGTTGTTCCATTTACAGAGCACAGGAAGAGTTGATTTAGCATAATTCTGAAGGACCCCAGGATTTTCAGAACGGTAATGAGGATTGGCTTCAACTTGAAGTCACCAGCTGCATTATCCCCTAACAAGAGAGTCAGCCTGACCGTTAATGCTTTGCAGCCAGGCATCAACTTCTCTCTAGCTATGAAAGTCATAGATGGCATCTTCTTCCAGTAGAAGATTATTTTATCTACATTAAAAATCTATTATTTAGTGTTGCTACCTTCATCAATTATCTTAGCTAGTTCTGGATAACTTGCTGCAGCTTCTACATCAGTGCTTGCCGCTTCACCTTGCACTTTTATATTATGGACATGGCTTTTTCTCCTTAAACCTCATGAACCAATCTCTGCTAGCTTCAAACTTTTCTTCTGCAGCTTTCTCACCTCTCTTAGCCTTCATAGAACCTGAAGAGTGTTAGAGCCTTGCTCTGGATTAGATTTAGCTTAAGGGAATGTTGTAGCTGGTTTGATCTATCCAGGACACTAAAACTTTCTCCATATCAGCAATAAGACTGGTTCTCTGTCTTTTTTTTTAATCTATGGCTATTCACTGGAGTAGCACTTTTAATTTTCTTCAAAATCTTTTTCTTTACTTTCAAAGCTTGGCTGACTGTTTGTGTAAGAGGCCTAGCTTTGGGCCTATCTCAGCTTTTGACATGCCTTCCTAACTAAGCTTAGTCATCTTTAGCTTTTGATCTAAAGTGGAGATGTGCAAATTTTCTTTTCACTTGAACTCTTAGAAGCTATTGTTGAGTTGCTAATTGGCCTAATTTCCATGTTGCTGTGCGTCAGGAAACAGGGAGGCCTGAGAAGAGGGCCAGTGATGTGGGAATAGCCAGTTAGTGGAGCAGTCAGAACACACAAAACATTGATTTTATTTTGTTTTATTTTTATTTATATATTTTTCTTTTTCTTTTATTTCAATAGCTTTTGGAGTGTAAGTGGTTTTTGGTTACATGGATGAATTGTATAGTGGTGAAGTCTGAGATTTTAGTGCACCCATCATGTGGGTAGTGTATGTTGTATTCAATATGTAGTTTTTTATCGCTCACTGGCCTTCCACCCTCCCCATTCTGAGTCTTCATAGTCCATTAAGTCACTTTGTATGCCTTTGTATACGTTTAGCTTAGCTCCCACTTGAGAGTATATGGTATTTGGTTTTCCATTCCTGAGTTACTTCACTTAGAATAAGTTGCTGCAAAAGACATTATTTCATTATTTTTTATGGCTCAGTAGTATTCCATGGTGTATATATACCACATTTTCTTTATCCATTTATTGGTTAATGGGCACTTAAGGTTGACTTCATATCTTTGCAATTGTTAATTGTGCTATGTATTAGTCTGTTTTTATGCTGCTGATAAAGACATACCCGAGACAGGGCAATTTACAAAAGAAAGAGGTTTAATTGGACTTATAGTTCCACATGTCTGGGAGGCCTCACAAGCAAGGCAAAGAGGAGCAAGTCATGTTTTACATGGATGGCAGCAGGCGAAGAGAGAGCTTGTGAAGGACAACTCCCATTTTTTAAAACTGTCAGATCTCTTGAGACCCATTCACTATCACAGGAATAGCATGGGAAAGACCTGCCCCCACAATCCAATCATCTTCCACCAGGTCTCTCCCACAACACGTGGGAATTATGGGAGCTGCAAGATGAGATTTGGGTGGGGACACAGAGCCAAACCATATCCTGCTGCAATAAACATATGCATGCAGATGTCTTTTTGATACAATGAGTTATTTTTCTTTGGGTAGATATCCAGTAGGGGGGTTGCTGGATCAATTGGTAGATCTACTTTTAGTTGTTTAAGAAATCTCCATACTGTTTTCCATAAAGCTTTTACTAATTTACATTCCCACTAGCAGTATATAAGCACTCCCTTTTTACCACACCCATGCCAACATCTATTGTTTTTTGACTTTTGAATAATGGCCATTCTTGTGGGAGTAAGGTGGAATCTTATTGTGGTTTTAATTTGCATTTCCCTGATGATTAGTGATGTCACACAAAATTTATTGAATAAGTTTGCCATCTTACGTGGGCATGGTTTGTGGTACCCAAAACAATTACTGTAGTAACATCAGAGATCAGTGATTACAGATGACAACAGAAGATGTAGTAGTAATGAAAAAGTTTGAAATATTGCAAGAATTATCAAAATGTGACACAGAGACACAAAGTAAGCACATTCTGTTGGAGAAATGGCAGCAATAGACTTGCTTGCCACAAACTTTCAATTTGTAAAAAACACATTATCTGCTAAGTGTGATAAAACACCTATATACTCTTTCACATAGTTCTCTAATTTCTCTTTGACATGGGGAGTGAGTTGCCATCTATGATCAAGGTTGAACTCTTGTTTCCTATGGTAAAGTTAGGGTAAAAGTGCAACATTATAAAAATCTGTATCTTTTTCTCCCTTCTTTTTTTTTAAATTTATACTTTAAGTTCTAGGGTACATGTGCACAATGTGCAGGTTTGTTACATAAGTATACATGTGCTGTGTTGCTTTGCTGCACCCATTAACTCATCATTTACATTAGATATTTCTCCTAATGCTATCCCTACCCCTGCCCCCTACCCAACAACAGGCCCCCGTGTGTGATGCTCCCCGCCCTGTGTCCAAGTGTTCTCATTGTTCAGTTCCCACCTATGAGTGAGAATATGTGGTGTTTGGTTTTCTGTCCTTGTGATAGTTTGCTCAGAATGATGGTTTCCAGATTCATCCATGTCCCTGCAAAGGACATGAACTCATCATTTTTTATGGCCACATAATATTCCATGGTGTATATGTGCCACATTTTCTTGATCCAGTCTATCATTGATGGACGTTTGGGTTGGTTCCAAGTTTTTGCTATTGTGAATAGTGCCGCAATAAACATACGTGTGCATGTGTCTTTATAGTAGCATGATTTATAGTCGTTTGGGTATATACCCAGTAAAGGGATGGCTAGGTCAAATGGTATTTCTAGTTCTAGATCCTTGAGGAATCACCACACTGTCTTCCGCAATGGTTAAACTAGTTTACAGTCCCACCAACAGTGTAAAAGTGTTCCTATTTCTCCACATCCTCTCCAGCACCTGTTGTTTCCTGACTTTTTAATGATCGCCATTCTAAATGGTGTGAGATGGTATCTCATTGTGGTTTTGATATGCGTTTTTCTGATGAGCAGTGATGATGAGCATTTTTTCATGTATCTTTTGGCTGCATAAAAGTCTTATTTTGAAAAGTGTCTCTTCATATCCTTTGCCCACTTTTTGATGGGGTTGTTCGTTTTTTTCTTGTAAATTTGTTTAAGTTATTTGTAGATTCTGGATATTAGCCCTTTGTCAGATGGGTAGATTGCAAAAATTTTCTCCTATTCTGTGGGTTGCCTATTCACTCTGATGGTAGTTTCTTTTGCTGTGCAGAAGCTCTTTAGTTTAATTAGATCCCATTTGTCAATTTTGGCTTTTGTTGCTATTGCTTTTGGTGTTTTAGTCATGAAGTCCTTGTCCATACCTATGTCCTGAATGGTATTGCCTAGGTTTTCTTCTAGGGTTTTTATGGTTTTAGGTCTAACATTTAAGTCTTTAACCCATCTTGAATTAATTTTTGTATAAGGTGTAAGGAAGGGATCCAGTTTCAGCTTTCTACATATGGCTAGCCAGTTTTCCCAGTGCCATTTATTAAATAGGGAATCCTTTCCTCACTTCTTGTTTTTGTCAGGTTTGTCAAAGATCAGATGGTTGTAGATGTGTGGTGTTATTTCTGAGAGTTCTGTTCTGTTCCATTGGTCTATATCTCTGTTTTGGTCCCAGTACTATGCTGCTTTGGTTACTGTTGCCTTGTAGTATAGTTTGAAGTCAGGTAGCGTGATGCCTCCAGCTTTGTTCTTTTTGCTTAGGATTGTCTTGGCAATGCAGGCTCCTTTTTGGTTCCATATGAACTTTTAAGTGTTTTTTTTTCAATTCTGTGAAGAAAGTCATTGGTAGCTTGATGGGGTTGGCACTGAATCTATATATTACCTTGGGCAGTATGGCCATTTTCATGATATTGATTCTTCCTATCCATGAGCATGAAATGTTCTTCCATTTGTTTGTGTCCTCTTTTATTTCATTCAGCAGTGGTTTGTAGTTCTCCTTGAAGAGGTCCTTCACATCCCTTGTAAGTTGTATTCCCAGGTATTTTATTCTCTTTGTAGCAATTGTGAATGGGAGTTCACTCATGATTTGGCTCTCTGTTTGTCTGTTATTGGCGTATAGGAAAGCTTGTGATTTTTGCACATTGATTTTTTTATCCTGAAATTTTGCTGAAATTGCTTATCAGCTTAAAGAGATTTTGGGCTGAGATGATGGGGTGTTCTAAATATACAATCATGTCATCTGCAAACAGGTGTCTCAAGATAATTCTGTCTTCTCAAGCAATGTTACCTAGAATATGCCCTCCTCTCCCTCAATGCTTTTAATTAATTTCTCCTTTTAATAGATCACTATTAGTAGATTGGTTGATATCTTCTAGGCCTTCTTTCTAGATACATAACAAAGACATAAACACACATATATAATGTTTTCGCACTAATTGGAATAAATCGTACATTTTGTTCTACAGTTTAATTTTTGTTCACAATGTATTTTGGGACATGTTTTCATGTCCTACACATGTATGCATATAATTTTGAGAAATAGTCTTGTTGCAGTGTGTATTAATTCATCCATCATGCTGCTGATAAAGAGATACCAAGACTGGACAATTTACAAAATAAAGAGGTTTAATTGGACTTAGAATTCCACATGATTGGGGAGGTCTCACAATCATGGTGGAAGGCAAGGAGGAGCAAGTCACATCTTATGTGGATGGCAGCAGGCAAAGAGAGAGCTTGTGCAGAGAAACTCTTGTTTTTAAAAGAATCGGATCTCTATCGGATAGTGAGAACCATTCACTATCATAAGAACAGCACGGGAAAGACTCGCCCCCATGATTCAATCATCTCACAGTGGGTCCCTCCCAGAACACATGGGACTTATAGGAGCTACAAGACGAGATTTGGTTGGGGACACAGAGCCAAGCCATATCACAGTATACTCCATTTTATAGCTTAATTGCAATTTTTTCAACTATTTCCCTATCTAAGGACATTTAGACTGTTTCCAACTTTTACTAATATAAAAATGATATAAGAAACTGTTGTTCATAGATTTTCATATTTATAACCATAGGATAAATTCCCAGAAGTGGAATTTCTTGGACAAAGAGCATATACATTTTAATTATTTATAGGCATTGTCAACTTGGCCTCCATACATTATACATGAATTTATATTTCCAAATACATTGTAAGAAAATTTCTATTTATGAACACCCTTAGCAAAAGTGAATATAATTAATCTGATAGAAATAAATTTCTCTTAATGTTTTGAATTTTATTTCTTTAATTATTAGTGAGAGATTTTAATATTTTGATCATATAGAATTCTGCTGTGAATTGCCTAAGTCTTCTGTCTTTTTTGTTTTCTTCGGGTTGTTTTCCTTTTACTTCTTTAATTCTTTATATATTTTGAACGTTAATATTTTCTACATTTGGCAAATATGTTCTCCAATTTGTTACTGTGTCACTTGTCAATACACTTTGCCATTCCCTCCTCTTCTGGATTTTTTTCTTTGACCATATCAAGCTGAAGAGATGAACTTGTTTTCTCAAACCTTTGCATCAAATTAAGAGTAAAAACAATAAAAGTAATATCAAATGAGGCAGGCCAACTAAAACAAGAAATAGGTTAGAGAATATTGACTTTCCGCCGGGCATGGTGGCTCATGCCTGTAATCCCAACAGTTTAGGAGGCTGAGATGGGCAGATCACTTGAGGTCAGGAGTTCGAGACCAGCCTGGCCAACATGGTGAAACCCTGTCTCTACTAAAAAATACAAAAATTAGCTAGGCGTGGTAGTGGGCACCTGTAATCCCAGCTACTTGGGAGGCTAAGGCAGGAGAA
Source organism: Homo sapiens (assembly GCF_000001405.40). Classification (NCBI taxonomy): domain Eukaryota; kingdom Metazoa; phylum Chordata; class Mammalia; order Primates; family Hominidae; genus Homo; species Homo sapiens. The sequence goes on along the minus strand of NC_000012.12, from coordinate 89,146,495 downwards.
TCGCTTGAACCCAGGAGGCAGAGGTTGCAGTGAGCCAAGATCATGCCACTGCACTCCAGCCTGGGTGACAGAGCAAGACTCCATTGCAAAAAAAAAAAAAAAAAATTGACTTTCATATTGATTCCACTGTTTTTTAGGTTAACTAAATTATTTTGTACTGTTATTTAAATACATAATACAAGGTTGATATGAGGTATTAATAGGTATTTTTGTTTGCTTGTTTTTGGTCTCTCCCTCTCATTTTTATTTCAGTTCTCAATCCTCTTTCTGTTAATCTTTGTCTTTTATACCCAGAAGACTCTGTGGACATGTTTGTTTCACTCCCATGGTCACATTTAATGATATAGAAGTCATTATGAGTAGTTTAGTAAATGAAAAATAGAAAGAAAAACATGAACATATAGGTAATATAGTTGGTATTACAAATTCCACTAACCAAAAAATGTGTATTATGATACTTGCTTTTCGATTTAAAAGGATCTCAAAATAATACATTATATCATAAATATGTAAATATCTTTTCTGTTTTCATGTCTTACTGGGGATAACTGGTTGTTTGCAGGCGAAAGAGCAGCAGACGAGAGGACTTCATCTATGTTAGTGCCTGCTATTGATATACCATATACGTGTACATAGAGTACACTGCCACATTTCATCTTTCTAGCAACCTACTGAGAAATAAATTAAAACTTTCCTAATTTTTACAGGTGAGAGAATCAAGGCTTTGGGATATTAAGTAATTTGTACCAAGTCATATAAAGGGTAAAAATGAGATTTGAATACAGGGTTGAATAGCGCACCACCAAGCAACAGTAAGATCATCTGATAAGGGCTGTGTTTTATTCATTAAACATTTTTTTTGTTTATTTTCGAGACAGTACCTGACATAGGTTCTCAATAGTATTTGTTGCCTGAATACGAATGGAGCTAACATCTATGTTTTTTTCTGGTATACCATGCTGTATTTGGAGAAGGGGTGCTAAACTTGTCTTTTCCTTAATGTTATTATAAAAATGCCTGCCTGCCTGCCTGCCTGCCTTCCTTCCTTCCTTCCTTCCTTCCTTCCTTCCTTCCTTCCTTCCTTCCCTCCTTTCATTTGTCTTTTTCTTTCTTTCTGCCCTCAAACAAATGAGAAAGTCAGGCTTTGATTTGATTTTGATAATTTATAATTTATTGATTGGATTGTTGAAGTTAATGCTGGTTATTAGAGAGACAGGAGTTCTCTTACTCTACTTTTAGACTAATTTTGGCTTAAAACTTTAAACTGACTAAACTGGAGATTTTATGTGCCTTTATTTAAAAACTATGGGTACACCCTACTTATATGAATTAAACCTTTAAAATGAAGTCAATTGTAGGCCACATAAATGTTTCATTTATTCATTCAACAAGAATATGTGTGTTTACTAAGGACTTAACACTGCTGTGCACTCGGGTTATTATATTGAATGTAACATCTGATATAAATGTGAAGTGGATTTCAATAGAAAAAGACTATTGTAATATATCACGATATAAAGTTGAAAAACATTTTCCTTGTCAAAAATGTGTGCCAGAAATCTATAAGTAGTTACCCATTTTGGAAATTTTCCCCATGCAGATACCTCTGATAAAATGCAAATGTCTTAATAATTGAGACAATTGTACCTTCCTAATATCCTTCGTGAAGAGATTAAGGCAACATCCAGATAAAGCAACTGTTCCGACCAAATATTCAATTTAGCTAAATAATTGGTTTTATTTTCCTTTGAGTGGCAGTTGGTTGGCTATTTTTATATCACATTTCATGTAAGTTATTTTTCCTTCATATTCTGAATTTAGTGCTCTGTAAATTTGGCCTTCACTCTGAAAAGAACACAACAACAAAAAGCAAAATAAACAAAAAGCCCAGGAAGACGTAGGCCTTTGAATAGTTTCTTGGCTGTTTGAGCAATTATGCATTTTGAAGTTTCTTGTCCTCTGTATCTTCTGTAGTTATGCACTTAAAGAGGTATACTTATTTGTCGACAGGTGTTGGAATTTTTTTCCTTATAAAAGATAAAAAAACTGGAAGGTGGATATATATTCAATAAATTTGAGAAATGAAGACAAAGTTTTATTTTAATTTATGCCAACCAAAATTAGTGTTTTGTGTTTTATAAAAATACTTCTGAGCATTGCTGAGATTTTCTTTTTGATTTGTAACAGAAAAACAATGAAAACAGGTAGATTGGGACAATAAACCAAATGATCTAAGAGGATTAAAAGATTAATGCCAAACATAGGGAGGCTCTCTGCTCTGTAACCCCAAGGATGTGCAGAGCAGGCCACATTTCTGCAAAATAGAGGCTCTTTCAGAAAATGTTCTTTATCAGTGAGAGTGTAGCTTGCCCTTGACCATTTGGGGCACGTGAGGTAAATAGTTAATGAATGCCTCTATAAGAAACATAATAACATATTACATCTTTCTTACTCTGAAATTCTAGGGCTCTTTCAGTCAGAGGAAGAGAGAATCCTAGTGTTACCCTAAATTTCAAAGTCTGTAATTCCACTCAGAAAATAGAAACCAATTCAATAAGCTACTATCATAATGCCCTGCATTGATGGATCTTAGGTCCTCAATTTCTGTACTAAACAGACTTCTTTTTGTGCTGGAAAGAGTTCATGTTTCATCTTTTATCCTGGTACAACTTCACCATGATTAGCTTAAGGACTAGGTATAGGCTGGGATTCAAACATGTTTATAACATCAAACGGTAGATTTAACAAAAAAGCATTCCATCCTTCGCAGACTGTTTCAATGACTGATATGAATTGAAGCACAGTTGATATAACAGTTTTATAATCACAATGGTGAAAGCATTCCAAATCAACTGGAAAATGGTCAGGCTACTTGCTGCATATGTGTGTGCTATACAAAGAAGCCGAGTTAGGGTGATGTTGATTGTTAAATTAAGAAGTGGGAGAGGCCAGTACACATAGGAAAAGGTACTCAATCTTACTAGCAATTAGAAAAATTAAGTGGAAATGACAATGACATACTGACCAAATTGGCTAAAATTAGGATGTGAAATTGAAAGGAAGCTCAACATTGTTGAGGAAAGCTGAAGATATACCTACCATATGACCCAGCAATTCCAGCAATATATCCTAGAGAACTCTCATACATGGGCCCTGGCTATATGTATAACAAATAAATAAATTTAAATACTAAACAGTAATATAAATGAACAATCACTTACAGGCAACATCATTGGAAATTGTCACAAATGTAAAGTTAACCAAAGGAATTGTGCCACAAAAGAATGCCTACATTATGATTCTGTTCCTATGAAATTAAAAAACAGGTGAAACCAGACTATTGTTTAGGAATGCATACATAAGTAGTAGCACTGCAAAGAAAAGCAAGAAAATGATGAACACAAGTAAAGATAGTGGTTTTCTCCAGGAGAGAGGAACACAGAGCGTGCTTATAGAGTACTGACAATATTCTATTTCTTGACTGGATTGGACTATTTGAATAATTGCCAAAAAGTTCATGTATATTTTATGTAATTTTCTACGTGCATGTTATATGGTGCAGTAAGGAATAGCTCTCTCTCTCTCTCTCTCTCTCTCTCTCTCTCTCTCTCCAAGACCACTGTTCAGGGCATGTGACTATAAAGTGCTTAATATGGTAAAGTGTGCCTGGCAGTTTGAAAGGCAGTTCAGTGCTGGCAACTATAAACAAAATGTGCACTGGATTCAACATGTCTTTGCTTCATGAAACTTCATTGCTTAACTGTGATTCTGGATTGGATTGTAATCACAGCAAAGGTCCCTCTAATAAAATTCTGTTTGATTCAACTAACTTCATTCATTCTCATCACTACCCGCTTAGTCTTATTGCAACTTGGTTTAGGGATTAAAAACCATTAAGCATTAATATCTTAAATGAGAATTGGTTGGGACTGTCTGAGAATTGTTCAGGGCTCTTTTATTTTCATTCCAGGCCTGCCCTCTTTCTAAATGACCTTCAGATTTGTTTTTGTCAGTCTCCTTTTACCTCAAGTGATACAGCCTGTGTTCCAGAGATAGTAGAGAAGAAAATATGTTCAATGATTTTTTATCATCTCTAAACACATGAGCAGAGGAATATCTGAAAAATGTTTTCATCTGACTAATTAGGTTAGAAATCTCAGGAGAACAGTCCTATTTGCTATATTTCTAATGGAAATGTTTCTGTTTCTGGTTGAGAATCTTGCCAGAACAGATTTCTCCTTCAACACTTCCTCTTCAAGTAGGAAAAAAAGAAAGCAACCTTTTCTTTCTTATCATTTGGGAACTATAAACTTGAGTTGTAAGCAACTTACGTACAGGGGCTATGACTTCTTAATATTTTTATGTGCCTATTGTATAGCATGAAGCTGTGCAGAATGCCAGAAAATAAAAGCTTATTGGTGATTATTGACATGTCTTTTTTCCCTCCCTAATTATGCTATTTCAGTGCAGCATTCATAAAGTCCTGTTTTTAGTATAGACAGGTAAGATGGTAGAACCCAGAATATTTTTTTCTTTATCTAGAGCACTTTTTTCAATTTATGGTCCATGAATGTAAGTACTTAGTGAATTGTTCTATTCTCTCATTGCCTTATAATCAGTCTTACTTTCTTAATTGGTAGAGTTCTCTAAAGGAAGAAGCTATTTTTCCTTTGTGTTCTCCAGGGCATTTAAACACAATCCTGAGGATACCAGGCTGGTCTTGAACTCTTGGCCTCAAGCAATCCCCCCCATCTTGGCCTCCCAAAGCGCTGGGATTACAGGCATGAGCCACCATGCCTGGCCAAAGAGGCACTTTTGAAATACACTCAAAACCATGTCTTGAGACTCCTCAGTATGGTCAGCATCAAGTCATAAATTGTGGGAAATGACTGAATTTTTGGTTTCTTCGGAACTCTTTTTTGCAACAGATTGCAATTGCTACTGATAACTGATGGAAATGGCTTACTATTAAAAATAGGGCTTCTATGCAATTTTAAAATGCAATGGCAAAGAAATGCTGGGAATAGAATAATATTATACATAATGACAAGCAGAAAAATTTAAAGAAAGACAGAGAGCCCATGGCAATGAAAGCAAAGTAATTATAGTTTCAGTCTACCGGATTCTTTCCCCCATTGCCCAGTGCCATTTGCATTCCATTAGAAGCTGTAGGTTCTAATCAAGAAAGTAAAGGCCACTATTTGTGAAAGTAAAGGAAAAAGATGCCTCTTTTAGGGCTTCTCTAAAATCCTAGTATCTAGTTTTCAATGTTAACTTTCACTAAAATACTTTAATAGAGTGCAGTGGGGACATGTTGTGTAGAATACAGATCAAGGATTCTTAATATGGTGTCCATGGAAGGAATTCAAAGGCCTTTCGGCTCTTGATGTTGTATATAACACTGGGTCTGTGCATATGCACATTTTGCTGAGCTTTCTGGCCTTCATCTGAAATTCATAACTTCCCTCTCCCACAGCTCCAGTTAAGTGTACTGCTTATAGTTACATCTATTCTGTCCTAGAACCAGCCATATGAGCTTGACTGGACAAGTGAGATTTGAGAAAAGATCCCGCAAAGACTCAAATGGCATTTTGCAAGATGACAGTTCTCACCATGGTTCAATTTAGGAATGTTCAGGGGATCCCTTTCCAGAATTCAAGCATCGTGCTGGAAATACCAGAGGCTATTAATACTGCATGTATTTTTACGCTTATGACTTGGCAAGGGTGTGAGCTGTGACATGCGATCTTCGCAGAGATGATGCTGTGAAGGTTGGCTGGCAACCAGGCAGATGTCTGGGGTTTGGCAGTAATGTGCTCTTCCTCCTCCTTGTAGCTGCAGAATGGTCCAGAGAGTGCATTTGTATTTCCATTTTCTGTACCTCTAGCCCCTTCTATTTTTTAATCTTTATGGAGATATAATAGATATATTATAAAATTCACTTTTTGAAGTGTATAATTAGTGGTTTTTAGTACATACATAGAATTGTGCAACTATAAGCACTATTTAATTTTAAAACCTACTTGTAAAACTGTTGGCTAATTGTTGCTTCTAATAGCTCCATGACAGTGCTATGTTTCATTTATTTATTTTTTATGCCCTGAAATGACCTCTGTAGAAAACTGGCTTAAAAATGTTTTAGAAAGGGTCTCAATAGCATCTAGTGGTTCCATCCCTTTTAGTACCAGGATTATCTTCTTGTGACTCACTGTTTACAGAAAGTGCTAATCAGTTCTTAAATGTAGATGATGTCTCCTAGACCAAAGAAGATATCTGATTGAACCATTTGAATTTGCCATTGTTATCGACTCAAAGCAGTGAATATTTATAATTTTATAAGGTTCAACATAATAAAACTTGCATGAAATTTTCATGCCCACTTCCACTGCCATTACAAACATTTGAAAGAAATGCTATATGTTAGGCTCATTAAAAGTAAAGCAACTGACACCTGCTTGAAACACACAGCTAAAATATTGTATTTCTTTGTGATTATATTCAAAGAGTTAAAATATTCTCATGTTCAACCTTTATTCCCAGATATTTACTAAGTAGTTACTATCTGCCAAAAAATGAGTGGGAAGAAAAATATGGTCTTAGCCTTAAGGGACACTTATTTTTGCTGTACCTTTCTTTAGCTATCTTATTAATTTATTATTATAGAGCTTTGCAATGTGTTTAATTGCAAATTGTGAATTCCATCTTCAGCAAACTATTTAACTGATTTGCTTTTGGCCTCCGCTGCTATCTAGGTAGGCCAAGCTCTCCTCTCCTCCATTTTTCACAAACTCCAATTATACAAATGATGACTTTTTTTTTATTTTTTCTTTTCCTCTAAAATTCCCAAATTCACGGAAGGGACACAATCTCCTGTCAGTGTTAGAATGTTTCCACATCGTTTAGGAGCATAATTTATGGCTTTCCCAAGGATAATGACTACTTGCCTCAGTCCTGGCTAAATCCCAGTGAATCTCAATTCTTAAATATTGGAAGGAGATTAAAGTGTTTAATACACACACACACACACACACACACACACACACGGAATCTTGATGTGTTCAAATTTAGTCCTTAACATTCAAGTCTCATGTGCAATCAAAATAATCAATAACACAAGGGACTCATATGTAATTTGGATGTATTTCCAGGATATTGGTAATCCCCATTATGTTTTAAATGTTATATTGGACCTCTCAGATATCCAGTGCATTTCACCAGATCTGAATTAAACTGGAATATTCTACTGGACTACTAACTTGGGATGAAGAACTATAATATCTTTTAGTAATTTTCCTTCAGGAATTGCTCCTAAGTAGAGAAATAGAATGCTGGAAAAATTCTATCATCAGGTTTTTACCAAAAAGGGCATGGTACCTAGGAAGCAATTATAGAAAATAGCATTTGTGAGTGTTGGAGAACATTTCATCTCCTTTATTTTACAAAGGAGAAAACAGAAGCCCAGAAAGTTTAAGTGATTCATTCAAAGTTGCTTATTAGTACAATTCCAAAATTCAAATCCAATCATTTAGATTCCCAGCACAATGCTCTTTCAACTAAAGCGTTTTCCATTTTATATGTGAAAAGGATTAAATTATAGTCTGTTTCTAAAGTGGGCTTCCTTTTAAATCAAAGTCTTGTTTATTCAACTGCCTTTTCACTTTCCTGCCCTGCTACTACCTTTCTTAAATATCATTTAACCTCAAATAGGCCTGGATGACATACACCAGTGGTCCTCACACTTGAGCCTGCATCAGAGTCACCTGGATGCTTTGCTAAAACACAGATTCTTTGGCTCAACCCTCAGAGTTTCAGATTCAGTAAGCCTGGGGAGTGTGTAAGTCTGTGACAATTTGTCTTTCTAAGAAATTTCTTGGTGATGCTGATGCTTCTGGTTGGGGATAACACTTTGAGAATGAAAAACCTACATGAAGCAGGCCTAACAATCTGTCTATTGACAGGGTTTCTAATGGCTGTGTCTCCTGTTGCTGACTCCTTTACCTTCTAAAAAAGTATAGTAAATTATCAAATGTATCCCCATCCAAGAACTCCATTGCCCTGTGTAGTCACCCAGTATTGGCTGCCACATGGAGACCAGTGTAAAAATGACTGTGTCTGTGCAGATGGCTAGTGAGTCAGTCTGGAATAAGAAGGTAGCTATTTAGCACTTCTGATTAGCACTCACAGCTCCCAAGACCTAGTCTTCTGTGTGGTGCTTACTTCTCTTTCTCTAAACAAAATAATGTTAAAAGTGCCAATGATAAGAAGACAGCCATAAAAATTGTTTTATGAGCCTCCTCATGCCTTCAATCCTTAAAGAAGCAGAGAATTAAAATATGACTCTGTCAGTCAGGATTCCTAGTTGCAGGGATAGAATCTAGGTCAGCCAATGTAAACAGAAAGAGATTGAATATAAGGTATCAGGTAGCTTGCAGAATGTGAGTGGCCTTAGAAGAACCTAGGTTTCCTGCAGAACATTCTGGAGAATGTGAGATTTAACTTTCCAGCCTGTATCTCACAGCAGGAGGGCATGCTAGGAGATTGAAATGGTTGTTAAATGAACCAGTCTTCAGCATCTGCCACAATTATCATTACCAAATTGTGGCTCATTCTTTTTAAAAAAAAAGTTTAAAAAAATTTCAATAGGTTTATGGGGAACAAGTGGTGTTTGGTTTCTTACAAATGAGTTATTTAGTGGTGATTTCTGAGATTTTGGTGCACCCATCACCTGAGCAGTATACACTGTACTCAATTTGTAGCCTTTTATCCCTCACCCCCCTCCCACCTTTTCTTCTCAGTCCCCAAAGTCCATTGTATCATTCTTATGCCTTTGCATCCTGGTAGCTTAGCTCCCACTTATGAGTGAGAACATCTGATGTTTGGTTTTCCATTTCTGAGTTACTTCACTTAGAATAATAGTCTCCAGTTCCAACCAGGTTGCTGCAGATGCCATTATTTCATTCTTTTTTATTGTTGAGTAGTGTTCCAAGGTATAGAAATATACCGCACAAATTCGGCTCGTTCTTTATTGTTAAGCAGGTGTTTTAGAATATCAGGTCTTGGCTTACATACTGTTAAAAAAAACTTTAGCCAAATTAAATTTAAAATAGTTTAATTGGGCAAAGAATGATTTGCAAATCAGGCAGCCTCCCGAGCCAGAGTGGGCTCAGAGACTCCGGTGCAGCCACGTGGTGGAAGAAGATTTATGGACAGAAAAAGGAAAGTGACATACAGAAAATGGAAGTGAGATACAGAAACATCCAGATTGGTTACAGCTCGATGTTTGTCTCATTTGAACACAGTTTGGACAGCTGGCCACTTTTGATTGGCCAAAACTCGGTTATTGGTACAAGAGTATACTAGAGTCTGTATAGAACTCCATAGGTTATAGTTTATGATATACAGAAAAAACTTTAGGGCAAACTTAAAATATGTAAGGAGGCAGCTTTAGACAAAACTTGATTTAACAATACTGACATAATGATTTCTAAATTGGCCCAGCATTGAAGGAGAGACGTGGCAGTGAACTGACCAGTAAGTGAAACTTTTGTGGATAATTCTGGTAGTATGCTGGCAGAAAACTTAGCAGATTCTGGTCCTCACATTCCTGGGATTTCAGGATTCACAAATCTCTTCCATTTGAAGACACACTTTTATAAAGATAACCTGGTAGCTATAGCAACCCAACACTGACAACTTTGTTTCTGGTGACCCTACTGTTTTTATTTAAAGCACTGTGTTTCTGTAGTGAAGGACTATTTATTGACATTGGAATTTTTGAAAAGTAATATTTGACTACAATATGTTAACTGTAAAGACTCATTCTACCATTAATTATTTTAAAGCATATATTGGGTTAAAACTGTCATTGGCCCTAGGAATCAGCAAATCTTCCTATAAATTCTGAAGCTTGAGATGTCTTAGTTTATGATTAAAAGTATTTCTGTGTAAGTGGAACTGGAATGCTGTAGGCAGGTAATACTGAATAGAATCTAAGACTGATGCATTCTTCTTGGAGTCCTCATTTGTATTCCATGGCAGAACTCACTATAACTGTGCCATTGGGCAAAACATCTAAGCTGTTAAAATAGAGACTCATGGTGCAGTGGCTTAAACAAAATAAGTTTCTCCCTCATGTGTCTGTCCAGAATAGGCAATGCAGGGCTGTTATATTAACTCTGTTATATTTAACACACAGCTTCCATCTCTGTGTCCAAATTGGCTATAGCAACTCTTCTCTAGCTGGTGAGAAGGGGAAAAGAGGAAGTGAAGGGCACATCTCTTCTAGTTAAGGGCAAAATCTACAAGAACCCTTAACACATCATTTCTGGCTCACAGGTTGTTAGTCAGAACTTAGTCACAAAACCACACCCAGTTGCAAGAGAGCCTAGGAATTGCCATCTAAAGTTGGAAAGCTTTGAACCTAGTGAAAATTTGGGTGGGGAATTATATTATTAATAGTAAAAAGAAGGAGCACATAAATATTGGTGGAAGGCAAACAGTCTTTGCTACAATGGCTTGTTAGAAATTGTGAGTTGGTTTTCTCCGTATCAGAGCTGCTTTGTGGGTGGAATTCACTGTGATCATCTGTGCTGGAAGTAGGGCTCCTTGATAGGGTCAGTGAGGAGGGTCTTTTAAATTAATTTCCTGGTATACAGATCAGGTAATAATATAATCTCAGTGTTGAAATGGATCTTAATTGTCACCTAATTCAACCACTCACCTGAGAATCTCACTGAAGCACCTATCTTTTAGACTTGCCCAGTTTCCTATGTGAAAACTAAGGACATGCACAAAGTCACAGAATTATCAGTGACAATCAGGACTAAATCCAGAGAAACTAGTACATTTCAATTTCCTTCTTTTGTTCCTAGATAAATCCTTCTGAGCTTAGTTTCTATTATGCTATGGTCAGAGAAAAGATATTTGTGTTTATTATAAGCTATAACAGTCTATGTGTTTTTACGGTATGTTAAATGCTATAAAATAATTAAGCTATGATATTGATTTATAAGGCCCTTCTTTTGTTATCGTAACAGTGGGGTCTTAATAGAACATAGGTCATGGTTGCACATAATTGGATGATTATATGTTAGTGAAAAGGATATTGAAGTAGAATTCAAATGACCAGACCCACTCTTGGCTATCTAATATCTGTATGACTCCGGGAAAAATCATTGAACTTCTTTGAGGCTTGATGTATTTTTGAAATAAAGAATTGAGCTAGATGGTAAAATACTTAACCATTAACATAGCACATATTCCAACCAATCAAAACGGATGCCAGTCATGAAAAATTCAATTGGGTGGACTAGTGCATCATGGAAGAATGTCACCCAGGTTTAGTGCTATAAATTTTCTCTTGAACCTCAATTGTACACTGTAAAAAGCCATGACCTTAGCCTGCATTTTTTTTTGTTTGTATCATCCTTAGTACTTACATAATGAAAGAGTACATTGAAGCTTCCATCTGACGACTAGATGTTATTTTTAAGCCTCAAGTTTCAAATAAATATCAGAAAAAGTAATGAACGCCTGTAAGATGGTTCTGGAACAATGAGCAAGTATTGTCTATTTAGAAATCCCAGAGTTTCCCAGGTCCTTCTTTAAAGTAAATTTTAAAACAGTGTAGAGACTGGCTTCTAAAATGGCAAGAAATCCATTTAGTCATAAAAGAAACAGTTTCTAGAGCCTAATTCAAAAACCTGTCACATTTCATCACATTTCTAAAGACCTCATTGCCGAAGAGAGGACAATTGTGTGCCTGTACGTAAGCCTGAATATTATCTTTAGTGAGGCCTAGAGATAAATGTTGCAATGAGAACAGGATCCATTTAGGGTGAATTGGACAGAATAATTCTAAGTTATGGCATTGAAATTCCCACTTCACTTATAAGAATGAGATAAGGCAAAACACTCCAGTTAGTGGAACATGAGCTACTAATTTCCTGAAAAAGACAAAAGGAGGGGAGTGTATTGCTCTTACATGGAAGGAACAATTTTCTTCAGTCTCAGTGCTGACAATGAGAGACTGTGACAAGGGGAAAGTGATAGGAGAGGCAGCCTTAGATCAAAACAAAGAACAATGGAAAGCTAAACAATGACTCTTATCAGTTCCAAAGGTGAGTTCACCTTCCTGGCTTTTGGCCGTCCTGTTCATTGAGTGTTGACATGCCTCCATTGACATGCTTCTAAGAGGGCTGAGTCTGTTCTCTGCATCTGTTCTCTCTCTCTCTCTCTCTCTCTCTCTCTCTGTGTGTGTGTGTGTGTGTGTGTGTGTGTGTGTGTATGTGTACATGCATGTGTGCATTTTAATTATTTGTAAATAGCGCTTCTTCTATGGTATTGTTTCTTGGCTCCTGAAAAAGCTGTGGTTCTCTTCCAAATGCATAAACATGGAACTATCACCACAATCTCACCTTATGTACTTGAGAATGTGGGAGATGGATATATAAAAAACACTGGATACTTTGTAACGGAAACCAAGTCATCTTCTAAGATGTGAAAACATTAAAGTTCAGATAATCTGCAGAGTGAGGGAAGGCACTCTAATCCCAGAATTTCACTGATTAAGGTAGTGAATCCTAGGAAATATGGCCCAGTTATCCCAGCTCACTCACCTTCTAGACTTTCTAACCATCTTCTTCTCACCTTTCCTTTCACTCCATCCTGGAGGCTTTTACCAGACTTGCAATTCTGCAGCCATGGAAGAAGTGGGACCCTTTATACTAGACAGAGGAGAAGGAGATGAGGTCCCATCATGACCTCTGACAGCACTTTTATTTATCTTTCTTCTAGGACATCTAGAGTGGCTTCTCAGTTTTTCTTCTAAGAGGGCTGATTTTTTGAGGCTTTTAAACGCTGGGCTGGATACAGAATATAGGAAGAAGAAAGGACTTTTGGTACTGTGTTATCAGGCTAGCTGGCCTTTTCCACACCCTGGCGTCCTGAACCCATCACTTTCCTTCTCAACGTCCTTGGATACACCATATTGATGTATAGGGTCTTGTGATTCCTCTGCAATTCTTTTGGGATGAAATGAATTCTTTCTCTCTTTCTCTCTCTCTGCTCTTCCTTCTTTCATTTCTCTCTTAGTGTGCATTTTTCTTTGTCTTTCTCCCTGTACATGCCACCAAAAAAAGTCTTCATTTTTCGTTGAATCACTTCCACATTTCAGAATAATCTTGGGAAGATGTATTTCTATGGGGTAACTATAAAACCTAAACTATCTGTAAGTTCCTCCCTCCTCCATGGTGAAAGTTACATTCTATAATCAAGATGGCTTTGGATCCCTTTCCCATATTATTCTGATATAGTATGTTTCCACACTAGACTGAATCCATTTGGCTAGAAATGGACAGATACTATTAGCTTGACCTTTAGGAGGTAGGATTACAGTTTTATAGGGTAGCTAGGAAAGGTCTTTGAAACATGCATAATGAAGTTGTGGGGTAGAAAGAAAGAAGACTTTGGGATTACTCCACCTTTGTTTCAAATTTCAAGTTTGCCACTCACTGTGTGATATTGGGAAGGTTACTGTAACTTCTTTAATCATCGATTTCCTTATTTGAAAAATAGAGGTAATCATATCTAATATCACAGGATTGTTGAAGTCAAAGCTTAGCCTTGAGAAGATGCCTAATAAATGTGAACACCTCAATTTTCATGCTGACAAGAAAAGCACCAAATCTTATAATCTTCTTTCCTATTAATTGCACCTGCAACTTATTGAGGGCTTACTTTTTGCTAGCCACTGTTCTCAGCATTTTGTCTAACTTAATTCTCACTACAATCCTATGATCTAGGTACTAGCTATACTTCAAGCCGACTAGTGAACAACAGTGGCTGTTGTGGGTTTAAGTGACTTGCCTGAGGATGTCCAGTTAGTAAGCAACTCAACGCGAGAGTTGGACTTGGCTTCTCCCTGGCAAGCTGACTCCAGAACCCTCTCCCTGAACCTCACTCCACACTACCTCCCTATAGCATATATTTCGGGCAAGGATTTTCCTGCACCCAAAAGCAGAATGTCAAAGATACAGAAATTAAAATAACTCTTCTGTGATCAATGGGAAGAGATTAGTGTTTCATTAAGAGCCGCTGTTGAATTGAACCGCCATTGAATTGAACAAGGGCTCTTTACTTGGATAATTATTGTTTGTATTCAGCTTAGACTCATTGTCTGCAGGTTCTAGGATCAGTCATCACAGGTGGAAGGCATAACTTTCTGTACTGCTACATTAAAGCTGAACAGTGCCAACAGCCAGGCATCTGCAGTAATTGCTTTCATGTATCGAGGTCTTGAGGCATGCCTGTGAAAGTTAGAGGAATAATATGGATTTGTAAAGAATGAATTAATTTATTGAAAATTGAACAATGTTTTGAGGTTAAGAGTATTTAAAAAAATTTAAGGTCTAGTTTTTATAGAAAAAATAAAAATGTCTTCCAAAGAGTAAACCCCTTTTCCAAACTTTCTCTTCTGTTGCATTATGTCAACATATGAACTGATGAAGCAAAAAGTGTGAGTCCAGAAATGGCAAAAATCCAATTTCTGAACCACAACATACATGAGTAAAAAAACCAGAGATGATCTGTAGGCAGTCGATTAACATGGTTCCTGAACTTGGATTGCTGAAATTCAAGCTGAATCCAGCTTACACACTGTACCCCAAAGTCTCAATTCTCTTCAGTAGGTTTCCTCTCCTAGGTTCTTTCAGAATCTCTGTTAGAAAATGAAGATGAATTTGCTTGTGATTTGTATATATGTGTTATGTGTGATGTGACATGTGTATGTGTGTATTTGTAAGTGGTTTGGGGGTGTGTATATGTGTATTGTGTTTGTGCATATGTGTGTTTTGGAGTGTGTGTATATGTGTGTGGCATTTGTGTATTTGTATAGGGGACAGATAGATACATGGTGGCTGTGTATGTGTGGTGTGTATTTGCACACAGTGTGTGCATGTTTGTGATATGTATGTCTATGCATTTGTATTTGGAGTTTGTGTGTTCTGTGTTGTGCATTTGGGCATGGGGGTGTGTTTGTATGTGGTTCATATGTGTATGTAGTGAATTTGTATGTGTTATGTGTACATGTGTGTATGTGGTATATTTGCATGTAGTGTGGGGCTATGTCTATATGTGTTGCATATGCATATGTCTGTGTATTTGTGATATATGTGTGTATATTTGCATTTGGGGTGATGTGTATATGAGTTTGTGATAAATTCATGTGGTGTGTATAGTCTGTGGTATGTGTTTGCGTTATGTGTTTATGTTGTATATGCACGTGCATGGTGTATATGGTGTATGCATGATGTGTATATGTATATATTTGTATGGCATGCAGTGTATGTATTGGTATGTAGTAGTGTGTGTATGCCTGTGGAATGTGCATGTGTGTGGGCTATGTATTGTGTGCTTTGTGTATGTGTATGTGTGTTTTCATAAAGCATGTGTGTGTTTGGGGGGGTCTTTTATTGGCGTGTTAGTGTGAATATGTGTGATATATTGTATTTGGTGTGCATATGTCATGCATGTGATGTGTGTGTGTGTGTGTGCTGGCATGTACACATTATAGCTGGGTACATATATGTGTGGGTGGAGGGAGAGAAAGGGTGTATGTGGTATAGTTACAAATAGTCATTTATCCATTAGTAGTTTCAGATTCATTGAAAGGCTATTCAAAGCTATTATTGCAATTAGTTCAGTCTTGAAATAAGCTAAACACAATAGTATCCCCAAAATAATTCTGTTTCTTTCTCTTGGCTCTTCCAAAGTCATGATAGGCTGTGGACAGGAATGCCTAACCAGTTGGTTCTAATAGGCTTCCTTGGCTCCCCATGTCCTCTGGGGAGCTGGCTGATGTTGCAAGGAAGTGAAGGAAAGGCCTCGAGGGCACTGTGAGAGTGTTAAAAAATAGAGTAGGCCGGGCGCGGTGGCTCACGCCTCTAATCCCAGCACTTTGGGAGGCCGAGGGAGGCAGATCACGTCAGGAGATCGAGATCATCCTGGCTAACAAGGTGAAACCCCGTCTCTACTAAAAATACAAAAAATTAGCTGGGCGTGGTGGTGGGCGCCCGTAGTCCCAGCTACTCGGGAGGCTGAGGCAGGAGAATGGCGTGAACCCGGGAAGCGGGGCTTGCAGTGAGCCAAGATCGCGCCACTGCACTCCAGCCTGGATGACAGAGCGAGATTCCATCTCACAAACAAAAACTATGTTTGTGAGATTCCATCTCACAAACAAAAACTATATATATATATATATATATAGAGAGAGAGAGAGAGAGAGAGAGAGAGAGAGAGAGAGAGATAGAGAGAAATTCATCAATTTGTATATGCACTTCATTGCAAATCAGAGACATCATTACGTTTTCATTGGCCATAGCTCTTCTTCAAAGTGGACCAATACTTCAGGTTGATTTTGTTTGGCACAAATTTGGTCTTCAAAATTGGATAGGGTCTTATTTCTCAATTTAAAAATAAACTTGGCCATCTGCAAATGGCTTGACAAAGAAAACCCCCACAACCTCCTTTGAAGCTCTGTCATCTTCATATCTGAAAATAAAAGCTATGTTTTCTGGCTGCTGAAAACTCTTCTTTAAATTTCTTAATATCAATTTTTTATTAGACTTCTAAAAAATAAGCTTGTCATGGACCTGAGGCTCAGAGACAGAATGTGAATACAAACACCGCTTGCTAAACATTTGTGCCATTTGTCCCTACATGCACTCTATTCAAAGAGTCAATCTAAAATGCAATTTTGAAACTGAAACAACAAACCTTTTCTCAGAATCCTCTGGCAGGGAAGCTGAGGTAGCGCCAGTAAGAAGTGCGCCAAATACTAATTACTCCCTTGAGAGCCAATCATTCTGCACAAACCTGCATAATGTTCCATCTCCTGAGCAATACAGATGCTGACATATTTCTTGTCTTGTTGTTTCCTGCCATTTAAAGATGTTGCTATTTGTTACACACTAAGCAGTAGGGAAGAGAGAAGCAAATGCAGTTCAGTTACCTGGGCAATTTTTATAAATAACCAGTAGATATGGTTGTTTTGAAAGGCTTTCTTCTTATGTGTCAGTGCATACTTGATATTCTGCTTGATATTCTTAGGGCTTGGAGCCTCACTAGCAGGGGTCACTCAAAGGGGCCTCAGGGACCAGGCTACAGCATATGGAAAATGAATGATCAGGGCTTGATTCCTACCCTCCCTAACCCCCATTACCTTAAATAGAACAGCTTCACTTAAAATATGTTTTTTAATACTAGGATTTTGTATAACATTTAATTCAAGAAAAGAAAGAATAGATTAACTCACTGACTTTAAGCTTAAAAAGTATAGGGACTCTGAGTAATGAACAAGGATTTAGGGATTGCCTCCTATGTATGAATGGCAGGTGGCCAGCTCACTAAATATTCACAACAGCCACCAAACTACCCTGATCCAGCATCCACTGCCGTTGACACTATAGGAGTCATCTTTGATTCTAAACCTCTTTACTGCCTCATTTTCTACCCTATTGGAGACATAATTAACTCACAATGGAGCTGGAAAGATATGAAGGAGGTAGACCATGAGTGGTTTTGAAAGCCAGGTTAAAAATGATAAACTTTGTCTTCAAAGCCATGAAATTTCATAGATACGGTTTCAGCAGGTCTGAGTTTTAGAAATTATTGTGATTGCTGGGTGGAAAATTAATTGGGGAGTGGCAAGACTGGAGATAGAGAGTTGATATATGATGTTACGGCCCTTTTATTTTCTATTTGCCGTCTGAAAAAATGTATCTCTGTAATAGATGATAAGGGTAAGTAAAAGCCATGCCAACAGAACACTCATGAAATTAAAAAAGAAGGTCATCTATTTACTCATTCAGGTATTTAATTCATGTATTCAGTCAATTTATTTAACAAATATTTGAGTGCCTACTATATGCCTGGCCTTGTTCTAGGTGCTGGGGACAAATGCCACTGCCCTTAGGGAGCTCACATTCTAGAATGGGGAAGACAGAAAACAAGTAATGTTTAGTCTATTAGATGGTGATAATGATAGAAGAAAAATAAAAGAGGGATGGGGCATGCAAAGGGTTGCAGTGGAAGTTGGGATTCTTAAGAAAGGTATGATGGCCATTGCAGGCCTAGGGAGGGGACATTTCAGAAAAGACCCAATGGAGTGAGACTCCAGTGAACCCAGTGAAGTTTACTGTGTGGGGACGCAGAGACAAGCATTGTAGGCAATGGGAACAGCAGAACAAAAGACTTGGAGAAAGCATATAACTCCACTGGCTTTCAGTAAAGAAGTCTGAGCTGGAGTTATAAATTTGGGAAATTTCAGCAAACCGGTGATATTTAAAGCTATGCACTCAATTGAATCACTAAGGGAGAGCACACAGCTAGAGAAGAAAGAACTGCAAATGCACCTAAAGATTTGTACCATCCACATCTAACCCTCTTGATATTTCCTAGATGCCCTTTATCAGGCATTCCATACAATTATTTCTTCAGTTATCTCATCTTCCAATAGCTATTCTTCTTCCAATGCAATAGTTTTATTTTCTACTGATTTGAAATACAAATTAATAGTATTTTAGCTACATATGTGGTTTAAATAGAATTCACAGGTAACCTAGGAACCTAGTTGACATTTTCAACAATGTTTCTATGGGAACATATATTCTGAATTCCAAATAAGTGTCTTTCACATTACTTTGGGAACATTATCCAGTTTCAATTTGGAAACTGCTTGTAGTCCAATGCAGAAAAATATACATTTTTAACATCCTTCATATCTGTTTGCTCAAATAGCCTTCATATTCTTCACATAGATAATACAACTAAAATATTTGTTCCTTTGAATTTTAATATAATATGCTATTAATATTTTCATTATTATTAGGCATTTTTCTTTTTCATGTTGTGATCTTCCTCTTCCTTGGCCTTTGTCTGCCCTCACTCCCACCTTTATTGACATACATTAAGAACCATCTAACTTTGCTGATAGAATAAATTCTATTTAAGTGATGCCTACTAATTATTATGTATCATGGGAATCTATCCACTTCTTCCCATTACATGTCTCATTTACCTCACATTATTACCAGAACAGACTTGATTGGTGCAGTACTTGAAGTGATGACTCTGTTTCCTCTTGTGACATGAAATCCAGATTGTTCATGACTGTAGGGGGTAGAAAAGAGAATGAGTAGCCATTGAGGTGACAGAAATTGAATGAAGCAGCAACAAATTCTCAGATTCTCATCCTTGGTTCAAATTTCTGGAACCCCTCAAGGACACCCCATCATTTGCTCTGACTGAGCCTTTTACATAAAGACTAAACTGTATTATTCACTGACTCTGGGTAAATAAATTTTCTTTTAACGTCCTTCTTCATTGTACATTTCAGAGATGCCTTTTCTGATTGCCACTGTGACGTTTTGCATGGAATGGCTAATCTACTCAAGAGGATCTCCCAGATTAGCTTCTTTCTGTTAGTCAGAATCATGCCTTATCCTCATGCTATTATGATTAATCTCTTTGAAAAACATGGAGTTTCAGTATTTGTAAGGCACATCTTTAAGTCACATTCTTTTAGTTACGCCATTCACTGAGTTAATCTTTGGATAGGGTGAAATGTCATCAATATCATCAGAGGATTTCACAATCTCTTTCATTTTTTTCAGCCCAACAGTTTTCCTCCTGACTGGGGTAAATGATCACTTTGTCCTGCAGTCAAATTCTTTAGGTCTGCTGAACTGGAAAGCTTTGATTTCTGTTCGCACTTCTGCTTCACATTTTCTTTGCTTTCAGTCTTTCATTTTTTTTCTCAAGTAATTGGAAAATATTGCATGCAGGTATTTTGGTGCAATAGAAAAAGACTATAACAGGACATCTGGAGATCTGGAATGTAGCTCCATGTATCAATGGACTGATATGTACTTTATGTTTCATTTTATGCAGGATTTGCGTTGTCTTCGCTACTTTCATTATTGTGTAGTTTACTTCATGTAGTGATACATTCTCATACTTGGAAGGCCCCTAAGTGGTACTTTATTGCAATTTCAACAATGATATCCCCTTTAACACATCTTTCATTCGTGGTTGTACTTTTTTGATTGAACATCTTCAGGCATGTAAATTTCTACTCCAATAATTAATGGAAAACAATAATTGCTAATTACTCATTATTTTGAAAGGAAAAATCTTAACCCAATATATCTCCTCATAATGCACTTGGAAATTATTTGAGAAGCTAACTACCATTGTAACAAGATATTGTTTTCGTTGATCGAAGGTTGTCACAGGTGGTGGTAATTTGTGGAAGATTTGAGTGCCTTTATTCCCAGAGAAAAAAAGTCACTTCTTGCCATTTGTGGAACTAGGACTTATCCATTTTTTTCTTTCGTTATTTGGCACATTTATAATTTTATGAATCTGTGACTTTGCATGCAGATAGGAGTGCTCTTCCAAAGGCAGAAGTTAACATAGGAGTAATAGAAAATGGCTGATGAAGATTTTTAAAAAAGAGGAAAGAGAAAGGAAGTAGAAAAGGATGAAGAGATGAAAAGGAGAAAGGAAAAGAAATGGACAAAGTAATGGTTTGTACAGTAAAGGAACTCATAGGTTTCATGGGGTAGTGGTATGGAAATCGCTAGTTATGAAATAATATTTCATCATTATTTATGAAGTTTCATTCATATATAAGAATTCATATTTAAGAATTACTTTTAGGAGTGAGTACACAGTGCTACGGAACACAGAAAAGTAATTAACATGGCCTCAGAGTAAAGATTTTACAGCAGAAGTAACACTGAAGCTGGGATTTGAAAGATAAAGGATTTTCAGTGGTGGAACCAAGAGGTCAAGGGCTATCCAGGAATAAGCACCGCGTTCAAAGGCACAGATGCAGGAGAGAACGGAATATAGTGTGTTTGGAGAAGGGTGAGAAGGTGGAGTAATTAGAGTGCTGGGTGTAGTTAAAAAATGAAACCTGACCTTTTATGCCCGCCTGAAAACTGGAATCCTCATCCCGTAAGTAATGAGGAACCACTGGAACATTTTACATAAGACATTGTACATATTAGATCCGTGTTTTAGAAAGATAATAATTGATAGTGTAGAAGATGAAATGGTAAGAGGAGAGGCCAAATGTCCACTTCATTGGACATGAAGTTAATTTTAGTTATTATTATTGTAATAATTTTCTTTTTGTATTTGGAAATGATTAAATTTCAGCTCTCAGGCATTTTCATAGGCCTTGGAAAAGTTCATAGGGCCAAGGCACAGTGCTTCTAGTGTTCAGTGAGTAAATGGCCCTGCACTCCATTGCTTTTCTTTTCATGCTGTTTGAAGTCCCAGAACATCACTTTTACTCGGGGACAAGAGTTCTTTTTTTCCTGACTCTGATGTACTGAAGGTAATCAGTCATGTGTTTTCCATACTCCCACTTTCCCTTTTCATTTTCTTAAATGGGTGTTATGGTCTAAATAGTGTCCCCTCAAAATTTAGAAGTTGAAGTCCTAACCTCCAATACCTCAAAATGTGACTGTATTTGGAGATAGCTTCTTTGAAGAGATAATTAAGGTAAAATGAAGTCATTAGGGTGAGCTCGCATTCCATATGACAGGTGTCCTTATAAGAAAAAATTTGGACATAGACACAGAGAAAGACCATGTGAAGAAAGAAAGAGAAGATGGTCATCTACAAGCCAAGGCGAGAGACCTCAGAAGAAACTAACTCTGGTGACACCTTGGTCTTGGACTCCCAGCCTTCAGAAATATGAAGAAATTAATTTCTGTTGTTTAAGCCGTCCAATCTCTGGTATTCTGTTAAGAAACCCTTAGCCAAGGAAAATCAGAGAGCACTAGAGAAAAAGCTACAAAGCACTTATTAATTATTTTGGCACAAGCAGGGAGAATGAAGTGTGTATTGGTGAGAGCTGGCAGAGAATGTGCTGTCTTGAATGTGCTGACAAGATCCCCTTAGGCTGTGGATTGGGCTAGCAACTATGCGAGGGCCTGTAAGTGGGAATGAAGAGCGAGGTAAAATGAGGGAAAAGAGCCATTGGGTCCTCCTGGGGGAAATAAGAACACTGTGTGTGTGTGTGTGTGTGTGTGTGTGTGTGTGTGTGTGTGTGTGTATCTCTGTGTGAAGAATTATGCTGACCTTATGTTACTTTAAGTTAAGCACCTTTTAACCCAATATTTTATTTGACTAGATCAAAAAGGCCAGGCTAAAAGTTTTAAATATGGTGAGGCTTTTATAATTAATAGAAACAAGTATTTCTGTCTTATTTAGAGTAGAATACAATTTTAACACTTGGGTGACAGACAAAACTGACCAGATGGAAGTATCTTTGGTTCACAGTGACTAAGAGCTAGCTTTGTCCCCACTCTTATGATCAAATATACATACACATTCAGAACAAAATTTTCACCTTTCTATTGAGGGTATGCAAGAATAACTAAGAAAGAACAGATACATAATCTATTGCCTTTACCTAGTTCTAATTATCTCAAGATCTCCGGGCTCTTGATAAGTTGTAGAACTCATATCACACCTTAGTTTGGTTGCAAAGTGGCAATGCCCTCAACTCTCAGGTGGCTGATTGAGGTCACATGGTATGGATAAGGAGGTAAGATTGAGATTGTCATTAAGAAGAAAATACATAACCGCAAACTCTTCAAGTATACTGTAACCTTGAATTTGATCTGGCAGGTTACTATCCATCTGTCTGTTGCTCTGGAAATGAACTGAGAAGCATGAATTCATTTCTCCAAACAAGTCAATGACAGCCAACCAAAAGTCAGAGCACTAATATTCCACACACACATGCACACACACACACAAATGTGATCTCTTGAGTATGTGGATTATTTCCAAACTGGGCAGGCACTTTGATCATAATATCATTAATTTGGGATAGGGAACAGATGGTAAGAATGGGCATAATTATTTTAAAATTTGAATGGCTAAAGAGTCTTCACTAACTAATCTTTAATATGGTGTCAAACAATTGTTTAATGGAAATTTGTAGATCCCTTACTTTTTCTGTCTCTGCTTTCATTTATGAGTATTGACTACTTATTGATTCCCTTTACCATGATGGTATACCATCACATACCAGTATATATATCTATTACTCATATATATACTGGTGAGGGACATTGTTGTTTAAGGGTATATATGACAGAATTTTGATCTTTCAAACACTGTCACTGTAATTTGAGAAGAAGGCATGTACACCCAAGAAAAGCATTCTACTCCCTTTTCCATTCCTCCTCTTTCTTCCTTCTTCCCCTCCAACGTGAGCTCCATCTTTTTCTTTTGAAGATCTCAAATATTGTAAGGTGCATTTAACATATTCATCTGGTTCAACATTACTCATCTAGTTAACATAGATTGAACAGAAGGTGTGTTGTTTTTCTTTCTAGGCCATATCCAGTAACAGAGTCTACTGCATCATATTAACTGATAAACCCAGGATGACAAGAGAAACATGGGACTCACTCTTCATTTGCATTGACTCCAGCTAAGAGCTTCAGTTTTCATGCTTTGCTTCAGAATTATTGGTGAGCCCTGTGCTAATTTCCATCTCATCCTAGAAGTCAGTTATTTTATAAGCATGTAATTGCTTATAAAAATAGCTGGGAAGGAAGAACATTTTGGAAGAGGGAGGCATATGCCTGAAAGAAGAAGGGGATGGGAATACAGTCAGTTGCTATTTTGGCCCAGAGATATGTACAGGCAAACATGTAGGTATTGTATTTCCTTGATTGTCTTAATTATTGGAGAAAGACAACTATAGTACTTACTTTCTTACAAGAAATGTATGCTGGAGGCTGCCTGCCAATGATCTCTATTGGATACTAGAAGGCATACCTGTAATTACTTTAGAGCTCATTTCTGAGATTAGAAGCCATGATCAGGTTGGTTTTAGACCACTAGGGAACATTTATGAAAATTTCATAAGTTCATGAGTTCTTATCACACTGATCATCAACCTAAAATATACATTTTTATGTTGAATTCTATATTATATTTTATGTAGGGCAGAAATGGTTGACTATTGGCAACATCATATAGTTCAATCTAATATTATTCTCATTTTTAACAACGAAAACACACCAACACACTCGCTGTATTCCTATTACTTCCCTCAACACATCTACATCCAAGCCTTCTACTTCATGGCGTAAAGCAGTGGTTCTCAAACTTCAAGGGGCAGGGCTTATAACAAAGCAGATTGCTGGCCTTCAACCTCAGAGTTTCTGATTCAGTACATCTGGTGTGGGACAGAGATTTTGAATTTATTTTTTTTCCCTCTCAGTTACCTGGAGCCTGGAGAGATTTTGAATTTCTAATATATATCCAGGTGATGCTGCTACTGCAGCTAAACCAGTGACCACACCTTGGAAACCACTGCTATACAGGGATGATGTCTCCAAGGATGCAACTTACTTTTTAATTTTTCCTTTGAATACCAAAACAACATTGGAAATTTAGATTTTCTTAAAAAATATTTTGCAAACCTCATGCTGTTATTTTAACTTATCCTTCATTTATATTTTCTTGTGCATAATGCATAAAGTAGGAACTGTATCACCATAATTTTTAAAGACCTCAAAATCTTTCCATTTATGTGAATATAACATAATCCTAGAAAAACTATACAGTGTAAGTAATTATAAAAAACTAACATTTAATAAAGTGTTGGAATTGAGGGAGGGGTGAAAGAACTAATTAGGGGTGGTGGCTGGGTGGGATAATGCAATGGAGAGTCACATGTCCAGTTTGACGTTACACTAAACATTCTTCTTTCAACTCCTTCCCACTTCTCAGATTCTATGAGCCAAATAGCACTGAGAAAGACCAGCCCAGAATGTCTATCTCCATTCTATGGAGAAGAAAACATTCAGAGTTAAAAAAAAAAAATGGACTGACTGTAGCAGGTCTGTGTAAGAACTCAGTTAGGGGATCAGGACAAATCCCAGTCTGGTTTCAGAAGTGGGGAATAGGGCACTGGAGATGGGGCCACACACACTTTGGCCTAGCAGAGGAGAAACTCCTATCCTCAAATTTCCTCTCACTTTCACCCATGTTGCAAACAAAGACATTAGACGCAAATAGGAAATGTTATGTTTAAATTTTGACTGACCAATCAATTCTAAAACCTTGGTATGAGCAAACCTTCTAGTCATCAGGTACTCTGGCTATTAGCTACTAAACTCTTAGATAGTCAGAAACACTACTATTTTGCTTTGAAGCAGAAGCAGCATCTTTCTTGCCATGTGCTCCTCTGGACTCTCCCAGGGACTTGAGTAGTCTGTTTTTCTTTCTTTGTTTCCATGTGTCCTTGTACTTACCTGTCTTCTCTTTCTTCCAGTATCTCTTCCATTTTCTTAGATCATGCCTTTATCTCACCAACTTCCTTTTTCTGTGTAATTTGCTTTAATACACTCAGTTTCTTTCTCTATGTGTTTTCGTTTCAATGAATGTGAAATACTTCTTAATTTATCAGGACTTTACCTAATGATTTTAGTGGGCTTTACTTTAAATGGAAAGTGGTGGTACACTGGTTTTGCTTATCCCGAAGAATTCCCTGTAAATGCCAAAGAGATACTAATATTATCCAGCATTTATAAAATACAAAGCATCTGGAGAAATTTTTTTCATAGGCAATAACTTATTCTTTAAAAAGTGAAGTGATCACAATTATCCCTGTTCCTGGAAGAATAAATTTTACAATAACTTGGGAAGTAACTCATTGCTCAGTGGAACTGAGCTATTGAACACACAGATTTGGATTGTATACCAGCCGTGTCTCATGCAATCTGGGCAACTAACCCCATTTCTATGAACACTGGCTTCCTCACCTGTCAAAGGGTGATAATACCATCTCACAAAGTTGTTATGAGGATAAAATAAAAAAGTGTACCTTGAATGTCTATTGTTATTATTTCACTCCAAACTACCAGGATAGCATTGGTTCATTCATTCATTAATTTAAGGATGTGTGCTAGGCACTGTAAACAGAACAGTGAACAAGACTGGTCTTTGACTTCATGGAACTTATAGTTTATCAGAAAAGATAGACTAAAATAAATGATCATACATATAATAAACTTTGATGAGGCCATCAAAGGGAAATACATCGTGCAACAAAGTGTAGTGAAGGAAAATTTCATTATGCCATGAAAATGTATAATGTGGGAACCTAATGTAGTCTGCATGTGTGGGTGAACATGTGTAACTTCTTCATTGGAGTGACATTTAGCTGAGGCTTAAAAGATAAATGTGGGATTGACTAAATAGTAAATAAGGAAGAGAGAGTTCCAAACAGAAGGAACAGCATGTGCAAAAGCCTAGAAGAAACAGGAAAGAACTTGGCAGATTCAAGGAATTCATGAAAGATCCCTAAGTTCTGAAGGTTAGTAAGCCAGGGAATGAAAGACATGAGTTAAAGTTGCAGAAGTTGGTGGGAGCAGAACCACCCAGTGTCTTGCAAGCCACAGTAAAGATTTTATTTTTCTCCACAAAGCATCTGGAAGGTTTTGAATGGACTTAAGCTGGGGGATGATTTTCTTTTTGAGTCTGCTGTGTTAGAGTAGATTAGAGAAAAGCAAGAATGAAAATGGGATTTTTGTTAGGAAGCTCTTAGAATTGTCCAGAGGAGAGATTTGGTGCCTTAGATTACAATGCTGAGAGGGAATGGGAGTGGAGTTAAGATACTGTTAAGAGAATTGTTGGGTTTCATGAATTACTGAGTAGGTATAAGATGCAAAGATGGGATGATCAACTTGATTTCCAGGTTTTTATTTAGAGTACCTAGTAATGGTGCTTGCTGCTATTTACCCTTAGAAAAAACACACTTGAAGGGGAAGCTCATTTGTCCTGACTTGGATATGTTGAATTGAATATCCATTGAATATGAGGCCTGTCCTGTAAAATATCCAAGTAAAAATGTCTAGTGTGCAGTTCAATATAGAGATTTAAATTGGACAAAAGTATGAAAGATAATGTTTTTTGGAGGACATTTGAAATCATAGGATGGAGTGAGATACGTACGGGAGAAGTACATAGCAAAATTAATTGACCAGACTGACAGTGTATCCAGTGCATAGTCAATGTGTTTGTTGGGGGACGGGGGAAGGAGGGAGAGGGAGGAGAGTGGAAATTGTGTAAGTGGGCAGGCTGGAGAAGTGAATGTGTCTTTGTTGATAGGAGTCATTTTGGCTTAAAAGCTGTAATTTCCAAGCTCACCAGAATCCTTTGGGTAGCTTATTTATGGTGGGGTATAAAACCTCAGCTTTGCTTTTTCACATTATTGTCTTGTCTGGAAGTAGAGATAACAAAGGACAAATGGTACATGGAATATCTTCCCCACCCACCTACCCAACCAACCAAGGCACTCTAATATGGTAGTTAACAGCATGGACCCTGGAATTAGTCTATCTGGGTCCAAATCCCAGCTCTGTCACTCACTGGCTATGTGTGCTTCAGAAGGTCACTTAACTTCTCCATGCCTCCGTTTCCACATTTATAAAATGGGTGTAAGAGTAATTTCCATGTTATAGAATTTTGTGAGGATTACATGAGTTAATATTTATAGGTAAAGCACTTAAGATGAAGACTGGCATGTACTAATTGCTATATATAGTATTAATATGTACAATGACCCAGACATAGGCCATATGGCTCTGTTCTCAAGGATTTTACAATCTAGTGGGGAGCTCAGACAAAAAGATACAAGAAGCGGGACCGGACAAGCCTGATGAAGGCACGCAGGAGGGGAAACAAATGTTTCAGGTAACATCTAATTTGTGATCTGAAGGATAGGGAATTGCACCATGGGTTTTTGGGGAAATATGTTCTGAATTCTATAAAATGTTTTGGCACACAATGCATTCATAATAATAAAAATATTTATATGGTGCTTTATAATTTTCAAAGTGATTATGCATACTTCAGCTTATTTGATTCTTTTATCAGTCTGATGAAATCAATAATTTGGAGCATTTTCTCTAGGCCACATTTTGGGGAAGAGTCTCATAAAAATAAGACACATCCCATAATCTCAAAAAACTATAGTTTAGTGGTGTTTTTGGACCCAATATTATATATGTGAAAAATTGAGGTTTGGAAGAATTAGAGGACTTGCCCAAAGTCACACAGCCAGTAGTATAAAAATGATATGAATGCAAATCTCTGGATTACAAGTGGTTTGTTGTCCTTTCATCTTATATATAGAGGTCCTATAACTAGATGAAAAGATCTACTAATGGACACAGATTATCTGAGTTATTTTCTTCAAAATAATATTTGAAAACTGCATGCTTTGGTTTTAGAAACTCCAATACAGCAAGATTACCCCTGTGAAGAATAAACAGGACCCTCTGAATGTGTTTTCTCTGGCTTTGCAATGCCGTATCATATCGTTCACATCCTGGTAGTGTAAAAAAATTCTTTCTGACCCTTTTTATTTAGTGAGATTCCTTCAACTAGGATGCCAGGGCATTTCACAGGGACATAAAGGGAAAAGGTTGGGATATGTCAGCCCTGGGGGTACAGGTGAATGACGTCACTACTTTGGGCTTGTAGCCAAGGAAAACTGCAAAGCCAAAAGCAAGCTAAGGTAGCAGGCAGTTGGGGCAGGCTGGGGTTAGTCACAAAGCTGGCTGAGCCCTGGAAGACAAGAAATCTACTGCCATTAGAGAAAGTTGGTTCAAGGACACCCAAAGTCAATGAGTTAGAGTGAAGATAAGGCCACAAGGAGTGGGAGAATAAAAGGTCGATGAGGGATCAGGCAGGCAGTACAGAGGACAGATCTATATCAAGGAAACTTGATCCCTGAATAGGCTTCCTGTTCCTGTTTCTGAGGTTTTCTTCAGCAAAAGTTTGGCAGGAGTCCACTACAGCAGGGCAGCAGGGCAGCAGGGCTGGTCTAGACTGCACAGGTGAGAACCAGGAATGTTTTTATTTGGCTGAAGTGAGGGAGGCTAGGACAGGTTAGCCCAGCTCCCAGTGAGTCAATTGTAGAGAAACTTAAGATGTGGGAGCAAAGCTCGTTTAGCCACAGGAGGCCAGCTTCAGAAACATGGATATACTGATGAAGATTTGTACTTGGTCAAAACACCATGGTCTGCTTCGAAGGAAAAGCCTTTAAGAAGTATTTATTTTCCTAAAAGATTCATAGTAGACCTTGAGTAGTGAGTGGCTTTTAGCAGGAGGAGAGAGAAATTAAGCCAAACAAATACTCTTTTCAGTGGATCAGAAACATATATCCCACTGTCTTTGAAAAGCGAGTAGGTCTGAAAATAAAACTTCTAAAAGTTTTTGAAGACCCCCCAAAATTGGATCTCCAAACCACTCCCCAAACTGGAATCCAGTTTGAGATGTTGGAATAAAAGTAGATTTGAACTTTGTCACCCGGAATGATGAAGGATCTAAGGACGGTGAGAATTCTCATATGGCACTTGAAATGGCCAGCTGCTGTTCTGATCACTATATAGGTACTATTTAATAGTTTCAGAAACATACTAGGTAAGTGCCATTATTACCACTGTTTAACCACTGAGGCAGCGGAGATATACGGAGAGAAATGAAGTGACATGCTCAAGATCACACAGCCTGAAGTTCATAGAATCCCACAAAATGTGGCTGAGGTAAAATATCATAGTCCCATCTATGCTTTTCTTTCTCTGCATTTATGTGGCCAAGAGCATTTTGGGAACCAGTAGTATTTTGGCACAACTCCAGATATGTGCTCCCGTGTCACTAAGAGACGATATTTTCTGTCCTGCAGTGGGTTCAAAATATGGGTGTACTTCATGGCTAAAACAGTGATTACTGTGTTGAGCAGTGAAATGTGTAAAATCTTTTAGGTTTTAATGTCATAAACACAAATATATAAGTGTCAGATAAAAGAGTGTTTATTTTGCTCCATATTTTCTTCCCACAACATTATCGAGTTAGAGAAGAGTTGAGGAACAGGGGCTGGTTCAGATGTGGCTAACTTAGCCAAACTTACTGGCTATGCAACATGGAAAGTTATTTTTCTTCTGTGGACTTCTGTATCCTTTCTACCCAGTGAAGATAATAATACTCTCTACTTTACAAGGTTGTTGGGGTTCTTAAATATGATAAATACAAAGTACCTCACACAGAGCCTGACACTTAGTAAGTGCTCAATAAATACTAGTTTTTGTTTTGTTTTATTTTGTTTTGAGCAGGAGTCTCACTCTGTCACAGGGGCTGGAGTGCAGTAGTGCAATCTTGGCTCACTGCAACCTCTGCCTCCTGGGTTCAAGCGATTCTCCTGCCTCAGCCTCCCGAGTAGCTGGGATTACAGGTGCCCGCCACTATGTCCAGCTAATTTTCTGTATTTTTAGTAGAGACAGGGTTTCACCATGTTGTCCAGGCTGGTCTCGAAGTCCTGACCTCGTGATTCGCCCGCCTCGGCCTCTCAAAGTGCTGGGATTTCAGGTGTGAGCCACTGCACCTGGCCTAATAAATACTAGTTTTTATGGTTGGTTTTATTACTCTGAAGATGAAACCAGAGGAAGTCAAGGGGAAAGGATCTTTAAATTTACCTATATCTCTGGTTGTTTCCCCCTCCCCATTTTAGAATTGTACTAAGGGCAGCCAGTATTTAGACATGGTTAGGAAGGGAAAGGGAAGTGCAGCTTTCCTCTCCTGTTTTGCCTGTTTAAGCAAATAAACAGTTTCTTACCATGTTAATGGGACCACTGCTCTATGAGAGAAGAAGAGAAGAACTGATGAATATAAGGGATGGGCAGCAAGATCAGATGCTGGGGGAAATCTGCCGAGGAGAAGAGTAGGGAACCAGTGATAGTGAGGACTTGTTTTAGAAGCTTAGAGGGACTGGGCTGGTGTGGTGGGTGGAATGTGGTATCAGATCATTTTATGGATGATAATACCTATATTATAATGAGATATTTTTGGAAACATATTCCCTGAACAGTTTTAATAGAGACTCGTTCCATACTAAATTGTTATGAAAACTTATTTTAGTATATTTTCATGAATTCTTCACAGGTAATCTTGTGGGATACTGGTAGCTGGCATATTATCTTCAATCTTTTCCACCAGTATGGGTAATATCAGGAAAATACCAAAAGCACATTAAGATATTTATTAGAAAATACTATGTATTGAACCTTCGTATAGGAAGTACAAAAAAGAAAAAAAACTATGTAAAAACAAATAAACAAACAAACAAAAATTCCTTACCTATATATCAGTAATATCCCATTAGAAAATAGAATAGAAATTAGCCAGGTATGGTGGTGTATGCCTGTAGTCCTAGCTAGCTGGGAGGCTGAGGTGTGATCTCTCGAGCCCAGGAGTTTGAGGCTGCAGTGAACTGTGATCATGCCTGTACTCCAGCCTGGGTGATGAAGTGAGACCTTCATCTCCAAAAATTAAAAAAAAAAGGAATAGAAAAGAAAATTTAATAGGAGAAATTTTCAAAAATTCATTCAAAAATTTAAATAATGTAAAGAGGTTCCTTAAGACTTTTGTGGAGAAAACTATAAAACTTTATTGAAGGATATAAAAGACAGAAATAAATAGGAAGATTAACCATGTTCATGGATAGAAATGCTCAATATTTTAAAATGTCAATTTTACTGCAAATAATCTACAAATTCAATGCAACCCCAACTGCAATAAAAATATAAGTATGATTTTTAAGCCAAATTTAACAGAATAATTCTAAAAATTTTATGAAAGTAAATGTGCTAGAAGAGCAAGGCAATTTCGGAAAGGAATAAAAAAGCAGGGGCTTTGTAATAGCACTTGCTAGAAAATAAAATAAAGATATTAATTAAAACAATGTGTTGGTGCAGGGATATATAAGTGAGTCAATGAAACAGAACAGAGATTAGAAATATATATTCTCTTACATAAAATTTGGTATATTATGACTCCGTTGTTCAGATAAGAGGTGAAAGGATTTATTATTCAATAAATTGGCCCTCTACTTGGAGAAAAAGTCAGACATATCTTATACTAGAAACTCCAAGTGTATTAAAAAGATAAATACTAAAACTATATTATAAAAATATATGCATTCTTTAGTATAGGAAAGACCTTCATAAACGGGAAATAAAAGCAAAAGCCATAAGGGAAAATACTAAGTTTTACTGAATCACAGTTATAAACCCTTGTCACAATAAAGATCAGTATAAGTTAGAAAACACTTGGTAGATTGAAAGAAAATATTCACAAAACACACCAAATATTGAAGATTTGCATTAGAAATAGATGCTAGTAAGAAAAATAAATAATTAACAGAAAAAGAACAAAGTTATGAAAAGACAATTCATAGAAGTGGATATACGAATGGCCAATAAAGTCATGAAAAGATGTTTAACCTCACTAGTAAGCACAGAAAGCAAAACTAAGATAATATTCCACTTTAAACATCAATTTAAAAAATTAATTAAAAATTGGATGACATCTAATTTTTTAAATTAGATGTCTCATACACTATTGGCAGGACAGCCGACTAATACAGCTGATAAAGAGGTGATTTTTCTAGTAATGATTAAAGCTAAAAATACACATTCTCTGTGACACACAAACTTTATCCCCTATTGTCTACTCTGGAGAAACATTTGCACATGTGCACAAGGAGGCATATATGATTGTTCGTTACTGTTCATTTGGAACAGTAAATTTCCATTGGAATGGAAATGTTGAAATGAACTGTGGTATTTTTATACTACGGAATTCTAAAGGGAACTTAAAAGGAATGAGTTAGTTATATTTGTAGCAACATGTTCAGCTCTCTAAGCCTGTATGTTAACTGAACAACAGGTTGCTGAATGATGTGTATGTTGGATGCCATCTATTAAAAACAAAAGAAAACCCCTGGCATTGTCAATAGTTTTAATTTTAGCATTCTTGATAGTAATGTTGTCTCATTATGGTTTAATTTGCATCTCTCTCTGATAACAAATGTTGATGAACCTGTTATATGCCGTTTGAACATCTTCTTTTTTGAAGAGCTGATCAGGTCATTTGCCCATTTTTAATTGAACTGTCTATATTGCTTTTGTAGAAGTTTTTGATTGGTCAGTTGATTTGTAGTTCTTTCTTCAGAAAGTTGTCAATTATATATTGTTATAAAATCTTCTCTCAGTCTATGACTTGACTTTTTATCCCTTAATGCAGGCAAGAATATGAATTAATCGTAACACTCATACATTGCTAATGGGATTGTAAATTGGCACAACATTTTAGAAAACTGTTTTGGCAGCATTCATAAATCTAAACATATGTATAACCTATGATCCAACAGTTCTGCTCCTGGGTATATGAGTAAAATATAAATGAGATCTTATATCCACTAAAAGACATGTACAAGAATGTTTGTAATGTTTTATTTATAAAAGCTCCAAAGTGGAATAAACTCAAATGTCCATCAATGTGAACAGAATAGATAATAATTATGGTGTATTCATGCCATGCAATATTACATAGTAATGAAAAGGAACAAACCACTGCTATACTGAAGTGTATGGATGATCTCACACAGAGTCACACAAGTGAAATATGGTAAGCCCAACAGAGTACATATTGTATTCTGTTTATGTGAATTTCAAAAACAGACCAAACTAATACATGATGATGGAAGTCAGAATAGTGCTTACTTTTGAGGAGCTACTGATCAGGCAGGGATAAAGGGACATTTTGAAGATCTGAAATATTTGGATCTTGTTAGTGGTTATATGAGCATATATACATGTGTATAAGTGTATGTAAAAATCCATCAATATGTACACTAAAGGTTTGTACAGTGTATTTTATATAATTTATATGTCATAAAAAAGCTTTTACATTTTTAGAAATACCCTATGAAATAGATACTACAATAATCCACATTATACGTCTACATTCCTCATTTCCAGGAAACTGAAGCACAGAGATGTTGAGTAACTTCCCAAGGTCACTCAGCTAGTATTGGAGCTGGGATTCAAACCTAGGCAGTCTAACTGCAGGGGCAGTGTAGTGTATTAATCATCTATTGCCACAACAATTCTGCATCAACAACCACACAACCTCAGTGGCTTACAACAAGAAGCATTTGGTTAGCTCAAAATTTGACAGGACTCAGATGATCTGGGTGGGCTCACTAACATGTTTGGGAGTTGTTTGGCTGTTGGCTGATTTCTGACAGCCTCAGTGGGACTACCAGGGTGACTTGGTACTATTTCTATTTAGCCCACACATGGTATCAGGCCATGATGGAGGAGTAAGAGCAGGTAAGCTCAACTGCGAAAGTGCTTTGCAAGTCTATATGTGTCATATCATTGGCCAATGCAAGTCACATGGCTGAGTGCAGTCAAAATAGGCAGGAACTGTAGAGTTACATGGCAAGGTCACAGACCTAGGGAGGAGTAAAGAACTGGGGGCTATTACTACAATCAATTTACCACAGGCAAAAATAAATCCCAAGCTAGGAATTTGGCAGACCTGGGTCCAGTGTCGGCTAACACTTACAATCTGTGATCTTTGTGAAAATCAGTTAACTTTTTGATTTGTGATTTATCTGTAAAATGAGGGTTGTAACAATAATAATACCAAAAACATGAGGTAATTGTTGAAGACAGGTTGGGATAATGTATATAAAATATAATCATGCATTGCTTAACAATGGAGATACATTTGGCTGTTTTGTTGCAAGGAAATGGCACTTTGGGAGGATCACCTGAGGTCAGGAGTTCGAGACTAGCCTGGCCAACATGGCAAAACCCTGTCTCTACTAAAAATACAAAAATTAGCCAGGCATGGTGGTGGATGCCTCTAATCCTAGCTACATGGGAGGCTGAGGCAGGAGAATTGCTTGAACCTGGAAGGTAGAGATTGCAGTGAGCTGAGATCACGCCACTGCACTCCAGCCTGGGTGACCCAGTGAGACTCTGTCTCAAAAAAAGAAAAAGAAATTGAGGCTCTGATGTAACACACATAATAGTGCAGCCCAGGTAACAGAAGACTGAATGTAACCAATAGCCAAATGTAACCCCATTGTTCAGCAATACATGACTGCATTTTATATACGTTTTGGAAGTATAGAGTGTACTTCAAAAAACCTAAATGGTAGAGCCACCTAGACTACATGGTATAGCCTATTGCTCCTAGGCTACAAACCTGCATGGCATGCTACTGCACTGAGTACTGAGGCAATTGTAACACAATGGTGAGTATTTGTGTAACTAAACATATCTAAACATAGAAAAAGTACAGTAAAAATACAGTATTATAGTCTTAGGGGACCACTGTTGTATATGCCGTCCATCACTGATGCAATCATTGTTAAAAAGTCCATGACTGTAGCTCCCTATGCCTGACCCAGAGTGGATGCTCAGTAAATGCTAGTTATTGTTGTAACGGCAAAGTCCCAAGTGGACACAGCTTGAACATCCCCAAATGTCTGGGCTAGAGTCATAGCATGGTGGGTCATTTGGTGTGTGTCTCTTCTGTTGTTCAGATCTACTCTGGGCTTTGATGTGACACACCGAAGAGTGCAACCCAAGTAACTAAAGGCTATCACTTTTTTTTTTTTTTTTGAGACAGGTTCTCACTTTGTCACCCAGGCTGGAGTGCAGTGGTGCCATCTTGGCTCACTGCAGCCTCGACTTTCTGGGCTCAAGCAATCCTCCTACCTCAGACCCCCAGGCGCATGCCATTACGCCTGGCTAATTTTCTGTATTTTCGGTAGAGATGGGGTTTCACCATGTTGCCCAGGCTGGTTTTGAACTCCCGAGCCAAGCGATCCATCTGCCTCAGCCTCCCAAAGTGCTGGGATTACACGTGTGAGCCACCACGCCCGGCTGAGGCTGCCACTTTTAAATTTCGTAGCATACACAAGTGATGGAGGGCTCCTAGGCGAGGCCCCTCCCCACAGCCTCAAACAGACTTCTTATGAGGCCTAGTCTCCTAACCTTCTGGAAACCTACAGAGGCTTTTCCTCTGAATTTTGGATAAAGACAACCTGACCTCCCTTCCGTGGGCCAGAGAATGAAGGCATCAATTCAGGAAATCTCTGTTGTCTGCACACATGCCCTGCTCCTCACCACTTTGACCCTGAAGCAAAGGAAGTTACTGAAAGGATTTTTGAAACATCTAAAAATATCTATGCCATTTTACAACCAGTCTATTTTATTGTTCATATTCTAATTTTTAAATAATCCATAATCACAAACAGCAGTGATAAGGGATTTCTTAGTCCCAAAATTTGCATCTGACCTTAGGCAAAATTAATCTGTGGTAAAAGGCTGAGAATAGTGGTTACCTTTGGGGTCAGGGGATGTTCACTTGAAAAGGACCCGAGGAAGCCTTCTGGGTTTAGAAAGTTTCAAAGTATTGATTGTCCAATGGAAACATATAGGTAAAAAATACACCGAGCTGAATTCTCAAGAGTTTGTATACTTTATTATTTGTAAAATATACTTCAATTGTAAAACAAAACCCCCAACCCCAAAAGTGATAATAAAATTATATATAGTCATGAGATAATACAAGTAATAAAAATTATAGAGACCTGGAGTAGTAAATATCAACTCTTAACAGTTACCTATGGAGGGGGTAGAGAGAGAGACAGATAAGGGGATAGGGCTTAATTAGTGGTTAGAGGGGACCTTACTTTTCCTCTTTTGGGTTATTATTTTTTTTAATCCAAAGGAAAGAATACTGTGTAACATATGTCAAACAGGCAGCTTCTGAACTGCATACAGGCACTGAGGATTTCTGGGTCCTTTCTACTATTAGATGCTAGTCACCTTACCAACAACCACTGACACAAGATTTTGTAATTGTAAACACATTAACTCCTCAGAGTTACATATTTCCTAGGTATTTTCTCCTGACTCTACTCAGCATGCTACCTTTGTCTGGGTCTTCATACAGATATAGTTTCCGAGATTCAGACACATCTGCGTTAAAGCCCACCCCATAATTTGTCATAAGCAGCTCTCATTCAGCCTTGGAGATAGGTAGGGGAAAAAACCATTCTCATCGTTCCATTTATACAATAGTTTTTCAGCGTGAAAGAACTGATTGAATGAAAACATCTCTCATTTGTTTTCTAAAAGTTAAAATTCAAGGAAAATTATTTTAAAGAAATTAAACCAGGATAGTAAATTTCATGAAAGCCTACTTCTTATTAAAGTAACTTAAATACCAAGTGGACTGTATTGGTCCAGTTTTGAAGCAGAACTAATAGGATCTATATCTATCTATCTATCTATCTATCTATCTATCTATCTATCTATCTATCATCTATCTATCATCTATCTATCTATCTAATCTATCAATCATCAGTCGATCAATCTGTCAATTTGTTATGAGAATTGTCTCATGCAATTAGGGAGGCTGAGAAGTTCCATGATCTGCTGTCTGCAAGCTGAAGAACGAGGAGAACTAATGGTGTTAATTCAGTTCAAGTCTGAAGGGCCACAAAGAGCTCCAATGTCTAAGGGCAGGAGAAAATGGACATCCCATCTCAAATGGAGAATGAATTCCCCCTTTCTCTATTTTGTTTGTTCGATTTGGACCCTTAACAGATTAGGGAAGCTTAGCCACATTGATGAGGGCGAACTACTGTATCAGTCTGCAGATGCAAATGCTAATCCCTTCCAGAAACATTTTTAGAGGTACATTCAGAAATACTAAGAAATAATGTTTTACCAGCTATCTGGGCATCCTTTAGCCTGACCATAATGACACATAAATTTAACTATCACAAGGACATAAAAATAATAGAATATATATTTACAGTTTTTGCATTTAGGATATTTAATTATGGTTTATATGGAGGGTTGGTGAGGTATAATAAAAAAAATTTGGTCTTTGTTTCTAGTTCCTGGCACAGAGCTCCTAAAACCCTTGAAATTTCCTGAATGATAACAGTGTCTTTTGTTTTTCATAATGAGACCCTTTTACACACATTTGCATTTATGCTAATGATAGGACTTACAGTGGAGTCCCTAGATAGCCTCAAGATAGGCTGGTCACCAGAAAGACCAAGCAATCGGAGGTCTGGAATTTTCAGCCCTATCCCCTCACCTCCAGGAAGGGGGAGAGCTTGGAGATTAAGTTCTACAAAAACTCTTGAGCGATGAAATTTGATGAGTTCCTGGGTTGGTGAATGCATCCACAATCCTACAGGGTGGCATACCCTAACTGCACAGGGACAGAGGCTGCCATGCTTGAAACCCTACTGGACTACTTCCTATGTACCTCTTCGTCTGGCTATCCATCTCTATCTTTTATAATATCCTTTACAATAACCTGGCAAACAAAAGTAAAATATTTCCCTGAGTTCTAATAGCTATTCTTGCGAATTATTAAACCTGAAGGGGAGTGGTCATAGGATTCCCCAATATAGACAGTGGGTCAGAAGTATGGGAGGCCCAGACTTGTGATTGGCATCTGAAGTGGGGGAAATCTTGTGGGACTGAGCCCATGAACTTGTGAGATCTGACACTAACTACAGGTAGATAATGTTAAAATTGAATTAAATTATAGGACAACCAGTGGGTGTTCCCTAGAGAATTGAATAGTTTTGGAAAAGTCCTTGCACATCTAGTGTAAGGAGTGCTGTGTATGTAGAGAATCAATGTTTTCAACAGAGTTGGTTATAAGTTCTATAAAGCATCTTGAGTTTTGAACTGGGGAGTTGGGTTTAGGATCAATTTTAGAGTACCTTTTGTGGTTTTTTTTCATGGTCTGGAATTTCAATAAAAGGGATTTTAAAACATGTATTTTAAATCTTCTGGAGCAGTCCTGGAATTCAGTGTCCCCCCTATCGGACAAGACATTGATCAGACAACGTATCCTGAGTTTGGGGTCAGAAAATCTTACCATAATAGGCATCAGTAAGAACTAAATTGGTAGGCCAGGCATGGTGGCTCATGCCTGTAATCCCAGCACTTTGGAAAGCCGAAATGGGCGGATTACGAGGTTAGGAGTTCAAGACCAGCCTGGTCAAGATGCTGAAACCCTGTCTCTACTAAAAACACAAAAATTAGCCAGGTGTGGTGGCATGCACCTGTAATCCCAGCTACTTGGGAGGCTGAGGCAGGAGAATCGCTTGAACCCACGCAGCAGAGGCTACAGTGAGCCAAGATCGTGCCACTGCACTCCAGCCTGTGTGACAAAGCAAGGCCCTGTCTCAAAAAAAAAAAAAAAAAAAAAAAAAACCAAAAAACTAAATTGGCTAGATTTTTCCAAATTGCCTCATCTCCATGCATAAGAAAATGTGCATCAGTGCCCAGAAACTCTTGATCTATGAGCAGTTATGCTATTGTAAATACATTGGCCTGTACACACACTGCGAAGTCCATAGATCGCGTGGGTCAGATGCACCAGCCTGTGATCTGAGGGCTGCTGAGGCAGAATGACAGACCTCTGATTTGTATGTGGCCTCCCATGTTTTCTCTTCTTCCTTCGTATGTTTTGCCTCTTTTCTTTATCTTTTCCATCTTGTTTCCTTTGAAAAATCGTGTTGCTTTATGCCAATACCTGTTGGCTAAAAAGTTGGTAGATCCTGATCCTTATCCATGCCAGTTTCACTGGACCCAGAGACCTGTTAGAAGATTGTCCTGCCTGTGTGTAATCCTGTTCTGATCCTTTTAGAGGAAACCTCATGGGAAATATTTGTATTTTGCCACTGCTACCCAGTGAGTTCAGCTCCTCCTTACTCTGGATCTTAAAAACTTTAAGAAACTCCATTCACTTATTATTCAAATATTTAATGACAATTGGGGCTGAAGATATAAAAACAATATAGTTCTCGGCTTCATGGAAATTGCATTTTAGTTGTGCACGCAGCCAAGTAAGCAAGCAATTCTGCTGCATAGCAATCAGTGTAGCAGTGTCCTAAGCCATCCGTCCTGGCTCAACTTCATCTAGCACATAACTGCCAAATTAATAAAACACTAGTGTTCTGTTAATGAGATGTACAATCCCAGAATCCCATGTTGCTTGGAAATTTCTTGTAGAATGGATGTCAAAGTTTTACATCTATTCTAGAATGATTAGAACTCTATTGTTAGACTGGAGGTCAGTGGGGAGTTTGTATACATCTTCTGCAAACTATAAAGAAATGACCCAGAGTAAGCAAGAGGATAAAAATGATGCATTGTTAATATAAAGTGAATACTGTGTGTCTGCTTCCTTTTTCAGGGAGAAATTGCTAATAAAATATAAAAGATATACAAAGCCTCTGGCAATCAGGGGAACTGCAATTCCCAACAGTGTTCAAGTTAAATCTACTTCTGTCTAAATTTTATTATGGCTGTTCTCAATGATTTCTTCTGAAGTTTTGACTAAATGCAGTATTCCTTTCTGCTCCCTGTTTCATGCTTTCCCCCTCCATGCACTGAGTTGTTAGGAGCTTATCTCTTTGAGCCAAACATTCTTCAAGGTTTATGGAAGAATCACTGGTCATCCCTATACATTCTCTTTTAACTTAAGCACTAACGCAGCCTTTATCAATCTTGTTTTTCGTATTCCTCAGGAATGAGCTAGAGAATACTTTTTTCTTGTATATAGTATGCACGTGGTGATGAAGATAGGATTAGAAGGTGTTAATGATATTGCAAAATTTTTGTTATGATGCAGAGATAACTGCTTTATGTTTACTTCTTTTGGTTTTCTGGGGACCACATTTGGATGTAAAGGTCAAGATGTTTGTGTCTGTTTGTTGGGGGAACACATATGTTGAGAGAAATGTGTGTGAGTGTGTGTGTGTGTGTATGTGTGTGTTGTGTGTATGCTGGGTGGAGCCAGGGGATTGGAAAGAGTTTTTAAAAAGAAAATAGAAAAACTCCTTCAGAATAGTGGCATTTTACTCCAAAATCATTTTTTTCATACCAAATAATGGGCAGATGTACAGGCCCTTGCAATTATGATAAAGGGGCCTATCCAAGGATACTTGTTCTTAGGGAGGGCCCAGAAAGATACAGTGGTCTGTGTGAGGCTTATTTTGACTGTGAAGCTAGGCTGATAAGTATGTACCCAGCCAAGGACTCTACAAATATAGTGGGGTTGGTCATTAAGATTAGAAAGAGTTATGCCAATAATATAGCTCAGGCTGTGGCCAAGAATTCCTTAGGTGGCGAAGAATCCCTCAGTTGGCATCCCTAGCTTATTTAAATCAGGTACAATACTCAGGAAAAACACAAGTTTTATATTGATTTTTCTAATTTTCTATTAGATTGGTGCAAAAGAAATTGCAGTTTTTGCCATTCAAAACTAATTAAATAGAGTTGAATTTATTTCTAACTAAATTCTTCATTTAGCAAGCGGTGGCAACCTAAGCTTAGTAAATTCAAGGTAATTTCAGTAGATATGTTATTTTATTCTTCCTGTTTCCTTCTTGATTTTGCATTTACATTTGGGGGGCAAAAATAATATCAAAGCATCAGGGAAAGGTTACTATGCCCCCTGCTATGGTTTGAATATTCATGTCCCCTCCAAAATTTATGTTGAAACTTAATCCCCATTGCAACAGTATTAAGAGGTGGGGCCTTTGGGATGTGATTAGGTTATGAGGGCTCTGCCCTCAAGGATGGGATTAGTGTCCTTAGGTAAAACAGATTGAGGGAGTGAGCTCAGCCCCTTTTTGCCTTTCTGTCCCTTCTACCACATGAGAAAGCAGTGTTTGTGTTTGTCCCTCTGGGGGATGCAGCAGCAAGGCATCATCTTGGAAGCAGACAGCAACCCTCACTGGATACCAAACCAGCTGGCACCTTGATCTCGGACTCCTCAGCCTCCAGTACCATAAGAAATAAATTCCTATTGTTTACAAATTACCCATTTTGTGATATTTTGTTACGGCAGTGCAAATGGACACTCAGGTATCCCCTTATTCCAATGGCAAGGTTTCTTGGAGCTCATTGCAACCCAATGTCACATGTGTGTGTGTTGCTCTTGGCTGCTTGCCGTGTTGCTGGGGTGTATGCATCATGTTGCACCCCATGTTGCTGGGGTGATGCTAGGGTGTGCCTCTGTGAACCTGCCATAGGCCCATCTGCTTATACATATATTACAGCCATGACACTCTACTGTTGTCTTCCTATGCTGGGGTAGACCCTCCCATATCCCAAACTTCACCTGGGAAACAAGGCATGTGCTATTTTTGTTCTCCGACTCCCAAACTGACCTTTGGGTTTTATTTTGTCCTCTCAGTGTCCTGACTTAGACTGGGGGAAAGGGCCAGATACATCGGGTTTTCTCAGAAATACGGACCAGACTAAGAACTTCTTAGTTTTTCTTCGATTCTATTTTTCTTTCATTGATTTTTTTCCCTCTTATGCCATTGTGTCTGCCGTGAGTGTCAAAAAAATTTTCGAAATTCAAAAGTCAAGAATTGGCTGCTTTGTTCTGTTGAGTCATTATCTAGGCAAAAGCTCGGAATGCCTCAATTGCTGCCTGATATGCAATAACAGAAATTGCTGGAAAAGAACAACACATCCAAGAATATACTAAATGTCACCATAGTACAGAGATGTGTGTGTGTGTGTGTATGTGTGTGCATGTGTGAGGACATACACACTTAAAATCTCGGTAAATGATCTCAGGGCAACTCTCAATAAATTGCTCCCTCTTTGTGTTTCCCAAAAGCCCAAGTTAAAGAGCCAATTCATTGATTAAAAATTAGTCATAGTTGAATTTGTGGAATTAATTGGTCCTCATCTTGCTGCTTAGTATACAGTACTGCCAAAATGCCAAAGAGTCAGAATTTAAAACACATCTTAGAGGTCTCTTTGACTGCAGATATGGCATGATCTGCTTGACAGCAGATCCACATTATGGAGAATAACAACCCCTCCACATCATTCTCAGCTGGCCTCAGAAGGACTGACTGCCTTTGATGAACTGATCTTGTGTACTTAGAAGTGAGACCGGCAATGCAGAGTAGATAAGGAAGCCCATCCTAGTGTAATTTGTTTAGAATGGCTTTATTATGTTTTCTGAATATAGAGTAATACTTTCTTAATGCAAAAGTAATCAGAAAATGCAGATAAACGTCTGGATTAAAAAAGAGTACTGGAGGCCGGGCGTGGTGGCTCATGCCTGTAATCCCAGAACTTTGGGAGGCGAGGCGGGCGGATCATGAGGTCAGGAGATCGAGACCATTCTGGCTAACACAGTGAAACCCTGTCTCTACTAAAAATGCAAAAATTTGCCGGGCGTGATGGCGCATGCCTATAATCCCAGCTACTCAGGAGGCTGAGGCAGGAGAATCACTTGAACCTGGGAGGCGGAGGTTGCAGTGAGCTGAGATCGTGCCATTGCACTACAGCTTGGGCAACAAGAGCAAAACTCCATCTCAAAAAAAAAAAAAAAAAAAGGAAAAAGGTACTGGTAGGGGCAGGCGTAATGGCTCACACCTATAATATCAGCACTCTGGGGGTCCATGGTAGGAAGATAGCTTGAGGTCAGAAGTTCAAGACCAGCTTTGGTAACACAGGGAGACCCCCATCTCTACAAAAAGAAATGGCCAGGTGTGGAGGTATGCATTTGTCGTCCTAGTTACTCAGAAGGCTGATGCAGGAGGATCCCTGGAGCCTAGGAGTTCAAGGTTAGAGTGAGCTATGATCATATCACTGCATTCTAGCCTGGGCAACGGAGCAAAATCCCATCTCAAAAAAAAAAAAAGAGTATTAGGTATAATCACACCATCCAGATATAACTCTGTTAATATTTTGTTGTAGACTTTTTCCTATGCCTAAGCAGGATGTGAAGATATATAATATATGATATATATATAACATATTATATATAATATATATTTCAGTCATATTGTACATATTATCTGTAATCTCCATTTCCCTTTAAGCTATATATTGGGAACATCTTTCCATGTTAATGTGTGTGGATCTATATCATGTTTTATATAATTACTTAACCAATCTCTTATTGATGCACATTTAGGTTGTTTTCAGTTTTCATTCTGAAAACACTCCTGTTACAAAAACCCTCAAACATTCTAAAATTGGAATCATCAGGTCAAAGGGAATGGATATTTAATATCACCAAACTTCTCCAGAAAACTGTAGTTTGTATCAAT
This sequence comes from Homo sapiens, assembly GCF_000001405.40. Lineage (NCBI taxonomy): Eukaryota > Metazoa > Chordata > Mammalia > Primates > Hominidae > Homo > Homo sapiens. The sequence goes on along the minus strand of NC_000012.12, from coordinate 89,102,403 downwards.
TCAGACTTCAGCCAACAATCTGTTCCAATACCATGAGATTTGAAGGCCAAGCCAATCTGTCTAAATGTCAGCATAACCATAACCTACTGTGGCCATCTTCCCCATCAGCCAGGCATTACAAGTTCATTAATAAGGACCTTCTTAGGGATTATAGTTTTCTCCAGGAGGACATGATTGGAATATATCAATTATCAGGATAAGCAATTTTAAGAAAATCACATAGCCAGACAGTTTAAGTATGTGCTAGTGTGTGTGTGTGTGTGTGCGCACAGGCACATGCCTGAAGGGAGCAGAAGTGATTACAGGTATGGATACAACATATAAATGTTCCAGATTTTTCTAGGACATCCTTAATTGTATTATTTTGTAATAAAGTGATTTATTTTTCATGTAAATATATTTATATAAGATGTGTTTTATACAACTGCATTTGCCAATTTACAATCGTTTTTGGTCAGCTTCTTTATGTTGCCTTTTCGGCTCAAGAGTACCATCAGTATGGCATGGGTACTATCCTGAAAAAGTAGATGAATGTCCTGTCTCAGGAAGGTGGGGCACTGCCCCATAAAATGAAATCTTTAGTTCTGGGTCATCAGGCAGTTTTTCAGCAGAGGCAGGCTGCTGCAGCTGCTGCTTCCTGTCCTACTCTCCAACTGTGTAAAAAACTGTGGACCACCCCGTGAGCCCCGATCTTCCTCTGAGATAGCCTTGCCCCCATCTGCTCTCAAGTCATCCTCTCTTTATTTCCCCTTCACAGAATGAAGCGTGGGAGTAAGCAATCGGAAAATGCACCATTTTCCTGGAGGTTGAGTGGAGGCTTGGGGATGTTTTTGTTTAAACCTCACTAATCTATTCCAAACAGGTGGCCTTAGGCTTTTTCTCCCACATGCCTGCCCTGCCCTGTCCTGCTTCAGTTTGTGTTTAATGCCACAAATTTGCCTGTCTTCTTCTTTTCCTTCCTTCCTCCATTTAAAAAGATATCCATATCCAACAACAAAAAAGGACCTGGGAAAGCCCTATGTAGGCATGGAGGATGTGACAAAGTCTTGAAATCTCTTCTTATTTGAGACAAGCCAGAAACTGTAATCATAACATGGGAGAGATTAGCAACAGCAAGAAAAATGAAATAGAGAGAGAAGGATAAGAGCAATGGAGGCGGGGAGAGGGGAGACATGCATCTGAGGGGTTGCCACGCAAGTTGTGAATGCCGCGGGATGGAAGGGTAAAGACTGCTGCCTACCCGGTATTGATTTTCAGGACAACGTAATGACTCTTCTGCGGGGAATAAGGAGGGCAATGAAGAAACAAAGGTCAAAGATGTTCCCCAGAGATAAACTGAGAGAAAGCCATCTATCCTCTTCGGCTATAATCATTTCCAGAAGTTTTAAGTATCTTTTGTTTTTTTCTTTTCTTTGTTCAACCTACCTGCAACAAACCAACCCATGAAGGTTTAATTTCATTGTTTGCCTCCATTTCTGATTATGATTTAGGGTGGAAAGGGGAACACATGAGAACCCCACAACCTAGCTTTTTCTGCCCAATCAGGGAGCACATATTTTTACTCTTTTTATGTCACCAATGAACTGATGGTGGGCATTTTCTCTTGCTCATTTGGTAGGCTGCCTATGTCAAGGAAATGAGGAAGATAGTTTATGATTTAGAGCTGACTTTTGAAATTGGGGTAACTGGAATGTGACCTTATCCTGAAGCAGGGCCCTTCTGGAGAGCTGAGAATGGGGGAAGGGCCAGCTGGGAGTGGCTGGTGCTGGTCCTGGGAATAGTGGGGGCTTCCCAGGAGATTCCCAGAGGAAGGGAGAAATAGTAGGTTCTCCTGAGAGCTATTATGCTTCTTTTCTTAGCAGCAACTTTATCTTTCTTGTTCTCTTCGCCCACTGCCTTGCTTTCCCTTGGTTACATAGCACTGACTATAAAGGTGGCAGAAGAGAAGGCTAAATAGCAAACAGCATCTCACACAACTTACTCTATTTAATCTTCACAATGATACTGGCTAGGTAGATATTACATCTTTCTTCACTTTATTGATAAGGAAACTAAGCTCAGCGAGGTAAACGATTTACCTGGGTACGTCCACACAGCAGGGAGCAGAGGCAGTACTTACTAAAATCCAGGCATTCTGACTTCAAGTCCAGAGGATTCCAGTCTAGTACCTGGATGCACTGGTTTTTGCATATGATATTGCTGAGTTTCTTGACAATCTAGACCATACTGTTTTTTTTTTGTGCTATCGTATTTCATACAGCTCCAAGAAAAATTTCAAAAAACAAGGAAAACTTAAAAGGGTCAAAGAACTAAGCTTACAGATTCCCATGCATTCTTTATTCTTATTACTAAATAGCAAACAAAGATACAGAGCTTGTCATTCGCCTAGGTCAAATCACAAACTGGGGTTGAAATTTAAAAAGAAACAAATTGAAGAGATGATATCAGTCAAAACAGGGGTGAGGTGGGGAGAACATGGGAATTTGAGAGTTCTGTTTCTGGATTCAGATTTCCCGGTTTGTGATCCTAGCGTCATTGCTTTCTAGCTATGCGGCCTTAGACAAACTCACCTACGTAAGCTTCAGCATTCTGATCTGTAAAATGGCAATAATAACAGTATGGATCTCATGGGTATTAGGTGAAATCATTCTTGTAGACATATAGTTGCCCTTGTATAAATGATAGCTATTATAATGGATTAAATATGAAGGGGCAGGAAGGGTCTGGGGTGAAGAGGAACAATCCATGGCCTGTTCTCCATCTGGGGTCCTATAGGCAAGTTCTAAGGCAGGGCTCCCCAACTCCCAGGCTGCTCTCCTGAGCTCCGCCTCCTGTCAGATCAGTAGCGGCATTAGATTCTCATAGGAGCGCGAACCCTATTGTGAACTGTGCATGTGAGGGATCAAGGTTGTCCTCCTTATGAGAGTCTAACTAATGCCTGATGATCTGAGGTGGAGCATACCCCCCTCCCCACGGTAGTGGAAAAATTGTCTTCCATGAAACCTGTCCCTGGTGCTAAAAAGGTTAGGGACCACTGTTCTAAGGGCTTGCGACATTTGGGGTCCTACAGGCAAAAGTTCTAAGGACTTCCTTTCCGGAATGGGGGAGGAAGTCACAGTGGAAGAATTTCTTGGCCTTCAATGGAAGCAGTGAAAAAGGAGTAAATCCGATGGACATATGTCTCTGACTTGTGCTGCTGCCAAACAGCTGATGCATTGAGATGGATGAAAAATCGCAAAAATTAAAAAAGAAAATTCTTTTATCATTTCCCCTCCCCCCACCCCCTGCAGTTCCACTGTGAGAAAAGAGCCTTCTGGCTGCCACTGTGGCTGTCGGATTTCTGGGTTTGGGCACTTGCTGCAGCCTGTGGATGCCATGCTGTCAGCCCTTTGCACGCGATTCCTTTAGGAAAGTCCCCGCCACCCCCAGCCTGACTTCTGTTTTACCCAGTGCCTGGAGAGCCAGCTGCACTGCGAAGCCCAGGAAGCAGCGGCTGCCAAGTGTCAGGGGAGGGCAGAGGCCTCCAGATAGTCTTCCTATGCTAGGAAAACGTGGGGGTTGGGGGATGGGTCCAGACTCAAGCTTAACCTGCTCAGGATGACATGCACTTTCCCCAACCTGCTTGTCCTGCAGCCTTTCTTGCCCAGCCAGGCAGGTACGTCCCACACATTGCAAAGTGGCAGGGGTGGAGTGGAGTTGGAGGGCGCTGAAAAGCAATCGCCTCATTATTTCGTTATTTCTTCTTGTACTTCAGACGAGCAGAATGCACCCTAGGAAGTCTATGAATTATTCATTATGCCTAATGGGTGCTCACAAGGGAGCACTGCTGAGATGCAATTAAATGGTGCTTTAATTTGAGAAATATTTATTGGGGTCTAGCGTTAAATGTTCATTCACATCTTTGTGAGCAACATTCTGATGGTAAATAGGGAAAGGAAAACCCAGAGCAATTTGTACAGAAAGGATTCCATATGCAGCTTTCCTCCACCTCTGCTGGGCTTGGGTCAGATCCTGATGTACAGGAGGGATTCTGAGCAGAACAATAAGTAACATTTGTTGAGGATCACCTCTGACGTAGAACTGTATTAAGCACACCTAACATTAAATACCCACCCTAACCCAAAAATGCAATCTAAATCCCTTCCATGGGACGTCACTATTATGCTGATTCGACCTGGTGAGCATGAAGTAACAATTACTCTAGCCATATTGGTAAGACATTTGCCTGCCAGAAGGTGGAAAATAAATCCCACAAAATTCTGGGGGTCTTCCATTGAATTGAAATTTCTGTGCTTCTAATTGTGTGAGACACGCCAAGATATCTCTTCTAAGGTAAAGGATAAGTTGTTGCATCTGGTCACTCCCACATCCTAAAAAGATATTAAACACTTTGGATTTTGGAGACGGTATATACCTCATTTGATGGTGCTACGCCATCAGGGTGACCCAAAAAGTGGCTAGTTTTGAGTGATGCCCAGAACAAAAGAAGGTATTGCAACAGGTCCAGGCCACCTTGCAAGCTGCTCTGCCTTGGCCACATGTGTGAAACTGGAATATAATTTCCACAAGGGCAGAGATTTTGTCTATTTTGTGTAGAATTGTAGTCCTAGGATCTTGAATATTACCCTGCACAAAGTGAACACTCAGAAAAGTATGTGTTGAATGAATGAACACCCCTTGAGGTAGCTAATATTATTATTCCCATTTAAGTGACAGGGAGATGGAGATTTTGAAAGGTTAAGTTGCGTGAGATCACATATAGTAAATGACAATCTGAAACCAAACCCAGGTTAGTTGGGCTACAGAGTTTTTTTACACATCTTTGTAAGTTGGGTTCAACAGAACTCCCGTTTGCAGCTGGGTAGAAAAGTGAAGGCCACACATCTCTTACATGAAATTGTTCATTTACTCAGCTGAGGTTCATAATTCATGTCTTCCATGATTTCTGTGCAGTCTCTACCAGAACCATGGAACTCCTGGATAAAAGGCACTAATTGAACAAAATCTGGGATTCCTCCAAAAACCTATGTTCCCTGTAGAGGGTGCTTTAAGCAAAGCTGGAAAATGCATGGCATAGGCCAAGAACCACCTTTCTACTTCCTTCCCTACTCCTTTCTTTAACATCCTGCATTCTTTTATTTATGTTATATTGCTTGTTCTTAATATACAAGTTTTACATGTTGTTTGGTTTTCTTCAGAGTCTGTTAACTTCCATTCAATATTCTTCTTGTGCCGGGTATGTGTTTCCCATACATTTTCTTTTTTAATTCAAGAGATTCCAGATAGGCACCAATATTTGGGGGAACTTGTAATACTCTCCAAACCATGGTGTAATGGATATAGTCTTAAACACAACTCTACTGTGGTTGGAGAAATCTGGATATTAAGGAAATTTGGAAATATTCATGTATCATATCACCTAGACCCAGCTCATACCCAAATGAATAGTAAAAACATGGTGGTTATCTGCCTAAAAAATGCAACCTTGTCTCCACCTCTCTTGCCCCTTGATCCTCATTATTTTAATTTATTATAACACGCAGGTGTAGGGTACAAGTTGTGGTGGTTGTTTATGTATGTAATCAGACTCTTTAGAGGGCTTAATTTCCTACTCACTTTCCCTGGGTAGTTACTGTAATGACCTTGAACATTTTCAGAATGTGATAATACATAGTTGAATTTTACTTCTCCTTGTGAGAATAGCTCAAAACTCAATCTTCCCTAAAAAGCTTTCCCTGTTTCTCACTGCCAGTCTGTTATTGGCATACCTTTAACACATACATGCTTACTATTTTAAAATTAATATTGATAAAGCAAGTCCTTATGTAACACTAGGTACCATTTTAATTACATTACACATGCTAATTCATTGAATACACACAGCATCTCTGTGATTGCAGTGTTTGTTATTATTATGCCATAAATGAGGAAACTGAGTCATAGAAAGATTAAATAGGAAAGCCATAATTTGAACCCAGAGAACCTGGCTCCAAATTCTGAATTCTTGATACCTATGCTATAAGGTATCATTTCATCTAAGTAAATATTTATTAAGTGCCTACTATATGCTGTGTATGTAAAACTTGGTAAATATAATAAGGGATTCCATTGTTACTTATTGACTGATACTATGTTAAGAGGTAATGATCATAGATACAATTCCCAGTAGCATTGCAGATAATATCATTTATTTCTAATAAATATCTATTGTTTTGTGAAAAGCATGTGTGAATGTTTGTGCTAACTTTCAACTTGTTTCAGAGACAGTATGGCTCTCCCCATTTGATAGGTGAGTAAACTGAGACTCAGAGAGCCTACCTAACTTATCCAAAACCATTCAGCTATTTATAGGCAGAGGAGGACATGAACCCATGTCACACTAAGTCCAAAATTTGTATCCATATCATTATACCTTACTGCCTCAGAACTCTACCACAGTACAAAGATAAGATTATTGTACACATATGAGAAAAAAATTGAGTGGATTTTAGGAAGGTCTAAGGCAAACACATACTTTTCAAGCTTTGAAGTTCATCAAAATTATCTGAAGAGCCAGTTTAAAATTTAGTTGCCTTAACTTCACCCTTATAAATTCTGCTTTAATATGTCTAGAGTGAGTCCTAGGTCTCCTAGGTAATTCTAATGTACCCTGAAGTCTTAAACTTCAGTTCCTAAGAGTTTGTTAGGAAATTCTTTTTCAGGGACCTGGAGTAGCAGTTCCCAATACTGATTGATTTGATATGGCTGGATCCCTTAATATGATTGAAAACAATATTGCTCATTGATTAAAAATAAACTAATTTTTTCAATTTGTTATAGGGTTGGCATGGGGAGAGGAAGTTCAGATGGGGAGACTTGGAGATTTTCTGAGAAGGTAGGATTTTAGACATGTGTTTTCCTGCTGCTGACAGGTTCTTAATCCCCACTCGTCAACCCCCGAGATCTCTCTCCTTTGTCTGAAAAACCTATACCAGAGGTTTTCAAAATGTCATCAGAATAGCAACCTGAGCATTACCACCTGGGAACTTATGAGAAACACAAATTTTCCAACCCTACCCCAGATGTACCGAATTAGAACTCTGGGATGGGGGCCAGCTATCTATGTTTTAAAAAAACCCTCCAGGTGATTTGAAACCATGATACAGATGTAGAACCATTGACCTGCTTTATGTACTACCAAGCCACACATATAGCACCATATTCATTTACTAGCATTGCCATAATACTATAAATTGGGTAGCATAAACAACAGAATCTTAACTGTCTCACAGTTCTTGAGGCTCAAACTCCAAGATCAAGGTTTAGCAGGGTTGGTACCCTCTGAGGGCTGTGAGACAGAATCTGTTCTATGCATCTCACCCAGCTTCTGGTGGTTTGCTAGCAATCTTTGGCATTCCTTAGCTTGTAGAAGCATCACCCAGATTTCTACCTTCATCGTCACTTGGTATTCTCTTTGCATGTGGGTCTGTATCCCAATTTCCCCTAAGCACATATTGGATTAGGGACCCACCTGACTTCAGTATGACCTCATCTTAACCTGACTAATTAAATCTGCAAAAATTCTATTTTCAAACAAGGTCACTGGGTACTGGAATGAGGTTAAGACTTCACCATATGAATTTTGAAGGCACTGAGTTAAACCCACAGCAATCACTTGTATTGATAAATATCTTGTCTGACAGGACCAGCTATTCTCTTTCCTGGTAAAGGTTTTTAACTCAGGCTTTCAGACATCTCACCTGATGCCCTATCTCATTATAACCGAATCCATTCAGCCTTATAGATTGTTAATTTTTACTGTAAGTATGTTACCCTTGTCCAAACTAAATTGTAGTCAGATTATAAAATAATTTAAAAGCAAATATGCTGCCAAACATTGCTGATATCCCAGTTTTAGGATCTTGATGACAGTGATAATAATAGCTAACATTATTGAGTGCTTAAGAAGTGTATTAAGTACTTTATGTGCATTATGCCATTTCTTCCTGACCACAAATTTATGAAGCTATTATATCAATTTAGAGATGAGTACACTGGGGCATAAACTGCATAAATAGCTTGCAGAAACTCATACAACAAATAAATGGCATTTCTGAGATCAACTGTTTGTCTAAATAACCTCTGTACAACACAGCCACTGTACATAGAAGTAACAGTGTAAAAATGGTCCCTTATTGCCATGTTTTGTGGTTGTAAAAATTTCATGTGGCTGTACAATGGCTTGCATTTGAGGTAAGCTGACCCTGTATTGTTAGTGGGAATGCCAAGTGATCGAATTGTACCTATCTACTTGAAAACATAGCCCCTAGGGACCAATATCACATCTCAGTGATGAAGAATTAAATTTTTTTTAAAGTACCCTAACTGTACTTTAAATGGGATGATAAAACATGGGAAATTAGTGACAGTGATTGTGAAAGAAAAATCACAGTTTTTTTGTGACACTGTAAAAAAATCACATATTGTCCATTAAGACAACTAAAGGCAAGTGAAAAATGAGAGACTTAACTTATATGTCAGATTACGCAAACATCCACCTTCCTCTCAATTCTAACTACCTATACCTCTCTGTCTCTGCTGATTGACTATGGGGTTAACATGATCCTATTCTCTCTCCTTCACTAAAATCTGGAACACTTTTATGTTCTCCAGTGAGATTCTAGCAACACTACTTAAAACTCCTATGACACACTAAAGAGATTTATTGAAAGTCTTCTCTTTGAAGCTTTCTCCAAGATTGTTTTGGTGTATTTTCCTGCCGTTGGATGAACTGTTGATGCTAGTTGGCATGCTTATAGGAATTAAGGAGTTCAGAGTCTTTGGTGTGGTTATTTGGGATTGGGCAGATAAATACTGAGAGGGTTCTAAATAATATCTCACAGCATTGGTTTTCAAATTTTAATGTGCACACTGATCACCCAGGGTTCTTGTTAAAATGCAGAACCTCTTCCATCCCAACACTGAGATTGTGCATTCCTAACAAGATCCCAAATTATGCTACTATTACTGGTGTATGGGCTACATTTTGAGTAGAAAAAATTTAAAACAGTGGTTTTTAAATTGATACACCTCACAATCACCTGAGTAGATTTTTTTGGTAATAATAACAGCTTAATGTGATATAATTCATATGCCATACAATTCACTCATTTATATTGTACAATTCAACCAATGGCTTTAGTACATTTATTGAGTTGTGCAACCATCACCAAGATGCATTTTAGAATATTTTAATCACCCTTCCCCCAAAACCTTTTACTCATTAGAAGTACACTTTCTCCTTCTTTCTCACCTTTCCCACCTGCTAACACCTGCCAGGCTTAGGCAACCAGTAGTCTACTTTCTGTCTTTCAGATTTGCCTAGTCTGGCCATTTCATGTAAATGAAATCATACAATATGTGTTATGACTGGTTTTTTTCACTTAGCACAGTGTTTTCCGGGTTTATAGATATTGTAAACATGTATCAGTACTTTGTTACCCTTCATAGGTAAATACTATTTCATTGTATGTACAGACCATATTTTATTTATCCATTCATTGGTTGATGGACCCTTGGGCTATTTCCACTTTTTGGCTATTATTAATAATGCCACTATGTATATTTGTATACCAGCTTTATCCTGGATATATGTTTTCAATTTTCTTGTGTATGTACCTGCATTAGTTCATTCTCAGGCTGCTAATAAAGACATATCTGAGACTGGGTAATTTATAAAGGAAAGAGGCTTAATTGACTTACAGTTCAGCATGGCTGGGGGAATCTCAAAAAACTTGCAATCATGGCAGAAGGGGAAGCAAATATGTCCTTCTTCACATGGCACAGCAAGAAGAGGTGTCAAGAAAAGGGGGGAAGCCCCTTAAAAACCATCACATTTCATGAGAACTCACTACTATGAGAACTCGCTGTCATAACAGCAGCATGGGGCTCACTGTCTCCATGATTCAATTACCTCCCACTGAATCCCTCCTATGACACATGAGGATTATGAGAACTACAATTCAAAATGAGATTTGGGCGGGGACACAACCAAACCATATTATTCCACCCCTGGACCCTCCCAAATCTCATGTCCTCACAATTCAAAACACAAACATGCCCTTCCAACAGTCCCCCAAAATCTTAAACTCATTCCAGCATTAACTCAAAAGTCCAAGCCCAAAGTCTTATCCGAGACAAGGCAAGTCCCTTCCGCCTACGAGCCTGTAAAATCAAAAGCAAGTTAGTTACTTCCTAGATACAATGGGGGTACAGGCATTGGGTAGACATGCCTCTTGCAAATGGGAGAAATTGGCCAAAACAAAGGAGCTAGAGGCCCCATGCAAGTCTGAAATCCAATAGGGCAGTCATTAAACCTTAAAGTTACAAAATGATATCCTTTGACTCCATGTCTCACATGCAAGGCATGGTGATGCAAAAGGTGGGCTTCCATGATCTGGAGCAGCTCCACTCCTGTGGCTTTGGAGGGTACAGCACCCATTCCTGGTGGCTTTCATGGGCTAGCATTGAGCGCCTGCTGTCTTTCCAGGCACACAGTGTAAGCTGTTGGTGGATCTGTCATTTTGGGTCTGGAGGACAGTGGCCCTCTTCTCCGAGTTCCACTAGGCAGTGCCCCATTGGGGATGCTGTGTGGGGGTTCTGACTCCATGTTTCCCTTCTGCATTGACATAGCAGAGATTCTCCATGAGGGCTCTGCCCCTGCAGCAAACTTCTGCTTGGATATCCAGGAGTTTTCATACATCCTCTAAAATCTAGGCAGAGGCTCCCAAACCTCAATTCTTGACTTCTGTGCACCCATAGGCTCAAGCCTGAGCTGTACATTGGCCCTTTTTACCCATAACTGGAGCTGAAGCAGCTGGAATGCAGGGGACCATGTTCTGAGGCTATACAGAGCAGGGAGGCCCTGGGCCCAGCCCATGAAACCATTTTTCCCTCCTAGGCCTCCAGGCCTATGATGGGAGGGGCTACTGTGAAGGTCTCTGACATGCCCTGGAAACATTTTCCCTATTCTCTTGTTGATTAACATTTGGCTCCTTGTAACTTAGTTACTTCTGCAAATTTCTGCAGTTGGCTTGAATTTCTCCCCAGAAGATGGGGTTTTCTTTTTTGTTGCACCCTCAGGCTGTAAATTTTCCAAACTTTTATGCTCTGCTTCTTTTTTTGTTTTGAGATAGAGTCTCACTCTGTCACCCAGGCTGGAATGCAGTGGTGTGATCTTAGCTCACTGCAACCTCTGCTTTCCAGGTTCAAGCAATTCTGCCTCAGCTTCCCTAGTAGCTGGGGTTACAGTTGCATGCCACCATGCCTGACTAATTTTTGTATTTTTAGTAGAGAAGGGGTTTCACCATGTTGGCCAGACTAGTCTCAAACTCCTGACTTCAGGTGATCCACCTTCCTCGACCTGCCAAAGTGCTGGGATTACAGGCATGAGCCACCACACCTGGCCTCTGCTTCTTCTTGGACACTTTGCTCTTTAGAGATTTCTTCTGCCAGATACCCTAAATCATCTCTATAAAGTTCAAAGTTCCACAGATCTCTAGGGCAGGAGCAAAATGCTGCCAGTCTCTTTGCATAGCAAGAGTGGCCTTTACTCCAGTTTCCAAGTTCCTCATCTCCATCTGAGACCACCTCAGCCTGGACTTCATTGTCCATATCAGCATTTTGGTCAAAGCCATTCAACAAGTCTCTAGGAAGTTCCAAACTTTCCCACATCTTCCTGTCTTCTTCTGAGCCCTCCAAAAATGTTTCAACCTCTGCCTGTTACCCAGTTCCAAAGTTGCTTCCACAGTTTTGGGTATCTTTACAGCAACACCCCACTCTCTGGTACCAATTTACAGTATTAGTCAGTTCTCACATTGCTAATAAAAACATACCCAAGACTGGGTAATTTTTAAAGGAAAGAGGTTTAATTGAATCATAGTTCAGCACAGCTGGGGAGGCCTTAGGAAACTTGCACTCATGGCAGAAAGGGAAGCAAACATGTCCTTCTTCACATGATGGCAGGAAGAGAACTGCCAAACAAAGGAGAAATATCCCCTTTAAAACCATCTGATCTCACAAGAATTCACTATCATAAGACCAGCAGCATGGGGGCAACTGCCCCTATAATTCAATTACCTCCCACCAGGTACTTCCCGTGACACATGGGGATTGTGGGAACTACAATCCAAGACGAGATTTGGGTAGGGACACCAAACCATATCAATACCTAAGAGAGGAATTACTGGGACAAGGGGGAACTCTATGTTTAACTGCCCAACTGCCCAACTGTTTTCCGAAGTTGCCATACCACTTTACATTCCCATTGGCAGTGTATGAGAATTCAAATTTCTTCACATCTTCATCAAAACTTGTCTGTTTGATCAGAGCTATTTCAATGGGTGTGATATATCACATTGTGATTTTGATTTGCCTTGTTGGTGGCTAATAAACAGATTTTAACAAATATTTATTCCTAGACCCCACCACAGACCTACTGGATCAGAATCTCTGAGAGTTTGGAGATGGAGAAATCATTTTTACTAAATTCTTCAGGTAATTTTGATCATCAAGGAGGCATCAGAACGGCTTCTCATTCTAACAATAACCTCAAAGGAATTGTTTTAGCCTAAGGACAAGGGATCTCTGTGTTGAAGATCAGAATTCCTTACGTCTTGTGACTTGATAGGGTAGAGTAGAAAATGTATTTCTTTTAAGACACACAGATTAAGGATTGTATATATCCCAAATGAAAATAACTCTTAAAGCCATACTGACAATTTTCCTACGAGCAGTAGATTTTTCAGTAGTGTGTATCCTTAGCAGAAATTTGATTTAGGAGTCTTCTGAGCCTGATTGCATGACTTTCTAGTTTATTTATTCGAATGGCTAGTCTGTAGCAGCTGTGATTTGGGTGCTTACAGAATACAGGAGCAATCATTTGGGTAGCAGTTTAAAAAACACACAATACCCAAGAGACTGGGTGATTTAGTGGATGTGTTCAGGGAATTAGGAAGTGGGAATTCTTGTCCTGACTCTAATTTATCTTGACTATTAGGCAAGTCACTTTCTCTTTTGTCTGAGTTGCCTCACCTAGTAAGACAGAAATAAATTACAGAAAATAAAATACTGACTTGAATAATTGTTTGTGTCCTGATGTCTACTCTTGGGAGCTCCCACTAAAATATATACCACTTATTTAAGAGTTTTCTACTTGTCATTTTTACTTGGCTTTGCATTAAATGCTTCCTACATTTCTCATTTAATCTTCATACCACCTGCCCAGGTAAATATTATTATATACACACTTTATAGACAAGGAAATTAACACTCTTCACAGCTAAGAAACTTGCTGAAGCATATACAAATATTATGTGTAGGGCTGGAATTGGAATACAGTTTGTCTCCAGAGTTGGCTTTGATTCCCCAGTTTTCCTTATAGAAAACAAAACAAAGAACCCCAATAACCTAAATGTGTAAAGAAAAAATAATCTATATGATCCACCATCCGGAGAGGAGTGGAGTTCACTTATGGTTTCCTGCTGTCCAATCTCTTCTATGCCTACACAACTGAAGGACAAACTTCAGTGGTAAAGTACATCTAGCAATCAGAGGACAAGCTAAGGGAGTAGTAACTGAATGGAGAGAGTACACATTTTGGAGTCCCACTGGCCATGATTTGAAACCTGGCTTAGCTGTGTGATTTTGGGCAAATTCACTTCTTGAGCCCCATTTTCCTCATCAGTTTAATGCTGGTCACAATAGCTACTCACAGGCTTGTCTAATGATTATAAACAATGGCTAAAGCATACAAAACACATGATAAATATTCAGTAATTGGAAGATAATCATAGTGTTTATTGACTGGATATAATATAACATTGGCCAAGTCACATTGGTTGCTTAGGTCAAAAATCTAGCAGTTATTCTGGATTATTTTCTTTCCCTTATAAACTGTATTCAATTCATCATCAAAAATTGTTGACTGCATCTTCAGAATATGTCCCCAATCCCTCCACTTTCTCTCATCTCACCACTACCATCCTAGGGAAGCCTCTCTTACCTTTCACCTGGAATCCCAGCAAGTCAGCTCCAGGCCTTTGGTCTTACCTCCCTCCTGTCTTTTCTTCACGTTGCAAATAGAGAGCTCTTTTGAAAACATAAACTGGCTTATATCACTTCCTCAATTAAAGTCCTCCAAAGGTTTTCCATTGCACTAGAGGAAAATCCAACTTCTTGTCCAGCCAACAAGGACCCACATAATCTCCCACTGCCCTCCTTTCTGAATGCATCATTATCACTTTCCTCATCCTGAGCCGGCTTCCTTTTTGTTTCTGAAACACCAGTTGGGGTCCTCTCAAGCCAAGTGTCTCAAATTCTTCACATTCTCCTCTCAGCCATTTGATGGCAGGCTTCCTTTGTTCATTTCAAAGGTATCCTCTTCAACAATATCTTTTCTTATCTCTTATCTAAAATTTTACCTCCACCCTACTCTTCCTCTATCCATTAACATGTTTTAGTATTTTTCATACCACAGATAGCATTTTAAAATTTGTTTATATGTAGTTAGGGAAACAATTACTTGTTTAGTACTGATAACTGGAGAAAAGAAGAGTTTGAAGGGATAATTTTAAGAGTACAACAAAATTTAGAGGAAAGAGAATGCAGTGGTCTGAATTCTAAAGTACATAAGGAGCTGAATTCCTCAGGCTGGTTAGAATCCCAAGGGTAAGGGCAAGGAGAGAGGACAAGAAAAGCTAGTGGGGTGATTTATGCTGAAAACGAAGGCAGGAAGCAGCTTGATGGGGCTTGAGACAAGGACCTGATTTGAAGACAGGGGTGTGATGCCTAGAAAGGCAGGTGGAAGTAGATTGCAGAGAGTCTCAAATGCTTGTCAGAGGCATTTATGAGCATTCTAGTAGCAAAGGACCTTTATGTCCTTTAGTTTCAGAGCTGGCTTCTGTTTTTTTCATATCGAGCAGCTCACACACAATCCCATGGGAGAACCTGTTGATTTAGAACTGTTTAAATACCAGTGATTTGCATTGGAGACTTTTTATCCTTAGGTAAACGTGTGTGCTAACAGTCAGACAATAATCCAGCCAGTAAGAATGAAGCCAGGCTGGCCTTCTCTGAGTTGGAAAATAACGAAAACAGGCAGGGCGTGGTGGCTCACATGTAACCCCACATGGCCTCACAGGGCGTGGTGGGGTTACACTTGTAACTCCAGCACTTTGGGAGGCCAAGGTGGGTGGATCACCTGAAGTCAGGAGTTTAAGACCAGCCTGGCCAACATGGTGAAATCCCTTCCCTACCAAAAATACAAAAAAATTAGCGAGGCATGGTGGTGGGTGCCTGTAATCCCAGGTACTCAGGAGGCTGAGGCAGGAGAATTGCTTGAACCTGGAAGGTGGAGGTTGCAGTGAGCCAAGATCGCGCCATTGCACTCCAGCCTGGGTGACAAGAGTGAAACTCTGCCTCAAAAAAATGTAAAAAAAAAAAAAAAAAGAAAAGAAAGAAAATAACCAAAACAGCTGGAAGAAAGATCACATGCACCTGTCGTGTTTGCTTTGGGACAGGCAATCTCATTCTGCAGTTTAGAAAAAAGAAACTTTTCACTCATCTAAGGAGATTTGCACTTCACAAACACACTTCCATTAGTAAAGTGATTATCATAAAGAAGGCAGAGTTTTCTCTTTTCAACAACAGGCCTACAGTACTTTGCTATGGACTGCTCTGATTATTAGGGGATTTTTTGGGAACATTTATAACTTCTTCCTCAGCTGTCCTTGTTCCTTCGGGGGAAGTTTATCTTATCATATCACTTAAAGTCTTGAAGAATCAAAGTGTATGGAAATCAGTGTGCCATGGAGGAAGTTTTCCGAACTTCAAAGTACAGATGCCTTGGGCATGGAAGGAACAGCCTGCCACCCAAGTGGTCGTCAGCATGTCTTTTCCCACCCTGCTTCCACCCAGCAGGCAGATTCTAGGATGTTCAGGGTGTTCCGAGACCATTTGGAAGCTAAAACAAATGTCTTCGCAGAAGCATTTCTTCTCATTTGGACAAAGAATAAGGGAACAATGTGGGTTGTTGAACTTGTATGTTTGGAGATGGAAGGATATTGGAAGCAGTTGCCAAATCCTTCCTTTCCTCAAGCACCTGTCTACCATGGGCTAGATCAGCCTTTAATCCTGGCTTTGAACATCAAGTTTTGACAACTACCACCCATCCTGCTGGAAACTGGCATTGTGTTTTTAATTTTCATTCTTTTGAGTCTTTTGGTTATGCTTGGAAGCACTGTGAAATCCGAGCCAATATGTGTGGAGAGGAAGATAGGGCAATATTTTATATATTTATAAATACACAAACAATAAACATAATATATATAAAACACATACATACATATGTACACATATCTACATGTATATATACATATATGTGTATGTTTATATATGTATATACTTATAATCTATTAGGCATATTATTTATTATTTTTCTGTATTATAAATATATATACATTATAGGTGTGTATACACATATAGACTGTGATGCGTGTGTGTGTGTGTGTGTATAAATAATTTTCCACAACCATTTGGACTCTCAGGAGTTTTCCTTCTTCTCATGTTTTTTCCATCAACTCTGCTAAGGTTGTTTAAATGGGAATTCTCTGACCCTTCCTTCTGACAGGATGAGGGGGACAGATGACTGAGCTCCAGCTATTCTCATGGTTGCAAGGCAGGAGACACCGCGACCTACAGGAAGCTTCCTCACTGGAGAAACATAACAAAGCACTGTCTGAGGCACTTCCGAAAGGGTGGGCTGGCTGCCCACAAGGCTGGGAATGGCAGCTTTGGCTTGGCTTGAGTTCATGGACATTTTCCTCTGGCTACCTAGGGAAGTTCTGCTTATAGTTCAACTTAGTAAGTGTACTACACCCTCTTCCCACAAACTCACGAGGAGGTGGGGGTAGGGATGCCACATTTTGTACCTAGTTCACTTTCGTGGGGTACTACTTTACACTTGAACATTGACTGTTTCAGTTCACAGTAGAAAGCTGAAGGGAGACAAAGTTAAACTCAAGAAAAGCATCTTCCTCTAGTAAAAGGTGCCAGGGAAGTTATTTACGGATGATGAGGAGGAGGCAGTGGAGATTACTAGCTAAATGCAGCATTTGGGTTATATGTGGATTATAAATTGCTGGATGTACAGATAGTTGAGAGTTGCCTGAACATCACAGACTCCAGTTGTAGATTTGTGACTTAAGGGTGACTGAAATAGGCAATGAGAATGACCCATGAAAGCCTTTCAAAAAGTCAACTTTTGCTAGTTCCATTAAGTAGAATTTTATTTTTCCTGCATAGCCGAGTATTTAGGACTTGGGTAATTCTCTCTGATAATGAATGTTTTCCCTACAGCTGGTTACATCCTTACAGCATGTGTTGGCTTGTGGTCCCTGGTGATGTAAGAGTGGGGGAAAGGCCATTAGCTGTGTAAGTTGAAGACCACAGATGTTCCCCGTTGTGCACTGGTTTTTCAGATGTAAATCTCGGTGTTCTGGGAGACCTGGTAGGAAGTTCTGGGAAATAATTCTGGGATAAAAGAAGTTTTAAACAATGCCCATTGCAAACACAAGGACACTGTAAATAAACCAAGTCTCCCATGTACTTCCCTTTCAGCCATAAATATATCTTTTCCTCTTCTGGATCTTACTGGGTTCTTCTTATAGGGCTTCTAGCCTACTGTGCCCTTGGCTGACTTAGTTTATCTCAACACTTCATCTAGTCTTTCCTCAATCACCTGGCCTTCCTATCACTCTTGTAGGATATATACTCCTTCCTGCAATTTTTGGAGGAACAGACATAAAGCCTTCTTTAGCTCCTCTTGGTACAAGAGTGGGCATGAAATGCAGCAGTCCACCAGGACCGTAATTCTCAAGGTCAGGGACGGGTTGTTCTCAATCCTTTCGTAGTTGATGAGAGTCTTTGAGATGACACTCAAGTTTGTCTTGTAGTATTCATGTTTGCTATATTATATTTCTGAGAACAAATAGAAGCCATTAGAAGGAAATCTCCCAACCTCCCCTAGGAAAAATAGCAATCTCTCTACCTCTGCACTCATGCTTTGCCCCTGGAGCACCTGCATCAGAATCACCTGGACTTGGTGTTGAAAAAGGCTAGACCTATTAATTCAGAAACCTAGAAGGTAGGTAATGTATGGGAATCTGAATGTTCATGAGCACACTTGCTGATTCTAATGTAGACTGAGATTGAAGAACTACTACCTCCACCTATCGATTATACTTTCTCTAATATATTTATCCCCTTCCATATTGGTTAAGATAAATGATCCTGGAGCTCTGACACTTACTAGCTGGGCAAGTTACTTAAACTCTGTGCTTCTATTTCCTTATCTATAAAATGAGGATAGTAAGAATACCCATTTTTCAAAGTTTTATAAGGAAGATTAAATGAATAAATATATGTAAAACATATACATATATTTGTATAAGGAATGTATGACCAACAAGATATATGTTGGCTCTTATTATTACCGAGTCCTTCCTCTCAACATTTAAACATATGTGAGATTCTGCTTTTTTTCTTTTTTAGGACTTTACTATTTTTTTAAATCCTCCAGAGACCTTTTATCTTTTTCTCTCTGTAGCCTCAGTAATAACCCTTTATCTTTTTATTATTTCCTCCAATATGTCCTGTTCCCTCTTCCCCACCACAGGGCTTTACTACACGATGAAATACGGCTCTCAACACCACCCTTTCCCTAGTTATTTTCTACTCATTCTCTATTGTCAACTCACTGGTCTCTTTTGTAGGGAACCTTCAGACTTAGCAAATGCCTCCCACTCTTCTGCTTTCAAATCCTGCATAGTATTTGTCAGATTTTTCATTTCACATTTATTTGTACAATCATTTGGTTATGCCTATTACCTCCACTACGCTGAAAGCTCTAAAAGGGCTGGGATCCTGCTAATTTTTGTCTGTAAATGTTTCCCCATTGCTGAGCATTGGGACTGGCACTTACTAGTTCCTTATAAGTCTTCGCCGCATTAATGAGTTGATAAGTGAATATGACTATTATAAATGAAAACCTTAAGCAGAAAACCAAGGCAGGACTGCTGGGAGTGCTTTAGCGTTGTTTAAAGAGTCCACCTGGCCAGGTGCGTTTACTCACGCCTGTAATCCCAGCGCTTTGGGAGGCTGAGGCGGGCGGATCATGAGGTCAGGGGATCGGGACCATCCTGGCCAACATGGTGAAACCCTGTCTCTACTAAAATACAAAAAATTAGCTGGGCATGGTGGCATGCACCTGTAGTCTCAGCTACTCAGGAGGCTGAAGCAGGGGATTTGCTTGAACCCAGGAGGCGGAGGTTGCAGTGAGCTGAGATCGTGCCACTGCACTCGAGCCTGGCCACAGAGCAAGACTCCATTTCAAAATAAATAAATAAATAAATAAAATAAAAATAAAAAATAAAGAGTCCACCTTTGGAGTGAGACAGACCTGAGAAACAGTGCTCACTCTGCCAAGTGTCAGCTGTGTGATTTTGGGCAAGATTCTCAACCTTCCAAGGAGTTCCCTTTCCTCTTCTTTTGTAAAAAAAGCCATACCAATGTAGGGAAGTACAATACCTACCATATAGAAGTGTTGTGGGGACGAAAGAGATAATGCATGCAAAGAGCTAGCACAATTCCTGGGCCATAGGAAATGCCCAGTGAATGTATATTATGATGCTGATGATAATGACCTTCTTCCTGTTCACAAAACTTCCCAGAACTTCTTAGTCTGTCAGTGACTAATTTTAACAGCACAATACCTAAGGGATCCATTACATACTTTTTCATTCTATCTTTACTCACAGCAAAGGCAGTGAGGTGCCTCAGATTTCATCTGCTGCATATACTCCTCAGAGTTGGCCTTACTCCCTTGCTTCCTCTCGTTGTCTGTCACTGCTCCATGCTGCTCAGCTTGCTTGGCATTTTTTTCTGTTGCCAGCCCCAAAGTATGCACCTCTGGGCATGTTCATCAATTGCCATGACCTTGTCCAGAGCTATTCTGCCATTCTCAATGCCATCCCTGCCATTTCCTTCCCTCAGCAAGGTTGAGATCTTTCTTTTCTTTACTGCCTTTGGCAGAATGGAAAAGGAAATTAAACCCAAATCCTCTTAGAGCAAGAAGATGAGGCACAGCTTTTCTGATGTGTCCTTTGAGCTTTGAGGTTTCCTTCTCCCCAAGACACATGTGAGAGAGCTGAGGCAAGCAATGTCAGAGTCTTTTCAAGATTCTACATTGTGCTCCTCTTGCCCTATATCAGTGAGACTGGGGAGCAGTAAGAATGACAACAAGGAGCGATCAACCCTGTGGGACTTGGAACAACTACTGTATAAACTCCCTTTCAACTCTAGAACTTGAACTTTTTCCCTTTCCACAGCACCCTTTCCCCCAACCACAAGGGCAACGTTCTCTCATGAGAAAAGTTTTATTTCCTCTTACAAAGTAGCCTTGCCCTGGTCCAAGGGCATTTGCAAGTCACCCAAGGCCATTCAGATATGCTTTGAGTAGTTTTAGATTGCTGAGATGCCCCCACCTCCTACTCCATACAATAATTTTCATGCTATATTTTTGTTCTTGACACTGAAGAACCATTTTGCTCACCTCTTTCATTGGTGCCTTATTAGCAACAACACCCTTCTTTCCATTCATTTCATGAGATTGTGTTTTTTGTTGTTGCTATTTTTGTTTGTTTGCTTTTTTGCAGTAGCAATGGAAGTAGGTAGGGCAGGTAGATGATATTTTGCCTCCCTAAAGTGGCCTTGAAAAAGTTTGAAAATCATAATTTGAAGAGCACCCCAGGGAGGAAAATTCACTGTTGCCAGACCTCCTGTGAGAAATAAATAGAAACGCAGGCAGTCAAATGATCAGTGTTCTAACTAAGCTTTGTTAATCTTTTCCTAAGGTAAAGTGTGCACATTTACTTTTTTCATGATGCTTTCCTGATTTTTCTTTCAAGGACCAAAGATTTGCAGTCTGAGCAGCTGGATTGCTTCCTGTCACTATTCTGTCCTTGGAGACATTTGGCCCATTAAAGGGAGCCCACGGATTCCATTTCAACAGATGCTCCTCACATTTATTCAGGATCTAAGTGATAGGGTGACTCATTGTGTTGCTAATACAATTACAGTCTTTGTTGTTTAAGAATCATATCTTGATTTCATATAGGCGAAGAGATTTAAAAGAACAATGTATGTGTGACACTGTCAGAGAAACTAGATTGTTCCTACTTGGAAATAAAATGCATAGTTTGTTATTTGACTTATAGCCTTAGGAGAATGCACATAGCATGTGGGGCTTTCTGAAATTCAGTAAAAAGTCATGGATTCCTAAGTTTGTGATTGAAAAACTCATCAGGGGGTGCTGTAAGTAGCTGGCTGCTGGGAAATAAAAAAGGAGGAAAGAACTTGTTGACTTTCTTTCATATTTGGCACAAATTCTACCTTTACGTCAGTAAAAGATTCTGGCAAGGACAGTATTTGAATTTTAGTTGTGATTGCTCTTGGACCAAGGCATATATATAAATATATATTTTCCAAAGATAATTTTTGAATGGACTTTATTAAGCTATTCCTGTTTCTCCTTCAAAAATGTCTGTCCTCTGCCTCTTTACCTTTTTTTTTTTCCCTCTACTTTTGACTCCCAATTTCTGTAGGGACTATTGAGATAGGAGGAAGAGTGAGTAGGCTGGAGTGAGAGAACTGCTTATTCTTCCTTAGACTCCTTTTCTGGGGCTCAAAAGTATGTTTAGCTGGTTATAGAAAAGAAAGTGCTTATCTTCTTCGGGGTCTTATCATACATGGATAAGCAGAAAAGGTATCCCTGTGATTTTTCTGTAAGGCCTGAATTTATAAATAATTTAAGAAAAGATCTGAGTTTGAATCCCAGTTCAGCTACTTACTAGTTGAGTGACCCAGAGCAAATTATTCTCTTAATAAGAGACATTTTTCTTAAAATGGAGATATGATAGTACCCACCTCATAGGATGATCAAAGGGGTATGAAATGATGTGACTGTGACATATTTGGTACCCGATAAATGTTAGCTCTTCTTATATTTATACTATCAAGCCTGATTTGTGGCTAAATGCATAAAAGTTATGGAATATTAGGAAGCCAGCTCCAGTGAACTAAATGAGAAGGAAGAGGGGATATAGTTTTGACATGTGGCCTATTATTCGATTTCTGCTGGCCCAGTAATCTCAAACATAAATAACTATATACCAATAATAGAATTAGGCATTTTTTTAAAGAATGTATTAATAATAATTTGATTTAACAATAAGCAGAGAATAAAAGCATGTCACATAGGTAAACGGAATTAAGATGAAGTAAGAATTATTGACTTGAGGTGGGCAAAATCTTGATGTTTTGTGCTTAAGAGTGTTACCAGAAAGCCATACACTTTGGAGATAGATATAGCTGGGTTCAAATCCCAATTCCTGGAGTTACTAGTTGTGCAAATTAAGGATGTTTTCATTTTCTTTTCTGTAATATATGGCTAAATATACCTCCCCAGAAGATTGAAAATACTAAATGGCATAAGACCTGAAGTAATACAACTCCTAGAATAGAACATAGGGGAAAAGCTCCTTGATATTAACCTTGGCAATGATTTTTGGGACATAATACCAAAACCTCAGGCTACAAAGGCAAGAATAAATAATTAGGAGTACATAAAACTGGAAAGCTTCTGTGCAGTAAAGGAAACAATCAACAAAATGAAAAGGCAACCTATGGACTGAGAAAAAATATTTGCAAACCACATGTCTGATAAGGGGTTAATATCCAAAATTTATAAGGAACTCTTACAAGTCAATAGCAGAAAAACAAATAACCAGGTTTGAAAATGGACAAATACCTGAACAGACATTTTTTTGAAGAAGACATAAAAATGGCCAACAGATGTATGAAAATGTGTTAAGCATCGCCAATCATCAAGGAAACACACACGAATAGCACCATGAAATATCACCTGACACCCATTAGGATAGCTATTATTAAAAAGACAAGAAATAACAAATGTTGGTGAGGGTGTGGAGAAACGGAAATCCTGAACCACCATAAGACCCAGCAATCCATCTTCTGGGCGTTTACCCAAAGGATATAAAATCATCATCTTGTAAAGACATCTGTACTCTTATGTTTTTTGCAGTGTTATTCATAATAGCTAAAATATAGAAACAACCTATATATCCCTTGACAGACAAATGGATTAAGAAAATATGGTAATGTATAAATACAATGGAATGTTATTCAGCCTTATAAAAGAAGGAGAGCCTGCCATTTTCCACAACATGGATGAACATGGACAATATTATGTCAAGTGAAAGAAGCAAGACACGGAAAGAAAAAATATTGCATGAGCTTACTTATGCAACATGCAATATTTATGCATATGCAAAAATATTCAATATTTATGTGGACTATTAAAAAAAGTCAGATATACAGAGTAGAGATATAAAAAACAATACAGCAGATACTAAGAACCAGAAGAGGAGAGAGGTAATGAGGAGATGCAGGTCAAAAGATAGAAAGTAGCAGATATGTGGGATGAACAAGTCTAGAGATCTAATGTACAACATGATGACTGTAGTTAATAGAATTGTATTGTACTAGGGAGTTTTAAGGGGATTTTAGCTCCTCTTGCTACAAAAAATAAAGTAACTATGTGCAATGATAGCTATGTTAATCAGTTTCACTATAGTAACCATTTTATTATCTATGTGTATCTCATAATATTATGTTGTAAACTTCAAATATATGCAAAAAAATGTATTTTAAAAAGAATAAATATCTGTACAGGAAATAAAAAGGGAAAGATTAAATTGATAACTTATTATATATATGTGTGTATATATTTTTGTTGTTGTTTTGTTTTGTTTTGTTTTGAGACAGGGTCTCTCTCTGTCACTTAGGCTGGAATGCAGTGGCAAGATCTTGGCTTGGCTCACTGCAACCTCCACCTCCTGGGCTCAAGTGATCCTCCCACCTCAACCTCCCCAGTAGATGTGACTACAGGCGTGCACCACCATGCCTGGCTAATTTTTGTATTTTTTTTTAGAGACAGGGTTTTGTCATGTTGCCCAAGATGCTCGTGAACTCCAGAGCTCAAGCAAGCAATCTGCCCACTTCGGCCTCCCAAAGTGCTGGGATTATAGATGTGAGCCATGGCACCCAGCCAGGATAACTCATTTTAAAGTATTTAATACCATGCTTGGCAACAGTAATTGCTCAGAAAATGTCAATGTTTTTTTTCTTCCATTCTCTCTCTTTTAATGATCAATAATGCTACGATTTGACACCAACTCCAAATTTAGCTCATACTCCATCCCCCAAAGTTCTTTTCTACTGGTCTGTGATCTGCTTTGGACATTTCGTAAGGAGCCCTCTTTCCTTGCTAGTTTTGTTTGCTCAAACTTGGTATAGCCCATCTTAACTAAGAGTAGAGGAAGACAACTTGTCTTTTCAAATAATTTATAATTGGTAACTTATAATTCTATTTAGAATTGCCTTGGTTGGGGAAGTCTCTTCCATCACACCAAGTAGGCAAGCCTTTACAAGTGTATTCTCAGTGACAGCTACTTCGCTGAAAGTAGATGAAGCATAAATCATGAATTAATAAAATACATGGACAGCGAAGTTACTTCTGCATCTGGCTAGGGGATTAATTCATGTCACCATAGCCATGACTGAGAGAAATCAGATCATAGTTTGAAGAAAATAGTCAGTAAACCCTGGCTTTTCCTTCTGTTTTCTCTTACTTTGCACTTTGGGTGACTTTATATGTTCTAGGACAGGAGTCAGCAAATTACAGCCTGTAGGCCTGCTGCCTGCTTTTAAAATAAAGTTTGTTGGGAAGATAGCCACACTCCTTCATTGATGTATTATCCATGGCTGTTTCTGCACGACAGTGTCAGAATTGAGTAGTTGTGAGTAGAAACTAACATGACCTACGAAGGCAGCAGTTTTTACTATTTGGCCTTTTATAAGAAAACTTTGCTGACCCCTGCCCTAAAGGTTTTAAAGTATATCTACGTGTTGACCTATGCTTTTACTCTCTTTAGATGGGGCCTGGGATGTAAGGTTAGTGGTCTCCAGAACAGAACACAATACACCTGTGACAACTGTCTGTTGAATTGAACATCTACAATTCATTAGTGTTAAAATATGCTATTAGCAAATCTTAGCATAATATGACATATTTTTTTTGCTCTTCTCTGCTTGTTTGCCCTGAACTTGGAAGAGTGATCTGTATTCACAGAAAGGGTTGGTACTACTGAAGATGGACACTCTCACAAATCCAGTGGGGATGAGGGAGAGATGAAAATTTCATAACTAGAGATGTCTGAGCTCCACCCAGTAGACTGGCGCTTTCCCATGGTGTGAGGCCACTTGAAGCATTTCTCATGAGTGGAAGGCCACTTTTTATTTTTCCTGTTATTAAGGCTTCAACATGAGGCCTTTCTGCTCTTCCTGTATCCAAACACCAAATTTTCCCCAGGTTTAGCATGTCTCTGCCCAGTCCCTTTCACAATATTATGGCAAAGGAATGGAAAATCTATTCAAGTTGAAAAGTTTTACTAACTGGTATAATTTAATTAGGTCAGTGCACTTAAAATGTCACACATTTGCAGCTTCATTGAATGACTTTATTTATCCAGAAGGAGCTCTGGCCTCAGGCCTAATGGGAGCTTTCATAGCTAACTCTACCCAGCAAGAGTTGTATGGATGACTCTTTGCATGCATTTGAACTCTAGACCTTTTCCTGAGCCTGGAAGTGTGGGAACCAGTACCTGGTCGGAGCTGAGCCTAGACCACCCACTCATTTCACACAGCCCATTAAATGGTTATCATATGATGCTTATATGACTCCTCATGTTGGCCTTGTCCTGAATGGCTGTGTGTTGAATTACTAATTATCCGTACAGCTCTGCTATGTAAATGCCACTTAATTTCCACCTCCACTTTGGAAGCCACGCTGCTCAAACAGAGCCAGTATAATAACCTCAGGAGCTAGCTGAATGTTTGCATTGCAATGGGATGAATTCCATCACCACCATAATCACTATCAACCATAAATGTTTTCTTAAGTAAACAGTAGTAGCTAATGACAAAAAGAAAAAAGAAAAAAATGGAAACACTGCATTTATTGCAGAAGTTGCACCACTCTGGACCATTCTCATGCTTCAATTTCATTATCTATTAACACTGTACACTTTTCTATGCCATATGAAAATAGCAAACCACCATCTGGGGGTTTCATCATCTTACTCTGAGGCAAGGGTGTCTCTAAAGATTGCACTTTGCCTACTTGGCAAGGAAATCCTGCTTTAGCTTCAGTGATCAGGAAATGCAGGGAATGCTTTCCCTCCAGCCAGACCCCAAAGACTAATCCAGACAAACATAGGAATTCTCATGAAAACCTCCCAACTGCAGGCCAAAATTTACCTTATATATTGCTGTATTATGCTTACTAGGATATTACTAATAAGCTTTTGCGAATATTTAAATTTTAAATGAACCATTAATCTGGGCTTTCAAAATGCTAAAACATGATCATACTTGAACTTCAGAGAGATAACCCTGGAGCAGAGTAGGTCAGACAACAATAGGGGATGGTGGTGAAGGGGAAGAATAATTAGGAGGCAGATCATTATTATTTTGATTTAAGTATATGATTCCTTTGGTATTAAGTTATTTGTAACCATCAGAAATAACTATATGGACCTCTCAAATATGGCTAAATTCTAATGGTTCTGATTTTAAAATAAAAACCCAGGTTTATTTGATTCTTTTATGAATCAACTCGAAAATCAGGGTAAGAATCTTAATCTAACTAATGTTTATTATATCATTGTGTCTTTTAATAAAAATTAACTTGTCATTTTCCTAGTTGGCTTTCAAATAGCTGACATATACTTACCCAAACCAAGAAATAAGCAGATAAGATGGTCATTTTAATGAACATGAAGAACAGTACTACTTCACTCATTTCTTCTTTATACATTTACTGAGTATCTTCCATATATCAGACACTTTGCTAGGCTCTAGGAAGACAACGGTGAGAAAAATTAGGTTGGTTTTTACCTTATGAGGTGATGATACTTCCTGAGACATGATATGAAGTTAGAATAGATATAAATCCACACAACTAAAAAATAACAAATTTAATAACTTTATAGATGATTGTGTATGATATAATCTCCTCTACCTTATGACTATAATATTTCTGCTGTATTACAATTCAGGATCTTTTTTTCCTGCCATCTTTCTTATATATTAGAAAAATAATTCTGCATTTTGGAGAAAATGGAAAACTTTGAAATATTTTGTTTGAAAATACATTTTCTTTCATTAGTTTTTATCTCACAATCTTTCTACGATAATTTAAGACGTGCTTTCTCCAAACTCCTTTTCTAGCCTTGCCTTTCATTACCCCTACTCTCTTGCCCAATGCTCAATCAAACCAAGCAGTGTCTGTTCTATGAAGATGCCCCATCTTTTCCCATATCCCTGTATTTGCTTATCATGTCTCCTTTGCCTGAGATGCCCTTCCTCCAACATCTCCGTCTACCTAATCCTACTCATGTTCTAAGAGCCAGTTTTGATGCTGCATCTTCTATGCAGATGTGCCTGTAATTAAACTCTCTTTTCTCGTCTGAACAACTATAGCACTTTTAGTTATCTTTTGATGATTATAAGCAATCATGAAGGGCAGACTACAATATTTGTATATTATACATTTTCTTTTCTGGTAGCGTGTCAGCTTGTGAAGAACAAAGATAGTATCTCACTTTGGTTACACTGATATTCCATGAAGGCATGGCACAAATATTTTTGGAGAATTTCTTACGTGTTAGGTGCAGTGCAAGGCTCTTCAGGAATATAGACACATTCATTCCCTGTCCTTGTGGTGGGCATTAAACACAGGGATATTATAAGCATAGTATTTGTGAAATACTAAATTAATTCTTAAGCACTCTTCAAACATGGCACAATTTTTGATCTCTTATGTGGATTAGAAGCTCCAGGGGTCATGGAAAGCAAGCGTATTTTAGGAGTTTACATGCTCCCAATGCTTTTTTAGGTGGCAGCTGACTCTGTACATAGTTTGCATCATGAAAAATTTGGTCAAGTCAACACTGGATCACCAAGAGGGAAGAGTTAGACACTCTTTAAACTGGTAGTTGTATTTGTAAATAATCAGGCTCAGCACTGAAGCTTTTGCTGTTTCCCAGGCTTCCTTGCTCCTTCTTCAGCCAGGCAGTAGAGTGGCAAAATGGGTAAACTATAGTCTGCTTTGGTGTGAGACATGTCTTTGATGATAGACATGGCTTCACTCATTACTAGAAGAGAAGTCTTGGGGTTATCAATTCACCTCATATGAAAAATCAGAATAAGAATACACTCCTCAGTGAAGATTAAATGATAACACCTGTAAAGCCAAGAACAGGGTTTTACAAGCCAAATCCTGCCTGCTGTTTGTTTTGTAAATAAAGTTTTATTAGGACACAGAGATGCCCATTCATAATGTATTGTCTATGTCTGCATTTGGTTACATCAGCAGAACTGAGTAGTCACAGTCAAGACTGTATGGCCCACAAAGCCTAAAATATTTACTATTTGGCCCTTTTGTAGACAGAGTTTGCTGGTTTTGCTGACTGCTGGACTAGAACATAATTCTCCACCTGGAACATGTCTGATACATGTTAATTATAAAAATTATTCTCTTTCTTCACCAGACCTAATCTGTGATTAGAGTGGAAGGGAAAGGTTGGAGAAGGGTTGGCAGAAGAGGAAGTACTATAGCTAATTGCCATTTTTCATTTAATGGAATCTCAAATTGGAATTGAACAGGAGTCTATAACTGAAATGTAACAGAGACCTAAAGAGGTAATTTTTTTTTTTCCTAATTGAAAACTTTTACTGGTCCAGAAACTCTTTTATTTTTCCTCCTGGAAAGTGTTATGAGTCACTGTAGAAGTTACAGTTCATTCCTGATAATGATTGTCATTGGCAGAGACCATGAAATGATTCCATCAGAGCATAGTGCTCCCATTCCAGTCAGCTTTGCTTGCATTGGTATTGATTTCAATTAAAACTAGTTATCTGAATCACTGGGCTTCCTGTTGGCTGCACTCATTGCCCGGTGATGCAAATGGAAAGCTTGTTTTAAACCTACAATATCTGGTTACTTACAACAAGGCCCAGGCAGCTGAAGTATAAACAAAACCCAAGCACCAATCAATGTAGAAAGAAATGATCTTCATTTGCCCTGCATGATGTCATCCATCTTGGGCCTGGCAATTTTCTAACAATTATTGACTATGAGGGCAGGCAAATCTTGTGAATTCATTTTATTCCTTATCAAGGCAGGTAGTCAAGCATATCCAAAAACATTTGATTTGGTTCAATTCCTTGTGTACATATCCTTTCTCTTCTTTTTTTCTTCATTATGTCAACCTTGGTGGGAGGAGTTTGTGTGTTTGCACAAAACACAGAATAATGGCGCTTTGTGTCTGTGTGTTATGCCATGTGTGTTTAGCATTTGAATGGCTATTCTCTTTTACCTATTAGCCTAATTCAGTGATCAGCCTAAGTAGCACATTCCAGAGATCAGACTCCGGTTTTCACAGAATGATTTAGCAATTCGTATCAGAACCAATACTTTATAATAGCAAAACAAACAAACAGATGTTTGTCATTCCCAAAGGTACATGGCACATAAGGCCAAATGTACAGAATATGTTGTAATTTGTGATGTTGTAAATTCACATATTTGAATCCCTGGCCTTAAGCTGTGTAGTGGATCAAGTCACCTAGCTAGAAAGTGAGACTATGTCACTGTGGTACAGATTGACTAGTTGTTTCCCAAACTGCTTTCCTTTTGACACGTAACTAGACTATATTTCCCAGCCTTCTTTGTAGTCAGTTACAGGCTTGTATCTGAGTTGTGGTCAATAAATATGATGAAAGTGATATATAGCTTTTCCAGGCTTAGGTGATAAAACTCTCCTAAATGCAGTCCTCTACTTTCTTTCCCTATCTCACACCTGTAAGGAGAGGACTCCAAGGACATAGAGGAGGGTGGGATGGCAAGATAGAAGAAGGCTGAGCTCCTGAAAGAGTATGTGGAGCAGAACTTCTAGCCCCACCCTCCTGCCACTACTAACGCACACTGAATTAGGATGAGATCAATAAATAAAAATTTATTGCATTAAATCACTGAGATTTAGGGTTGTGCGTTATGATAGTTAGTCTAGCCAGATTCATGTCCTGGCTGACTGTCATTCTTCTATGTGGCACTGCTCTTTTTTATTCATCATCTTTACAAATGGAGTTGCTTTGATGACATCCTACTTTGCTGTATTTTATGGAATAGATAATAGGCTATAAAGGTATTTGGAAATGTGAGGATTTGTGAAGATGTGTGGATATATCCATTGAGAATATGAATGCTCTTAAGTCGTGTTTTCTCCACATCATTCCTGTGTTGTAGGTAACTTGTTTAATGTCAGGGTAACAATGAGGGCTGGATGTCTTAGTTCAATTTTACAAGTAGAACTTTTTTGTAGAAAGCTCTATTATTTTGCCTTCATAGGTCTATAACTCTATATTCATTGAGCCAATTTATATATGAAATGTTTAACTTAGTTATTGAGCAGAATAACGCAAATTATATTTTGGTTTGTTGGACTGAACACTTGTATTTGATAGGGGTGTTTGTATGGCATCAGGGAGGAAAGTGTAAGGAAGTTATTTCCAGATGAGGAATCTGGATGTAGTTGATTATATTGTCAGCATCCTTTCTGCCCCTCCCTCTCAGTCCTGCCTCTTTGTTTTCACAAATGAAATGTGAATGAAAGTGTGATGTGACATTTCCAAGCAAAAGCTTTAATGGAGCTGCACTGTTTCCCTCTGCCACTGCCTTGCATGATCCAGAGAGGGGCTGCAACTTTAACTTTGGTTGTAGAATGAGGAGGTTGCAAAGCATTGGCTCAGACCCATGAAGGACATAAACATGAGCCAGAAACAAAGCTTTATTTTTAAACTTTGAAGATGTGGGGGACTTTTGTTTCTTCCACGTAAACTGAGCTGACTGATACACTGGGGCTCAGATGGTAACTTGTTAACTTGGGTAGCTTAGGTAACTTGCCTAAGATCATAGGGCTAATATACTGTGGAGCCAGGATTTGAATCCAGGAAGTCTAATTCCAGAGTCTGTGCTTATAACCACTCTTGTGTAGGAGGGAGAATTTCCTGGCCCTTGTGTGTAGGACAGACTAGAACAGAGAGCAAGCCTGGAGACAAGGAGACCATTTAGGAACACTCAAAATATGAGGTTTTAAGAATCTGGAAGAGAATGGCTATTTAGGGCCTATGATTTGTGTAGAGTAGGTGCCTCATAAACAACACTTGAAAAGGTGAATGAATAAGTTTTTCTGACTACAGGTGCCAGTAAGTGCTGCTGTCACTACCACATTCTGGGTAGTCATTTTCTTTACTGTAATTGTTTGCTTTGCCCACACATCATTTCTGGCTGGGTCACTGAGTCACAGACAGCTTTCTTGAGGATGGCTCTCTGCAGGAATGGCTCAGACTGCACCATCCAAAAAGATGAAGGGCACCCTGCCCTTCTACTAGACCTTCACTCGGCATTGCCATGGCTCTTTCTTGCCTTTACCTCATCTTCTTAGTGGGTTTGTCACTGTCAAGTGAAATGTAATTTACTCTTTCTTCATGCTACTTTTAATGTCCCAGCAGAAAATCCTCTTGGTGTTATCTTTTCCCTTCCCCTTTTCATGGCTCTTTCTTTTGCATTTGACACTAAAGATGACACAGGGGTTACTAAAACCTAAAGTTCGCTTGATTTAGCCATTCTTCAGTGTATACAATATATCAAAACATGACGTTGTATGCCATAAATATACACAATTTTAATTTACCGGTTAAGAAAACAATAAAGTTTCCCCTCAGTTTTATAAATGCAATTCTTTTCTGATTTGGTGTAATTTAGAACCAGGAAACACAAGCCCACATTCGATATCTATACTTTCTGCTGCCTAAATCCTCATGTTAGAAAAGGCGTCAGCGAAACTAATACCCATGATTGCTTTAAGTGGATTTATATGTTACTGGCAGTTGGAAATGCAGGAGAAATGGAGAAGAATAAGGGAAAGAAAAATGGTAGGGTGAGAGGAACGGTGAGGAAGAAAGAGAAGAACGATGAGAAATAAAATATATCAACCTTGCTTTGTACCAAAAGCATGCATTCTTATCTGTAAAATGTTCACCTAATACTATTTTTAGTTATACGATAGAAGCTGATAACCCTTTTTGTGGATGAAACTGATATGATATGCTTCAATATCATTATTATAGGAATGAATAATTTTGTAAAATATCTGATACAGGCTTGTTTAACCAAGCTAAGTTCAAAAAGAAAGGATGATTTAATGTAAAAGTCTATTTCTGGTAGGTATTATGCCTCTCACAATGTGGCCATCTTATAAATTACAACAATTCTCTCCAGGAGAATTATTGGAGAGAATATTTGGTAAGACTGAGTGAAATCTATGAAACCATAATGGTTATAGCTTCATAATAAACAGGAGTTGAGTTTCAGACATTCATGGGGTAGCTACTAGATTTCAACGTATGCACTAAGCCTTGAAAATACAAAGATAAAAGAGACATAGTTCTGCAGTGAGCTGGGGACTCATATCATAAATTGTGTAGAACAGAGCTAGTGGTGGAAATACCAGAAGCCTTCCTGGATAATGTGAAGAATGTAATGAGTAGAATTTTGACCTGAGCAGAAAATATTGCAGTTAAAAGAAAGGAAAGGCCTTTGAAAAACCATGAGTTGTTCAAAATTGATAGAGTTTAAATACGATGCAATGTAAGGATGATGAATGGACTTTGGGAACTTGAGGAGAAGCTTGGGAGGGAAGTGAGGGGTAAAAGCCTACATGTTGGGTACAGTGTACACTGCTTGGCTGGGTACACTAAAATCTCAGAAACCACCACTTAAAAACTAATCCATGTAACCAAAACCACCCATACCCCCAAAACTATTGAAATAAAAGAAATTTTTAAAAATGATCAATAAGTGATGAATAACAAGGATAAAGAAGTAAATAGGAATCTCTTGGTACCTTTACATCCAATGAGGACATTTAAGGATGACATTATTCTACGGAAAGGCACACATTCAAGACTATTTCAGATAAAACTCTGAAAAATTGATGATAAATTATTATCATGTCTGAGGGGGATGTTTGATGCCAGTCTAGCATATGGGACCTCTTAGTTTCTTACTTGTAAGGGTATGAGTCTTTTTCATTTAACTGATTATTCAGTAGCCACTATGTGTATAATATTTGCACATTACACAATCCAAGAGAGATATCAGAGTAGTATTTAAGTATTACATGCAGGGTACAGAAATAATATTCTGTGAATTCAAAGAAAGGAGAAAACTTTTATAGATTAAGAAAACTTCCTTCCTTCCTTTCTTCCTTCCTTCCTTCCTTGCTTCCTTCCTTCCCCCCTTCCTTCATGTTGTTCTTCCTCCCTTTTTTATATTCTGTCTCCCTTCTTCCCTCCCTTCTTTTCCTTTCATGGTTATATACTGGTCTCTGATTGCAAGGTATAAACCAAGAACTGGGAATATGGTGTTGAGCAGAAAGGCAGATATTAGATAATAACTTCTCAAAACCTAATGATAATAGTAATAAATGGTCTTCAGAAATTACTCTCCATAAAAGGCAGGGCATAAACAAAACTGAGTGAGGTAAGGCAAGATGTTCCTGGAGAATTTTTTAAACTGACACCTGAAGCACGATGAGAAGAAAGAGTGGTTTCCAGATGGCAAGGAGCAGAGGAGGACATGTGGCTAAATGATGTGAGGAAAGACAAAGACAGGAGGACTTTCAGAGGACAACACAGACGATTCATCGAGTCCCATAACCAGAGTGTTGGTTGCTACAATTTCCTTCTTAATCCATATGAAGCTTTTTCTGGCACCATGAAAATCCATCCTTTCTTCTTATCCTAATTTTCCTTTTGTTATTTCAGTAGGCTGTATGAAGCTTTTTATTTGTCTTTTCTCACTTTTCTTTACAAGGTAATTAATTTCAGTCCCTCTTATTTAGAACTTATTTTGACACAATTTAGGCTTACATGGTTAGATCACAGCATACTTGGAAAGGAACACAACTGCATTTCTTTTCACTGATTCTATTGTTTATCCTTTAATGTGGATATAGATCACACTAAATTAGTGAGGCTATACTTCAGTTCCTGAAACGACTTTGGCCTTTTTAACATGGAAATTTCCATGGCAACCAATCATCAGTGCAATTGTGACTGTGACTACAAGACTGTGCTTCCTACTGGATGCATTGAGTGAGTTGAGGCCCAAGGATTTTTGTATGACTTTGTTGCCACTGACAGCTATCCAGGCATAAAATATCTTGATGTTGATGTTTCTCTCCTTCTATATTTAACAGACAGGCCCATTAAACTTTATTCAATGCCCAGTAGCCAGTGAGCAGGAAGAGGAATATGATAGGTCTGGGGTGAATCATAAAGGCTGTTCTAAGTTGCTCAACTCTTCCCTACTTTTTGCTCAAACCCAAGCAGAAACTTTGTTGAGGAAAGTTACAAAGCCAAGATGACTGATTCAGAATTCAGAAACCTCAAGCGGGCACTCAGCACTCCTCAGGAATCCTATAAAGTTTCTTCATTTCTATGAGATGACTGTACCATATCAACTCCTTTTTCCTCAGATCTCCCACACATCCTCCTCCTACAGATGACCCAGACTCATACTTCATTGAGAAAATAGAAGTCATTGGAAATGAACTCACTCATCTTCCCACCACAAAACCTGCCATTTTAGTATATCTGCATCCAAACTCTCCTTCTTCCACAATGTGGGAAGTGTTCCTCCTCCTCCCAGAAAGGATATTTCTTCTTCACTTCTGCTCTGGGTCCCATTACTGCTTAGCTTATCAAAGGCTTTGTTCCTAAAATTATTTCTGCTTTCCCTTAAGGGTAATATCTCACTGTTATTGTACAATCATGCTGTAATGTAGTATTTCCTATCTTTTAAGTCTTTTCTTTAACATAACCATACACAGTTTCCTGCCATATTTTTTTGTTTTCCTTTATCACAAAATTCCTGGCTCTTCAAACAAACTGCCTCTCCTCCCCATCCTCTTTCCACTTTTCAACCCAGTCCAATGTGCTCCTGCATCTTCACTAACTGGAATTCTCTTTGTTAAAATCTACAATAGCCTGCAGGTTGCCAAACCCAATGGACTTCTTCCCCGCTCATCTTACCTGACTTCTCAGCAATATTTGTCAAAGTTGGGACCCTATCTGCTTGAAACATGCTTACCTCTTGGCTTCCAGGGTTATTTTCTTAATTTCCTTCTACTTATCAATGTTTTTTGTGGGGTTATTTTCTTAAATGCTGCCATTTCTCAGAGCTTGTCTTAGGTCTTTTTAAAATTGGGGGGTGGGAGCTAGGGGAGGAATAGCATTAGGAGAAATATCCAATGTAGATGACAGATTGATGGGTGCAGCAAACCACCATGGCACTTCTATACCTATGTAACAAACCTGCACGTTCTACGCATGTACCCCAGAACTTAAAGTATAATAATAGTAATAAAATCTTTTGCCTACATTTTCTCCTTTAGACATATCTCCTTTAGATACTTATATCATCCACTTTTACAGTTTTAAAATCTATGCTTCGAGTTCTGATATCTCCTCTGAGCTCCAAACTTGTATATGTAACTTATTTCTTGCATCTCGTAAAAATTATAAACATCACATACTTAAATGCTCAAAACAGAGCACTGAACTCACTGTCCTCATCTGACTTGAGAAACTTTTCATCCAGTTGATCAAGACAAAACCTAAGATCCATTCTTTTTTATGGAATTTTATAGAGATGAAATTCACATTACATAAAATTGATCATTTTATTTTGTATGTATTTCTGTATCTCTTCTCCCAGGCTGAAAGGCAGTGGCTTGATCATAGCTTATTGTAACTTCCAACTCCTCAGTTCAAAGAATCCTCTTGACTCAGCCTCCCAAGTAGCTAGGACTACAACCATGTACCACCATGCCCAGCTAATTTTTCAATATTTTAGTAGAGACAAGACTTCACTATGTTGCCCAGGCTGGTCTTGAACTCCTGGCCTCAAGTGATTTGTCCACCTTGACCTCCCATAGCATTGGAATTATATGCATGAGCCCCTGCATCCAGCCCCAAATTAATCATTTTAAAGTGAACAATCCAATGGCATTAATCCAATCACAGTATTTTTCCTCTATCTAGTTCCAAAACATTTTCATAACTCCAAAAGGAAACTCTATACTTATTAAGCAGTTAGTTCTCATCCTCCCCTCCTTCCAGACCCTGGCAACCATCAGTATATTTTCTTTCTCTATGGATTTACTTTTTCTGGATATTTTACATAAATGAAATCATGCAAATTGTGATATTTTGTCCCTGGCTTCTTTCACTTAGCATGTTTGCAGGTTCGTCCATGTTGTAACATGCATTAGTATTTCATTCTTTTTTATAGCCAAATAATATTTCATTTTATATATACTGTCAAAATTTCTTTATTCATTCATCCATTGATGGACATTTGGGCTGTTTCCACCTTTGGGATATTGTGAATGGTCTAAGATTCCTGATCTCCCTTCTCCTCATCTCATATCCTATGCATCAAAAGGTCCAGTTTATTCATGGCCAGAATATATATATTGATCCATCTCCTTCCTGCCATCTCCACTGTCACCCTTCTATTTTAGACGTTTAGCATTTCTATTTTATCTTACTAAATAATGTGTTTTCCTGATTCCTCTTTTTTTCTTGTGTGCTAATTCTTTGTCCACACAGCAGCAAGTGCAGTAACTTAAAAAAATAAAATCATTAGATATATTATTTAAAATTATTATGTATATATTTACATGAACATAAATATATATGGCTTATACATATTTACATATATATAGATAACCTTTATTGAGTATTTACTATGTCTTAGCCTCTGTTCTATGGGCTTCCCATGAAATAATTCACTTAAGTCTCAAAACAATGGAATAGGTCCTATTATTGTTCTTTGCAGATGAGGAAACAAAGGGTCACCCAGCTAATATGTAGCTGTTAAGCGAAGACGAAGACGTGAGCCTCAGGAATCTGTCTCAAGAAGCTGTCCTCTGATTGATATGCAAGATTGTCTAAATCACATCTTGCCTCTCCTTCTAAAAGCTGGTCAATGGCTCCTTATTCTACTAACAGTATGAGTCATGACCCAAAGGCACTGCATGAGTTGGCCTTGACTATTTTTCCACCCCATCTTGCCACTCTCCTTATTACTCATTCTTCTTTATTGATTTCTTCCCTCAGGCCCTTTCTTACACTAAGCTCCCCCAGGTCTATTCATACCCTCTTCCCTCAGCCTGAAACATCTATCTTCTCTCCAGCCTTTATATCTCAATCTAAATGGCAGCTCTTCTTGGTGTCTCTTTCTGCAATGGGTACATTTCCTTTGTGATTTTCTCTCTCTTGTTTAAAAAATCTCAAAGCTCTTATTTCAATCTGTAATGTGTTATTGTTATTATTATTGTTTGCCTTTTGCTCATTAAACCACCAGAATATGAGCCTCCTATTCAAAATATGTTTATATGTTTTTCCTAGTTATAATTATAGCTACTGAAATTTTCATGGTTCTTGACACAATTTGTACTACTGGAACTGGGATGGCTCCAATTCTCTGTGTTATATAGGGAGAAAAGAAAATTGAACTACTTAAATTTTTAGTTTAGTCTTTGTATAGCTTGATATTCCTTCTTTCTTCCTTCTCACTCCTTCCCTCGAGAAACGAAAAAGAACTCTCCGCAGTTCCACATGTTGCTAAATAATCATGAACTTTATTACCCTGGGTGACTAGGTATTGGTTAAATCCTTCGCTTGATCTCAGGGAAGATTAGTTAGAACTTGTCCAAATAAAAACAGTCTAGCAACATCTGGTCTTTTGTGGTGTGGTTTGAAGTGCTTACTGGTTGGTGGCTCCTTGTTTTTCCTCCACGTCTCTATTTGTTTTTTAAAAAAGTAATCATGCTTGGAGTTATTAGAGCAGACACCTGATAGAGCGGTCAGCCAATGCAGCTTTACCTCGTAATCAGCCCATCATAGAGAGGATACTAATACCATGCCACAGTGCGGCAATTCGAAGATTGCAGGAAGCACGGCAATACCCATCCTGTGATGATAACCCACATTCTGCTAACTCTATAGAAAATGAGTCCACAAATTGCCTACTTCAAATTCTCCCATGTGAGTCTGTCCCCAAAGATACACTCCTTTCTTAATTCTGAAGGAATGCCACTAGGGAGGTGAAGAGGCAGAGCTCTATATAGTGTCCTATGTGTAGCTTTCTGCTACAGATTTATCTTTCAGTTACATAGTGTCTGTCTCTTGGAATAAT
Source organism: Homo sapiens (assembly GCF_000001405.40). Lineage (NCBI taxonomy): Eukaryota > Metazoa > Chordata > Mammalia > Primates > Hominidae > Homo > Homo sapiens. Next base: position 89,063,837 of record NC_000012.12, on the reverse strand, counting down.
TAGGAAGATTAGAGGACTAAAAATCATGACAGCTGTCATTCATTTACTGCTAGGGAATATACATGTAATTATCACCATTTTTCAAAGTAGGAATTACCTTCTTTTCTTGTGTCGAATAAGGACATTGAAGCTTCCAGAAATTAGCCAAATTGTCCAGTGCCATTTAACTAGTAAGTGGAAAGCTACAATTCTAATTCATGTCCGAATCACTATAAAGCTATCATGATACCTGGATGCCAGACTGCTTTCAAGATTAAGGACCATAAATTATAAGTAATTTAAATACTCAATAAACGTATGCGTCTGTAAAAGCGAAACCTTAAGTCTGGATAACTTGTATATCATTAGCTAGTCCATTGCATCTTCAAAATGTGTTTGAGTTATTGGTTAATTATTTTAATCATGATATTAATAGTATGTATTTATTGAGGGCTTTCCCTGTCCCAGGTGCTGCACTACCTATATTATCTTTTTATCTACATAAAAACTTTGTGAGATAGATACAATTATGATTTTCATCTTTAGAAGAGAAAACAGGTTAACAAGGTTAATAGCTCACCAACCATAGAGTGGCAGAGGATGGGCTGTTGGACCTTTAAAAGCATGCTCATCGAGGTTAATAGCTCACCAATTATAAAGTAGCAGAGGATGGGCTGTTGGATCTTTTAAAGCACGCTTGTAACCACTGTGTTAACTGGCCTTTCATGCATTAACCATGATCATGCAGCTTTTTACCTGCCTGTAGAATATGAACAGATGTTATCTGTAGATTTTGATGGAGTCAATACTAATGGTTCTGCAACTTCTTGTAGGGATACCAAAAACTAATTACACTTCTTTCACAGAGCCACCTTAATGGCATGGGCAAGCTGAAGGCAGGGTTATAGACAATTAAGCACAGTATTAGAGTAACTACTAATGTGATATATTGCACAGAGAGCAGCTCACTGGGAAACAGAAGAGATGCGGGAATCATAGATCCTATTCTCAAGCAGTTTCATGAGAAAAAATTTCTAAGTGTGGAAGACCTGGTGAATAATTAGATCGCAAGATTTTAATTTCAAAGGAATATAGTATTTCAGTGTGTAAGGGTCTATTGAGTGCAGAAGAACTATATGCCAAGAGCTGGCAGATGATTTTTGCTCAGGTGTCTGAAAACTGTCACACACAAATTATTAGCGATGGAAGAAAAGTTGGAGAGGAAGCCAAACATAAATAGGAGCACAGATGCAGGACGCAGTAACTTGGTTCGCTAGTGTTGGGCATGAGTAGAACCGGAATCTGTGACAAAGAGTCAGCGAGGGGAAAAGAGCATGTTTTGGGACAAGACTGTACAGTGTGCAAAGGGTTTCTCTTCTTTAAATGACCCAGGACATTGTTTAGATAATCTTGTTTGTCACAATTTCTCTTTGTGGCACTCCTGAGGCTTTCTATATCTCTTCTAAAGCATGAAGTTGTTTTCTTCACAGATCTCATACAACTGGCTTATATTTAATCTGCAGCCATCATTGTCAGCCACTAACAAATTATCTTCTCTGTATGCCTCCCCCGGTTCAAAAGAGCCTACTCATAAAAACTGCTACATCTCCCATTGATGGAGGTATCTGATATCAACCAGACACTGTTCATCAGTACTTAAGCAATCAACAAGCCTTTATTGAGTTCCTTGATGTGTGCATGGGTCTAGGCACTGTTCCTAAAAATTAGGTGTTTCATAAAAAGCACTCAACAGTGATTCAGAAATTTCTTTTTCTTTGATATAAAAAGAGCTGAGTGAAATCTTTGGGCTTTGTTAAAAATGACAGAACTTGGAACTTTTCACACAGGCAGTGAATGTGGGTGTTAAGTGGGTTTTCAATTGGTATTTGATTCATCAAATTTATCTTGCCATTATTCTGAGTTATTATTTTTGTCTTTAAAAGTAGAATATTTGGAATGAGGGAGCACTTCTTTTATTTTTCAGATTTTTTTTCAGTTTCCTGAAGATAGAAATAATGAAGGAGAAAAAAGAACAAATGACAGTGCTTTGGATAAGACAAGGCATGACTACTTCATAATGCCAAGGCAGCTAAATATATTTGTCCTCGTGGTGTGTAGGGGGAACATTCAGCTCAGCAAGCATGCATTATATTTGCCTGTTCAAATCCAGCTACACAAACTACCAGTGTAGCAAGTATAACAGTTCACTTTTAAACTTTCCCAAAACCTCAATCACCGGCCCACATTAATTTGTACAGTTATTAAGAGTAAGGTTTCTGCCATTCACTAGCATACCCCATAGAATTTTTATGAGAATTAATTGAATCAACATGCGAAAAAGCTGCACAATGTAAGCACTATATACATGTTAGCTAATAGTAATTATTAAAATAAAAATAATGAAGTATAAGCACTCGTTACTCAGCTCTGTAATTAAAATACCAACATTGTCTTTGTAACAATAATGCTGATACTTTTTGAGATGAAAGTTAAAATTTGCCAAGCATTGTGCATGTATTCCATCTTATTTTATCCTCACAATGAAGCCATCCATGAGTTGGTATCATTATTGTTAGACTTATTTTATAGCTGGGGTCAAGTGCCTTGCCTAGGGTCACAAAAATGTGGGCAGTGGTACAGCAGAATTTGAAACTATGCAGTGTGACTTCAGAACCTTTACCTTTAGTCACTCTACTGCACCTTCGGCATAACTTTTCTTAATTGTGGAGCCAGTTCCTAAAATCCACTTAGTCATCTTGCAAGCTTTCTATCTTCCCTACGTAGTCTTAGAGCCCAGGACAATCAATTCCTTCTATAGAGTGCTCACATAATTCCACTGGGCTGGAATTATTTTGGTTGGCTTTTGCTGGAAATCACATTCCAGAATGCCACAAATTTTACCTTTACCTGGATATTTAAATTAAATATATATTGTACTTCCATAATATTCTAAAACTTTCACCTACAGTTCTATGTGGTAAGCCCCATTATTCCAATTTTATAGATGAAATTCTCAGGCTCAGAAAAACTCATAATTTTTTCCAGAAAGTGTCATAATTATTATGTATCAGGAATCTCTTCATTGCTGATCTAGTGTTCTTTCCATTAGCATTGTCACTGAATGAGAGTCAAGATTTCTTTTTCCTTAGTAGGCATCATCTAGGGTATCTAGATTGCCCTCATTTCATGGCAACACTTAATTACAAACATAAACTTTGAATCTATAATACCCTAGGTAGGTTTAAAAAGGAGAAGATCATTCTCAGCTTCTATTTTGCTGTACATCTTTGACTGAGAATGAAATAGTTTACTACAAGAGCTCTGACCATATGTATGTGAAATTTACACACATGCTGTGAAATGACCTTTGAGTTCATGTTCTTGGACTGTGTTTCCCACCTACTTGCAGGGTGATGAAACTGGACAGCTGCTTCCTGGGGGTAAGGTGAAGATGTAGATAATATGGAATCCCTTCCAACCACTGGCAGGGGTTTCTACAATAGGACCGAAAGACCCCTTCAGCTTTCTGCTTCACTGCTGGCTTTTCAATGATCTGTTTGCACATTCTTTTCCTGCTTGGTAATTAGCGCCAGCTGTCTCAACTTAAAAGGAAGGAATCCCTTTGAAATCCTCTCTATCCTCTGTAAAATGTGCTACTGAAACGTGCTAATTAGTAACTGGACTTAGGACAACACAGACATGTGTTTCCTGTGAGTACCGTAGAAGGAAGAGGAGGAGGAATAGGAACATCTGTTTAGTTGCATATGTGTGTGTATGCTTTTCTAATTTTCAAAATGACATTTTAAATTAAAAAAAATCTATCTGCCCAAATGTGATCAGTAGCTAGTAGGGAGAACCAGGCTTCCCATACATTGACTTCTCAATCTTCATTGGTACTTCCTGCCCAAGCTGATCAGTATTCCCGTGTACAGAAAGAAGGGCCGGCAGGGCATTCCCTTTCTGCCTCAGCGATCTGACTTCCTGGTCAGCGTCTCCTCGCTCTTCAGCATAGTATCAGGAATCACAGGGCTCCAGGGAAGTAAAAAATATAACTCCCCTTCTTGTGGGGACCCTTGTCCCAGAGTAAGCTAATAGCCAATCTGGGTCTGTAACATTGAGCACAACCTGGAATGTGAGAAGAGGGTGTAGAAGCATAATATAGCATTATGTTAAATGCACTTAGCTAAAAATGAAGAAGCCACTGTTTTTCAAGTTTAAACTGTGATTATGTGAAAATCTGTGTTTTCATAAATAATTATGAGTAGTCATCTCCAGGGTTTCAAATTAACTTGCTGGCATGGAAGCACGATCTGCTTATGACATAGAAGGAAATGTGGTTGATTCTATGGGAGCACTTGGGGATTCCTTGACAGAATGAAGGGCATTCACAGGAGGCTGGAGGTCTGTGCTTGGGAAAAGAGTGGGCAGCATCTTCTGCCTCCGAGGTCGTGCTCCTGGGGCAGTCTGGTCAAGATCTACCCCAGCATTTCTGCCACCATCACAGCAGTGTTCCTTGACACACCAGAGTCTGCTGCTGAAGTAATCTGCACCCTGACTGTTCTCATATTCTTGCCTCATCAACTCACAGTTTAAAGTCTTAGTGTAGGCGTTTGATAGGTTGGGATTAGGTCACATCACTACCCACTGGCTGCAGGTGGGATGGAAACAGTAATCCAAAGATCTGTCCTGTTGGTGGGATGTGAGGTTGGAGTTTGCTCATGTTGTTTTTCCCAAAATGACATACAGTAGTGAAAGGATAATTCCCCATGAAGAAGTCAGGTTATTTTTGGCAAGAAAATTTGATAACCATCTACTACAGAGACCTACTGAAGGAGGATTCTGTTTGTCCAGTGTCTGTCAATTATAGTCAGATGCAGCCTTGCATGGCCTGTTCTATGAGAGACTATCTTGCAGACCCGAATGCCCAGCATGACTGGCCTTGATCTAGGAAGTCAACCAATAACAGAGTTTTCTGCTGCACCTGAGAGGGTCACAAGGCTTGGATGAAAAGCAAGCCTCGTTCCAAAAACTCCCTACCTCTTGTGCATGAAGTCTACCTTATTAGCCCTTTGATGACTTATCTAGCTCTGATCCATTCCCTTGTTCTGTCCTTGATGTCTGTGGGCCCTTGGGCTCCAGATTGGCTACCTGACTTCTCCCTGTCTGTGATTTCAGGCTCTTTCCAGCTGAGTAGGCCAGATAAGAACACCAGAATTGCTTTCCTTTTTTTTTTTTTTTTCCTCCCAGATGTTTGCTTTTCCAACTGTACCATGCTTTGCTCTTTGGACTCCTACAGCCATAACAGACATCACCATTCTTTCTTTTTTTCTGCATCTAGATAGAGCCAAAGGGAATAAGAGAGAATAAAAATATCAGGTGTTTCTTCTGGGAACAGAGCAGATTGATACATGGAATGTGAGTGCACTAAACCCAATGCTGGCTTACTTTTCAGCTAAAAAATCCTTAATGATACTTAATTCTGCCCTCAGAAGTAAGTTCAAACCATTACTTACTTCTCTGAACCCTGCCTGCCTTTCCTTTGCTTAACATTCTAGGCCAAAGCTTTGCTGATCTACTTTTAGTTTTCCAAACAAGGTGTGCTTTTGATCTTCATGCCTCACACACAGCAGGTCCACCTCTAACATTTGAAGGGCCAAAGGCTTGAGTATAAATGAAGGCCACAGGCCATATTTCTAAATTCTTAAAATGTATATATTAAGGTGATACATTGTTATATAAAACATGTTGTGTCCTCCACCTTTGACTAAAATACCTTTATAATCACCTGGAAAGCCAGGTTTAGTTTTTGAATTCTCAGACTTTCCAGAATTCCACATCAGAATGTGACAGCACAGGGGCATGCTCCTAGCACCCAGCCCACAGCTTTCCCTTCCTACCTTCCTACCTCTTGTTCTATCCTGCACCACAAAAGGCTTTGCACATAGGTGTGTAGATATCCCAGCTTGCACATCTAGGTGCCATCCACACCCCATAAAAACAGCCATTCCCTAGCAGCAAGCACACAGCATCTGGGCCCACCCTTTGGAGGATGAATGTGCAGAAGAAGCCCTAAAAGATCCTGCAAGGGGGCCTGGGGCAAGTGCGGTCATTGGGTGGGGGGGCGGTGGGTACTTCTGGGGTCCTGATTTTCACAGCAAAATCTAGAATGAAAGGGGTTGGGGCGCTGTGTGGGCATGACCTCTTGGCCCTATAGATTCCATGACCATGAGAAAGACCATGGCTGAAGGAGCCCTAGAGCAGAGGACCTCCTTCTGGGTCTAAGGGTGATACTGACACACATTTTTCCCTCTGCCCAAGATGTCCTTCCTCCAATATGATCAGTTGAATCATATTCATCTATGAAATGGCATCTCATATTCTACTTCCTTCCTCCAAGAAGTCTTCTTAATTGTCCCAGGATGGGTTATATGTTTCTCTTAAACTGGCTGTAACACTTACTGTGTGACTCTAAGTGATTTAACCTCTCAGCACCTCAATTTACTTTCAAGACTGCCGTGAGGTTGAAAGAGTCAATACATGTGGAATTTTAGAACAGTACCTGACATGAAAGAAATGTGAACAATTCTATTATTATATATTGACATAGAACTCTGTGCTTACTCCTATAGAAATATCTCATGTGATTCTGTTTTTATGCACATTTTCCTCTTCCAGTAGATAATATGCCCTTGAAAGGACTTAATTTTATTGAATTTGGTATTCCTAACGCAAAACCCAATATATATTACTTAGTAGGTGCTTAATAAATGTATATGGAGTAAATAAACTGCCTCTTGTGGAGTTGAAATTTACCACTGGAAATGTTTATGCTGTAGCCTGTGACCACATATAAGGAAAACTGCTGGGAGACTGAACTCAGCTTTTCAGATTCTTCTGACTATAAGCTTTTAGAAGATTATATAGAGATGTTAGAACCAACCCAGAACAACAACAGGGTGGCATAAAGAATAAATATTATTCAATTGGCATTCCTACCCAGAAATTAGATATGCTTGCCCAAGACACCAACTCTATGTCCTGTTGAAGATTTACAATCTGATACTTATTTCATTATGTAATGATGTATTTGTTTTCATATGAGCCAGAGACTCTGTCAGACATTTTTTCAAGGGCTTTGAGGCCACACGTTTCTGGGCATCCACGATCTAGGGAATATGTGCCACTGTTTTCCTTAATTGGACTTATTTATTCTGATGACTTGCAGATAAGCAGAGCTCAAGAAATATGGTCAGGAGAAGGGCTGTCATGACGCTTGCTTGATTATGATCATAAAACTGCTCTGCAGAGTCCTCTCCATCATTTACTCAACTGGTTGCTAAGTAATTTCCAATCCAGTCCCACAATTAGAATGAATGGCTCTGGCTACTGGTTGGTCAGAAAACTGTTCTGTTCATCATTCATTAATTCATACATTCATTAGGGCTTGTCATGAACTGTGAATGGATGTAGCAAAAGGTTTTGCACACAGCCTAAGAGAAAAAAATGATGGAAAATAGAAAATTCTCTTGAGTTAACTTTTCCCTTCTTTTGGCATTCTGTTCCCTTGTTTAGCCACTACATATAATAAGTTTCATTTTTTAGTGTTTAGAACACTACCAGCAGGTGTTTTCAAATTAATTAAAATAAAAACTAAGCATCTTAAGGCAAGATCAAACTTTCTGTCATCAAATAATCATAATGAAATAATTGGTTTTATTATAGCAAACATCTTTATAGATAGTGCTTGCAATGTGCCAGGCACTAAGAGTTTTTTGTATATTATTTCATTTAATTCTACGAGGATCCTATGAGGTAGGAACACAATTATCCTATGAGGTAGGAACTATTATTGTCCTTATTTTATAAATGAGAAAACAGAGGAATAATGAATTTGAGATTTAGGCTAAAGTTATACAACAAGCGGCAAAGCAAGAGTTCATTTCACAATTATGCTCTGTGAAGTAAAGAAACATTTACAGGCATTTTTTAACTAGTGAGACCCTGTCGTGCTGGATTTTAAGACAAGGAGATAAAAGAGAATGATATTAATACAAACTTTGTAGTGCCTAGTTTTAGTCTCATGCATATTTTAATTTTTCATTTCTGAGCAACTCAGTCCTGTTTTCATGAAATAATGCAGTGATGTGACATAACGCTGATTGTGACATGGGTTAGTGATTTTCACAAATAGGATTTTGACTTAATACATTGAGCATCTGATATTTTGGACCTTTTAGTATTTGAGACTGACTTGTCAAAATAAGGATTTTTTTCTGAATAAAATGCAATCGATTGAAGTTGAATGAAGTGCAAAATGAGGTGTGCTCTACGCCCCTGGAACCCATGTCACCCTGACATAAAGGTCTGTTTCCATGGTAGCAGATCAAGGCATTAACTGTTTGTTTCGGGGCTGATATGATGACAAGATTTTGATTCTGAATTTGCCCTCATTAGTTCTGTCTTTGGATTCCCCACTTCCTCTTGCATCTGGTCTCATCACAAGTTAATGATAACCAGTCATTACAAGAAGAAAATAAAAAACATAATCATCTGGTGAAACTTTCTAGAACCTGATAAATGGAAAAACTTTTGTTCCCATTAATTCACTTGACCTTTCCAAAGGGTGCCTCAGAATGGTTTTAAGAGGCTTTTTTCCCTGTTGTCCTTATGATTATCCTCATGCCTGGCCTGAGTGTTGGTGGTTAAATGGAAAAAGAATAAAGAATGATTACTTCTACTCCCTCCCGCGTTGCACCTGTTGCTTACATTTAAAGAAACATGGAGTGGGCATATGGGAGAATGGAAAGAAAAGGAAAAGAAAAGCATGAGAACTGCCTCTATTGTGATCATTGTGATGGGTTGGCTCAAAAACTGAGCCAAGTTTTTCATATTTCTCAAGTTCCATGAAGTCCAACATGTTCAGTCTGTTGCTTTTCTTGAAAAATAAAATGATTTAATGATACTTTAGAAAGAAAGGGCATGCCCAATAAAAGAGACAAGATTTATATGTTATCTCTTGGTTTATCTATTAAAGGAAATTATAATTCTCATAGAAAACACTTACATAGAGAGTTAACATGTGCCAAGCACCGTGCTAAGTGCTATACCTATATGCACTTACGTATACTAAGACATTTATGCTATTTTAAGTTACAACAAAGAGATGTAAAATTATTTTCCCAGAGCTTCAAAATTATTAACTTGTAGAGGCAATTTTCAAACACAGATAGTCTAATACCAGACTTTAACAGTTAATCACGATTCTTTGCAGTCTCCTAAAATCTGATGCTTTCTGGTGTGATGCTTAAACATTTCTTAGTCATTGATTCCTACTCTCATTTACTAATTGACAGCATCATTCAGTTTGACAGCTGTGTGTCAAAATATTCACACAGCCTTTTTGTTTATTTGTGGTTATGTGTGCATGTGTGTGTAAGTCAAAGAAAATTAAAATAATTTTTGAATATAATTTTGCAATATCTTTAGAGATAATTATGGATAACTTGGAGTAAGTCAGGAATAAGCTTAGGAATCTCTTCTGTAGTATTTGTATCTGCACTTTTATTAACTTTTAGTTGAAAGTGAAAACAGCTGGCCACTTTGTTCTTTAATTCTTTACTCTTCTTCCTCCAAAGTTTCCTTCAACTTTTTATCAATGCCTGATATGGTTTGGCTGTGTCCCCACTCGAATCCCATCTCAAATTCCCATGAGTTGCAGGAGGGACCTGGTGGGAGGTAATTGAATCATGGGGGTGAGTCTTTCCCACGCTGTTCTTGTGATAGTGAATAAGTTCACGAGATCTGATGGTTTTAAAAATGAGAGTTTTCCTGCTCAAGCTCTCTCTCATTGCCTGCTGCCATCCATGTAAGACATGATTTGCACCTCCTTGTGGGTCACCATGATTGTGAGGCCTCCCCAGCCATGTGGAACTGTAAGTCAATTAAACCTCTTTCTTTTGTAAATTGCCCAGTCTCAGGTATGTCTTTATTAGCAGTGTGAGTGCGGATTAATACAGTAAATTGGTACCAGTAGAGTGGGACATTGATGAAAAGATACCCCAAAATGTGGAAGTGACTTTGAAACTGGGTAACATGCAGAGGTTGGAACAGTTTGGAGGGCTCAGAAGTAGATAGGAAAATGTGGAAAAATTTGGAACTCCCTAGAGACTTGTTGAGTGGCTTTGGCCAAAATGCTGATAATGATATGAACAAAGAAATCCAGGCTGAGGTGGTCTCAGAAGGAGATGAACTCATTGGGAACTGGAGCAAAAGTGACTCTTGTTATATTTTAGCAAAGAGACTGGTGGCACTTTGCCCCTGCCCTAGAGATTTGTGGAACTTTGAACTTGAAAGATGATTTAGGGTATTTGATGAAGAAATTTCTAAGCATCAAAGGATTCAAGAGGTGACTTGGGTGCTGCTAAAGGCATTCAGTTTTAAAAGGTAAACAGAGCATGAAAGTTTCGAAAATTTGCAGCCTGACAATGTGACAGAAAAGAAAATCCCATTTTCTAAGGAGAAATTCAAGCCAGCTTCAGAAATTTGTGTAAGTAACAAGGAGCTGAATGTTAATCCCCAAAACAATGAGGAAAATGTCTCCAGGCATGTCAGATGTCTTCATGGCAGCCCCTCCCATCACAGGCCCAATGGTGTAGGAAGAAAAAATAGTCTTCTGGGCTAGGCCCAGGGTTTCTGTGCTGTGTGCAGCCTAGGGACTCAGTGCCCTGTGTCCCAGCCACTCCAGCTGTGACTAAATAGGGCCAAGGTACAGCTCAGGCTGTGGCTTCAGAGGGTGCAAGCCCCAAGTCTTGGCAGCTTCCATGTGGTGTTGAGCCTGTGGGTGCACAGAAGTCAAATATTGAGGTTTGGAAACCTCTGCCTAGGTTTCAGAGGATGTACAGAAACACCTGGATGTCCAGGCAGAAGTTTGCTGCAGGGGCAGGGCACTCATGGGGAAACTCTGCTAGCGCAATGCAGAAGGGAAATGTGGGGTGGGCACCCCCACCCAGAGTCCCCACTGGGGCACTGCCTAGTAGAGCTGTGAGAAGAGGGCCACTTTCCTCCATACCCCAGAATGGTAGATCTGCTGATAGTTTGCATCATGTGCCTGGAAAAGCTGTAGACACTCAATGGCAGCCCATGAAAGCAGCCAGGAGGGAGGCTTTACCCTTTAAAACCATAGGTGCAGAGCTGCCCAAGACCATGGGAACCCACCTCTTGCATCAGCACGACCTGGATGTGAGACATGGAATCAAAGGAGATCATTTTGGAGAAGATTTGACTGCCCTGTTGGATTTCAGACTTGCATGGGGCCTGTAGCCCCTTTGTTTTGCCCAATTTTTCCCATTTGGAATGGCTGTATTTACCCAATGCCTGTACCCCCATTGTATCTAGGAAGTAACTAACTTGCTTTTGATTTTGCAAGCTCATAAGCAGAAGGAACTTGCCTTGACTTGGATGAGACTCTGGACTGTGGACTTTTTAGTTAATGCTGAAATGAATTAAGACTTAGGGAGACTGTTGGGAAGACACGATTAGTTTAGAGATGTGAGGACATGAGATTTTGGAGGGTCCAGGGGCAGAATGATATGGTTTGGCTATGTCCTCACCAAAATCTCATCTCAAATTCCCACATGTTTTGGGAAGGACCTGGTGGGAGGTAATTGAATCACTGAATCATCATTATCGTGAGAAAAGCAGGTCTTTCACATGCTTTTCTCCTGATAGTGAATAAGGCTCAAGAGATCTGATGGTTTTATAAGTGGGAGTTTCCCTGCACAACCTCTCTCTCTCTCTTTGCCTCCTGCCATTCATGTAAGACATGACTTACTCCTCTTTGCCTTCCACCATGATTGTGAGGCCTCCCTAGCCCTGTGGAACTGTAAGTCAATTAAACCTCTTTCTTTTGTAAATTGCCCAGTCTCAGGTATGTTTTTATCAGCAGCATGAAAACAGACTAATACAGTGCCTCTATTTCAAACCTGAGTGTGTGGGATTGAGATATATCTAGATAGTTGGTGATAATGCTGTAATTTGTTTAGTCATTCAGGTTCATCCTAATGAAGTATTGATAAGACAATAAGCGTTTATACTTTGGGCTGCGTTTGGGTCAGGGTTCAACAAAATAATGCTACTTATTCCATATTGGAGTTCATTTTTAGATTTCAATTCACTCTCAATTTTTGCTTAATTCCTGGTGGGGAGAATCATTTAAATCAATTTGATATGATTTAAGTCACAGCATGATTAAATCTTCATCAAAAAAGAGCTTTACCAACATAGTCATAACATATTATCATAATATTATCATAATAGTCATAAGATCATCAATGGCCATTTATTAGGCCTCCATTTAACATATAATATTGACTTAAATTACTACTATACTTTAGAGTTTGAGGGTGATGACAGAGTAAAATACTTGAATCAGCCTCTAAAACTGTGTACATATAGAGGTGTTTAATAAAGCCGTTCTGGGCAGTTTTTATTTCATAAGCCAGAAATAATTTAGCATTTTATTAAGATTTGTATTACTGAAAACTGTCAGGTACCCAAATGCTGAATGATTGATAGTGTTTCTCTACCCTCTAGTGGTCTGATGCAGAACTGAAAAGGCCAACACGAGAATCTTCAAGTACAATTGCCTGGGAATCCTGAGGTCTGGACAGCAACACCTGAATCTGAATCTCTTTTGGGTTGAATCATAAAAGAAAATAGTATGGAGAGATTTAAGGCCAGGCCTCTGGAGAAGGGTAATATAAGCATGGATTTTCATCTTTAAGCTGATTTCAAAACATGACAGATGGAGTGGAGGTGGTTTACAAAAACGTTTCCCCTTTACATGTCTTACTTATTCTGGAATACTGAAGGGTGAAGTACATTGAAACAAATAATCTCTCCCTGGATTTCTCATCAATGACATTATTGACATTGGGCGTGACAATGCTTTGTTGTGGAGGACCCCCTTGTGCATTATAGAATGTTTAGCAGCATCCCTGTCTTCTTACCCACTAGATAACAGGAACATCCTGCACCCCATCCCTAACTGTGATAATCAAAATGTCTCTAGCATGGAAAATATCTTCTTTGGAGGAAGAATTTCCCCCATTGAGAACCGTCTTGCTCTTAACGGTTCCTATTAGGTAGGTTGGAAATAATTTGCCAATAAAAATAATTATTTTATTGGCAGGGCGCGGTGGCTCATGCCTGTAATCCCAGCACTTTGGGAGGCCAAGGCAGGCAGATCACGAGGTCAGGAACTCGAGACCATCCTGGGGCTAGCACGGTGAAACCCCGTCTCTACTAAAAATACAAAAAAATTACCAGGGCTTGGTGGCATGCACCTATAATCCCAGCTACTCAGGAGGTTGAGGCAGGAGAATTGCTTGAACCCAGGAGGCAGAGGTTGCAGTGAGCCGAGATGGTGCCACTGCACTCCATCCTGAGAGACAGAGTGAGACTCCGTCTCAAAAATATATATATATTTTAATACTTAGCACTTGCTAATAATCCCTGTATTATTTAATTTAATCCTTATAAGAATCCTCAGGTGTAAGTCCTACACTAGTATTATCCCAGTCTTACAGATGAGGAAACGAGGACTCAGAGGAGTTGAGTAACTTTTGTGACATTGCATAGGCAAATGGTAGAGCCAGCATTAAAATCCAGGTAGTCTAGCTCTGAAATCTGCATTTCGAAACACTCTATCATAAGAGTGTCAACCTTTTTTTTTTTTTTTTTTTTTTTGAGACGGAGTCTCGCTCTGTCGCCCAGGCCGGACTGCGGACTGCAGTGGCACAATCTCTGCTCACTGCAAGCTCCGCTTCCCGGGTTCATGCCATTCTCCTGCCTCAGCCTCCCGAGTGTCAACCCTTTTAAATCTCTCAAATGGGATGAAAAAGAGCATTACTGATTTACAAGCAATAATAATCCATAGATTCCAATTTGCATAATTCTCTGGACTGACAATAAAACAGAAGGGAAAGACAGTGGAATGACCTTGTCAGAGGAAGATCCATTCATTTTCTTCATTTACTTATCGAATGCCTACTGTCTACACAGATACAGAAATGTATAAAACAAAGGTCCTGCCTTCTGAAGCTTACTTACATTGTTGCAATCAACAAGAAAATGAACAAAGTCATATATATGATATTTCATATAATAATATGCTATGGAGAAGATAGAACATGTTAAAGGGAATAGACAGGGCATGAGATGGAGCAAGAGTTCTGCTATTTTTATATAGGTCAGGGATGAAGGAATGAGAAAGTGACCAAGTGAAGATGTGATGGGGAAGTATTCCCAGTGGTGAGAATAACAAATGCAAAGGCCCTGAGGTAGGAGTATATTTGAAGTAGGAGCAAATTTGCTAGCGTGGCATGGGGAAGGCAAGTAGTCAATAGGATTGGAGTAGAGTTGAGTGAAGGGGAATAGAAGAAGATGAGGTTGAGAGGCAGTGGCAAACAGGCAGGAAGGGAACTGCAGATCTTGCAAGGCCTAGTAAGCCCTTGTAAGAACTTCAACTTTTACTCAGCATGAGATGAAAATGTATTGGAAAGAGAAATGCCATGCTCTGACTTAATTTTTCAAAAGATTATGCCAACCTTCTTTCCATGTTTGGAAAGTAGTTTTTCATACTGATTAAAATAATAAGTTCTGCAATCAGACTGAACTAATTCTAAATATCTCTAAAAAGTTCACTTTCTGTGGGTTTTGGGACAAGTAACTTGCCTTTGTCTTGATTTTCTTGTCTGAAAAGAAAAAGATGTGGCAGTACTCTAGTTTATTGAATCTAAGTGCCATCAGACAGGAGATGCACCATTATTTTACGTATCAATAAGAAAACAAAACATAACACTGCTAATGATGTACAAATCAGTCAAATCAGGCTCATGTACAAGTTAGTCAAATCAGTCTCTCTGAGTTTGGAAATGTCATTAATCTATTGCTGGGGACTTGGCAATTTTTCCTGCCTTCACTTGCATTGCTTGGCATGAAATAGACAATTATTTTGCATATATCCCTGCCTTTGCTTGAATTGCTTGTCATGTAATAGACAATTATTTTACATATGTCTAGAAACAAAATGAAGCACAACTTCATTTATTTATTGATGCTTTCATTTCTTAGTGCCCCATAAAGCATTTGGCTGTTGCTTTGGAAAAAAAGATGAAATTTCTTTCTTATAATGAGTATTTACTTTACTAATACCAAATTTAAAGTCACATCTTATGCTTGTCAAAAAACCTTTGGTTTAGTGTGAAATATTTTTAAACAGCAGCAATTAAACTCGGCATATACAGTGCCAATGATGTGCATAAGTCAACTGAAGTGACAGGAATATGAGTTTGCGCATTCATAGACAACAAGAGAATTACATCATGTCTGCCCTTTGGCCCATAGTGATTGTAAGGTGACATCAATCTTATATAAAAATATATATAGATAAAGACATGATGTATAGAAAATGATATGTATGTCTAAAATCTGTGTGTATGTGTGTTTTTGTTTCAGAATTGATAAAATATGTGGTAGTACCTGCGCTACAGAACAGAATTCACTTGGAAGTTCTTGGCATATAGTAAGCACTCAGTAACTGTCAGTTATCGCTCTCATCTCTATGAAGACTGTATTTGACATGACATCATCTCCATAAGATTCCTGAACTCAACTTTATTTCCTCTTTTTTCCTTTAACCCCAATTTTCTAATACCAATTAGTAAGGTGGCTTCCTCTCCTTCTGGACTTGCTACTCCCAGAAGGAAATTAAATTACAAGTCTCTAATTCCCTAGGCATTCCCTTGTAGCCAAAGTCATTAATCAGTGGCTCATATTTAAAAAAATTGCTCTAGGCCTCTGGAGACTCTTTCTATGGCATAATAGATTTTCATTTGTTTCTCATCCCCTGAGTAGCTTTTAATTCAGGATGGATATTTGCCCTGCAATTTCTTTTATTCCCTGGATAATTTGAAAAGCCAGGGGAACAGTGTCACTTTGTCTTATCCCTTCCCTCTTTATTAGTCAGTCTGTTCTAACAAAATGTTGGTTGGTCCACGCTTTTCATGGAATGTCATGGTTAACTGATAAGCTGCCCCCAAACTCGGTATCCTGGTTTAATGTTATAATCATAATGCCCTCTGAGATCACTTAGAGAAAAGCTGAGGGTAGCAACTCTGTGGATTCTTATTTACCTTATGCGTTTGACATCTGCAATGATGTGCTTCTTTACCACCTCCCTCATCAAATTAAACTAAGAATGAAAACAGATGGGCTGGGAAGCCAGTGGATCAAAAGAAGGACCTGGGGGAAGCTCAGCTTGGGGACCGGCTTGCTCTTTGCCCTCACTATTTGTCAACTGGGAATCTCCTGGGTGCTCAGCTGTGCTGGAATCTCAGGTAAGGCAAAGACTTTGTCAGTTTCTATCAGGCCCAAGTGCTTAACAAGATCTTAAGTCTACATATGGAGTTGCTGCTAGGTCTCCTAAAGCAGGTGATGTGTTCAGAATTACAGGCTGTATAAATGTCACAGAGTCAGTCGGGAGAGTACCCATTTGTGAGGAGAGGTGAGCAGTTGAAAACTCCTTTATATTTTAGTTAGTTGACCCCACTTACTTCATCTGGGTAGAGTGTAATGAAGCTGATTACTGGGTCCCTTTAAAATTATTGATTAAAATTTAAGGTAATCTATCTAAACTATACATTCCTGATTATTGATAGAACTCTAAGCAGTTTAATTCACTTGTTACTCACGCCTAGATTGGAATTTGTAAAGTGGCTAGTGTCCAGATACTTGTCCTAGAGGTCACTTAGGCTCTAATTGATTTTCCTGAAAGCTTTGAAACTATCTGCCATTTTAACTCTCAAACTTTTTTTGACAGTCATCTCCCGGTTGGCTCTCTCATTTGAGTGTGTTTTCATTGCATGTTATTATTTCTTTGTTTTATTATCCAAGTTCATATGAAAATGAACCCAAAGTATTATATTTTAGCTGCCCATTCCCATTATGGGATGTCTAGAGTCCTGCTTTTCCTTATTATTATTTTTTTAAATTTAAAAACCCTAACACTTGCAGGCTTTAATAGTCTTTCTTCTTTGATGCATTTCAGATAAAGAAAATGGTTGTAAATTGAGAGAAATCTTTCTGATTCGTGCCTATGCATTGATCTTATCCATAAGGATCTGTCTTCAGAGGAGAAATGTATAGTCTAGACAGGAAGAGGAATAGTGGGTATAGGGAAACAACAGGCAGAGTGGAGCTCCCCCTGGCTCTGTGGATTTAACCTCTGGGAACAAACACCCACAACGGGTCCCTGCGTTTGAAAAGGATTAGTAAAGCTGAGGGGGCTAAATAAATATTCATGATCACATACAAGCAAATGATTAGAAGTCAGACAACCTGCCCCTGGTAAGAGTCTGTTATAAGCAAAATATTCTCCCTAGAAGGAAAGGAGATTGATATTAACAATTTTCATTGGTCTTGGAGAGACTGATCTTATTGTCTGTCAAATGAAGTTAGAATTAGGTTTGAAAGAGTCTTAAGCTTCTTTAATAATCTATCCTAATCACCTGTCTAATGCTATACCCCGTTACTACAGAAACATCTTTAATACCCTTTTATTTGAGGAGTCTATTCTGGGAAATATTCTGTTGATGGAGAGTTTAGGGGGATCTGATGTTGTTCAGCCAACTTAAAATCAATCTACCAAAATTAATTTGGACCACCTACTATTTGCCTGTTTTTCTAGTTGCTGAGATTATGACAGTATTAAAGGTGTAGTGGATTGCATCGCTGGCCTTGAGTCTTGATCCCATCCCTTTCCATACTTGTTGCTGGGTAACTTTGAAATTCATCTCACTAAATAGAGAGACATGTTGAGTGGCCAGCCAGTCCAGATTTACCCAAGGACTTTCCTGGTTTTACTATGGAAATTTCTGCATTCTGGAAGCCCCCCAAGTCCTGGGCAATCTGAGATGGTTGGTCACTCTTAGTGAAGTGTATTTCTATATCCCTTTGCTGTGAGATAGGTCTTGTGTTATATTTGGCCAATAGGATGAGGTAGAAATTACAGTGTGTCAGTTCTAAACCTATTCCTTAATAGACTTTGCATGTTTGCCCTATCTGTGCTTCTGCTGTCACCATAAGTACATGCTCTGATTATCACGTTGATCCAAGTAGGATGTTGGTGTGTAGAGCACAGCCAAACTCAAGACAGCAGCCCAGATAAACCCCGTTTGTACCAGCCAATCTCCAGCAAAGTTATAGTTACATGAGCAATAATAAATGGTCATTGTTTTGAACTACTGATTTTTGGCATGCTTTATTACAAACAGCAATAATCAACTTGTACAAATAAATTTTATCAGTAGCAGAAATTGGGCTGAAAGCTTTACATAGATCATTTCCTGCTACCACACTGTGAAGTAGTAATTATTATCTCTATTTTACTGTTAGTCAAATGGTTGGTACATAGGAAGATGGAATAAATATCCAAGGTAAGCAATGAAGATTATTTCAAACTCATTTCTAAAGTAATCTAATACCTTAAAGATTTTAAGCATTATCATGCAGTATAAGCTCATTATAAAAGATTTAAGCAAATCAGAAATATAAATAAGAAAAAGCAAAATGTCATTCCTTCCATTCCTGGCTCTCTTTCTCATTTCTCTAACTCTTTCTCTCTGATATAACCGCCATCAACTTTTGGTATAAATCTTTCCAGATGTTTTTCTATGCATTTTATAAACATATTTCTGTATTTAAAAATTTCATATAATTGGAAATTACATATAGTTCTGCAGTATTTTCTCTGGATATTTCATATAATTCCATGCTGATACATATAGAGGCATCCTATGCTCTTTTAACCGCTACTTATTACTTCATAAAATGACAGTACCGTAATTTGAACATTCTATTAATAATAAGCATTGCAATTGATTCCAATTTTCCCTATTCCAAATGATTCTATGAACTTTTTTTTCACATATCATTTTGCACATATGGGTATTTCTATAGAAAAAAATTCTACAGCTTAATGCCATTTTCAGCCAATTATACCTTAATGTTTAATATACCGTGTGCAAAGAATTGTAGACTAGTACTTGTGCACCATAAGCAAGTGCTCATCCGATACTGAGCTCGTATTTCAGGACCCTCCTTCCCCTGTTGGGGGCATTTTGCAGATCATTCATGACAGCCTGTAAAGTGCCTTAGTTGTAGTTGTTTGTCCTCAGGTGAAGTGCATTGTGTTGTTATCAGCTGTTGAATTTGTTGATCTTCCACTTCACATAACGTGGATGATTCTCTAGAAGCTATACCCACCGTCCTGAAAGACCCCATTAACTGCAGATGCTTGCTGCTTAAGCAACAAATCAGTGAATTTCTTCAATGGAAACTTTTGTCTAATTAGAGAGTAAATCATGGTATGTACTTTGGGTACACTTTGAAGTGGACTTGGCCACTGTTTCAGTTTAGACTGTTAATAATGGTTCTTATCAAAAGAGACATGAAAGCTGCTGTCTAATAGAGGTTCCCCTGGCTGGAAGGAAAAACTGGAGGAAGAGAGAAAGAAAAAAAAATATGAGGAGAGAAAGAGATGGGTACTTCTTACAGGTCAGGGATTTATTCTTTGATTCAGAGTTATTGAAAACCATTCACTTGTCATATACAATGCTAATCTTGGGAAAGTTAGAAATAAAAGAAGCAGTCTCTGCCCTCAAGTGGCCTGTGGTACATTGAGGGAGACACCTATGGAAGCTGACAATCACTATGAAAGAATACACGTAACAACAGAAGCACATAGAAAGGGTGCAAATCCTTCTCCTGTAGATTCTGGGTAGACATCTAAGGGCAACTGGTTCACAGGCTGAGTTGAAGTGGGAGTCCCTGAGCTCCCTTCCCATTGAATATATTCTTCCTAGAGTATATGATTACTCTGTCTCATGACACCAAGCATAAATTATAAATGTACATTTCAATGAGTTTTTATGAATTGAATATGCTTATGCAACTGTACCCCACATCAAGAAATAGAGCACTGTCAGCACCCTAGAAGCACCCCCACCACCCTAAAGTTAATCACTATCCTGACTGCTGTCAACATAGATTAGTTTTGCCTGCTTTTAGACTTTATATAAATGTAATCACATGGGATGTTTTCATTTATATCTGACTTCTTAGGCTCAATAGTATATTTGTGAGCCTTATCTACATTGTTGTGTGTAGCAGTTCAGTCATTTTCATTGCTGTTAGTATTCCATTGTATCATTATACTGCAATTTATTTGTGCACTTCAATGTTGAAGAAAATTTGGCTTGTTTCTAGTTTTGGGCTATAATAAATAGTGGTACTACTCTCTTTAACAATATATGTGTATGTGTATTACACATGAATAAAACCAATGTATTTATTTATTTATTTATTTATTTATTTATTTAGTTAGTTAATTAGTTAGTTTTTTGAGATGGAGCTTTGCTCTGTTGCCCAGATCTTGGCATGATCTTGGCTCACTGCAACTTCCGCCTTCTGGGTTCCAGTGATTCTCCTGCCTCAGCCTCCCAAGTAGCTGGGATTACAGGCACCTGCCACCACGCCCAGCTAATTTTTGTATTTTTAGTAGAGACAAGGTTTTACCGTGTTGGCCAGGCTGGTCTTGAACTCCTGACCTCAAGTGATCTGCCTGCCTTGGCCTCCCAAAGTGCGATATTTACTTTTGTTGGTTATGTATCTAGTGAGATTGTTGGGTTTTGTGGTATATTTATGTTCAGCTTTAGTAGATCCTATCAAACCATTTTTCATGGTGATTGTGCTAGTTATCCTCAGTGGCAACATAGCATGGAGACAGCCATCCCTTCTCCCCCAGTGCAAGCCTTGCTTTTCTTCTTTTCAACTCTTTTTTATGTCTTACATTGCAACCAGCCTAATATGCATATGAAAGCTCTGTCCATGCCACCCTTCTTTGGCCACCCCTTGGACTAAGATTTACACATTCCAGCAACGTGGTCTGCCTTTAGAAAATCGGCCTAGGGAAGAGACCCAATCAGACAGGACATTCTGGAGTCCTGGTTTTGGACTATAGTCCACAGAAGGTTCTTAGTTGCCATGTTCGTTTGGCTCCATGGGCTCCTTACTTTATGAGGTGAGGTAGGACCAGGTCTAGAATGAACCCTCTTGCCAGGTCTCAGGATGGTATTGTACTCATTTGCAGTGTAGAGGAATCTCAATTGTTCCCCTTTTCCACCAAGACTTAGTCATATTCATTTAGCTATTCTGCTGAGTATGTAGTGGCATTTCATTGTGTTTTGAACTGATGATTGATTGTGTGAGTATTTTTCTTTACTTTTTGTGCCATTTGAATGTATTCTCTTTTGAAGTGTCTGTTCAACTGCTTCCCACAATTTTCTATTATGTTGCTGGTCACTATTATTATCTCCACTTTACAATGGGATATCTGAAGCACAGAGAAGATAAATAATGTGTCCAAAGTGCCATAACTAGAAAGTAGAAATAGAACTAGGATTTGAATCCAGAATGTCTGACTTCACATTCTGTTCTCTTAGAAACCCAGATGGTCAGACAAGAAACCAAATTGGATTTTTACTTCTATTATGATTCACTGATACAGAGCTTGGTCTTCTCCTAGTAGGGGAAAAAAAGAGTTGTACTCAAGTTGCCTAAGAGGAGACTACCACTTAGGGGAGGTAGATTCAGGGGAGGGGCTGTGTTGCAGAGACCACAGTCACAGCAAAGACACTCTCAACTGAAAGTATAATAGTAACCATTCACTTGATTTATGATTATAATAACAGGTTTTTATTGAGCATTTAATATGTGTTGAGAAGGATACTCAATTTCTATACATTATCTCTAATCTTCACAGCAACCCAATGAAGAAAGTATTATCTCCAGTTTATAGGTTAGAAAAATAACCTTTGAAGAAGCTAAGGATCCATATCAGCAAGAGGTGGAGCCAGGTTCCAAAATCTTGTCTCTCTCTGGCTCCAGAGCCAGTGCTTTTCTCTGTTCCACTACACCTTCTTCATAGAAAACTAAGGTGAGCTGGGCTGATAATTCCAGATGGGATTCCATGAACCATGGTTGAATATGGAAGAAGAGCTGCTCAGGCCAATGGGATATGAGACATGGAACCAGTAGAACCCTAAAGACAATATGCCAAAGTCAAGCCAGGGAAAGAAACCTTCAAGCTAAGTGAAATGTCGATTAGAAGGAGCCAAGCATAGAGATGAAAGGAAGGGGCGAGTCAATGGGACAGATACCAAGGTCACCAGAAAAAAATTTAGGAGAGTAGATGGTTGTGGATCCAGGAAATCCATCAAGCATTTTTCTTATGCTTGATGTAGAGAAGAGAGGTTTCTTTTGGGGCAGGGATAGAGGGCTGCAGATTATTCTGTATTTCAGAAGAGTACCCTTTGGGGTGGGGAGCCAATTTGGACTCTTTTCTGTAAGTCTTTGGTCTTTGCAGCATCCTGCTTTCCAGTAGGCCCATGTTCAGCACTGTTTCCTCTTTTCTACATCCAGCAAGCTGTGGCTCTGGGGTCTGGTCCGTAATATGAGGTTCCCATGGTTGCTTTTGCCAATCATCACAAACATGATGACTTAGAACAGCACACTTTGTTCTCTTACAGTTCTCGGGGGTGGGAGGGTATAAGTACAACATAGGTTTTAAGAGGGTAAAATGAAGGTGTTGGCAGGACCATGCACCCCCATCCATCCCACCACCAGCAGAGGCTCTAGGAAGAATCCCTTTTCTTACATTTTTTCTACCTTCTAGAATAGCATTTCTTGGCTCATGGCCCCTTACTTCATTGTCAAGGCCAGAATCTTCAAATCTCTCTTGACTTCTTCTTCACATCACCATCTCCTCCATGGTCAAATCTACCTCTTTTTCCTTCTTACGAGTACACTTGTGGTTGCATTTAGGGTCCACTTGGATAATCCAGGACACTCTTCCCATCTCAACAGCCTTAATTTAATCACATCTTCAAATGTGCTTTCTCTATATAAGGTAATATTCACAGGTTCCAGGATTAGATCTTGGATATCTTTGGGGGTCATGATTAGCCTGCCCTCTGCCATTTTGATTCAATATTCAAGGTGATTGTCACATCTTTTTCTCTGTGAAGGCTTCTTCTTGGAAATAAATTGGCTCATTGCCTGATTCACTTATGCTGAATATCAGTCAAACCATTTGGAAGGTTTCTGTTGAGAAATTTTTGTCTTTGTGGTTCCCATGAACCACTTACTTCCTTAGGCTCTCTTAAAATGTTCTAGACAAGCACAAAGAATGATTCACATTTATGTTTTATCTCAGATATAAATCCTTTTAATGATTCATGGGGTTTCTTACTGTGAAATCACCTTCTCAGAAGCTTCCTTTTCTAGGAATCTGATATGCTTTCAAATTTTCTATTGAAAAAATGCCTTCCTGCGCCACTTCTGTTATGTACATCTAGTGAATCCCTGTCGGCAGTGACAGGAAGTTCGCTTCCGTGCGAGGGCTGGCTGGCCCCAGGACACCTGTTGTGCTTGTGGTGAACATGAGATGTCAGGCCTGTGCTGCGCCTTCCTCCAGGCGGCCAGGTGGGAGGCCCAGCTGCTTCTCAGACCCAGGATCTTCATGGCTTTCTGCAGAGGCATGGGGTTCCTCTCATCTCGCATTTCATCTTCCACACGATTCACATTGTGTGAGGCTTCAACTCTGGGTCCCCTAGAGAATATTTTTATTCTGTGGCCTTTAGTTAGTTCATTCAACATGTGCCTGTCGAGTGCCTACTATGTATCTGACATTTTGCTGCATGCTGGGGATTTAAGGAGAAGCGAAGGACAGATCTTGCCCTCAGGATATCAAGTTGCTTAGTCAAAATAGGGTAATCCTGCATATTAATCATTTTTTAGTGGCAAGTGACAGAAACCAAATTCCATCTGGCTTAAATTTAAACTTAAACCATACTGACTTAAACATTAACTATGTAATGAAAAAGATACTTGATAATATTCTGTATCAGCTGGGGTCCAATCAGAGAACGGCTCAATCGATCAAAGGTGTCTGTGCGCGCGCACACACACACACACACACACACACACTAAGAGATTTATTACAAGAATTAGATCTATGCAATTTTGAAAGCTGGTTAGTTCATGAGTTTTCATATAGCTGTTGTCTTCATTTCTGATGCTGGAGCATGAAGACTTCAGAGCTAGCTGTCTAGCAGGAAAGTGGGATATATATATATATATATATATATATATATATATATATATATATCTGACCTCTGAGGATGGACTGGAACCTGGTCTGTGTCTTATCATCTGCAGACCACGTCAACTCCTTCCTGCAGAAGGAAAGATGGCACCCTTTGTCATCTTTCCAAGTGTCATGCTTTCCAAGTGCAAGCTAAACATGCACTTGGCCCAGGAGCCGGTGAAAGTGTAAGAGAATCTGAGGGAAGGTGGAGTAGATGTAAATCTGGCTGTTGACTCACAACAACAAAGGAAAGTCAGTAGATAACTGACAAAGCACATGCACTGCAGCAGAACCTGGTGCCCCTGCCCAGCCCTTTCAGACATAAAAACAATGTGGTTGCCTTCACCTCCACCTTCTGAATCCCATGCAAAATGTCTTTTGCGTTCCACTCTAATCAGACATTTATAGCAAAGGGGATTCTGAGTGACAGAGTGTAGCTTAGCCAAGTCAACACATGACAAAACTTCCCCATATTGGCATATGAAATGACTGGCTGGAGGTGTTCAAACCATTTCCTCAGAAATCTCTCAACTCTGTGTTTCTCTCTTTTGACTTCTTTCTGAGTCTATTCTCTCAGTTCAGCTTCATAGCCCAGTGGAAACAGAGCTTTTCTTTCTCAAGTCCTGGGCTGACGCTCATTGTCTCTGATTTGCTCAGAGGACATAGCACTCCCATTGGGCAGCCCTGTGTCACTTACCTTTTTCTGAAGTCAGGGTATGGAGCCGGCCCTGTTTTAATTACAGCACTGAGAATATGTAAGAGGTAGTTTCCCAAGAGAAAATCAAGGCATTGGTGAAAAAAAAAAAGTTGATTCAACAGTAATAGTTTACTAGTAAACATAGAAAACTCAGGGAAAGCTGTTGCTGTAAGATATGATTATGCTAAATATGAAAGCATCTGGATGCAGACAGTAATTACTAGGCTGGCATCTGGAGGCCTGTGGTGTCTTCCTGGATGGCTTGTCTGTTATTCAGCTATGTGGCCTTGGGCAAGTTGCTCAACCTCTCTGGAGCTAAATTACCTCCTTTGACAGGGGAAAATGTTAGCCTAGAACCATTCATTTATCAGAAAGCAATTATGAACAAGAAGCCCGTAAAGAGCTTATCATTTAACGAGGGAGACAAACAAGTAAAGTCAGCATAATGGATGCTGTACAGGGAGAGAAAGGAGTGCCTCTTGGAGCAAAGCAGGGTTATTAGGAAAGGGCAGCTGAAGAGAGCCTTTTAAAGAACAAGCAGAAGTTTATTGGCAGATAAGTTGCGGGGAGCTAATTTAGTTGGTAAGGACAGTAGATGAGCCGGTGCAGAGCTGTGAAGGGGCATGCCATATTTGAAGCAAACCTCCAAGAGTTCAGAATGGCCAAGTTCAGGGCACTTATGCACAACCAGCAAAATGTAAGTTTTTTTTTTTTTTTTTTTTTTTTTTTTTTTTTTTGAGGATCTAAGCAATGAAAGTTTTCTTGAAAGTAATGGCAAAAACTGCAATTACTTTTACACCAACCTAATATTTTACTCCATGCTAAGGTGTATGGTCTTCATCCTATAGGGAGTGAGATGCAAAAGAACAATTTTGAGCACAGGAGTCTCATAAGTGATAGTTAAGAAACTAGGTGTCAATGGCGAGGAGAGAAATGAGAGCAGAGCAGGAGATTAGCTAAGAAATAATTTCCGGTATCCACGTGACAGAGGTTGGATGTATAGACTTAGGTGGTGGTATTCTGACCGAAGTCAAGGGATATTTAAAGAGTGACTGTCAAGATGTAGAAATTTGCTGATTGTGAGGAGGGAGGGGGAAAAGTAACCAGGCTCACAACCAGGGTGAAGAGGTGGGAGGCGGGGCTGCTGCCATTCAGAATGGAAAACCTAGAGGAAGAGTAGGTTGGAGAAGGGTAGAAGGGGATGTTGAGTTCAGTTTGGGGAATGTTGAATTAAAATAGCTTTTAGGATGCCCAAGTGAAGAAGCCCATGAGAGCTGACACTTCTATCTAATTCTGAGACTCCTTACTTTTATGCTGAATTCATTTCAGTTATGCAGGTTTACTGATGACATTTTCTGATTACTCAATAGGATATAAGAATACATATTTAATATATATCATGAGGATACAAGGACTTTAGAAGTCGTTGGTAGATATCATCGGTGTGTCTATTTTAATAACCTGTTTTCAATGTTTAATGGGAAGAAAAAGCATGAGATGGATTTCATGATCCATATACTCAAAGAACTAAAATATTCCAAAGATTCCTAATCTCCCTTTAATTTATATCGCAAAGGAAAATCATAGAGTAATAAATAATAAATGTTTAAATAGTTATTTATAAAATGTTTTATCTGCTTTTTATTATCCAAAATGACAGTGTCTATGAAGAATTATTTTGGGTAAAGAAATATGTATTTCTTCAAAATTGCTTTAGATAAGATAGTATTAGCAATCTTCATTATGAGAATATAAAAATACCCCAAATAATCAGAACTTACATCATAGTAAAACACAATCTACAGTCCCATTGCTAATTAGTCATTTTCTTTTTTTAAAAAGAGGCTTTTACTTATAGAATGTTGTATTTATCTCAAGAGAGCAGGTTTGTGCTGAGCCACAGAAGTTCCTTCTAGAGTTATGTCAAGTAGTACTGTATTTTTAAATGATTGTGGAAAATGTATTTTCCTAGCATTTTAGGAGCTCCCTGTTCAAGTTGGGGTCTCTCTGTTCCCATTAACTTTGATTTGATAGAGACCATACAAATGGAACAGACTTGAACATGATTGCAATTTCTCTTGGAAAGGTTCACTGAAGTTAAAACTCACTTTTTCTTGTGTCTCTAATTATCAGAAGCCCAGAAGACTAAATCCTTCACATTCATGTAAGTTTTCCTTTTGGACTCAAGAAGGGAAAGGGACCACTACAGATTCATCCATGATAATGAAGGGAACATCTTGTTTTCCCCATATCTCTTTCTTTGGTTGGATTTATTAGCTTGATTGGAGCCAGTATTTAGTGACTTTTGACAGATTGAAAATGTGGATTCTGTTTGTCTATGAGGAGGAACATAAAGCTGTCATGAAATTGACATGATACCCTGACACAATGTGCTTACATATTCATATATGCCAGGAGCTGTGTTTAAATGCAACTTTCTCATTATTGTTGAAAACTGAACAAATCCTTTCAACAATTATGTCAAGCTGATATACTATTTGTATTTTACAAATGAGAAAATTAAGATTCAAGGACATTAACTAACTTAGGTCAATACTAAGTCAAGTTTGTTTTTATTTAAACTATACGTTCTCTCCTTTAAATATCCTGCATGTGTTAAACCTAGGCATACACACCATAGTTTATACGTGGCCGTGCAAATCAGAAAGAGCCCTAGATTACAAGTTAAATGTAAGGAGTTCTTGTCCTGGTTTCAGTACTGATCACTTAATTCCTCTACAATTTTGCATCCATAAAATAAAAACAATGGCATCTGTATCTGTTTCTTCTGCTGTTGATATGAGGAGCACATGAAATAATGCTAGAGACAGAGTTGGTGCTATGGAAAAAAGATTGAAAGAGTCAAAAGACAAGAATCGACATTCTATCCCAACCACTCTCTTATCAATTCTGCAACTTTGAGCAAGACACTTTACAGTCTAAAGCTCAGTTTCCTCATCTATTAAATGGGAATATTCACCCATAGCCTGCCTATCTTACATGATAAACACTATGTAAATGAAACATGTAATTGTTAGTAAAATTTTAAAAGGTATTTATACACAGAGTTTGCAAGGTATTAGTCCTCTGGGCAGAATTTGTACTGGAGAGCGGACCATAAGTAAAAAAAATATATATGTTCAATATATGTGTTAGTTTTCTACTGTGTACACAACTCATTACCACAAATTAGTGATTAAGCAATAGAAATTTATCATCTTACAGTGTCAGTAGGTCAGGAGTCCAACACAGGTCTCACTGGGCCAAAATCAAGGCAGCAGTGAGCATCAGTGGGACTGTGTTGCTCAATGATGTCTAGGGGGAAAGCTGTTTCTTTGTCTTTTCCAACTTCTAGAAAGTACCCATATTTCTTGACTCATGTCCCTTTCCTTCATCTTCAAAGCTAGCACTGTTGCATCTCTCTGACCTTTCTTCAGTTATTCAATCTCTGTCTGAACACAGCTGGGAAAGACTCTTCAACTTAAATGATTTTTATGATTAGATTGGGACTGTATACATAATCTGGGGTACTTTCCCCATATCAAGGTCTATAAACTTAATCACATCTGCAAGTCCCCTTTGCCATCTGAGATAGCATATTCACAACTTCTGGGAATTAGATGTGGACATTTGGGGTGGGTGGGATCATTAATGTGCCTACCACAATGTGTAACATAATGAAAGTTCTAGTTACAGAGTTACTAAAAAGGGTGATTTTTTCTTTTTTGCTAAATTACCCCTCATTTGATCCCTGATTGAAATTTGATCCAACATTGAGCCCTCATCACATTTAACCTGCCACAGAAATTATATGAGACTATCAGCTTATTAACCCATCATCTCACTAATTTAGTCACTTACTGTCTTTCAAAAGATATTCTCTGATGCAGGAAAGAGATTCTTGGAAGTGCTGCCAGAGGCATCAACTATTGGAAAGAGGAAACAATACAGGAAAATTTGAATTGGAAACTTCTGAATAATATTACAATAACCTTATTTTTTCAGGGTCTCAGGCTATAAGACCTAAAAGGAATGTTAGAGATCAGCGGATCCTAAGAAACTGTATTTCTGATTGCTTTTGAAGTATATCTGCCACACTCCTTGTCAACCATACTCCACAGTTTAAAAAAAAAAAAGGTCTAGTTTTAAAATAGATGTACATCATATTTATTTATTTTTTAAAACTTTTTATTTTGTTTTAAGTTCTGGGATACATCTGGGGGACATGCAGGTTTGTTACATAAGTAAACGTGTGCCATGGTGGTTTGCTGCACCTATCAACCCATCACCTAGGTATTAAGCTCCGCATGCATTAGCTATTTATCCCAAAGCTCTCTCTCCTCCCACCCCACTACAGGCCCCTGTGTATGTTGTTCCCCTCCTTGTGTCCATGTGTTCTCATTGTTCAGATCGCACTTACAGGTGAGAACATGCAGTGTTTAGTTTTCTGTTCCTGTGTTAGTTTCCTGAGGATAATGGCTTCCATCTCCATCCATGTTCCTGAAAAGGACATAATCTCATTCTTTTTTATGGCTTCATCGTAGTCCATAGTGTATATGTACCACATTTTCTTTATTCAGTCTATCATTCATGGGCCTTTTGGTTGATTCCATGTCTTTGCTTTTGTGCATAGTGCTGCAATGAACATATACATGCATGTTTCTTTATAATAGAATTATTTAAATGTATATAATAATATATATAATGGGATATATGTAATGGGATTGCTGGGTCCAATGGTATTTCTTTTTCTAGATCGTTGAGGAATCACTACACTGTCTCCCACAATGGTTGAACTAATTTATATTCCCACCAACAATGTAAAAGCATTCCTTTTTCTTCACAGCCTTGCCAGCATCTGTTGTTTCTTGACTTTTTAACAATTGCCACTCTGACTGGCGTGTGATGTTATCTCACTGTGGTTTTGATTTGTGTTTCTCTAATGATCAGTGATGTTGAATTTTCTCTTACGTTTGTTGGCTTTATTTCTAATTAAGACATTAGGTTGTCAGACTTCTTGTTTGTCATTGCTAGAACTTTGTAAGAATTGACACCAAAGTTAAAATGAACTTATCCAAATTTAATTCAGTGCTTGGTTGTGTCTTTTCCCAGTGCCAATTACAGTAAGATTCTTGCTTCCCTTTATCTAGACAGTAGGTTCCTGTTGATATAAACTAATGCTATATCTGATTCTGTCTACTCAGCCTGGGGGATTAGGGAGACTATAGTTGGGGTTTCACCTAGATGGTGGAGTTTTAGGAGATCCATGACTCTACCAAGCTATGGGACCCATAGGAATGAAAGCATAATCTAAAATCGAAGGTTGTATGTGTGTGTACATGTCTTTACTTTGCGCGTGCATGTTTTTATGTGTCTTGGAAGTAGGGTGGGGTTTAAGGCCAGAGAATAGTGTTCAAACTATCTCCATAAAGGGAAAAGCTTGGGAGGGACATTTCATAAGCTAGAACACAAGCCAAGGAACTGAAGGCCATCCAGAGTGGTATAGCTACAGGTGATAGATCATGTTAGTCAGGAGAAGGCAGAGGACTCTTTTACATTAACACACTGTATGCAACAGAAATGATAGCTAATCTCCATTTAAGACCAATCCTGTGGTTTGGGCAGGTGGCAAAAAATTCTAGGAAATGGTGATAAAAGCTGAAGTCATGTGGGTCACAGTATCTTCCTTCTGTGCAGTTAGTCCTTTAGGACCATGACTCCCCGCTAGGGCTTATAAACAGAATTCAGACCTTGGAGAGGGTTATGTAAAGGCTAGTCAGCGAGCCAGTTTCCAAGACAGGAGGTGATAGGATTCAGGGCATGTTCTTCTACCCGTGGGTAAATAGCAATGCCAATCCAAAAGCCAAAGCTGAAGCCTAGTAACAATGTGGGAGCCAAAAGGATGGGAGGTGGAGAGAAGGCCACAACTCAGTACAAACGTTCTGCTGGAATCCTGGATTCTTGGATGAATCCCACAACCAATGCCAAAACCCTTTCCAGAATATCCCAATGTGCTTGTTTCCTGGGTGAGAGATGGCCCACCAGAGGAGCTGGACTGAGTGAGTCTGGGTGAAGGACCATAGTACTTGCAGCCCCATGAATGAGGAAGGCAGGATCTATGAGCAGAGCCCATAGATCTATGTCTACAGCTGTCTTTTTATTCCATGGAACCAGAGTAGCCTCACCCTCTTCAGCTTCTTGTAATGGAGTATCTCCTTCCAGCACTTCACTGAAACTCCTTCTTTGAGGATCACAAGAGCTTCCCAATAGGTAAATCCAGAAGATTTTTCTCAACTCCCATTTTCTTTTTGCCTCAATCAACTTGATTGGCCAAGCCCTCATTACTTGACATTTTTCTTCCAATTCTTTTTTTTTTCTTTGAGATGGGGTCTCACTCTGTTGCCCAGGCTGGAGTGCAGTGGCACAATCTTGGCTCACTGCAACCCCTTCCCCCCAAACTCAAGTTATCCTCCCTCCTCTGCCTCCTAAGTAGCTGGGATCACAGATGCATGCTACCAAGCCCAGCTAATTTTTTTTTTTTTTGTATTTCTGGCAGAGATGAGGTTTCATCATGTTGCCCAGACTGGCCTTGAACCCCTGAGCTCAAGTGATCCACCCACCTCAGTCTCCCAAAGGGATGGAATTACAGGCGTGAGCCACTGTGCCCAGCTCCAATTCTTTCTTGTTCTCTACATCTTTGGTTAATTACTCTCTCATGTAGGAGAGCACCTCTTTCTCATTCTCCTGCAAGAACATTTGTGGGTTCTTGTGACTTTGCCCTTGAAGACTTGCTCTTCTCCGCTTTTACTCTCTTTTCCAAGATTTCAGTTATTCTCATGGCTTCAATTATTTGTTCTGCATGGATGATTGCAAAGTGTGTACCACCAGGCTTGACTTTTCTCTGTTCTTTTCAGTCCCATGTAGGAACTTTGTTTGGGAGCAAAATAATGATATATACAATATATAATGAAATTAGTATGTTTGAATTTAAATTAAGAAGATCCAATATCTGAGAGAAGCTGTGCTGCTGTACCCCCAAATAGGCAAAAACAGTGAAATTTACAAAGAAATTAATTCAACACAAATAGGTTTCTTTAAGATAGAGTGGATGGTTATTTTTTTCATTTTTCGATAAACTTGACCACAGAAACTGAATATATATCTCCTTCACACAAGGAAGTTCCCCACAAGTTCAGTTTAGTATCACCTTTATCAGGATGCAAGATTTTCCCATTAGGCTTCCCCTGCTTTGATCTTGTCTATTAAGGGGTGAGGGCCCTTCTATATATCCAGGATTGTTATGTGGCAGGAGGTCCACAAGAAATGAGTGTGAGCCCGTCTCCGAGACAGTCATTCTCTTCATTCTTTGTATAATACAGCAGAAGGTTCTTGTTTCTCACCCATCTAAGCCCTCCTCTCCGTATAGTTCTTTTAAAATTGCTCCTCTGCTTTCTCTCTCTTCTCCCGCTTGGATCATCCTAGAGGTAAAAGCCCTGGAAAAAATGTCTCTTAGAAGAGAAACTGCAGCTGGCACTGAGGTTGGCAGTTCACATTAATAAACTTTTGGCAGTTTCAGTGTTGGCTAGGGGGTATTAGTGCAAGAGAAAATACACAGAACAAGGTTAATATTTTTAGCTGTAAACCTTCTAGATATGTTTTATGCATGCTTGGTAGAAAATCAATTACTATTAGAGTTATCACCAGGGAAGGGCAGCAAGGGCACCAAATAAGGTAGTTTAGACCATCAGACCACCCCAACAACAAATGACAAGGTCTTGGAAATGTGGGGAGGTGGAAGTATATGCCTAATTTGGGTGGGAATGTAGGTAAATTGATAAGCTTGCCAAGGGGATGAGACTGGGTAGGAATTTGTGAGGATACAAAACAAGAAATACAGACTAGAATGTTCTTGGGTTTTATACAAATATATAATAAAACCAGCACTGAAAACATAATGTCAAGCACTCTTCTGAATGTACTCTATGTATTACCCAATTCTCACAGCAGTTCTGTAAGTGACAAAGTATATACATTTTACAAAGGAGATATTGAGACACAGAGTAAGTAGCAGAGCTGGGTCTTTGAACTAGATCTCATAATCTTAATTGTTACACTATGATCCCTGTAAATCAAAGAGTGAGAGTTGGATAACTTCTGGGGTTCTTTCATCGTTAATAAATGATGTGACTGTCTTAGCTTGGGCTGCTATAACAAAATACCCTAGACTGGATGGCTTAAACAACAGACATTGATTTCTCACATTCTGGAGGCTGGAAGGCCCAAATCAAGATACTGGCTGATTCAATTTCTGAGGAAGCCTCTTCCTGGCTTACAGACAGCTGTCCTCTTGATGTGTCCTCACATGGTGAGAGAGGAAGCTCTGATGTCTCTTCTTCTAATAGGGGCATTAATTCCTCATGACCTCAACTAAACCTAATTACCTCCCAAAGACCCCATTTTTTGCTACCATCGCACTGGAGGTGAGGACTTCAACATATGAACTGGGGAAGCAGAGGTGGAGACACAAACACTCCATCCATAACAGTGACTGTGTTTTCTCATGGTATTATCTGTTTTGCATGGTTGACAATAGGGCCTGGAGGACACTGTAGAAGAGCAGACAGAGACTCAGGCTTGATTGCCTGGTGCCATGCGTAAGCCAGCCCAGGAATGGAGCAATCTGAGCAGCTCACTGCCTGGATTTCCCTCCTTGCCCTTCATGTCATCCTGGAGACTTGAGCCCTCCTCCGGGAGGGAGAAGAACAAAGGTTAGGGTTAGCACTGCTCACTTGAAACTTCATGTAAGTAACTGCTAAATTGAACACATATGAGTCATGACAAAATCAAAGTGCAACATTTTTATCTTCTGCCATTCTTTTATATATTACTCAGTGGGGGCAATCTTCTCTTGCCTCCAGAGAAAGACTCCAGAATGTTCCATGGTTTCTGCCCATTCTTATTTAATGGACTAATGGGATAACACTCAATTTAAGTTGCAAACAGTGTAATTTTAGTATTTAGAATGCGAAGCTCCATAAACATGTACTACTTCAGTGAGTCCTTATGACCCGAAAGAGAACATCTCATATTTTCTTCACAGAAGTCTATTTAACAGCAAAAGAGAGAAATCGGTGTATTCCTACGGGGAGGGTCTAGTGTGGGTTCTGGGAATGTAGTCCTTGTGTAGATGCAGCATGTAAAAGTTTTCTTTGATAGTTTATATTTTAACTTAAAAGTTTGTATCAGTCTTTTACTTATCTCCATTAGGTATCAGTATTTAAGAATGATACAGTGTTAAAAACGATTAACTGGGGAAATTATTACACATTTCTTTTCCCTCCCTCCCAATCTCTGAGTGTAGTTCAGAGTCTAAGAAAACACTTTGTGCTGGCCCTGTGATGTTGTGTTATCCCTTCAACCTACTGCCTGCCTCCGGCCTAAAATGCGCAGCCCCGGCACAGATGACAAATTTTAACATCTATTTAAAGTCTGTGATAGACACATAGCTTTCTGTTGTGTAACTTTATTCTAAATAATAAAAAAAAATTATGGGTACATAGTAGGTGTATGTATTTATAGGGTACATGAGATGTTTTGATACAGGCATGCAATGCGTAATAATAGCATCATGGAAATGGGGTGTTCATCACCTCAAGCATTTATCCTTTGAGTTACAAACAATCCAATTATACCCTTGTAATTTAAAATGTACTATTAAGTTATTATTGACTATAGTTATCCTGTTATACTATCAATACTATACTTCCTGGATTTCTTTATAAGCTTAAAATATTTCATATTCATAAAACATGAATAAAAAAAATTAAAGCAAAATTCTCCCAAAGTACTATCTATGAATCCAGACTTATCTCCTTATACTTCTCTTATAGTTTCTTGAATAGAGTGTGCAAATTTATGATATCAAAGTTTTACTTATTGCATTCCCTGGCATGGAATTTTATCTTTCTTTTTTCTGCTTGTCTGAGTCTCACCCTTTTTGTGAGACTCAATTTAAATTTCATCTCCAACAGAAAGCCATGCCAGATGTCCTTAATCCTCATTAATCACTTTCTATTCTTCTTTTTTATACTTTTTGTGACTTAGAATGTCAAGTATTTTATTTTTAAGCTTATAAAATTTGAAAACAAGATAGCCTAGGTTAAATAATATAGTATCCAAAGCTGAGTGTGCTCATTTAGAGCTTTTTCTCTGTTTGAAAATACAAAAACAACTTCCTAAAACTCCTAGGTGAGAATACCTCTGTTTGGATGATCTGTGATTAGATGAACTGTTGATAACATTCCTTTTTTCCTTAGTAAGTGTTTCAGAAATTCTAGAATAGATGCATTTTTGTAACCTTACACAGACTATTTTATTCCAAGTATCTCCTGAGAGGCATATAGCACATACAGGAATCCATCTCCATCCTTCTTAGATTCATATGCTTCAAAAATCAGTGAGAAAATGCCCACCATACTTTGTTCATCAACAGGAAGAAGATTGGATTAGCATTGAGTTGTAAGTGCCTTCTAATTGTCTTAATGAGTTCTGTTAAAGAAAAAAAAATCAATAATACTTGTTAAATTATGGGAAGGAAACCTGTATCAGGACCATTGAAATAGGTACAGGGACCACTGCAAAGATGTCTTGCACACGAAGAGAAAGATTGGGTTCAATTCTGAATACAGCATGGGCAAGTGGGAACTTATAGCCATAGAGCAGGGTGTGGGGTAATGGATGGACAGTTACTAGGGGAAACATCAGGGTAAGGGGGATTCTGACTAAACCGACCTAACAGGATTCTTCCTGAAGACAGGCCAGGGTGATCAAACATCACCTGAGGGATGGTGGAGGATAAGGAACCTGATCAGATATCAAAGGTAATCAGATACTGAGGGTGGGGAGAGTCTTGCTAAGCTGACTTAAGAGGGCTCTTTGCTAACACTGTATTTTACAAGGAAGTGCACAGATGGGCCTAGGAGAAGGTTCAAAGGCCTGATTAAAGTTTGGCCAAGCAAAGAACCTTTGTCAATTTACTCATGCAGATGTGATCAGGTATCAGGAACTTGGTTTTATCTAGCACAAGAAGCTGCTTCTCACTCTTGTGCAGTCTATTTATTATGGGAATTGTGGTAGGATGTTGCCCTCAGATAAAGCAAACACTGACTCTTTGTTATGAAGCTGCTTGAAGGGCTTCTCCCCTGCCATGGCACGGGAGACTGAACTGAGGAACAGGCGAGTGAATGCTCCCAGCTGCTCAAGGGGTCAACAGTGGTGAGTCTTACTTGGGCCAATCAATTCTTTTGCTAATACTTGGGACAGTCAATTCCTTTGCTAAACAGCTGAACTATGTACTACCTGGTCTATTCTTGCATCCCAATCTGCCTATCACGGTTATCTTTTTCTTGTTCTCCCTTTCCCTCCCCAGTTAGCTGATAAGTGCCAGAGTAGATACTTTAAAAGTGTTAGAACAAGTACTTGAATTATATGAGAAAGAGAGTTAGTCAAACATTATATCAATTGCTTTCATGAAGATGGGTGGGAGATGGTTCATATTAATGTATATTACTTGCCAGGTGAGTCTTTGCAGGAAATCATTGAGTATCTCTTCTTTGCACTTGAGATGTAGCAATGTGCAAAACAGATGGTGGTGGTGATGGTGATGATGATGATGAAACCATACCTCGTCCATTTGGATGTGGTAATAAGTACTTCTCATCAGTCATGTCTTACCTGAGGCACTCAGTGAATCTCTGCATATTGAAGTGTTTCCAGTAGTAGAACTCAAAGCAATTACCTCATTGAGTGCCATGATTAGATATATTAAGGCTGTTGCTTGGCTATCAGAAATAAGTGCTATCTCTAGGGCCGGGCGTGGTGGCTTACACCTGTAATCCCAGCACTTTGGGAGGCTGAGGCAGGCAGATCACCTGAAGTCAGGAGTTCAAGACCAGCCTGGCCAAGATAGTGAAACCCCGTCTCTACTAAAAATACAAAAATCAGCTGGGCATGGTGGCACGTGCCTATAATCCCAGCTACTCGAGAGGCTGAGGCAGGAAAATCGCTTGAACCCAGGAGACAGAGGTTGCAGTGAGTGGAGATCGGGCCACTGCACTGCAGCTTGGGCGACAGAGCAAGACTCGAGACTCCGTCCCCCCACCCCCAACCCCCCCCCAAAAAAAAGAAAGAAAGAAAGAAAAAGAAAAAGAAGTAAGTGCTATCTCTTAATCTCCTACGCAAGTGATTGGTAGGAATTCATCCTCTTATGAGATTGTCTGGTTAGGCTTTTGCTGAGAATGGATACTATTGAATGTAGGGCACAGATTTGTATTCTGGAGCAGATCACAGTAAAACTGTGCCAAAATTCTAAAAAGAGGAACTCCATAATAAAGAAAAAGCAAAATATAAGAACCATACCAAGAGATACAATAACAGAGTAAGAGCAAGAGGTAACGGTGTTGCATCTCCAGTAACAGAATAATCCAGTGTGAAACAGTTCCTTTTAATGCAAAAGTTGTGATTTCAAGTTTTTAAAAATCGTGTTTTTCTTGTTTATAAAGTAATACATCCCATTAGAAATATTAGAAAGTTACTAAAAGAGAATTAATATAGGGGCTGATTCTGGATATAAATTCCAATTAGAAACAGATAGTAAGTGGTCCTTCCTAATTTCTCCTGGAAACTTTCCCTATTAGGTAAAGATTCATACTTTATTTTTCTATGTATAAGGTACTCTATGCTTTGTTTTACCAGCCTTGAGAAAAAAGGCTTTTTTTATTCTTTATTTTAAAAAGCTATAAAGCATGTATTTTTCTTTAATTCTTTAATATATTTTTGTAGAAAGGTTGAAAAACACAAAAATGAATAAAGTTAAAATTATTTTTAATCCCACTATTGCTAACATGCTAGTATTTTGATGCATTTATATATAGATTATGTATATGCATATGCATATATGCCATGTACATTCCAACGTATACATGAAGAATTATAACTGCATGGAAAATGTTTATAATGTATTGCAAACAGAGAAAAGCAGGATAAAAAACCTTTTACATGGCTTGATCTCTTTAAAATTCTTCAGCATCATGTACTTAATAACTTCATGATAGTTTCCCATTTGGATGTGAACTGATAACCTTTTCAGAAAGGATGGAACCACTCTTAATAAATTCAGGAAATTCTCTCTATTATGAAATGAGGGGAACTTGTCTACTTATTGTTTCGTCTCTTCTTGATAATTCCATCTCTTTTTGTAGCACTTTCAAACATCCAGAGCATGTAACAGAAAATTTATTGCCTGTAGAGGTTTTAGAATTGGATACCAATATCAATATTTTAATAGTCAATATTCATAATATTAACATCAATATTCTGAAGGTAAAATTAGAAAATGGAGAGAGTCACAGACTTCCTTCATATAGTTAGAACTTCAAAAATTAAAACATAGCTGGGAGTGGTGGTTCATGCCTGTAATCCTAGCACTTTGGGAGCCTGAGGCAGGAGGATTTCTTGAAGTCAGGAGTTTGAGACCAGCCTAGGCAATATAGTGAGACTTCGTTTTTCTGAAGAAATTAAAAAAAAATAGCTGGGTGTGGTGGCACATGCCTTTAGTCCCAGCTACTTATGAGGCTGAGGTGGGAGGATCACTTGAGCTTGGGAGATCGAGGCTGCAGTGAGCTGTGATCACACCACTGCACTCCAATCTGGATGACACAGTGAGATCCTGTCTCAAAGAAAAAACAAGAAAAGTAAAAACAGCTTGCTTGTTTCTCTCCCAGTACCTGATAAAATAGGAGATACATTTCTCTTGACGATGACATCTTAGAGTCATGATCAAATACCTCCTTAGTCCTACAACACAAAGAAATGGAAAAATATTCCATGCTCATGAATTGGAAGAATCAATATCCTCAAAATGGCCATAGTGCTCAAAGCAATTACTGGGAATAAATCCAAAGGAAAATAAATTATTCTATCAAAAAGATGCCTGCATTTGTATGTTTATCACAATGCTATTCACAATAGCAAAGACATAGAATCCATATACGTGCCTATCAATGGTGGATTGGATAAAGAAAAAGTGGATGTGTACACCATGGAATACTATGCAGCCATAAAAAAGAATGAAGTCAGGTCATTGGCAGCAACACGGATGCAGCTGGAGGCCAGTATCCTAAGTGAACTAATGCAGGAACAGAAAACCAAATACCACATGTTCTCGTTGATAAGTGGAGCTAAACACTGAATACACGTGGACATAAAGATAAGAACAGTACACACTAGGGACTACTAGAATGGGGAGGGGTAGAGCAGGGCATGGACTGAAAAACTACTTATTGGGTACTATGCTCATTACCAAGATGATGGGACAATTCATGTCGCAAACCTCAGCATCATGCAGTATACCCATGTAACAAACCTGCATATATATCCCTTGAATAATATGTGTGTGTGTGTGTATATATATATATATATATATATATATATGTATATATATATTTATTATTTAGAGTCCTAAACTCTGTGATTCCCCAAAGCCAGTGCATAGATCAAAGTAGCTCCAGACTGACACTTTAGGGAGGCTTTTAAAAAGGACTGATTCCTGGACCCTGGTTCGGTATGTCTAGAGTAGGACTGGAAGTCTATATTTTATGAAGTTTCCCAAGTGATTCTGATGAATAATCCAGTTTGAGAACCACTGCCCTGGGAGCTGTAGTGTAATCCAATTATTTCCTGGCTACTGGAAGGGAAGAGGTGAAGATGGAGTTCGATTTATTGTATGAAACATAGGTTCCCCAGAGAGGGTCTCCCTGGAAGACATTTAAAAAATCTATTTCAAAATAGTTTTTAATATTTCATTGATTGTCATTCTAAAGCCATAGCAAAGATGATGAACTTTGCAGGTTACTTCCAACCATTCAATTTTATAAAATTGTGTGTAGTTCTATAAATGTTGCAATGATCTTTAGAAAAAATTTTCCCTCTAGTTAAGAGTGCATTTACTTCCCACCCATTAAGCTAAGCAATCATGACATGTTCACACCCCTGAGCACATTTAGTTCTCGATAGAAAATTAGACATTTAGTTTATTGTGGGCACTTAAAGTCACTGGAGATTTTATGATGACTTTTATTTCTCAAAAAAATCTATATTAAACATAAAACTAATATTTATTTCCTTCATTTTTATATAATTTGCTTTGTAAATATATAGCCTTTTGTCTAATCTTACACAATAAATGACTTGTTTTGAACAGATGCCTTACTTTAATAGGATCTTATGTTCTCTCTTTGAATATTTTCATACTTTTTTAAATTAAAAAATCACCTTAACCAAAGATGTAATGTATTCTACAATATAAAAAGTGCTGTGTCCCAAATTTTCAGTCATTGTAACACTCTAGCTAGAGAAATTACTACTGTAGTGGAAAATTGAGTTTCAGCTCTACATCACTTCTGCCTGCTGTGGGGATCTGTTCTTGTCCAAAACGAGTGGCCCTGGTGAGTCTGTCAATTAGTATATCTACTGCTTTGTTCTCAGGGGTGAGCATGTGAGCTCAGGTAGACCAGTTATAACAGCCTATAGTTCTTGGAGCAGTAATTGGCTTAGAAATGAGCATTAAAATGATCAATCTGATGTTGGGTGAGAGAATTATCCTTTTTAAAAAAAAAAAAATCCTCCTGAATTGGCTGAACTGGAAGAATGTGACTCTAGGTCAATTAGAAGTAGTTTTTCCCACCAAATGATGAGAGTTTGTTTGAATAAAAATGTGAGTATTTGGAGAGAGGCAGAAAATAGAGATGGGGAAAGAGACTTATGATGTTCTAGATCTAATTGCATTGACTACTGAACTTCCAGCAATGTGAAGTTCCTGAATTTGTTTTTTAAGTGATCTTGAATTGAATTGACAAACAAATTGAATTGAATTGCACACACAAAAAATCTTGACTAATGCAATTATTTTCTTCATTTTCCAGATGAGTAAATTGAAGCCCAGAAAGGCCAAGAAACTTGAACCATTTAGTAAGTCAGACTTAAACTCATGTCCTTACACTCTAAATCCTGTGTTCTTTATATCATGCTTTCATTCCTTAGCGTCTACTAAAGAAGTCTGGTATTCAGGAAAAACATGACTTAAGAAGTAAATATGGCTGAGAATGATATTATACAAAATAAAAAGTTAGCCGAATTGCTTTTGATCCAAATGTATGCGAGTCTTTGCAAAATTACAAGGGTCTAAGGTGTCAAACATTAAAAAACAATAGGCTAAATACTTAAAATGAGAATTTAAATTTTATGTTATCCAAAGACAAGCACATTTTGTTCAGTAGTCCTTCAGAATTTTAAGTAAGTTTTGTTAAATTATGGGCAGCAGACACAAACCAATAATGCATAAATCTGCCCATGCTCTACTCTGTAGGCTAGCAGAGATATCCTGTTGCAAGTTAAAATTTTACAAATAGCAGGACCTCATAACTTACCCTTAAATTGATGGGCTAGTTTGAATGACTAAAACATATGTAAGTGGAATTTTTCAATCAGACAAAGTGATGTAAAGAGAAAATGAAGTTCTCTTTACTATCTGAAGTTCACCTTTACCATAGTGACAGATTAAAGCTTGTTTCTTCAGGGCCCTATTGTACCCGGAAGTGTTCTTTGATTTTCCTTTTTTTTCTCCAAATCTACCCCTGTTCGTCTTTGACAGAATACCTGTGAGAAAGAATCTGAAGAGCATGATGTTTAACCCTTGTACATTTAAGGAAGTATTAAAGGAAATAAATACAGGAGAAAAGTGAACTGCTAAACATGCCTGAATACATCCTGTCATTAATGTCTGGATTTTATTTTTTACTTTTAATACATATGTTAACATTTTTAATGTAATAACTAATGTATAAAAATCACAATAACATTTACATAAGTTATATAAGGCATATCTGTGACTCCATCACTGATCTTACCTCAGTCAGCCCTTGCAGGAATGTGATTGTCCCCAAGCCCAGCCTGTGCCTCCGTTTTAAGAGGTAACTAACTCCTCTCCTAAATTTTATGCTTGTCATTCTCTTACATTTTTAGAAGTAGTTTAGTTCTTTTTAGTTAATGTTTCCCCAACAATAACATTGTATACTTTTGCTTGATTTTGAACATTCTATTTGTATCATGCTATATGTCATCTTCTGTGACTTATTTCATTTCACATTATGTTTCTAAAATGTCTTTCTATGCTTGTGAGTAGCTTTAGTTCATTCATTTTTAGGTTGTGTAATATTCCACTGCATAATTATTCTATAATATAATTCATTTAGTCACTCTCTTGTTGTTGGAAATTGGAAGGTTTTTCTTTTTTTCTTTTCAATTTTTACTGATACGAAGGATACTGTGATACATGTTTTATTCATTTCTCTTGGTATACATGCCCAACAATTCTTCTAGTTTCTAGGGTACCTAAGAGTGGAATTGCTTGGTCTTTGCATGTAAACTATTTAACTTGATATGAAGGTGTCAAACTGTTTTCCAAAGCGATTAATTTGATGTGTGTTCCCATCAGAAGTGTATTAATATCCATTCATTCAAATCTTTACCAATGTCTGGCAATGTCAGACTTCTGTATTTTTGTGCATTTAGTTTTTCACAGGTGTACTCTCTTCCTGATGTCTATTCTGTTCTGGTCAATAAATTTGACTCTGTGTCTATACCACACAGTATTAATTATTCTACTTTTGCCTTTTTTTCTCTTTTTGACAGAGTCTTGATCTGTGGCCCAGGATAGAGTGCAGTGGTGTGATCTCGGCTCACTGCAACCTCCGTCTCCCGGGTTCAAGTGATTCTCATGCCTCAGCCTCCCAAGTAACTGGGACTGCAGGCCCGCACCACCATGCCAGGCTAATTTTTTAGCATTTTAGTAGAGATAGGGTTACACCATGTTGTCTATGCTGGTCTTGAGCTCCTGAGCTCAGGCAATCCACCCATTCAGCCTCCCAAAGTGCTAAGATTACAGGCATTAGCCACCGTGCCGGGCCGGCTTTTTATGCAACTTGTCTTGACAACAAATTATCAATGTTCTCAAAATACACTTTGGGATTTTGCTTTTCAAAAGAGGCCAATGCCACCTCAATCACAGCTTTCAAACCTCCTAGCTCAAGGTTCAATGTCCTTTTCCTAGAGTCAGACAGTTGGCCCTGCCAGATTGCTGTGCACTGTCTCAGAGTATGATAGGACAATATTGGAGGTCCCAGATGTCTGCTCCTTCTGTCTCCAAGAGCCATCCTGGTCAACACCGTGTTGGCAGGTCAAAATATGTGCTGCTTGGCCATTTGCCCTTTTATGCATGATCCTGTAAATATCTGTAAGCCACCACTTACTTATCTACTCTCCCAATTATGAGCACCCAGGTTACCTCCAGTTGCTGGACACTACAAACCACACTGTCATCTTTGTGCATATATGCTTGCAAGCCTGTGTGAGGATTTATTTGAGATATATGCCCAGGAATGAAATGGCTGGATCATAGGTTATGTAGATACTTTATCTGCTTAAATAAGAACAGCAGCACCAATGTACACTTTCACATTACTCAACATCTTTACCTATGTGTCTCTGCATGCACAGGTATAAAGTCTGGAAAATTACAGTTTTGGCCTTACTCACACAACTTCCTGAAAATAATTTCTCAACCCTAGTCCCCATACATCATGAAAAGAGCCTTTCCTTATGACAATGTGGACTTGTGCTTCTTTGTCCCACCAGGTCCCTATCTATCTTTCTGCCTCCTCCCTATGCATGAAGCACCTCATCCTCAAATTTGGGGAGATCCTGTCCAATTTAAAAATTCTGCTACTCAATCATACTAAAATAGAAAGCTATGATTGATTTTGATGAGTATGACTATCTATTTGGGGTGGGAAGAAGAGATGAACATGGTTTGTTTTTTAGATGGTAAAAACAACTAAATAGAACACTAAGAGATGTGAGCAAGCACTAGAGTGGTGCCAAAATTGTTCTTCGCTCTGATCCCTCCGTTCAACAGATCTATAAAGCCCTTC
Source organism: Homo sapiens (assembly GCF_000001405.40). Classification (NCBI taxonomy): domain Eukaryota; kingdom Metazoa; phylum Chordata; class Mammalia; order Primates; family Hominidae; genus Homo; species Homo sapiens. The sequence continues at coordinate 89,019,850 of NC_000012.12, read as the reverse complement.
CCAGTCTCTCTTCAGATGCCAGGGCTACGGGATTCCACTGGCTGTAGCACCTCATCGCCTGCTGTAGGCTCCATGACTCGTTTCCAGTCTGCCATCTTGTGGTCCTTCCTGTTGCTGCATTCATACTGGTTTACCGAGAGGGCAACAGTGGATTTAGTAGACTTCACGTAGCTTGCGTCGCTGCTCCTGTCTCCGTGTAACTCACAATAAAGAGATTTTGGCATCAACCGTGAGCTTAGGGGTAGAAGGGTATATGTTAGGAGGTGGGAGCAGAATCAATTCTTCAAATCTTAATGATGTAAGTCATAAAGATGTTTCCTCGAGCCACTGTTGATTCATTGTTAATGATTCATTGTTAATGATTCATTACTGCGTTTTCTGCAACACTAAGAAACCGTTGTTTCTACTAACTTTATAAAAAACATATAAGATAAAGAACAAGTGAAAATCCAGATTTTTTTAATGAGGTATGTATACCTTCGTGGAAAATTTGAAGACAGAGACAATGTTTTACTATTTTCATTTTTGCACCTACAGTTTCTAGCATAGGCTTGGCATCTTGTAAATATTCAATAAATGTTTGTTGAATGAGTGCGTTAATTGATTCTCCTACCAGTCTGAGCTATCAGTTATGTCTCTGTGGCTAGATGGACACCATGTCTTCCATCCCTGCCAAGAGTTCAACTGAATTCAAGTTTATAAATGGAAATGTGTGTGTATGAAGGAATTAAAACAATTCAGAAAATATAAAGTTTTAAAAACGACCTTTCCTAGACATAGTCATTGTTAATAACTGGGTATGTATCTTTCTAGACCTTTTCAATATTTCTATGTATTTACATATATAAATATACAAATCTATACACACATATAGATTTATTAAAACATAAAAGGGGTTTCTTTGGGAAATAGTTCTTGAATTTGCTTATTTTTCTTACAGTTAATACGTGTAGGAGATCATTCCATGTCCATATGTAGAAGTCTATAGCATTCTGTTTGGCAGATGGATAGCATTACATAGTATAAATGTCTCATAATGTTAAAATCATTTCCCCTTTAGTGGAAATCTTTGTTCTTACAATGTTTTCCTGTACAATTCTTGGCCATGAAACTTGGTACACAAATGTGTCTTTCTGTAGGTCAGTGTCCATGAAGTGGGGTTGCTGGTCAAAGTATATATTGTATTTAAAATTTTTCACGAATACTCCTAAATTTATTATGAATTGATACAAAGGCCTTGTCTCACGAATTAAGATTAATAAGAAATACGGAAATCATTATTACTTTTTAATTTTTAGGGATGTATTTGACATGATCCTAAATAATGTGGCTGGCTGAACTTCCTGTTTCCTAATCATTTGTATATCTTCTAGATACTTCTATATATGCTGGCTTGAAAAACTGGCACAGAGAAGCATAACTGGGCTTGGTTTTTCTTTTTCTCGTTTCTCCTATGGAGAATTCTAAGCAGCAGGTAGCACCCTGGAGCACTGTGTTTGAGCTCTGAGAGCGGTCCTTCTATGGATTCAACTGGTTCACAAAAGAAAACTTTTGCAGTATCAATATTTGATATATGTTTGACTTCATATTATTACATGACATTTCTTTTTGTCATGAAAAATGAATACTTATTTATTATAGAAAATATTAAAAATGCAGAAAAGTGTTAAAAATATAGAAATAAACTATAGTCTCATAAACCAGTGATAACTAACCTTAACATTTTGGTTTATATCTTACTAGATGTATACTGTTTTTAAACAAAATTGGGATGACACTATATTACCATTTTATAATCTGTTTTTTTCTCTCTACCTAAAAATATATTACAAACTTTCTGCCATATTAATATGGCATCACTTCAATGATTGGTTTAGAGAAAGCATAACCGTATAACACTTTCAGCTTACTCAGAATTTACAACTAGATCTCTGATGCTTCAAACTCATTTAAACACATATGATCTAAGGCAGAGAAATCCTACCTGTATGTTTGTATGTTCTCTGTCACTAATTAGAATAGCTATATCTTTCTGAGTAGTTACTACATACTAAATGTTTTGCAAAGCATGTGACATTATTTCTAATTGTCAAAACTACCTTCAGAAGTAGGTATTATTGTCAAAATTTTGCAGAAGAGGAAACTGAGATTCAAAGAGTTTCAGCAAATTGCTCAAGGACGCACAGTGAGAAAATGGTAGGGTTTAAATTAGAATCCAGGTCTATCTGCTTGTAAAACTCTTGCTTTTTAAAACTCTATCTGCTGTTTTGATATGCATAATATTTTCAAGTATGACTTCTGTTCTAAAAGTCGCTGTCTAATATTAACTTCATAATTGAGTTGAAAGTAATCTCTGAAAGGAATTAAGACGCTTTATTTATTTTCTTTAGCTACGTAAAAAAGTTAAAGCACAGTGTTTATTCTCTTTTCACTGATGAAAACAACGCTTTGCTTGCGGATGGGCAGAGAACTTCTGTAACAATTGGAACTAGAGCGCCATCTGTTGACTGTAGAGTTCTAGGCATTTAATACAGGAAAATTACAAATCTGATCATCACTATTACTTTCCTCAACAAAGAAAATGCCCTCAGCTGCTGGGCGCGGTGGTTCACTCCTGTAATCTCAGCACTTTGGGAGGCTGAGCGGATGGATCACCTGTGGTCAGGAGTTCAATACCAGGCTGGCCAACGTGGCGAAATTCTATCTCTACTAAAAATACAAAAATTAGCCGGGCACTGTGCCGCACACCTGGAATCCCAGCTGCTAGGGAGCCTGAGGCAGGAGAATCGCCTGAATCCCGGAGGCGGAGGTTGCAGTGAGCCGAGATCGCTCCTGCACTCCAGCGTGGGCGGCAGAGTAAGACTCCATCTAGAAAAGAAAAAACAGAAGAGCCCTCAGCAGCAATCTTGGATGAAAGGTCATTAGTTCTGACTTTAAAAGATCAATTTATAATTGATTTAAATTTCACTGAGATGAAATTTATAAAACATAAAATCAATCATTTTAAGGTCGACAACTCAGTGTAACCATCACCTACTTCTATCTAGTTCCAAAACATTTCCATCACCCCAAAGTAAAGTCCATTACCCATCAAGCGTTTTTTCTTGTTACCCCTTCCTCCACAGCCCTGACCACTGTCAATCTGCATTCTGTTTCTATAGATTTATCAATTCTGGATACAGTATTTCACATACATGGAATCATACAATACGTGATGTTTTGTGTTTCGCTTCTTTCATTCAACATGTTTTGTAGATATAGCCATATCGTAGCATGTTATCAGTACTTCATTTCTTTTTATGGCTGAATATTATTCTATTTTGTAGATATATACACAACAGAATATATATATGTCCCACAGTCGGTTTATCTATTCATCTGTTGATGAACATTAAGGCTGTTTCTACCTTTTGGCAATCGTGAATTGTGCTGCTGTGAGCATGAGTTACATTTACTTATTTGAGTATCTGTTTTCAATTCTTTAAGAAAATATCTAGGAATGGAATTGCATTAGCCCCGATTTTAAAATAAAAATGTGGATGAGAAATACCTGACAATAGACTCAAAGATGTTCGATGCAAAGTAAAATAATTATTTCAACGGCAGGAAAAAAAATCAGTAATGAATCTAAGGATGAATATTTTCTTATGCTTATTCACCACAGTGAGTAAGAAAAGTCACAGTGAGTTGAAAAGTCAGCCTGGTTTGAAAAAGTCACTTAACCTCAGCAGCCCTCAAATAACTTATCTTTACAATGAGGCCAATGCAACTTACCTCATCGATTTGTCCTGAGGATTAAATTAGAAAACACAGTGCTTTGCACAGTGCCAACAAACGTCAATTTCCTTGTCCTTTATTTCTGCCATGACAGCTGATTCCATTTACCTGGAATTTCAGAACGGTGTGCACTTTCACAGCAAAAACAGTCTCTCAGTAATGAGAGGAGAGTTGAAGGGAGTGTTGATCCATGCAGTTGCTTAGCATGATAGCGATATTGTTTATCTTCCCCTCTGTGGCTCTCTGTGTCAATGTACATGAAATTTAGTTATTCTCTTCTGGAGACAACTTACTATATTTCTGTCTTAAGAGGAGTTCATCACTCTGAAAATGATCTCAGAAGGACTTGTGAGATGTTTAACAGAAACTATATTTTAAAAACATTTTGTATTTTACCTAGCAAATATGCTGATTCTTGTTTTTCAAAATGTACTGCTCATGCAAAGGAAATGCAAAAGTATATCCAAGGTGTGATTAACTTTCAGGTATTCCTCTGAAGCTTGCTGAGTTGCAAAATCTGTGTGCCCAAGAGAAACCGTATCTTTGCAACCTTGCAAATATAGTCTGAATCTTAGTTTTGAGGAAATTTTAATTGTAAATGATTGAGGGAAATGCTTATCTGTGACTGGCTTGACTTGGTGAGCACATCTATTTCCAAAATAAAATTAACTTCAGGGTTTCAAAAAATCTCTCTCTCTCTCTCTACCTGTCTCTTTCTCTCTGTCTCTTTGTGTGTGTTTATGTTTTAAAGATCAAGGCCTTTATAGGAGGCAAATGAGAAAAGCTAAGCCAATCTTAGAAAGAAAGAAATATCTATAATAGGATGTACAACATACAAAATAAATGCAATTTGATGCATTTTTTTCCAGAAGGGCAGGACAAGAGACAAATAACTGCCCCCCAGGGACTCACTCAGCCATGACCTATGCTTGAACACATAGATTTCACCTCGAACACTAGCCGTTGCACATTTAGTTAATACTAGATGCTATATTCTTTATCTTCTTCTGCCAGGACACCATCTTGTCTAGGAATAATATTATTCCCAATTTATAGATGAGAAGACCTGGACTTACTTAGAGAGATAACTAACAGGTTCAAAGTTTACAATTCTATGGTGGAAGAGCTAGGATTTTATCTAGGTCATTGTAACTTAACCCATATATTTTTTTTTCTCTCTCTCTCTCCCTTTCTTTTTGTCCTAGGGTGAAGAAGAGTGCTCACCAGATTCCCTTCTGGTCTGGAAAAAGAAATCCCTTCTTTTGTGGATGTCATCTCTACCATCTCTCGGTGAAAAATATTTCAAGAGAATCCTAAGATGGAGAGAGCATTGGAAGTCATCCGGCCCAATTCCCTTGTGCAATTCAAAGCTTCTTTGTAAGGTAGGGCACCATTTACTTTTATAAGGCCAACTTTGTGGAGTTTACTACTTTATAAAGCAACCTATCAAATATTTACAGCTACAATTGTGAAGAAATACTTGATAAAACTCTTTGACCAGTTTTGCCTAGTAAAACCTTAAAATTACTTTTTAGTTATCTCATTTATTAAATTGTTCCTTTGTTCGTTCACTCAAAAATATTAATTAAGCCAGGCTTGGTCTTATTTAGCTTTGAAATTACAGTGCTGGATGGTTGTGAATGCATACTTTATTCTACAAGCCCCGTTGCTTCTAGTTCATATGGAATTTGCAGGTAACTAAAACTCTTTGTCTTTTTTCCCCAAGAACTGTTGCTTAGTCAGATCTGTTCTATTTAACCTGCAGTTAAACGTTTCCCTTAAACTGAAGCATTGAATTGTTCAGTTTTGACCCTTCTGCCAGTTTTTTGAATGCTGATTAATACCTGAGAAGGTACTCTAGTTTTCTGGTGTCTGCAAGATTGGTACACACGCTGTCTGTGTCTTCATTTATATGTTCATTAAACATACTGGATAGAAGGGGGTCAAGTTCAGAAAGCTGAGGTTCTGTAGTACAGATCTCTCCAACGTTTTGACACCTAATATATTACTTAATATTTTGCTGAGTGGATTTATTCAAAGAAATGAATCCAACAACCTACATGCCTTAATTTTGCCTAAAACTATTCATGAGAAGTGGTTAAAGCCTTGCTAAATTCCTATGAAAGAAGCTTGACCTTCTGGTGTAATTGTCTCAAGCCTGCCTTGCTTGGCCAAGGACCCAATCTTTAGGCATAATCCCAGAAGACAGGGTCAAGTTCAGAGGCTTAAAGTCACAATATGAGGAGAGATACAAGCAACTCTCATAAAAGTAGAAATGACGTCCATCTTGTATGACTTTACTTTTGGTTAATCTTTACTGCCTGTAATTATCTACCATCTCATGTTTGGGATAGCCACAGCATATTTTAAGTATAATCTTCTAGAATTGTTCTTGGAATAAATTACTTTCCTGAGGGCAAGTTGTGCCATTATTTTTCTTCTCCCTCTGTGCAGCTCCATGATCTTCAATTGTCACTTAGGTTAACGCAGTCACTCATAAAATGTCAGGCTCCTAGAGGCTAATTCCTCTACGTCAGAAACTTGGGACATGTTTTGAAATACTCACTGCTTCCTAATATCTTAGTTAAATAATCAATTTAGAACTTACTCTTTTTCAGTTTCAGTAAGTATGATTTGCATTTATTTATGGGAGTCAAGCAATACTGTTTAATCTCTATCTTAATACTGTTTAATCAAGCAATACTGTTTAATCTCTATCTATAAAAGTAAGATGAACTCTTTCTTTTATTTTTTAGAAAAATGCCCCCAGAAGTTTGTTTGCATCATGAAGATCAGATTTTGAGGATCCAGTCTGGCTCTTCCCTGTACAAAACATTCCTCACAAACAGAATATGGACAATTGTTAAATGTCAAAGGTAAAGTTATTGTGGGAACTCCTTCAAAAAGTTCAAGTGAGAGCCCATTCTATGAATGACCATTTACATCTAATTTTTTTCTGTGCTATGTTACTTATTCTGAAGTGGTTGATCCAATTCCTAAAAGGGAATATTTCATTACCTTTTATTTCCTATAGCATCCATTCTGACCCCTTTTCGGTTTAATTATTCCCTGATTCCAGTCTTCATTCACTCATTTATTTGAGGAATATTTATTGACCAACAACTATGCCAGGTCCCATTCTATGTGTAGGGACTATAAAGTTGAACAAGACAGAGGAGGTACTGGCCTCAGAATTTACATTCTAGTAGATGAGAAAGTAAAAATAAACACATGAAAACATGAATGAACCGGATATTGTAGACTGTGATAGGTGTAGTTTGGGTAAAGCACAGAGTGCAGTAGTAAAGATAAACTGCACTCAGAGTGGGGCTATTTTAGATGGAATGGAGATCTCTGAGGAAATGAAATTTGAGCTGAGACCTAAAAGGTCACCCAAGGACTCATGGGAAAACTCAGTTGTTTCTATCAAAATTTAGCTTCATGAACTCCAGGCCCTTGCAAATGATGGTTACCAGGTGAGAAATGTCTCACTGGCAACAGAGGTTGGCAGACCCAGCTCCAGTTCCATCCCAGCCAACATACCAATGTCATTAAAATAAGGCCATTCATCAAGGTGGAGACTATTACTAGAAACAAGCATTCTAAAGTGCCATTTGAGTGCCAGGCTCTCAACACTGGGCGTAGCACTGCTCCATGAGGCTTTTGAGAGCATATACTGAGGCATGACCAAAAAAATTAAGTCCCATGTAAGTGATGCAACTGCTCCCCAATTACTGTGGAAGTATCTGCAGACTAACTATTGTGCGTGTGTGTTTGTTTGCTTTAATGAATAAATTCAGTCAACCAACCATCTAGCTATTGACTAAATCCATTCTTTTTCTTCCAAAATGTCTATTGGCTGAAGTTTACTGGTTTTTATTTCTATTCGCATACGTAATTTTCTAAACCCCATTCTTATGGAACCTTCTCTAAGTTCCTCTCTATGGCCCTGTCCATGTTCATACGGATACACATAAAGACACAAATACACCAAACTAAGTTTAGAGCAGTCTGGTGCCTGCCTAAGACTTCAGCCTCATCTCCTGCTTCTACCCTCTTTAGTTTAGGAAAAACAGGTAACGTTGCTGAGTGCCAAGTATTGTGTTAGTAGCTTTGCATGCATTTTTTCATTTTATCTTCACAAGTTTCTTCTATCACCATGATCTGTATGTTTGACCATGGTGTTTCCTCCACCTGAAATTCCCTTGGTGCTCTGCCTGGGGAACTGTTACTCATTCTTCAAATCTCAACGGAATGATCTCCTCCTCTGGAAAGCTCTCCCTACTTCCCTAGGAAGAAGTAATCCCTTCCTCAGTTCTGCTTTGATTATAACTTTATAAGCACCTATCACTCTGCATGGTATTAGTTCACTGTCATGTCCATTTCCTCTATTGGGATGTAAATTGCTTATGGGTAATAATTAGGCTTTGAATCATTTTATGATCTGGCCTAAGACAGTGCTTGGCACATACTATAGGCTCATCAGATGATGGCTGAGTAGAATTAAATTGAATCAAGTTGAAGTTATACTTTGATGTTTATCAATTAACATGTGTAGTGTGTTAAATGGTGGTCACTGAAAACATACGTCTGCACCCTAATTCCTGGAACCTGTGAATATAACCTTACATGTTAAGAAGAAATATGACCTTAAATGGATATGGAGACAAGGAGCTTATCCTGGATTGTCTGAGAGGGCCCTAGATGCAATCGCATGTATTCTGATAAGTGGAGAGAAACAGAAGAGGAGGATGCAATGTGACCATGTAGGCAGAAGTTTGAATGGTGCAGCCACAAGCCAAGGAGCCCCTGGGGCCATCAGAAGCTGGAAGAAGCAAGGAATGGATTCCTTCCTAGTGTTTGGAAGGAGTGTGCACTTGCCAACACCTTGGTTTGAGACTTCTGGCCTCTGGAACTGTGACAGAATAAATATCTGTTGTTTTGAGCCACCCAATTGTTGCTAATTTGTTAAAGCAACCTTAGAAAATTAATATAGCATCCACAATAAAATTTCTCAAAATATATGTTCCTGTGAAATGGAAGAGTTCTAGGGATCTAGTAGCATATACGGAACCCAGATAAGTTATACAAGTTTTTCCCTGAAAGTCTTTTCAGATTCTTTAGCGGGCTAAGGTGCATTGTGAATCCCAAAAACTTTAGCGTTTTTCAGCATCTATTATCACATAATCCTTTCCCCACCCATGGAATTATATACTAAACTGTTTTTGTAGATGTTGATGTTCTGTAGAACAGAGTTTTGGGGTCTGTATGACTTAAGATCCTTCTACAATGGAACACAGTGAGGAGGGTATTCAGAGGAGTCATAGAGGGCATTGATCTTGCAATATATACTCAGGAAATTACCATGGGCAGAATAAAATGCTTTTGAAAATATTTAATGTTTGCTTGGCATTGTTTCTCTTGGGTTTAGCTTTGCAAAATTTTCCTCAGGTATCATTTTTCTTGTTGCCATGGAGCCAATTCACTTCCCAAGGCAAGTTGGTGATTGGCCTAAGGGAAACTATTGAGAAAAAATGGACAGCTCAAGATGTGGTTTGAAACATTGATGTTCTTTCTTGGTGCACTTAACTCTTCTCTCTGCTATTATTTTTCTTCTTCACTCTCCTGGAATCTCCCTCTTTCCCAGTGTAAGTGAGAGTCTAATAGCTCATGATGCAGCTTGGTTTGTTGTGTATTGAAGTGACCGTAGCTGCATTTGTTTTGGCAAACCCATCATCATTTGTCTGAGGCATAACAATGGCCTCTTTATTGATGGTTTAATCCAGTTCCTGAGGCTGGATTAAATAAATGAGACAATTGAACCTCAGATAGGTAAGTGACTTGGCCTTGGTCACCTAGCAAGGCACTGCTAGCCAGACACACAATCTCACTTAGTAATTTCTGTCTAGTGCCTCCTACTAGACAGGCCAAGGCCCAGGGCACTGCACTCTGCATGGGGTGGAAGTAGGGTGTAGCATTGGAATGGAGGTAGTGGTAGAATGCAGTACTTAAAGCCAAGGAGAGAACACTAAAGAATCCATAGCCCCAGGAGAAGTAAAGTCAAAGGGAACCAAAATCCAAAGGCAGTAATCACCGAGAGGGACTCAGGAGTGAGAGAAAATTCATGGACAAGTGGCAGGTCAGAAGCCAGGGAAGTCAGGGCTGCCAGAAATTTGCAAGCAGCAGGCAGGACCCCTAGTCTTTATACAACCCTGGTCTTTCTGTAAAAGGCTGGAAAAAAACAGCTTTTTCAAACATGCTATATTCAAATGTGCCATAATTGTTCTGTTTTGAGAAACCAGAATGGTCTGGCTTTTGTGCAGAAATAAGGAGAATATCATCCTTTGCTGCTCAATGATAAATGTATTGCCTGAACCTGAGCCTGGAAGACACTGCCCTACATGTGCCCAATGTCTCACAATGCTTCCTTTGGGCAGTTTAGTTTGGTGTGTGACCTCTGACCTCAAAGTATCTGAATAGAAAACATAACCACACTAGTTCACGCTACCTATTCCTCTTTCCTCCAAGCAAGTACACTGAAAATGCTAAGTCCAAACTGTGAAAGATCTGAGATATTACTGTATTTGCAAGCTACAAAGTTAGCCCTCCACAATATGTATATATGCTTATGTATATATATTTATGTGTGTGTGTGCATGCACACATGTGTGAGGTGTGTAATATATATATAACTTTATATCTGACCAAGTTTTGCATGCCACGTTCTCACAAAGCAACACAATGAGGGCTTGATGTCACTGCATGTGCAGTGGCGTTGGCTCTACAGGAGAAGAGGAACCCTGAAGTTATAAAGTTTGGAAGTTTATGGGACATCCATCCATGTTTTCTTCTGGAAAGAGGAAGAAATAAATACTTTACTCTTGAATGGAAAAAAAAATATTTTTGTGGAGAAGAGGGGAGGGTTTTTATTTTGCCACCCTAGACTGTAAACAAACGGTTTCAGGGACAGAAAAATCCTGAGGTCTCTATCTTTAGGTTTCATACTATGGTCCAAATATGTGTGTATCCTCAAAATTCATGCGCTGAAATCCTAATCCTAAAGTGACAGTATTAGAAAGTGGGGCCTTTGGGAGGTGATTAGAGGATGAAGGTGGAGGCCTCATGAATGGGATTAGAGTCTTTATAAAAGGACCTGAAGGAGCTTTTTTACCCTGCCACCATGTGAGGACACAGTGAGAAGGCACCATCTATGAACCAGAAAGCAGATGCCCTAACCAGACACTGAATATGCTGGCGCCTTGATCTTGGACTCAGCACACAGAACTGTGAGAAATAAATTTCTATTGTTTGTAAGCTACCCAGTCTATGGTACTTTCTTATAGCATCCCAAATGGACTAAAACATTTGATATTCAGTCAAATGTTCTTTGTTCAGTGTTGTTTGTTCATAAAGCTCTGACCATGAGGAAACATGAAAATATTTGTGGAGCACTGTCTCCCAATACCAAAACTCATCGTTTCTCTCTTAAAAATAAAGGCATTTCCAGAACATCAATAGATGCTGGGGTAAGTAAAGGAAGGAGAGAAAAAGAATGAAAAAGGAATGAAGCTATTGTACATATGAGCAGTGCCTGGGTTCTAGTTAAATGAGCCTAAAATGCCTGTTGCTATCATGATAAGTTACACACATGTCAATGTGAACTCTCACTAACCAAGGAGAAAACTGAGATAACTCTTATTTTCCTCTCTCCCCTCCCCTCCCCTCCCCTCTCCCTCCCTCCCTTCCTTCCTTCTTTCCTTCCTTTTCTCTTTGTTCTTTCTTTCTTTTGATTTCTTTCTTTTTCTTTCTTTCTTCTTGCTTCTCTATTTCTTCCTTTCTTTTTCTTTCTTTCTTCTTTCCTTCTCTCTCTATTTCTTCCTTCTTTCTGCATCAGATGGTTAACAAAATAGACACAGTCTTGGAGCAAGTCTAGAGTGGCACAGACACCATCTGTAAGCAAAGCATCATAAAAATTATTACTTATAATTTTATTAACAGTTATGAAAGAGGAGCCCATAGTACTCTTAAAAGTGTATAACAAGAAGAAAAGATCTCATTTGAAAGAGTTTTAGAGTTGCCAGACTTAGCAAATAAGAACACAGGACACCAATTTATTAGAATCTCAGATAAACAATGAACCATTTAGTGTAATTATGCTTCATGCAGTATTTGGGACACATTTATAAAAAAGTTTCTTCATTGTTTATCCAAAATTCAAATTCAACTGGGCTCCTGTATCTTATCTGGCAACCCTATGTGTGGGGTAGAGGAGGTGGTAGCTAAAAAATCTTACTCCTAGGAAGTGACATCTGAACTGAGACCTAAAGAATAAGTTGGTGTTATCCCAAGTCAAAGGTTTGGGGGTGGAAACAGAGGGTAAGGATAGGTAGACCAGGCAATCTTTATGGTCAGACTGTAAAAAATAAAGAGGAAAATGGCATTTAGAAAAGCCAGAAAGATTAGGGCCCGATAGGCCTGGTTAAAGATGTCAGATGTTAGAGACTGGGGATGGATGTTAGAACATAGGCTCTGGGCCAGGGGCTACTGTAAGGTGCTCACTGAATTTAGGCAAGTCAGTTCACTTCTCTGGGTCTCAATTTTGTCATGGGTCAAATGGATGTTCAAGTGTTGGAAAATGAGATAATGGAACACAAATTCTGAAGGGTTCACTGGGAAGAACACTCACAGTTATCTAATATGAAATCCTCAAGATACAGATGAAAGTGAGACTTAGGCAAGGCATTGGCCCCAAATGACGAAACGTGAAGACTTTGGAGTCAGACAGTCTTGAGTTCAAAGCCTGGCCCTGTCACTTGCCTGCTGGGTAGACTTAGGTAAGCCAGTCAACTTCCCTTTGAGCCTTTATGCTTCTCCAGTGTAGAATGAGATAATGTCTTCCTTCCTGAGTCGTTGTTAGGGTTTATGACAAAATGAAAAGAATCATGTCAATGAGCCTTGGTGCGTATTCAATGATTTGCTCATGGAGATTGGTTCTCTGTTCATTATTTTAAAGAATTCTGGAAACTTTTATGATAGACTAAAAGGTGAAGGGGAAGAGAAGCAAACTGTCGCTCTAGGCACACATTATGTCTGCCAAACTGACCACCAATGGCTGTCCCTCCTCCCTACCTTTAGAAATAGTTAATCTGTCAGTTCTGGGGGCTCAGGGAAGAAATGAATTCAAAGAACAGCTGCCATGAGATTCTCAGGCTCTGAGGAGTCAAGAGCTCAAAAGCTGCAGTGGGAGAAAGAAAGAAAGACTGTGAACCTTCAGGTGTCCCTCACTCTCCAGATAACACTTTAACAAGGTCTTCTAGAAATAATCAGGTACAAATACATTCTATTAATTAATTAGGCAAACACTCATGAATACCTTTCATGCAGCTATTAAGCAGCTTCTAATCTAGTTAGGGAAATACAGAGAAGCAAACAAATTCAACAAATACATCTTTATTGACGGTCTCAGGAGAGTCAACTTTATTGGTGGGACTTTCACACCAGGTAAGTGAGAAGATGGCTCTGGTGGGACCTTGGAGCATTCCTCAAAATACTCAATGAGGTTGTTTCTGATCTCAAACAATGGCACTGGCTAGCCCCATTTCCTTAATCCCACCCAGCATGTACAGCTGGTTGGGCTGTAGAGCTGTTTGTGATATTACTTGTCAATTCCCTCAAATTCACTGAGAATCTATGGTAGATATTTGCTGTGGCAGGTTAGTTTTTGATAAGTGTTGGTTGATTTGAATGGTTTACCTAATGGCTTCATGCCAGGTAGATGGCAAAATATTTAATAGAATCTTTCATATGTTAAAAGAGCACAAGAAGTATGTGCTCATTGAGCTGTTAGTTTTTTCAGCAAAGATGGATGTGTATGAATCCATCCATAGCTGAGTCTACTCTTGCTTTTGCAAAGCAACTGGCCATATTAGGAGATAAGTTGGTGGCTGAGAACAGACAACCTAATCCTTTATGCCTAATGCCTGTGACTCTAATTTCTGAATAGGGTCTAAATATCAGATTTAAATAGGGTCTGAATAGGGTCTAAAAATAGGAGCCCAGAATGAGCATATTATAAACATTTACAATTTGGGGTCATATGAAATGTTTAGTTAAAATTGTTTATGGCTTAATGCCCTTAGACAATTTGTTTTTTTGTACTCCTCTTTCGGAAGAAAGAGCAAATTTAAGAAAAACCTATTACTAAAGGATTAAGTGTAAGAAGGCCAACCTCCCACACTTTCCATAGTTACAGTTTGGGGCAAAGGAAACTTGTTTCTGAGGGTGTCCCTGAGGCACCAAACTTCAGAATCATTAAAGAAGGATTCAATTGTTTACAGAAAGGTGGCTTTTCCTCACAGGAAGGGAGCAGTATGTTTTAGAATTATTACCAACTACAGGGGTTGAAATGGAAGTATCAGCAACTCCTAGTTAGGATATTCAATTGACTCTTACCCCTCTAGTGGTCATGAATTTCATAGCTAGATGCTCTAGGGAAGTTGAGGAAACTCTGCTTTCCAGGAGTTTCCACTTTTAGGAAAAAGAAAAGACAAGCAGTGATGAATATGTCTAAAACTCAAATAGTGTGAAGCTCAAATAGTGTGAAGATGTGCATTCCTCCCACGTGCTGATTTTATTTTTTTCTGATTTAACCACTCCACTGGTTCTTGTGGGGTATTTTTTTTTTTTTCCAATCTGTGTTGGCAACTTCTGTGTGAATGTGTTAGACCTACAGAGATGCTCATCACAAAGCCTGGTTTCTGGCTAGTTTCAAAAGTGATTTGAACTCTGACCCGCTTCCTCTGGTTTATAACAAGCCTTCAAGCCTTCGTAACTATAAAAGCCACTGACTTGATAAAAAGCCCATGACCCACTATTAGAAACATTATCAGCAACACCATAGAGATGATTTTTGAAACAATAGATGTTGAAGTTTTGAATCATTTCTTTTTAAAATTTAAGTTCATTGTAAAATGGATTCATAACGGATATAATTGCCGGTAGTGCAAAACCACTTCTTCTAGGAAATTAACAAATTTGAGAGTTGGAATTGGAAGAGAAATACCCTAATACTCTATTTTATTACTGAGGAAAAAAATATATATTATTCTTTTTTTATCCAGTGTACTAAGACTATATAATGGTTTTGGAAAGGTTAAAGTTAAGGCTATAGATATTTTAAGTATTGTTTGTATGTTTGTCTCCTCCAAATAAGTAAATTTTAAAGGCAATAACTTTTTAAAATTTATTTCAGATCTACAGTGTCTAACACTGTGTTTGGTACAGAAAAACTGGTAAGTAAATGTATTTACATTGTTGGAGATGGTGCTATATACATTGTGCTTTTTATGGAAAGGTATTGTTTTTGACCCCTAGAAATGTTTGTGAGATGGTCACAATGAGAGGCACACGTGAGTAGGGAGTGAAGGGAGAGGGTTCTGCCTATGGGCCAGAGATGCTAAACGTCCTACAAATATGGAAGACAGTCCTCAGTGTCCTCATCTGTTAACGTGAAGTCTCCAATATACTCTGGTTCTCTGATGTTGCTGACAGTGCTATTCTGGCTCATTAAAAATGTCTGGAAACTATTGTCAATGCCTATGGGATTAAAAATAGATTCAGTTATATTAGAAAGCTGTTTTTTTCAATACCTGCTAAAATCCTTAAGCAATAAATGCACTTTGATCTAGTCATTCCGTATCTAAAAATTTATCCTAAAAAAACAGGTAGACTAATTATGTTGAAATACGTATATTATTGGTAAAAGAATAGGGAAATCAACTTGTCCTAACTACTGTGGACTTTCTCCTTTGAGCACTGTAATCCCTGTGGTGCTGGGCAAGTCCAGACCAATGTGCTGTTGACCACCATACAGCAAAATCCTCCCTTTTGATGAGTGAATATTTTGAGATGCTTCTTGGAAATGTGAAAATAGCCCTCAAATTGCCTTCTAAGGGTTTAGGTAACTTCAAGACTTTGCTTTTCAGAATAGATAATATAAGTTAGGTTCAGAGACAAATTCTTTGGGGAATTAGAGGTTAGGGGAGGCTAAATGAGGGAAGAATTTAAAGAAAGAAGTAGATCCAGAGGTTATGGGTTATGGCCAAGGAAGAAACTTGATTGATACGAAGTTTCTTTCTTTCTTTTTCATTTTCTGTTTTTTTTTGAGATGGAGTCACTCTGTCACCCAGGCTGAAGTGCAGTGGTGCAATCTCTCTGCTCACTGCAACCTCTGCCTCCTGAGATCAAGTGATTCTCCTGCCTCAGCCTCCTGAGTAGCTGAGATTACAGGCATGTGCCACCACACCCGGCTGATTTTTGTATTTTTAGTAGGGATGGGGTTTCACCATCTTGGTCAGGCTGGTCTCAAACTCCTGATCTCAAGTGATCTGCTCATCTCGGCCTCCCAAAGTGCTGTGAGCCACCATGCCTGGCCTTGAAGTTTCCTTTTTTTCTTCCCATAATATCTTCTGGCTGATATTTAAAAATTGATGGATTAAACAGATGTTTAGATACAGGAAAAGAGTGAATGAGTCAACAGGAGAATAAATCTCAGCTCCGCCCTACCACCCTCCTCCCCCAAATTCTAAAATAGAGTATAGGAAGAAAAACAGAAAATACAAAAAAGAGAGAGATTTGCAACACATATTATTGATCTTAGATTTGCATTCAGAATTTAAAAAGAAAGAAAAAGGCCCACTATAAATTGGTAAGAAGTCAAACAAAATGATGGAAATACAAGCAAAAAAATGAAAGGGGAAATCATATGATAAGAAATATTGATGATAAGTAAACACAGAAGAAATTCAACTTTACCAGGAAAATGGAAATACAAATTAAAGCCATTTTTATATTGAGATACCATTTTATATCCAGCAGACTGTTTTTTTTTTTTTATAATTCATGCAACAGTAAGCGTTGGCAAGGATAGAGATCAATGGGAACTTATATTTTAACAGTGGAAGTATTGGTTCGTTCAACCACTGTGGAGAGCAATTTAACAGTATTTACCTTATGATATACTATGACCCAGCAAATCCTCTTCTAGGTATATTTCCAAGGATACTCTTGCACATTGCATAAGGAGATAAGTATAAGGATTTGTATTGCAACACTTTTTAATAGTGGAAAAATTGGGAAGCAATATTTTGTTTATGGTTAAGTTTAAACCCTTATGATGATGTTTTGCTCCATTAGAGGACCATTGACTAGTGCAACTTCTCATGTTTTCTTTTCCAGAGGAAGAAGAGTAAATTATTTGTGAGTTTGACATAAGGAAAGGAACCTGCATGGCTAGGCTTCTTTCTCTCTTCTTCTTAGGAGAGTGCCTCCACGCCTGAAGTGCGTGCAATGCTCTGCTTCTCTCCAGAAGGATTATACAGGCTAGTCCTGCCCTGTTGATGTGGAGAGGACTGCCCGAGGTGACCTCAGCCTATGTCTTAGGTTCTAGGGTTCAGAATTAGGAAGCCCATTTGCCCACACATGTAAGTCATATTTTTCAGTTCAGTTTCACCAGTAAAAAGATGATATTTTGATATCTGTCTGCCATCCTCCTTTGTCTCATTTCTTAAATGGGTTAGTATAGATGTATGCTATTTATTGGTCCTCTTGAATCCCAAGATTGAGAAATAAGAAATATAATTTGTGAAAGTAAAGAACATGTGGAATAAAGAGGCTTTCAGTGTGGGCAGGGTGGGTAGGTCTATGCTTTGATGATATTATGCTAGGCTGTGGCCAGGGTGGGGGTGGATTTTTACCTCAGTGGGTTTCTTAATGTAGCTTTGCCTCATAAGTGTGACTGATTTTAGAAAGGCAGGACTGCACAGAAGGTCTTAAACATACATCATCTGGTCCTGCTCTCCCTTCTTTTAGCAAAAGCAACTGCTCAGCAGGTTTCAGCAAAGGCATTGGCCAAGGTGACATCTTAATCAAATTGTGGGGCCTTGAAAATGCACTTTGCTGCATTTTGACCTGATCCTACATCTGGACCAAGTATTGGAGGTCAGGCTGAGGCAGGATTAAATCTTTAAGCCATTATTGATAGAACATCACTGGCTGATTTTAAGCTGTAAGGCATTACCGAGTTCCACATAAATTGTTGAACACTAGCAGAGGTTCTAGTTTTAAACTTTTAGAAGTAGGCCTACATATGTAGCTCTAGATTGCTGTCTCAAATTCCATTTTGCTTTCAAGCAAAATGAATACAATGTAGAGAACTTGAGGGAAACTTATCTTGGGTATCTTGGCTATATGGCTTGTCACGGGTGAAAGGGCCACCCAGTTGTGTGCTAAGGCCAGCTTGCATCAGCTCATGCAAGCAGATTGTTCAATCCTCAGTAATTTTGTGAGGTGATTGATGACATATTGGTAGCTTGAAATTGGCAACACAGAGAATTTTTACACAACTGAAATCAGTAAACCCTACAAATCAGGGTTCTTCTCCCTGCCAGACAGTTGTTAAACATTTTTCGTCATGTTTTCATATTGGCTTTGGGCTTGAAAATAACGTAAGTTCAGACCAGAATTGAAACCCAATCTGTGGTAGATATTATTACTTTTAAACAAAAGAAGGATCAGGCACCAGAAAAAGAGGCCATTTTGAGGGAATCTAAGAACTCAAGGAAATTATTGCCGACTAAATAGGAAGACAATTGCAGAATTTCATGCTGAGAGTAGATTATTAGTTTGGTTTGATTAGGAATTCAAGGGTAAATTGGAGAGGCTTGAGACACATGGCATAGTAAAACACACACACACACAGACACACACACACACACATAAACTGAAAGATAGGCTAACTTAGCTAGAAGAGGAGAAATTCCTTTAGGAAAACAGTGTAGACTCTAGGAAATAGTCTTGCTTTTATAAAATAGACAATGAAAATTTTAAGGATAAGGCATATAAAAATATTAAGGAAAATGGAGATGAATTCCAAACCAAGTGCTCATGGAAGGCATTAGAAGAGAAGGACGGCACTGCCCTGTCAGAAGCTTTGATTGGGGCCCAAAAAAGGAAGGCAAAATTTTAGAAAGCAAACTGGAATGATTGCTTCAGGGAAGGCCAGATTTGGGACACTGTTGAGATGCAGCTTTTTAATATTATATAGGAAAAGCAACTGGCTACTGTCTTGTCTTTTATACTGAGGCAACTGAGATGTTGCCCTGGGTAGTTTAAAAATTGGATCCCCTTAAAGATTGTAACAGCTCTCCATCTAGAGTGGTGGCAGGAAAATCTGGACAAATTTCAAATGAGCAAAAAAAGATCAGCATCATACTAAAAGAATGACTGGGAGAGTCTGAAGGTACCGTATTCCACAGGTGGAGAATATACGAATTGCTTATTCTGAGAGTAAACATTCCTGAGAAAATCAGGGATCTAAAATGCTAAAGGAAGGCAGAACAAAGAGGAAATATTAAAGGTTCAATAGGTAGTGCAGTGAGTTGAGGCCAGCCCTGGTTAAAGGTTAAAGTTTAGCTAAAGGAGCTCAGATTCATCAACCAAGGAAGGTGAAGGTGAGGAAGGTTTGTTTGAGCAATTGGTACTTAAGCTCAAAGTTTGATTTCTGGCCCAGACATTCTGTTTTCAAACATATTCCTCCAGATACTGTTTTGCATTTCTTTAAAAATAAGAGATATGAAACCAGTTTGTTCTTAATTGTCAAAAAGACATGGCGAGCAAAATCATAGTACTTCATGAGGTAGAGAAGGAAAGGGAGAAAATTAAGCAGGAGAGATGGTTAGAACCTTCCTAAAAGACATACAAGAATAATAGAATGAAATCAAACACGAGAGGATTAATTCACTTGCCCAGTGCACACACGCGGGCACACACACACACACACAGACAGTCCCCTGAGGAGCATTTGAGTTAT
Organism: Homo sapiens; assembly: GCF_000001405.40. Classification (NCBI taxonomy): domain Eukaryota; kingdom Metazoa; phylum Chordata; class Mammalia; order Primates; family Hominidae; genus Homo; species Homo sapiens. Next base: position 89,000,205 of record NC_000012.12, on the reverse strand, counting down.
TGGACTTTATTATGGCCCTAGGGGCACAACTTCAGAAAACAACTATAGCTTCATTTCAGGAATCTGCTGAGGGCAAATTCTATGGATGAGTGAATTTAAAGAGTTGGGGAAAATCCTCCCTAGGAGGCCAATATTACAGGCTTACACAATTCTACAGCAAGCAGCATTAGAAAACCTATGAGGGCACTGGGATGGATGTGTCTGCTCACAAGAGTGAGCAGTTGGATATTCTGGGCAGGAAAGAAGGTGCCTCAAATTGGATTCATAGGCTGCCACCATTAAAATTTCCAAAGATTGCAAGAAGGATGCAATATCTTAAATACCACAGTCTGAGTGACAAAACAATAAGCATAAATGAATTTTCCTGACCAAGCCTCCCACCCCTAGAAACTCACAAATGGCAAATGCATAGACCTACATTAACCATTTGCTAGGAGATCTTTCCCACTTGATTTTAAATTCACAGTTTGTAGATACTAAACATCTGGCATAGATTTATTAGCATTCTGATGAAGTTGAAACCAAGTTTTTCTCTCTATTTTTTTTAACTCAGGTATGATTGGGGTTTGCTATGATGTGTGATACTAAAAATAGTCAGTTTGAGGAACATAATTTTGCCTGAAATAAATAATTTGGTAGATATTATTTTTTCTTATATCTTTTACGTGTGAAATAGATGCTGTGATAATATTACATGTCCTATTAATCTTGTAGGCCATTTAATAAGTGAGACGTGTTATTGAAATTATGCATATTTTGAGACCTTGAAAGCAATAAATTAGTTGTAAGAGTGCAGTCCAAGATGTAACTTCTGAAAGACTAAATTCTTCCGTGCCGCTAAGAACCCCTTTAGCTGGTAGACTGAGTAGAATAAGAAATTAGAGAGGCTGCCCTTTAAACTCTCCTTTCTCATTTATTTCAACTTCAACTCACAATGGCAAAATAATTAGATTTTTGACAGGTATATCTTTAATCTTTGAATATTAATTTCTCATGAGTCATATTGGACAATGATGCTAGACAAAATAGACAGTGAATTTCAGCACTGATATGGAGTGGGCTTGGAGCTAACATAACTAATTTACCACTCTGACATGTTCAGAACCTTTTGAGAGTTTACTCTACACTTGACTTTGGAGGGTGCTCTCTACATTAGCAGTGGTTCCAAGAAGAACCCAAAGGAGTAATGGTTGGTGTTAGAAAGAGGCCTTGTAAACATAGGAATGGGGCTACCCTAATAGAATGATCTTCTCCTTGTCTGATTATACTTTTAATGGTTAAACCCAGTAGATTAAGATAAAAACTGGAAATTGTCAGGAAGAACTTTTTTTTTTTTTTTTTTTTTTTGCTCCAGATACTTCATTTCCATCCACCCTCACTCGCTCCTCCCAATAAGGAGAGAATAACCTGACTATTGATTTGGGGTCTGGAACTGGGCAAGTGAATCTGGGAACTGACACTGCTCCCAGTTGCTCTCAAGATTATGGGCCACATTAATCTTAGTCATGAAAATCTTTTCCCCATGTGTGAAGCTTGTATCGGTCCAGTACTGACTGTGAGTAAGTCAGCCTAATTCCGGAGTTCAACATTATGAAACCCACTTCTCTGCCAGATGTAAGCTACATTTCCTGATACCAGCCTTGTAGGTTATAACAGTAATGTTTTTGTTCTTCATCTGTGAATTCTAGTTTCATTTGAGAGGGAAATATTCCATACTGCTGCTGTTGTCTTTTAAGTGGAACTATCTGCATTTGTATAACCTTCCTGACCTCTCTATATCCACTCACTTAGCACTTGGAGAGGTGAAGTGATTTACCATATGGGTGATTTTGCAAAAAGAAACCAGGCATGTCTTCATCTCTTCTACTTTGGAAGAGGTCTGACAATTACTCTTGACCATGTCATGAAGTTAGTGGTAAAGGCTTTCCCCTCTTATAGGAAAGGTCTGCCCTAACTTACACTATGTATTTTTTTTATTATTTTAGAATATTCAATTCTGTTGTAGAAGATAGGAAATACAAATGGGATTGATGAAACTCATTTAATATGTTTAATTATATATAAGTCAGTAACCTGTAAGATGACAGACATGGATAAAGTAATTAGAGCATATGAGTGCTAAACACAGATAAAAAGTAAAGAAGAATGAAGAGGATCTAAATATTTATAATTCATTAAATAGATATGAGGCACTGAAGCACCTAATACTGATGATATGCATGAAGCAGCAGTAAGTCTAAAATCGGTCATCCATTCTGGCCCTACAAGTTCTCTGCCCAGGAAAAGCAATTAAAAATTTATAGTTGCTTATCAGGTTAATTGCCCCTGGGTCTCTTCAACAGAGCAAGAATATATGTTGGCTCAGCCACCTTTTATCTGGAGACCCCCTTGCCTCAAAATTCAACTCTGGTCCTCACAACCCTATCATCAGGAGGGAAGACTGGTGCCACAGAGACACAGGATTCAGCTAGCGTGGTCCCTTTATCTTGCTTGCATCCTATCCTAACTGTATTAACTTATGCCATATCTTTCCCTTTTCTTCTTACTATGTTTTATATTAATTTAGTAAGCCATGTGATTTGAGCATCTTAACTTGACCAGTAAACCTCTCCATTCTATGACCTCTGGAATAGCTTGCCTCATGGTGTACTCGAAAGCCACCATTTTTAAATGCAATTTCCCACATGCTTAGACTGATTTTGTATTGGTTCAACACTACAAGAGAAGATGGGTTTACTAGAATTTTATATCTCATCCACCAGTAGATGAACAGATAATGTATGATTTATCCCTAGAATGAGTGCAATACAATTATTAAAGCGATTAAAATTTATTTAATGTAACAGGAACAAATGTAAAAAATGCAATATCAAATGTAAAAAACTTAATTACTGAAAGATACACACAATGCAGTCAATTTATATAAATGTTAAAAACCTACGAGTTACTAATTTTGGCTTAGAATCCAGTCTACCCTTCTCTCTTCCAACGAGAGAAGAGCCCATTGCCCAAGATTCAGCAATGTATATGGTTATACTGGCAGATATTATCCAGCCTCCCTTGAAGCTAGGTACAGCCATGAGTAAAATTCTGCCCCATATGGTGTGAATAGAATTATGTGTACAACTTCAATTTTATATCCATAAATGTGAAAGGGGGCTGCACATCCACCCTCCCTCTCTTTTCCCTTTCCAATGGCTAGAATGCAAGAATGCCAGCTTCAACTATGAAGACACCCGAGGTCATGATGCAGCAACAAGAGAGGGAATCTAGATCTTGGCTAATCTTGTGGGTAAAGACATCTGCCCTGAATTGCTAGCCTATCACTGGACTCTATGAGCCATGGAATTTTTGAACCATTATATTTTGGGGTTTCTTTTTTATAGAAGCTTAATATGCATCCTAATTAATATAACACAAAATGATACATTTATTTTCGATTCATATGCAATAAAGTAAAAATTTATGGGATGATGCACACCAGTTAGAGGATCATGGTTCACTCTGTGGAAGGAGAGAGTAAAAGGGATGGGGTAGTGCAAAGGTAGGTGATCTATAACTAGTAAGATGAATGCACAAAGTCATAAAAATCCAGACTCATTTTTTTTCCTTGCTCACTCACTCCATGTCACTTCCTTCCTCAAAGTCACAAGATGTTTGCTGGAATCCAGCCATCACATTCATATTCCAAGGAGAAAGCAATAAAATGGAGGAGAGAAAAAAAATTCATGCCAAATTAAGGTCACTTAAAGAGATTTTATGTAAATCCCACCCAAAAACATCTGCTTACATTTCTGTGTAGTCATGCCCTCTCTACTTTATGTTCCATGTTATAGTTAAAGCGACCCAGTGTTTTATGCATCAATAACTCCTCAAGCCTCAGAATTCAGTTCAGACCTTAAATTGGCAAATGAAGTCCCTCATGATCCAGCTATTATCCCTCCAGCTCCATCTTCTATACCTCCCTGCTTGCAGGCAATGCTCCAGACAGATCAAATGCTTTCAGTTCTTGAAAATTGCTACAATCTCTCTTGTTCCTTTGCCTTGGCAACTACATCTCCTTCTGTTTGGAACGTTCTTTCTTCACTTAACTAACTCCTTTTTTTCATTTAAGACAACCTGCCACATGCCTTTTGGACACTGAAAAGTATTTCTGACGCCTGGTCTGGAACAGATATGCTACAAATAAACTTTGACGGCCTTCTACATATATCTATAATATATAACATTTATCACATGCATTAAAATTGTTTATTTGTCTATTTCCTCTACTAGATATTTAACTCCTTAAATGCAGAAATTTTCTTTTATTTCTGGTGCTTGACATGCATGAGTTGTTTAATAAATAGGGTAAGTATATAATTTGCTGTCTAAACCAGGATGCTATTAATCATTCTGTTGGCACAACAGGTGTAAGGTGGGCAAACTGGGACATCTTATTTTCTTATCAATAAATGTTTGGATAATACATTATCGACATACACACACCATTGTATTGGAATTTAAGAAATCTGGCTCTGTTATTAGACTTTTACTTTCTTAGTGACTTCAGCACCATGCATGGCTCATGGCACACCATAAGTGCTTCACCAGTGTTGAATAAGACAGTAAGTACATACTACTACCACTTACCACCTGTACAACTTCATGTGGGACACAGAATTCACCCTTTATGTACTCAAGATAATTTGTAGAGATTGAGATTGATTATTCAAATAAGAAAAAGACCACTTTCCATTGAGAGTACAAGAAAATACTTTCATAGAAGAGGTAGTCTGAACCATTGAATTTTACTCACATATGATTGTTTTTCCTGAGGAGGTTCTTTGCCTCTTGTCTGCTTAAAACTTGTGAAATTCTGCAATCTTCGAAGTTCATCATAAATAATTCATCCCCCAAAACTTCTTCATGTGTTGGTCTTATCAGAGGATATGGTTACTGTGAGCAGTATTGAGACATTGTGTACACCAGAAAATGTGAAATTTGGAACATCTTTGAGTAGGAGGTCAGAAATACCAGAATTACTTCATTCCTGCACATTGCTTGGCTACAAATTCAGCTCAGTCAGTTCACTTTCAAGAGAATATTTCTTAGTTCTCCTTCCTTTAATGTCCTGGTGTTGTTGTTACACTAGCCATGTTTAGGAAGAGTTTTTTTTCCCTCTTGTGTAGGAGTCTTCTGCCCACAAGCCCATTTTGTGTTAAAATTAAGAAACACTGATGGAGTGATGAAAAGCAAATGCTTAGATGATTCTCAGAAATCTTTGCTTAAGCGCTGAATTTAAAACAATCACTTCCAGACACACTCATTATCTACTAGCTATTTCAAGTTTCTAAAGCACAATTAAATTTAGTTAAAATTATGCACTTGTTGGTGCATATTTATTTCTAGACACATATAATCAGGCAAGAGTGTTAACATTTAGTCATGGGCTAAGGAATGCAGGGCTTTGGCAACTGGGTTTTTGAGATGTTTAGGTATGTGGATAGAAGGATGGTGAGCTTACTCTTGGTACAGCATTCCAAGTTTCCATCTACTTGCTCAGCAATAACTCAGTAGGAGAAGTTTCAATGCACACTTATCAACCAAAATAAATTTGTAACACCTACTTCTTTTCAGGAGGCTTCAAAACCAGTCAGAAACTGGCCGGGCATGGTGGCTCACACCTGTAACCCCAGAATTTTGGGAGGCCGAGGTGGGCAGATCATCTGAGGTCAGGAGTTTGAGACCAGCCTGACCAACATGGTAAAACCCCGTCTCTACTAAAAATACAAAAAATTAGCTGGGCATGGTGGCGGATGCCTGTAATCCCAGCTACTCGGGAGGCTGAAGCCGAGGCAGGAGAATCCCTTGAACCCGGGAGGCAGAGGTTGCAGTGAGCTGAGATTGCACCACTGCACTCCAGCCTGGGCAAAAAAGCAAAACTTCATCTCAAAAAAACAAAAACAAAAACCCCCAAAAACCAAAACAGTCAGAAACTAAGACAAACCCCTACTTAAATTCTCTAGGAAGACTGAATCATAAGATTCCCAGTTTTCGAGCATAGTGTTTGCAGTTTGTGTTTGCGCAAAGAACCAAATTCTTCTGGACAACACCAAAGGAATCTGAGCTAATTATTTCCCACCGCATATTCACAACCAAAGACAATTAGACCTAAGAGGGGCTATATGTTAGAAAGAGACTTACATCTATCACTAAATAGGCAACCTTGAGTAATTAATTTACTTCTTCTTTTCATGGCCTTGTTCTCCACAGTAATAAATGTAAAGTAAGTTATCTACAATTTTAATTGCAAAAATATGATTCTATGGATTCAAGGCATGAAAATCAAGAGAAAAGTACGTCTTTTGACCACTAGTCGTCCTTCTTGTGTAGAAAATGAGGGTACTTCTTGTTACTCTTCTTAAGCAGAAAATGAGGATGTTTGAGGTGCTCTTAGTTTAGTTGGTCATATGTGAAAAATAGAAGACATTATGCCTTCAAAATGTTTGGTCTTTGTTTTCCTGTTATCATCATATTTATTCTGGGCGTTCTTTGTATAGAGAGCCAGAGCAGAGCTCTGTATTATAAAGGTGATATTTTTGGATAAGCTATTGATGGAGTTGCAATATATGAAGACATTAACTATTTTCCTTAGATGAGGGAGCTTTCATTTGGATCCACCTGAATGGCCATGGATCCTAGGTAGGCAGTTATCATATGGGAGTCTATAGTTTTCAAAGAGAAGAGTTTGAAAAATGCTGCATTTACTTGAGGATGCAAGTGTCCACCTTTCTGGGCATAAGGGCAGGAGGAAACTACAAAAAGAAAGGGCTAGACGTATACTTGTATGTTTAGCTGCCTGTAGGGGTAAGGGCTCACTCTTGCACTTATGGCGTTGCAAATGTTAACACCCCAAATTGACTTCTGGAACAAATGAATGACAGACACATTAAATAAGGGGCTTTATCCCAATGCGTGTTTTCAGATATAAAGGATTCCTCAACTCCTAGCAGCAAAAATGACTTGTGTTTTTCTGAAGCAGTTTGAAACCAAAAGCAATTCAAATTCACATAAAAGCACAACTTAAATGTACCACATGTACGCTTGGATTAAAAGAATGTTATTGGATGGGAATGTGTGTTCTCTAAAATTTATAGTTGAAACATTGAAAGTATGTGGAGATTCATTATTATCACTTTAATTCTCAGACCATTGAAGTTAAAATAGAGTCAAATTGGCAGGTAGCCTTTTTTGTGTCACATTACCTTATAGTAATGGTTACATTACTGTAGTTACAGTAATATGTGTAGTATATATAGCATTAGATAGATAGATAGAGAGATAGAGAGACGGAGTCTCACTCTGTCACCCAGGCTGCAGTGCAGTGGCATGATCTCGGCTCACTGCAACCTCCGCCTCCCGGGTTCAAGTGATTCTCCTGCCTCAGCCTCCTGAGTAGCTGGGACTACAGGCGTGTACCACCATGCCCAGCTAATTTTTGTATTTTTAGTAGAGACGGGGTTTCACCATATTGGTCAGGCTGGTCTCAAACTCCTGACCTTGTGATCCACCCGCCTCGGCCTTCCAAAGTGTTGGGATTACAGGCGTGAGCCACCACACAGGCCAATATATATTTTTATATATAGTACATATATGGTGTTATGTATATAGCATATAAAACTACATTTACACTATATGTAATTCTATAAATACTATCATATATAGTATATATAATAATATACTATAACATATAGTGTATATAATAATATACTATAATATATAGTGTATATAATAATATACTATAATATATAGTGTATATAATAATATACTATAATATATAGTGTATACAATAATATACTATAATATAGTGTATATAATAATATACTATAATATATAGTGTATATAATATACTATAATATATAGTGTATATAATATACTATAATATATAGTGTATATAATAATATACTATAATATATAGTGTATATAATATACTATAATATATAGTATATATAATAGTATACTATATTTGTTATATTAATAGTATAATCTGTATTATACACATAACTATTAATACATAGTACTATATATCTCTATAACATAAATCTGTACCACATATCTATATAATATAAATATTGCTAGTATATATACATTTGTTAGTGTATATTATATAATACATATGATATGTCATTATATATTACATATTATATTACTATAATATTGTAATAGTTATAGTAACAATAGTGTCAGGCATTTATTGGGTTTACTTTGCACTGGGCACCATGATTAGTGTTTTACTAAGTTGATCTATTTAATAGTCATGTGAGCCTATAAGGTATAATTATTATTTCCATTTTGCCCATGATGAACCCAAGGACGAGAGAGGAGCCCAAAAACACATAACTACTATGGAGTAGAGCTAGTATTTGAATTCATACCCAAACTCCAACCGTTGCACTCCACTGCTAAAGGCTTATCAATGACTATAAAGATGGAAGAAAAATTTTAAATGAATCGATATTATTTCTTGTTAGCTTTTCATTAACTAGATATTTGTCTTGTATTGACTATAGATTTTAGTTTGAAAATCATATTTGCTGAGACTCGATTCTTGTTACAAAATATCATTTGTGAAAATTGGGCTAAATTGTGAAATTCAAATACACTATTTTTCGGAGAATGTACTTAAGGCAACTTTTACTCATGCAAGGTAAAAATTACTCTTAGTAGTTCAGAAGCACTGGTGTCAGGAATGATGAGAAATCTGGTTTTATGGTCTAATCTTTTAGAGCTCTCAGTTGGGTGGTGGAAGGAGAGGACAGAGAATCTTGTTTGTTAGCCTTTTCTGTTTGGTTGATTATCTGTGAACTCCAATTATATGAGAAAATGTTTTAGTTCCTCTGGGAAGGAGAAGAACTTCCGATACCTGGACAAGTGTTTTTCTGTGTTCTGTTTTTTTCTTTTGATCCATGGCTGAGGTTGTGCAGTGAAAGCTATAAGCTATCTGTGTGTCTATGTGACTGTATTTGAGAAAAGTCTTTACCTCTTTTGACAGATTCTATTTTTCAAAAAATGACTACCACCATATCTTCCATCCAACATGTTATTACAACATGACTTTGACACTCTTCACATTAAGAGGCAAGATCTATGTTCCATACTCTTAAATTGGAGCAGATTTTGCACTCAGGTTTAAGTGGCACTGAGGAATTTCTGAAGGTAGGTCATAAAAGACAATACAGTTGTTCTTATGCTTGGAACCAAGCACTATGCTGTGGGGAAGCCCAAGCCGCTCATATAGACAGACCCGCATGGAGAAGAACCAAGGCCCCATCTCTCAGCCTTCATTGAGGTCACAGCCAACAGCCAGCAACCAACACTGACTTGTCAGCCACGTGAGTGAGAGCTCTTAGAAGTGGATCCTCCATACTCCAGCTAAGCCACCCCAAATGACAATGCATGGAGCCTTCCCTGCCAAATTCTGCCCAAACCATAGATTTGTAATACAAATAAATGATAGTTGATGTCTCTAGCTACTAAAACGCGAACCCATTTCATCATGTGAATGTGAAATATTTTTTATTGCTAGAGGACAGTAATACATTAAGCCATAGAGTTTCTCAGTATAGGAACTCTGTTCTGATTGGTTGATAGAGATTCACAAATACATACATACATATATATATATATATATATATATATATATATGACATAACTAAAGTCTCCATGTTTTATATACTTATATTTTACATTTTAATTAATAGTCTAAGTTCAAATAATTAAAGTGGGTATTTGGACCGAAGCTGCTTTAATAATTAAAAAAAATAGCTATGTGTCTTTTTCCTGACTTTATTAACACAGAGCATAATACCTACATTGTATTCTATATAATATTTGGGGTTTTTTTGTTTGTTTGTTTGAGTCAACCTTATCAATGATTTTATGTATGGCTTTTGAGGGTTTTTTTTTAAGTTCTGGGGTACATTTGCAGGTTTGTTACATAGGTAAACATGTGCCATGGTGCTTTGCTGCACCTATCAAACCATCACCTAGGCATTAAGCCCAGCATGCATTAGCTATTTTTCCTGATGCTGTCCCTCCCCCCACACCTTCCCCAACAGGACCCAGTGTGTATTGTTTCCTTCCCTGTGTCTAACATTGGGGTTTTAAAAATTTAGTTAATCTGAACTCTTTAATATTCTTAAACTATTTTACCAATCAGATAAGCCAACATTACTTCTACACAATGTTTAAAATTAAGTAAAATGTAAAATTATGTGTTCAACTAAATTGAATTATATTTGACAAATGTTTTTACATAAATAATTATTGGGTTCCGCAGTGCATCAGCTTAAATATAATTTCCAAAATATCTAATTAATTTTAAATTATTAAACTGAAATTAGATCAAATTAATTAATCTTGGAAAACTTATAGAATACTAAAACATTGGTCACCAAACATTGTTTACATGTATTATACATATATATATATATACACATACATATAAAATTTTGCCCCTTATCTATATATTTTATAGAGTTGCCGTAGTTTTGAATCATATTAACAAATGTATTTATTTTTGCCACTGTAAGAGAGTGTGAAAGGAATGGTCACTGTTGGGAGTGGTACTATACTATCTCAACAGAGATTCTTACTCTTCTCTATTCGTGAGCTCTGTTAGTATACTGACATGCTTGTGTATGACACACAGTTATCAATTCTTTCCTGTCTCCTAGTTCTCTCTGTGAAAAAGTAGTCTGTCAATCTAGTTAAAAAGTATAATTAATGTGGGCAATCGAGATTATGTTAGGAAAAATAGTGACAAAGAAGTTTGACTGAATACCACGTTAATGTATGTGCTTTTTTTTATCAAGGGTTAAAAAGGGCAGTTTTGACCAAAGGAAAAGTGTCAGGTTGTTTGAAATATGAAAGAGAACAGCAAGAGACAAAATTTGTATGGATATAGAAAGTTGTAGAAGGCTTGTTATTATATCTGAAAATAATGAATCTGAAAGAGAAGTCACAAAATATCTTAAATTTATTTAGTTTTGAGGGACTTTCTCAAAAGATAATTGAAAAAGAAGACACTTAACGATCCTTTACTGCCAAGTATTATATTTGTGCAACACTAGATTTGGTTTTCTCTTTTTCAAAATGATGAGTGTGTCTTGTCATATTCTGCTCTTTACAAACATAATATAAGTTTATCCTTTATCTTTTGTCCATTCCACTCAGAGAACAGATATCCTATGTAAAATTATTATTTAAATAAAACAAAAAAGCTCCTTACTTAAAAGAATTGTTTCCTTACAATTGTATATTTAACAAAATATATTGTTTTTCTGATTAATAAATAGCCAAAGTTCCATGATTTATTCTCTTTAAGTATCTATAATCTTATTTTAATAAAATGACCACATCTATTTTAAGAACTTTTTTGTTTTTGCCTTCCAAGATCAAACTCTAACCTCAGCAGAAAGAAAAAGCAATGTATCTCTTATACTTAAAATGATTGTAGAGATTTCCCAAAGAATCTGAGAGGAATCACAAAATTTATTATAGATACTAGAAATGATTAGGTATGTTTAATATGTCTGATATTTCTTAAATAACTCAACATCACAGTAAGAGCTGTCTTACTGGGATGATTACCATAATTGTCCTACAGGGAAAAAATAATCAAAACATAAGTGAAGCTCTGCCTTCCCTAGGTCACTTTCTGGCAGTCCAGGAATGTCAACAGATTATGGGGATATTGAAAAGAAAGAAATTTGACCACAATGATAGGTACTGCAGGTGAAACTCATGGAGGTAATTTTTTGGGGGTTGGTTTTGTAGGCTCAGGATAAAAAAGCAAAAAACATAGAGGTTTTTGAAAGTGGAACCCTAGATTCCTTATACAAATTTTCACATGAAAGATAATTATCTGGCATTAGTAGTTTTTAACACTGTATGGCTCTATGCATTCAAGCAAGTGAACACTTGGTGTTGTATATATGAAAATGAAAGGACCAGAAAACAATACATAATCATTTTGATTCATGAGGAATAAAATATAATCTTTGGAGATTTTTTATGATCATAAGCGTGTCTATTAAGAAAACATCATTGCAAACTTGGGAGGCCAGCATGTGTTTTCAAAGTTTTATGTTGTAGGGAAACACTGGTTAATAGGTCTAGCCAAGGGAATGTAGCTTTGTTGGATTTGGTTTTTAATCTAGATTATAGGTCTAAATTTTGCTAGCTTACATGCTCACTTAATAAATTAGAACAAAACATACAATTTGTCTTCTAAATCAAGATACTATTAAACATTATACTTGGATAATAGTGTCAGTGTAGATACAAATGATTTCTCAGCCACAGAATAGAAAAATATCACAAAGATTATTGCGCTGGAAGATATTAATCAGTTTTGTGTCTATTAGCAAAAGTATTCAAATACATGTAGATAACCAGTTCTTCAAATGCTCTTTGAACCAGTTTTACCATATGCTGGTTCCCGAATTAATGAGTTGAATACATGAACACTATGCTTTTAACTTTTTGAAAATTGTACTTTGACAAATGTTTTTGCAAAGTGTATTTTGGAGTATACAAGTCCCAAGAGATGTTTTATGGAGAAAACGATTCCATGTTCATGTTCAAGTAAGTTTGGAAAAATGTGACCTTTTTTATTTTTATTTTTCACCAAAATAACCACTCCCCTTACCACTGGTCTTGGTAGATATTTCTGTCTCTCTCTCTCTCTCACTCACACACACACACACACACATACATTTACTTTAACAGTGCATTTCTTAAGGAACTTGAACATAGCAACAGCTCTGCTGATACAACCCTAGTTTGAGCCATTATGATCTGCTGCCTCTCGCCTGCACTTAGCAATAGTCTGAAATATGGGTCCCTTACCTCTATCCTGATGCTCTCCAATCCATTCTTCGCACAGTGGCCTAAGTGATCACCCAGAAATGTAAATTATACCAAGTTTCTCCCTTTGTAGCTTTCCACTGGCTTTGAACTGTACTCTAACTAAATCCAAGCCCCTTCCTGTTGGGCCCACGTGAAGTGCCTGCTGTCCGCCCCTCTCTTCAGCTCAGTTGCACCTGCTGTCTCCTCATTCACCGTATACTATCCTCACCTGCTTTCTCCTTTTCCCAGAAGAATTCATACTTCTTCCATCTTAGGGTTCTGCTTCCTGGAATGGTCTTCTTGCAGGTCGTCCCATGCTAGTTTTTCCATATCCTTCAGTCTCAGATTAAATGTCACTTCCTCTGATAGGCCTTTGTGAGCACAGTTTAAAATAGATTGCCCACCCTTCAAAACATGTAATTTTCCCACACCACTCTATTTTATTTTATTCACAGGACTTATAACTTTCTGAAATTGTTTATTTACTGATTTACTTACTTCTTTATTAATGTCCCTACTCCACTCTTGAGTATGGTACTTTCTGCTCTTTCTTCAGCACCTAAAACAGTGCTTAGTATTCAGTAAACACTCAAAACAAACAAACAAACAAGCGGATCAATTAATTAATTATATGGAATAAACCACGCAAAAGAGTTGTGAATAATGAATACTGAACAAAGCTTGAAAATGGTCTTTCCTTTAAGTAAAAAAAAAAAAAAAAAAAAAAAAGGGATCTGGGAGAATCTGGGGGTTGTTTATAAAATCCGGTCATCTGAGGTCTCCCTAACCCTTAGCCAAGAGTGTCTAACAATGCAGAGCCACGTTATCTTGCTAGGCATAAAATACAAATAGGCAGAGTTTAAAAATATGTCTACATGACCCGATTTAAGGGTGCTGAAAATGTGCTGTGCTCTAAAAGTCTCATATTCTTTACTTTAGAATTGCTTGAAAATCTACTATTCAGAGGCTTTTTAAGTATATCTTTGTCCTCTTTTAAAATGCATGAATTCCTCGAAGGATTAAGGCAAAGATGGAAGGGGAAAAAATTGTTGGCCCAGGGCAGGAATTGAGTCTGCAGATAAGGTTTCGTGCGGCCCAAACAAGTGTTTTAGTATTTCCGTTATTTGCCAACATTTAACAATTAAGAGGTTTTCCAGTAAATTTCTCTTTTTTGTGTTGAAACCACACCCCCTTTCTTTCTTGGTGACAATCTTGTGAAAGGACAGGCATCCTTTAGGGATCTCCAGTTCCTGCCTAATGCTGGACACTTGAAGTTACCTGCCTGGACTTTGCAACCTCTCATTTTAGGATACTGTTATCTCCTACCTGATAATGAATTAGCTAAAACAGTTTTTTATTTTTTCCCCAGCAGAAACTTAGGCAAGACTTCTGAGTTTTGTTATAGTAGGAGATGATGGTGATTTTTTTTAAGTGAGGCAATGGTAATCTTCATGGTAATCATAGATATGTAATTTGATTCTTAGAAAGGAATTTAGAGATTATCTAAGTAACCTCCCACTCAGTGAAAGAATTGTCTTACCTAATCTTTCAGAAATCTCTCTCTTTTTTTTTTTTGACGGATCTTTTTCTCTCTGTTGCCAAGGTTAGAGTGCAGTGGTGCAGTTATGGCTCACTGTAGCCTCGACCTCCTGTGCTTCAGTCGTCCTCCCACCTCAGCCTCCTGGGTACGTGGGACTACAGGCGCCTTTCACCATACCTGGCTAATTTTTGTATTTATTCAAGGGACAAAGCTTTGCCATGTTGCCCAGGCTGGTCTCGAACTCCTGGGCTCAAGCAATCAGCTCACTTTGGTCTCCCAAAGTTCTTGGATTACAGGTGAGAGCCATCATGCCTGGCCCTTTGCAGCAGTCTTTTGAAGAAGGCATTATTTTCCCCCTCTTTGGGGATGAGAAAATGGGTCCTCAAAGAATTCACACAGCTAGTGTCAGGGTCTAGGCTCTATCTGACTTGTATTTGTTTTCAAGTACAGAGTTATTTCCACCATACTCCACTGCTTTGCCATAAGGAGGTAGGATTTGTGTGTAGCTGGTATGAGAAATTTGTCACGGTCAATGTGTTTGTCTACTCAGTTCTCTGGAATCTGCTTTTCTGTCCTCGACTGTGACTCCAGACACAGTTCTAGATGCCCTGTGCCACTGGCATAATGACCATGTAATTTCCTTAATGTGTCTAACCTTGATTTTGACTGTGGTCTCTTGGTTCATGTTCCTTTCTCACTGCCGTTATGCTGTTATTGCTCAGTTCTCTCAATCTTTGTCTTGCTGATCCACAAGTTTTGGTGGTGATTTTCCTGAGTTTTCTGGATTGCAACCTCACTCTCTTTAGAGCCCTGCTACTGAAGGAGGATTGGAGGACTGAAAGCATGGTATCATTTGGGAACTTGTTAGAAATGAAGCATTTTATATCCTTATCAGAGCCATTGAATCAGAATCTGCCTCTGAGCAAGACCTCTGGCATGATTCATATGCCCATTAATACTTGCAAAGCACCACCCTTCTTATGTCTTCTTTCTCAGGCATCCTGGAGTATGTCTCCTTATTGCTGTAGCTATCCTGCTTTCCCATTGGATCAATTGAAGTCAATCAGAAATCTTGACAGTTCCTTGCACTTTTGACGTCACCTGATTCTAGAGACTGTGGCTGCCTTAATTCTCCCTAGACTCTACTTGGCTGCCATATTTATTTGGATGACATTGACAATAGGGTGTATATATGTGTGCATGCATGTGTAGAAGAAGGTATCTAGTTGAAGAGTGTATTTCCATCAAGATGGCAGGTATATGAACTGAACGTTAGAAGTTACAAAGGATTTTAAAAAGATGGAGTTTGAGAACAGAAAATCAAGAAAAAAGTATCTTATAATAATCACCAGTGAAATTAGGCATTTCTTGGTGACAACAAACGTGGTAAGGTTTCACATAAATTTCTCTCATCTAATCCTCACAAAGCTCTACAAATTAGGTTTGTTATTATCTCCCTTTTACAAATAAGGAAACGGAAGTACAAAGATGTCAATTAACTTTGCCCAAGACCACAACCCAAGTAAATGGCAGAGCAGGCCTTTGATGCTAGGCAGTGTGGATAGCACACATATGCTCTTAACCGCATCACTACCTGTGGAATCAATGTGAGAAAATAACTCTAGGTATGAGAAAAAGGTGTCCAATTCACTGCACCATGAATAGTCCAGGTTAGTTAGAACCTAATATATAAGAAGAGAAGTAATGGAAAGAAGGGACAGATACATAGAAAATTTCCATATAAAGAAGGGTCTGGGGTAGAAATATGGTGAAGGGTTGCAAGAGGTTGCTAAAGGTTGTTAACTTGATGTTTCATTTACAAAATAAACACTCTGTTTATACTTAGTGTATTACATTTGAGGTGGATTGGTAGCGGTGGTAGGGGCAGGCAAGGGCCAATGAATAACATGTGTAGGAAAACGTGCAAAGCTAGCTTGATCTTGTCATTGTCAAATCTGGAGAATTCAGCTGAAGAAGAGCATGCGTGGCCTCAAATGTTGACCTGCATGAAGATAATATAGCTAATAAAAGATCTGTATGCAAAGGAGATTGGGGAAAGAATAGTGAAGGGTCATGAGATACAGGGAGGGGAGTTGGGGAGTGGATTAATAGGTAATAGGACCTCAGCTAGAGCAGAGGCCCCCAGTTTACAAAGGAAGAGATGGCAAAAACCTTTACCTCATTATTGGCATGGGCATACAGGAGTGGGAATACTTAACCAGTATTTTGAATCTCAGTGACTAGAAGTTTGATGGAAGGACTGAATTAGACTAATAGAAATGAGAGATCTAGCCTCTATTTAATCATTTGAGGGGAAGGAGATCTCTCTAGTTTGCCTGGCATTCTGTTCTAACATGGGATAATTAAAGTTATTATTGATGAAGGAACTAAAGTTGGCATTAGTGAAACAACTAATCTTGGGATACTGGGGTCATGTTGCTTCAGAAGTATCTTTCCATTATGACATATCCGTTATTATAATAATGAAAATGTTGCTGTTATTACAATCAGAAGAAAATTTAATCTTTTAAATAACTAAGAAATCTTTATTTAAACAAACAAAAACAATTTAGTGAAATTAGTGCTTGTAATAATATGTAAAATTTTATATCAGAAACTTGAAGGAAAAATAACAATTAGATGAGAGAAAAAAGTTCTCGAGGCAGGGTGGAAGAGAGTAGCATGTGT
This sequence comes from Homo sapiens, assembly GCF_000001405.40. Classification (NCBI taxonomy): domain Eukaryota; kingdom Metazoa; phylum Chordata; class Mammalia; order Primates; family Hominidae; genus Homo; species Homo sapiens. The sequence goes on along the minus strand of NC_000012.12, from coordinate 88,983,083 downwards.
GAACACCTTGGGATGATAGTGAACAGGCAGTGTATTTGAGGAACTGTGAGTAGTTTAGATCAGATAGAGTGGGGTGGATGGGGTGGGCAAGATTCTGCAAGACCTACTGAGCCAGACAAACTGTTTCAACTTTAAGAGCAGTGGAAGTCTGGAGTAGCTATTACTAATGCTCACCAGTGTCTGGTTCTCTTCTCCTTCCTGGCCACATGGAAGTCTTACACTCTCCAGAACCCTTGTAGTTGCGGAGGAGTGTTGAGTTCTGGCCAACAGATTGTAAGTAGCAATATGGACTGTGGTAAACAATGGTTCACCACCTCTCTGTGAAATATTTATATCCTAACTCCAGAACCTGTGAATGTGTTACCTGACATGGGTATAGTAACTTTGCAGTATTTGCAGATGTGATTAAGTTAAGGATTTTGAGATGAAGCGGCTATTTTGGATTATCTGATGGACCCAATGTAATTATAAGCATCCTGACATGAAGGAGAAGTGGTGACAGAATCATAGGACACAAACAGAGGGACAGAGACAGAGAATTAGAGAGAGAGAGAGAGAGAGAGAGAGACTTGAGGGTGCTGTATTACTGGCTTTGAAGACAGAGGGATGAGTCTTGAACCAATGAATGTAAGCAGCTTCTAGAAGCCAGAAAAAGCAAGGAAATGGATTGTTTCCTAGAGTGTCCAGAAGAGATTAGCTGACACCTGGAGTTTTAGTCCAGTGAGATCCATTTGAGACTTCTGATATCGAGACATGTAAGATAATAAATTCATGTTGTTCTAAGCCACTATGCTATGGCAGTGTGTTATAGCAGTAATAGGAAACTAACACATATACCAAGCTAATGAATATCTTTGAGAGACTTTGCATTCCTCTCTCCCCCAGCATTGAACATAGAAGCTCTGTAATGTTAGAGCCATGAAATTGACCCAATCTGGATTGATGATAAAGACAGCTGCCTGAAAAAGTCCCTGATCTAAGCATGAATGAAAGATAAACTTTATGTCTTAAATTATTAAGATTTTGTCTTTGTAACAGAAGCATTAGCCTATCCTATCCTGACTGATATGAAGCCATTTACAGCTTTTAGGTAGACATGTAACAAGGTCAGATTTGCATTTTTAACTATCACTTTAGCTGTAGCATGGAGAATGGATGAGAGGGATATGAAGTGGTTAGGTGTTAAAAGACTATTGTAAGCATCCAGGAAAAAGATGACCATAACTGGATGAGGATGTGAATGAAGAGAAAAAGAGTTTGAAAAATAATTTTGAGAATCAAATATTTCCAACTTCCAAGATTTTCAAATCACAAGATTGGTGATCAATTTGATATAGGAGGTGAAGGAGAAGAAATGGTCAATGATGGCCAAGATTTATGTTTGGGTGGTGGATTGTGGTGCCAATAACTAAAAAAAGAACACAAAAAGTGGATGATGAGGATGGGGAGATGACGAGTTTAATTTTGGCTTGGTTAAAGGTTTCTATTGGCCATTCAAATGGAAGTATACTGTGGGAAGTAGAATACATTCGTCTAGAACTCAGTGAGGGCTTTAAGCTGGGGGTTAGATTTGGGAGTGATCAGAATGTAGATGGTAATTGTATCCACTCATTCATTCAGTTAGTTTTTGAATGCCTACTGTGTGAGAAACACTGTTCTAGGCACTGCGGATTTGGCAGAGAAGAACAGATAAAAAATTTCTACCCTCTTATAGTGTGCATTCTAGGGAGAATGGCTGAGATAACCCCAGAAGGAAGATAAAGGGTGAGAAGAGACACACAAGGGCTTAGGACAGGAACAAGAATGAGCCCATATTTAAAGACTAGCTGGAGAACTAAAGTCCAAACTTACAATCTGATATAAATGATCCTTCATAACCTGGCTTTTGTCTTTCTCTCCACTTGTCAGCTGAAATTTCCATATCAGCTTTACTCAAAAGGAGATGGAGAAAGACCAACAGTGAGTTAGAATAAACACCAGGAATGTATAATACCAAGAAGACCAGGGAAAGAAAATGTTTCTTGAAGAAAATAGTCAATTCTGTTAAATACTATAGACAGACCAAGGAAGAGAGAGACAGCAGAGTATCTGTGTTACGGTCCTTGGCAAGAGTAGTTCCAGGACCTAAGACACTGCTGGAGGGTACAGATCTGAGTGGGCTGCAATAAGGGAAATATTGTATGAGTATCTCCTACATAATAAAATATTATTAGATGGTGTGTTAACTATCTGCTGCTTTGTAAAACTTATTTGAAAACTTAGAGGGATACTTAAGCAAGTATTTATTATCTCACTGTTTTGGAAAGTCAAGAATTCAGAAACAACTTAACTGGGTGGTCTGGCTTAGGGCCTCTTATGAGGTCACCATAAAGATGTAGATAAAGGCTGACAACTCTCAAAGCTTGATTGAGATTCAATGTCATGCACCAAGATCACTCTTCTGACTATTTGCAAGAGCCTTCACTTCCTCACTGGCTGTTGTTTGAAGGATCATTGGCAGAAGGGCCATCTTCGATGTTGGCTACCACTGGGGAAGTGCAACTTATTTGGGATGATAGGGTAGGTGGCGGTAACACCTCACATTGCTTTCCTTAAAAATCTCTGTTGTAACTATTCACAATCGCAAAGACATGGAACCAACCTAAATGCCCATCAATGGTAGACTGGATAAAGAAAACATGGAACTTATATGCCATGGAAAACTATGCAGCCACAAAATAGAATGAGATCATGTCTTTCGCAGCAACATGGATGGAGCTGGAGATGATTATCCTAAGCAAACCAATGCAGAAACAGAAAATCAAGTACTGCATGTTCTCACTTATAAGTGGAAGCTAAACAACGAGAACACATGGACACAAAGAGGGGAACAATAGACACGGGGGCCCACTTGAGGGTGGAGGGTTGGAGCAGTGAGAGGATCAGAAAAAATACCTATCAGGCACTATGTCTATTCCCTGGGTGGCAAAATAATCTGAACATCAAACCCCTGTGACATGCAGTTTACCTGTTTAAAACCTGCACATATACCCTTGAACTTAAAACAAAGGTTAAAAAAAGAGAAATCTTTGTTGTGCATGCTATCAAAAATGTTAGCTTTTGGTGAGGCATCAGGGCCCTGGTGCCAGATAAAAGGGGGTCTGGCAAAAAAGATGAGTTTTCCTGAATAAAATGTTGCAGTTCTTAATACCCCTACAAAATCTGCAACTTCAAGTTATTGCAATCTGGCTGTTAGGCTCCCTTTACACACCTGCTACAGGTTGTCCCATCAAACATCTTAGTGGAAAGGGTCACACTTAAGTATCTTATTTATATTGAATAAATAATAGTATATTTAACAAATCTAATATTAATTTATATTTAATAAATAGCATATATAAATTATATATGCTATTTGTCTTATCTATCTTAATATTACTTCTTATATTATTTATCATATGTTTTATATCTTATCACCTTTTGTTTTTACTCTAATCCAAGAGTGGTAAAAAAAAAAAAAGCCACCTGTTTAGCATAATATCCACAATGAAAGAAATCAGCAAAGTTACTATTGCAGGAAATCTACATCTACACGTTAGTTTATTATATGTTCTGAAAAGTCATGCAGTAAACTAGGTGTCTGCAATTTATTTGGCTACAGAATTTTTTTTTTTAAACATAACACCCTAACATCCAACTAAACTAGTGCTCCTTGGAAAACTCTTTGGAAAATAAAGATGTCCTAATCTTTCTCCTCTTCTCTTCCACAACTCTTGTTGCTCTCTTTAAAGTTCTCATTCTGTTGCTGAGAACTACCATAATAGACTCTTCATAGGTCTTCTGCTTTTATTCCTCCTGCCCAACCCAGTTTTATGTGCTCAAAATGGCTGTCCTTCTTGAACAAAATCTAATTATAATTCTGTCTTTTCAAAACCAACTTATGATGCTCCAGAATCAGGTGCAAACTCATTCACTTGGCACGAAAGATCCTCCTTCTGCTTTTTAGCCCTGGGTCCCGACGTCTTGATGTAAAAGCTCTGCAGCAGCAGCATGGAATTTCCAGTGCTCCCTAAACATACCATGTCCTTTCATTTTTGCCATGGCTTTTTTTTTTTCCCCTGAAAAACTCTCTTTTTTCTTTACTTGGAAATAAGATTATTAACCTTTAGGATTCTTCTTAAATATAACTATCTGAAATCTTTCTGTACTTCCTTGCCAGATTTTTCTCCTGAGTACACTTCATATTCTAATCTTCCAACCCTACTTTCCATTTTAACTTCACTAGGTTGAAACTATCCAATGAATCTAGTAGACTATCCAAGCTGGCTTAGGACACACAGTTGGGAAGGCACCAGCTCTCCTGAAGAAGCCAGATACTCTGCAGCCTGTGTTTGCTAAGACTGGCTACATCTCTATCTAAATTCAGAACAGGGACTTTTGTGTGTCCTTTACATTTTGACAGTTGATCAGCTCCTAAGCAAGTTTAATTACTCCTTTCCCCTGTCCCCACCTCACCCAGTGACAATTAAAGTGATCATAATGGTGCTTTGTGCCTATCCTATATCCATTCACCCTTTTTCTGATCACAGTGTTCTGGCTTTTCCTTCTGGGGAATCCCTCTCCCTAACTCTCACCTCTGGAGTTAGGAAGTGTTGACTCCATCCACAGCTTAAGAGTGGGTTCATGACCCAGAACTATTCAATCAGATTATTTTATTCTTTTGGCCATAGTGATTGGCTGAGGGGTTAGTATGTGAAGAAAGTTATACTAATGAGATTTAATTTTTAACTTTTACAAGAACTATTGAGGAAGAGAATCTTTTTCCTCAGGAGTTGCTAAGTTGGTCAAGTGCATGTCTGTAGTTACACGGCCCCAGTTCATGGAGAGGGCATTTGAGTAGGAAGACAACAGTATGGACCAAAGGGACCAGAGATGGAGATCTGTTTCTGATGTCATTTGAGTATCTGCACCCAACTTCATTTGGATTTTTTTTTTTTTTTTTTGACACAGAGTTTCACTCTTGTTGCTCAGGCTGGAGTGCAATGGCATGATCTCGGCTCACTGCAACCTCTGCCTCCTGGGTTCAAGCGATTCTCCTGCCTCAGCCTCCCGAATAGCTGGGATTACAGGCATGCACCACCACACCTGGCTAATTCTGTATTTTTAGTAGAAATGGGGTTTCTCCATATTGGTCAGGCTGGTCTTGAACTCCCGACCTCAGGTGATCTGCCCGCCTCGGCCTCCCAAAGTGCTGAGATTACAGGTTTGAGCCACCACATCCAGCTCATTTGGGAATTTTAATCATGTGGGCCAATTATTTTTTTTCTTAAGTGCGATTGGTTCATTTAACATTTACAAAGTCTTGATAATAAAAAAGTTATTTGTTTGCATATGACTGTCAAGTAATTGTTTTCTCATTTCTATGGCTATGGCATATTATACTAGGTACTCTCTTCTCCTTATGTGAATCACTTTTAGGGTCACTGAGCCTCTAGCCTAAAGCAAGCATGAACTTTTCCCAAAAATATTATTGGTTCCTAAGAATTCCATCAAGTTCTTTTTTTTTTTTCCTGGAGTCAGACAAATGGATTGTAAACTTCATTTGGAATAATATGCAAGTGAGAATAGCCAGGAAAACTCCAGAGAGGAAAGGGGGAGGGTGGCATCCCCAGCAGATGTTAAAATCTATAATAAAATTTCTATAATTAAAACAGTGTCTTAAACGGCATGTGGAAAAGCAGACTGACTGATGGGATAGGATAGAAAATCAGAAGTAAATCCAAATTAATTCCTAAATGTAGTTTATAATAAAGATGATATGTTAGTTTCCTATTGCTGCCATAACAAATTACCACAAATGTAGTGACTCAAAGCAGCACAGATTTATCAGTCTTACAGTGTTGCAGGTCAGAACTCTGCAACAGTCTTCAGTGGATTAAAATCGAGGTGTCTGGAGGGCTACATTTTTTTCCAGAAGTTCTAAGGGAGAATCCATTTTCTTGCTTTTCATAGTTTCTATAGGCCTCCTGCATCTGATGGCTCATGGTCCTTTCCTTCAAAGGTGCTTCAAAGACAGCAGCATCTGCAACTCTTCCTTGAACCCGACCTCCTCCTCTGCCTCCCTCTTTAATTTCAAAAGCGCCTATGATTACATTGAGCCCACCTGGATAATCCTTAATGTCAGCTGATTAACAAATTTTATTCCATTTGCACCTTTAATTTCCCCTTGCCATGTAAACATATTCATAGGTTCCATAAATTAGGGCATAAACATATTTGGAAGGCCATTATTTTGTATACCACAGATGACATCTCAAATGATAAAAGAAAGGTGAACTTGTAAGATAAGTGATGTCCAAATAACTAGTTAGTTTATAGAAAAAGATAAAATTGGATTCATTCCTCAAACCATATACCAAGATAACTTGTACAAGTATAAGAGATTTAAATGTAAGAATATAAAACAATACAAAAACAAGAGGAAATATGGGTGAATTTCTCTATAAATAGAAGTGGGTAAGACTTTTGTAACTAAGACTCTAAATCCAAAAGCAATAAAGGTAAATTATATATTTATATGTGTATATATGTGCATGTATATATATGTGTGTGTATATATGTGCATATATGTATGCCTATATATGTATCTATCTCTGTGTGTATATAAATATATACACACATATACACAAACACATATACATATACACACACATAAACACATAGATAAATTTTTTGCAAATCAAGACAAATGACAACTGAAGAAAACATTTGCAGTTAATCTCACAAACATTTTTGATATTTAAATAACTAGAGAAAGAAAAGACCAATAAAAATGAGCTAGATAAATGGAAACTTCAAAAATATGCAATGTAAACTGCATTTAAACCTATGGAATAAAGATCAAACTGGCTCATAGTAAGAGAAACGCAAATAAAAACTAACCAAGATACAATTTCTCACCTATTTAATGGGCAAAAATCCAAAAGTTTGCCAATAGGCTCTATTAGCATGGCTGTGGGAAAATAGGTACTGTCATACACTGCCAATGTGAATGCAAAATGGTACAATGCCTATGGCAGAGAGTTTGGAGATACGGTAATGTACCCCATAATGACATTTTGATCAACAACAAACTGCCAATATAACAGTGGTCCCATAAGATTACAATGGAACTGAAAAATTCCTATTGCCTGGTGACATCATAGCTGTCATAACATTGTAGCTCGATTACTTGATATTTAAAAATAAATTTTGCGTACCCTAAGTGTACTATGTTTGCAGTCTACAGTAGTGTATACAGTAATGTCTTAGGCCTTTGCATTCACTCACCACTCACTTAGTGACTCACTCAGAGCAACTTTCAATCCTGCAGGCTCCATTCTTGGTAAGTGCTCTATACAAGTGTACCGTTTTTTAATCTTTTATACTGTATTTTTACTGTACCTGTCCTGAGTTTACATATGTTTAGATACACAAATGCTTACTATTGTGTTACAATTGCCCACAGTATTTAGTATAGTAATATGACGTACAGTTATGAGGCCAAGGAGGAAAAGGCTATACTATATAGCCTACATAGGTAGTAGGCTATACCATCTAGGTTTGTATATGTGCACTCTGACATTCACACAATGACAAAATCACCTAATGGCACATTTCTTAGAACATATCCCTGTCGTTGTGATGCATGACTGTATCTAACAAATTACATATGCATTTTACCCTTTGATGTGGCAATTTCACTTCCAGGAATTAATTCCAAAGTTACACTAGCGTAAATTGTAAAAGTCATTTGCCCAAGATCTTTATTAAAGGAAGTTTTATTCTAGCAAAAGACTGGAACTGCTGTAAGTGTAAGTCAATAGGGAACTGGTTGAGTAGACCATGTCACAACCATCTAGTGGGGGTTTTATGCAGCTATAAAAAATGAGGAAAATATCCCTATACTACTATAAATTTACGTCCAGGATATATTGTGAAGTGAGAAAAGCAAGGTGAGGAAAATGTGCTACATTTATCTTAGTAGGCTATGCAAAATAAAACAATAAAGAAAAACACCCATAACATTAGAAAAATGGTTACTTCTAGAGAGTGGAAGGAATAGGTAGAGGGAATAGGGATGCAAGCTAGATTTCTTTAAATATGCTAGATTGATAAATTTGATTTTAAAACCACATAAATATTTCACAAAATTAAAAACTCAATTCAATTGAAAAATCTCTATCAACTAAGAAAAACCACAAATGTATGTTCAGTTTGTGGGATAGCCACATGGTGAAGAAGTATTCTAAATGGTTTTAAAACCCAGTAACGTGACTGTAGTAATACTGCAGGTCGAGTAGGTGTTTTATTCTACCACTATTGTGTGATAATCTGGAAACAGACAAATGAGTAGCTATGTGATGGCTTAATTCAGTTATCCCTGTGTCCTTGAGAGCCAGGTTTGTCATCCTCAAAATAGGAGAAAGGAGACACAGAAATAAGATAGAAGAGGTTAAGTAAAAATCCTGTAGTCTTGAATTTAAATTGGAAGATATAGTAGGGATTTTGATGTGATTTATCTTAAAAATAATTCCTAGCTTAGTCTAATGAAAAGGCCTAGAAACCATGGTTAACCAAAGAGTAATAAGCCCTCTAACACTCGGATTTTTATTCTGAAATACTATTTCCCACTAAAGCAAACCACAATTCCTGGGACAGGAAATGTACAAGATGAGTTTGAAATATTTTACCAAGGAGGCTATTAAACACTATTAAGGTAGTGTTAAAAAGATTCAGGAATCAACCTAAAGAAGATCCACTGGCAAAAGAGAAAACAATTCCAATTATACAAGAAAAACCATATATTCTATAGTTGTTTGAGCAGTGTTTTATATATAAGACTACGTAAACTCTTAGTCATCATTTTTACAATTTCTTTTTATCTGCTGATTTTTGTCTGATTATTCTTTCAGTAACTGGACCTGTATCCATATATTACAATAAATGCAACTTCATAAAAAGATGAAGCAATCTGATTATCAATAAAGATGTAAGCTGCAATGACTTTAATACTAAATACATTTAAATCAATGGGTTCATAATAATACTTATCCAAAAAAAAAAAAGAAAGCTTACCATCAACAAAATGTACTAGCTTCAGAATGCGGAGAACCAATTTATTCTTTTTAAAATTTAGAAGTTGGGAGAAGGATTAAGCATTTACCCTATGTTTCCTATGTTGTACCATTAAGTAACCAAATGGAAAGCAAGGGAAAGTTTCTCATTATAGAAATATTTTAAGAAATAAGTGAAGAAATGATAGAATTGCAATATTTTTCTCATTCTTCCCCAGCCCCAGTGATCCCCATTAGGGCTCAAGACCATGGCATCAATTACAGCTTATAAAATAAAAGAGAGACAACGTGACTTCTGATGGAACAGTGCATCATCTCTAAGGTAGCCTTGCAAAAAAAATATCAAATCTGAATCGGATCATGCCTTAGATTTAACAGTTGACAGAAAAAATAGAGAACATGGGAATCTCCTAATGACACCACAGGGATGCAATTAGAAAAATCCTGACTGAGGGAAATTTTAAAGATCTCAAAAGATCTAATGATTCAGTCTTTCTGACAAATAGGTATCAAGAGAATAAAATGAAAATGCCTATAAATTAAGATAGATTTATGGAACTTATTAATCACATTCGATGTGCTAAACTGGTAAATAAAGGGAAAGAATCAACCATTTATCTTGTGTTTCCTATTCAAACTGGGATAATCAAAATAGAATTTCTTCTCCGAGTCCCTGAGAATGGGGCACGTATTTAACCAAATCACAAACTACGTTTATTAACCACGTAACTTATTCATCACACTTTGTTATTCTCTGGGATTTGTAGTTTCACAAACCAGCACCTGCCTTCTGATTCTCTTTTCCAGCCTGTATTTTGGACACTGAACCAATCGCATGGAGATTTATTTTTTAGCTGGTGAATCTTTCATTATGTAAATGTTAATGTATTATTAATGATAATAATAATGCTAATAATAATGTGACTAATTTCTTAAGTCTTCCTTATGTGCAAGGAACTGTGTATTGTGTCATTTACTTGCCCAGTGATAGTAATGTAGGCATTTTAGGATTCCCATCTTACAGATGAGGGAACCAAGGCTTTAAAAATTTAATAAATTGCTTGTGAGCCCACAGCCAATATCAAGCTAGAAACGTGCACCTGAGAACATGATTCCCTGTCCAGGGCTGTTACTTTCACCAAGTACTTAATTTGACATAAATGTAAAGGAAGAGATTGCCTTTTTGGTTAAATGTTCTCTGACACTAGAAATACAGTTAAAGGCTCTTAAAAGGCTCTATAGCTTCTAAGATGAATAACATGAATTGAAAATACAATGAAAAGTGTACCCCTTTTGTAGCTGGGGGATTCTTGCCTTTGCATCTAGACTGGAGTTCTGCTTTAAATGGGTTGCCATTTCAGGATTGCTTTAGGGATCAATGATAGTAAAGAGGAATGTTTTAGTCTAATAATATTAACCTGAATATATAAAATGTGCTATCTAGGGACAAAATGTACTTTTGCATTAGAGAATGAGAAAGGAAAAAAAATTAAAAACTGGAGCAGAGAGGTAGAAAGGTGAAGAGGAAAATAGGTTATGGAAATGAGGAGTCAGATTGGGAAATAAGCTTGATGAATAATTAGTGAGAGGGCAATGGGGTAGGTGTAAGGCTGGGCTCACTTTGCAACCTGCGTGCTGCGTGGAACCTGGAAAACCACTACATACTGTATAAAGTTTCCTTTTTTTGTCTTTAATGACAACAAGTCAAACACTACTAATGTCTCATAGAGGCCTGGGAGGCTACTGCACAGATCAGGTAATGACATTTATCTTACACCTACTCAGCATACAACTTCTGGGTTTTGGCATTCAGTTAAGATTCACTTGGAACCATATGGATGATACTGGCAATTATGTCACACTCTATTCAGGATGCAGTAGAATTTAGCAATGTTGTATCAAGATCCTATCATGGACTGTGACTTACTATTCTCACAAAATGAGAATGGTTTGGAACCTTTGACCTCCAAGAGCCATTCTTGAATCTATGATCCAGCTAGCTCCAGGAAGATGACTGGAAAATAGATTCTTAGGTTGTGTTTCAAAATACCAAAATGTACTTTGGGCATGATTTTTATTTTTCTTTTAATAAGATTAAATATTAAATATTATATTTAATGTATTAAATACATAATAATAATAAGCTAATGATGAAAGTATTTTGAGCATGAAAAGCACCATCTCAGGTAGACTGTAAGGTATGAATAAGAATGCCCAAGGGTAGGCTGGGATGATTGATTCAAGACTCAAACAATTTTAATTTAAATCCTCCTTGACACAGGTTCACATAAATCAATGTCCCTGGGTCCTAACACTCTGTCTTACATTCCAGTACTTTCTGATATCTTTAGCTATTTATCTGACTTTGCTTAAAAATTCACAGCACAGAGATCAGAGGGTTACATTTCTCTTACCTATGTATACTACTCCTTTCCCAGTAATTCTGCATTTGTTAAAGGCTGATGTGCTTCTTAACACAAAGGGACTTGATTTATTCTGAGCCTTGAACTCTCCCTAAGGAAAAAAAGAATAATGAACAGCATTCTGAAATACTTTGATTAGTTGTGGATTAGATACTGGTTTGTGTAACTTGTTTATGAAACTATAAATCCTAGAGGGAAAAAAAAAGTGAGCTGAATATGTTAGGTGCTTAATAGACGTGGTTTGTCAATGGGAACATCCGGACATAAAGATGGAAATAATAGACTGAGGACTCCAAAAGGGGGTCAGTGGGAAGAGGGTGAGGATTGCAAAATTACCTATTGGTTACCATGTTCAATATTTGGGTAATGGGTACACTAGAATTCTAATCCCTACCAGTATGCAATATCATGTAACAAACATTCATATGTACCCCCTGAATCTTAAATGAAATAAAATTTTAAGAATGTAGTTTGTGATTTGATGAAATATATTCTCTATTCTCAGACTTCCTCCTCTAAACACACAAAGTTCAACCTAGGCAGTCACTGTTTTTATTTTGGCTCTGAATTAAGCCTTGACTACTTTAACTGGCATGTTCTGCAGAATAACAGGGCCACACCCTGAGGTCCTGCAGCCCCTTATAGTATAGGATTTCCTCTCTGCAAGGCCAAAAAGTCACTGCATTTGCTATTGTGATGGCTTATTATATTAAGAACTCTCCACCCTGTAAACAAGGCAATCTAAAATATATTGACGCAAATTATAAACAAAAGTAATCCTGTATAAATGTTTCAGACAGTGTCTTAAAGGGATCTATGTTTATTTGTGAAGCTGAACTTGATATTTATACACAGCCTTTACTTTTTTTTGTTGTTGTTTTCAGGTTTCTTTAGACAGTTACTGCATAAACCTTCCTGGCTCTCATAAACTGTTGTTCTGAACACCATATTTTCTTCCTTCCTATCTGTGTTATAAACAATATAAATTTTACCAACTCATCCATGTTTTAAACCTGAGCTGTCTAATATGCTAGCCACTAGCTACATCTGGCTACTGAATACTCAAAATGCAGCTAGTATGAATTGTGATGTGCTCTAAGTGTAAAATACACACTGTATTGGTCAGGGGCCTCTAGAGGGGCAGAACTAATAGGATAGATGTACATATCAAAGGGCGTTTATTAAGGAGAATTGACTCACATGATCACAAGGTGAAGTTCCACGATAGGCTGTCAGCAAGCTGAGGAGCAAGGAAGCCAGTAGTATCTCAGTCCAAGTCCCAAAACTTCAAAAATAAGGAAGCCAACAGTGCAGCCTTTAGTCTGTGGCAAACCACTGGTGTAAGTCCAAGAGTCAAAAAGCTGAAGAATTTGGAGTCAGATGTTTGAGGGCAAGAAGCATCCAGCACAGGACAAAGATGAAGGCCGAGACTCAGCAAGTCTGCTCTTCCACCTTCTCCTACCTGCTTTATTTTAGCCACGCTGGCAGCTGATTAGGTGGTGCCCAGCCAGATTGAGGGTGAGTCTGCCTCTAGCAGTCCACTGACTCAAATGTTAATCTCCTTTGGCAACACCCTCATAGACACAGCTAGGATCAACACTTTGCTTTCTTCAATCCATTCAAGTTGACATTCAATATTAACCATCACACACACTAAATTTCAGACTTAGTACAACAAAAGATTATTAAAAATGTCATTAATATTTTATATTGATTACATGTTTCAATGATATTTGAAATATATCAAATTAAATAAAACATTAAATTGATTTCAGTTGTTTCTTTTTCTTTTAAAAAATATTGCTACTTGAATATTTTAAGTTAAATATGTGGCTCACATTATATTTCCACTAGAAAAAATTTTATGAACAATACAGATCATTACCAATGATATGTCATGTCTGGAGTACAGAGTTAACAATCAAATAATTTAATGACTATTCTGTCAATAGTTTTTAGGAATAAAACACTTTTTTTGAGACAGACTCTCACTCTGTCGCCCAGGCTGGAGTTCAAGGTGTGATCTTGACCCACTGCAACCTCTGCCTCCTGGGTTTAAGCGATTCTCCTGCCGCAGCCTCTCAAGTAGCTGGAATTACGGGTCTCTGAACCAAACAGTGCTATACTTCTTCTTTCTGGCACACAGTCAGACTACACAGAGAGCGCTAGTAAGTCCCAGTGGACTCTTACTGTAACCTGAGATAGAGCTAGTAAGTCCATTGGGAGCATGTGACTGAGTTCTCACCAATGGAAATGTGGAGAGAAGTGATGTTTCTCTTCCGGTCCAAGGTTGCTGAAGGCAGAATAGGAGTTCTCCACATTTTCTCTCTCTTTTCTATGTGGTTGAAAATAAATTCAGAAACAGTTCAGAAATGGGAGTTGCCCAGATCCCTAAAATACCAGGAGGGGAAAATTACCAAACAGAGCCACCTAACCTGCATCAGGTTGTGACATGAATACAAAACTAATTTTTGTTTTATTAACACCCCCAAAACTTTGGCAATTCTCTTTGTGGCCATTAACATATCCAGGCAACCAATACTAACAAACAAAGACCAAAATAGAATTATAATACCAAAATTGAAATTGGGAGAAGGTAATTTAGGTGTTCTAAGGTCCTTGTTTTATTCAGATAGGCAATAAAAATACTGATTGCCTAAGTGAAGTATTTTAAAGTTTCTAGAATATAAATAGAATGCATGGCTTCCAAAGTAACACAAAGAAAAAAATTAAATGTCAAATGAGTACTCAGTTTATCTAAAAGAAAAGAGATGAAAATACAAACATAGCAAATGCAGGACAAATACACAGTACAAACGTGATGGTAGAAATCATTAAAATATATTAGCTATTTTTAAAAATGCTCAAGCTAAATACAAAGATGGTTAATCTGCATTAAAAAATTTCCAGCATATACTGTAAAGGTGAGAGCTCTCAAACAAAAGGATCTAGAAAATTTGGGATTAACAGAATGAAAGTTGGAATCAAAAGAATTAAAAATAAATAAGAATAGAAGAAAGTTATGTAGCTTTTTTATATCAGAAAAATATATTTTAAGGCACAAACGTTACTAGAAAAAAAGAATGTCACTATAAATTGAAAAAGATTTCAGTTTTCCAGGGAGATGTTAACATTCAAAGCTGATGTGTTATAAATAACAGAGTCTCAAAACAAATTTAAGATATTGTACAACTACAATGTGAAATAGATAAATTACTCACTATAGAGTAAATGATAAAGTTCAGTAATGATTGATCAAGAGGGAAATACAAAAGTAAGGCTACAAAACACACGAACATCACAATTACTGCATTTGATCTAATAGAAATACATTCAATACTACATGTAAAAACTGAAAACTGAAAGTTCTTTCTACTGCACTTAGGACGTTTATTGAAATTGATGCCTATTGGGTCCTGATAAAAGCTTAAATAAATTTCAAAGGATTAGTCTACATGGGCCAACTTTCTTAGTAAACTGTGATCAAATTCAAAATTAAGAGAATACATATAGAACTGTGTCAAATATTTGAATATTAGGAAACTCACTTTAAATTGGACATGGGACAAAAGTGAAAATGGAAATTAGTAAATATTTAGAACTGAGTGGTTATGAACATATTATCTATTAGCCTTGTGGAATACAATTAATGCAGTACTCAGATAAAATGTTATGATATGGTTTGGCTCTGTGTCCACCCCCTAAATCTCACGTCGAATTGTAATCCCCACATGTGAAGGGAGAGACCTGGTGGGAGGTGACTGGATCATGGGGGTGGTCTCCCTCATGTTGTTCTTGTGATAGTGAGTTCTCACGAGATCTAACTGTTTAAAAGTGGTACTTTTCCCTTAGCTTTCTGTCTCTCCTGCTGCCATGTGAGACATGTCTTGCTTCCCCTTCATCTTCTGCCATGATTGTAAGTTCCATGAGGCCTCCCAGCCATGCTGAACTGCGAGTCAATTAAATCTCTTTTCTTTATAAATCACCCAGTCTCAAGCAGTTCCTTATAGCAGTGTGAAAATGGACTAATTTGTAGTCCTGTTGTAACTCTAATTTCTTTTATTAGGAAAAAAGATGTGAAAATTAATGAACTAAGCATCTCTTTCAGTCGGTTTTGCTACAGTAACATACCACCATGAATCTCAGTGTGTTACACTGACAAAAATGTATTTCCTTTTCACATTACATGTAGATGTGAGTCAGATACTGCTCTGCCCCAGTGTTGTTCTTCCCTGCAGCTTGCTTCATGTGTTTTATCATTCCAAGACCCAGGTTGAAGGAACTACTGTGGAGACCAATCTATTCTTGTTCCTAATGGTAGGGTGAAGAACAAGATAGGTGTTGGAAAGTCATTTGTACCTTAAAGCTTCTCCCCAGAACTGGAACATTGTCTAGTCTATGCCCAATATCAAGGTCTATGGATTGAGGTGTTTTCCAAGGAAATATACTACTATCTGCTATCTTAATAAAAAAATAAGTTTCTTTGTTTCTACAATCAAAATATATTAACTCCCTCCCCTAATGAAGAAATCCTAATATCAGATTCAAGGTCAATACCTAGGGTCTCATGATAGTGTCTCCATTGAGTGAAGATCTAGAGATCTAACACATAAAAAGGCACTGCCCTCAAATACAGGATCATGGGACAGTGAACAATTACTGCAAAAACTACTCCCATTGGAAAGAGGATAAGAAATGTTATGTGATTAGGCCTTTATTTTGCCCAGTCTATATTCCATGGTGCCAAGCACTTCTCTCCAGAAGAGTTATTTTCTATTTTCCTCCTTGGCCATATCTCAAAAGGGTATTGAATAATATGCATCTTTGGGGGCTGAGCAGCTTGTTAAGCCTGCTCCTTTCTCCTAGAAAGCTGGAAGCCCAAAAGTTGTTTTATATTTTAACAGTTACAGTCTATTTTAATCCAGGCTATTGGAACTTTTGGCATTATAACTCTCTGAAAAACATGATTGTTTTTTCAATGAATTGATTTTAATCAGCAACATATTCAAATAGCTACACCTCTGTTATTTGGAAATGTGCCTTTCTCTCCAGACTTACTTATAAATAATGTGAGCTACCCAGCTTCAAGGAAACTGTTGGCATCTCTTTCTTCTAAGTCATTTTGTCCAACTGGCATAATTTTCTAGTAGTCATCTTAAACCATTCATAGTTTTTAACAAAGGATATGAATGGCAATGTCCTTTATTTGGACATGTGTTTTAATCTGAGATTTTGTTGCTCAAAGCATTTATTTTCTACTAATTAAAAAAATTATGTTTTCCTATCCGTCAGTCCCTAGAATCTGGTTACTCTAATTTCTGCTTCTTCCCTGCTTGCAAAGCAACCTATTCTTCTCTGAGCTCTTATGGCAATTCAGAGGAAAAGGTAACATTAGTAATATTCTGTTGTGAAACTCCTTCCAAAGCCACTCTTTAATAGGTAGATCTATTATCTGTTTTCTGAGTTATTAAAGGTGACAGTTTGCTAAATATTTTGCCATTGCATATCATGGGTCATCATCGTTCCAGCCTCTGAAAATAGTATCTTTACAACTTGTCTCTTGGCCTCAAAGTCAAGACACAGATTTTCAATTGTTATAGGAGTACCTATCTTTGAGATACTAAGATTTGTTTTAATCAACTTTGCTATAGTAAGAAATGGGCTCAAAAGCTTAGCACTTATACCAACAAAAAATAATTTCTTGTTCATGTTACACTGAATCTTGGCTCAGCTATAGCTCTGCTAGATGTTTAAGTAGGGTGGGTTTTGCTCTAATGTCTTCCCAGTCCATGATCCAAGCTGCAAGTCCAGCTTTTGTGCTAGGAATTCACAATATCTCCTAAGAGTTGTGCTCAGAATTGGTAGTTAAAGAACCGACATCTTGTTCCTTCTGCTTACATTCCATTATCCCAAACAAGTTCTAGAGGTCAGACCAAAATTAGTGGGCAGAGAAGTAGAGCCCTTTCCATAAAGAAGGATGAGATAATCATATCTTTATAAAGAAGGATAAAATGATCACACATGCTCCCATTTTATACAATTTGAAAGAGAATAACAGAATAAACCACCCCTTAAAAATGAAGAGTCATTAACAAACAACAGAAATAAATTTAATTGAAAACAAACATATCAAAAATTAACCAAATGCAATCTTTTTAAAGAGAACTAATAAAAGTGAGAAGCCTCTGGCAAGGTTGGCCAAGTAAAATGAGAGAAGGCAAAATAAACAATGTTAAGAGTGGAAAAGGGGCTACAACCAAAGATGTGGCCAAGATTACAAAGATATAAGAAAATCAGATCAACAGTTTGACTGGAAAATTTAGAAAACATGGAAAAATTTGTAGAAATATGTGGCTATTCACAATTTTTTATAAAAAAAAAAGTGAGCACCTAAATAGTACCATAAAGAAATTGAATCAGTAATGAAAAATATCAGATTTAGGAAGTTAAAGCAAGAGTTCCAGACACTCTTACAGGAAAGTTTTGTCAGACATTAAAGGAAAAAATGCTTTGATCTTACACAAAATATGTGTGGAATACAAAATAGAAAAAGAGAACCCCCCCCTTACTAATTCAATGAGCTAAGTTAACTTTGGGGAGTTTAACCTGACAAGAATAGCAAGAGAAAGACAAATTTATAAAAACATCTTACTTATGAACATGAATCCAGAAATATTAAACATAATATTAGCAAAAAATACCAGGAATGTATTAAAAGGTTAATGTGTCTTGAACAATTTTATTTCAGCAATGTGAGCCTTGTTTAACATTAGAAACTCATAGTATTTTTTAATATAAAAACTTTAAATGAAAAGAATTAGATTATTATCTCAATGAAGACACAAAAAATTTTTGATAAAATTTAACATTGGTTAATGATAAAATATCTAGTAAGTTAGATATCAAAAATTACTTTTAACTGATAAACAGGATCTAGACAAAATACTCAGAAAACATTTTAATACTAATATGTTATGAAAATTTCCCTTAAGATTATAAATAAGACTATCTTCTATCACCACTTCTATTTAACTGTGTGTCCAGGGGCAAGAAGGCAAGCAAAAGAGGCAAAAGACATAAGAGCTGCAAACAAAAAAAAAATTATTAGCAACATAAAGTTTATCAATGTTGCTGAATACAAAATCAAATATAAAAATCAATTACTTTTCTAAGCAGAGGCAACAGGGAATAATAATGATATGCCAATTATAATATATTAAATACCTAGAAATAAGTGTCATATAAGATGCATCATACAATAATAGAAAAACTAAATTTGTACAGAAAGACATTAAGGAGACTTGCATGGAGAGATAAATTGTCTTAGTGAATTCAAAACTTTAATATTATAAATATATAAAATTAAAAATCTCAACAGGTATTTTTGTGAAAATTAGCAAATTAATTTTAAATTTTATATTTAAAGAAAAGCTGGATAATAGCCAGACCCCTCCAGAAGTAAAAGATTAGTGATTGAACATCCTTCATCATATATCTAGACTAACAAAACTTTAATATTTAAGATGGTGTGATATTGGTACAGAGAGAGACAAATGAAACATTGAAACAGAAAAAGGTGTACAGAAACATAGCCCTGACAGAATGAAAAATTGGTGTATAACAGGACCAGCACTGCAGACCCCTGGAAAGAATATAATTTTCATTAAGTAGAGTTGGGGCAATTGAGTTTTTATATGAAAAAATTATATTTCTTATTCTACAGCTTACAAAAATTCAGCTTATTCTAGGTGAATACAAGGATTTAAATGTGCAAGTCAAAACAATAAATAAAACATTGAGCAAACAATAGAAGATACTCTATGTCTTAAGAAATACATATTAAATAAGACATTAAAAGTCCCCCCTAAATTAGAGTATAGACAAAGTTAACTACACTAAAATGAGAAATTAAAACATACCATAAGAAAATGAAAAGGCACAGATTTGAAAATGTATTTGCAAAACATATAATGCAAAATGGTTGTATAACAAAAGTGTAAAGAACATCTACCTATACCCCACTCCCCCAAAAAAATTCAAAATAAAAGAAAAATTGGCAAAAGACTTGAAGAGACTTGACTTTACAGATTAGGTATCATGAATGCTAGTAACTTAGGAAATAATGTTCATGCTCGTTAACAATCAGGGAAATGAAATTAAAACCATAATGAGATATAATTTTACGTCTATTAACTAGGAAAAAAGTTAAACTATCTCAAGTATTGATAAGGCTGTGGAGATACTAGAAAACTTATGTCATGATAATGGGACTATTGATCAGTATAAAAACATTGTGAAAAAAATTAGCATTTTCTAGAAGGATGAAAATATGCATACCTTATAGCACTTTCACTCTTTGGTATATATTCTAGAAACATTATTTTACATGTTCACCAGAAGATACTGTTTAAGAACACAAAAACAAAAACAAAAAACCTAGAATCTAACCATATGCCCATTATTATAAAAGCAATAAACAAATTCTGACATTTTTATCTAACAAAATACTATGTATTTGAGAAAAAATAACAAATTACAGTTACACAAAACAATATGGATGAATTCAGGAACATGTTTAGTGAAAAAAAAAATAAGTTTAGGCCGGGCCACGGTGGCTCACTCCTGTAATCCAGCACTTTGGGAGGCCAAGGCGGGAAGATCACGAGATCAGGAGATCGAGAACATCCTGGCTCACACGGCGAAACCCCGTCTCTACCAAAAAGATACAAAAAAATTAGCCGGGCGTGGTGGCGGGTGCCTGTGATCCCAGCTACTCGGGAGGCTGAGGCAGGAGAATGGCACGAACCCGGGAAGTGGAGCTTGCAGTGAGCGGAGATCGTGCCCCTGCACTCCAGCCTGGGTGACACAGCAAGATTCCGTCTCAAAAAAAAAAAAAAAAAAAAGGAAAGAAAAATGAAAAAAAAAGTAAGTTTAATGATACCAACATATGTATTAAAACTATGAAGAAAAGCAAGGAAGTGATAAAAACAAAATTCTGGATTATGCTCCCCTGAACAGAGAGATAACTGGGTAAAATGAAAGGCATATGAGAGACAGCAATGGCAAAGGTAACATTCTTTCTATTAAACTGGGCAGTGGGTAAATGGGCATTGTATCATTTTTAATACTTACGTGTGTGTATGTATATATATAAATATTCATTCATATCTACTCAATATTTGATTACGAAAAAACCAATGAAGAATGCAAGACACAGAGGAATTAGCCACACCTCAGGGGATACAAATATATGACACTTTGTGACATAATGAGATGATAGACATCTCTTTCAGGCCAATGAGGGAATAGAGAGCAAAATGTGGACAAGAACACCATCCTAGCGCTATATGCATAATGAGATTCCCCTTCTTCAAAATGCCATCTCAGGGAAGCGGGAGTGAGCGAAGCCCCTTCCTTCTGAGAAAGCATAGACAGCCCTAATGAAGAATGAGAAATATTTTGAGCATTAAACTGACAGAAGAATTTCTTAAAGAAACTGTTTTAAACTGAAAGAGGCTGAATTATCTTTAATTGACAAGTGTCCTCCCATCTCACCATTATCAGTGCAAATAGAGACTCCAGAGGTAGGCAGTATAAAACAAAACAGTATTTTAGGGACATCTAAGTCATTGGGTGCATTCAGTTTTAATCTCACTAGAAGCACTACAGGAGTAAATTCAGGGTGCTTTTGTGGTACATTAGGAAGCTTGCCCCAATCCAGACTTGAGGATTGGATTGGGAAGAGGTAGTCACAGAAGGCTTCCTAAGACCTAAGAGACCAGGAGGATTTAGTTTGGGTAGTTTTTCAAATAGAAGAAAGAGCACATATAAGGATTATTCTCCTCTTGCCTTCCACTGACCCAGGGGGAAAACTTTATCTATACCTATATCTATATCTATATCTATATCTATATCTATATCTATATCTATGTACATATATATGCCCTACTTTTCTATGAGATAGAGTGGTAATCCTTTACTAAAGTCACATTCTGGCTCAAGAGAGATCTGGGCACGTATTCTCTAAGTTCACAGAGTCCTTGGAACTTCCCATCCTTGTAGCTCTTATTACCATGTATTAAGAACATTTTTCTTATTTGTCTTCCCTTCTAGGGAATTTCTATCCTTGAGAATTTCTATCATTTTCCCAAGTATAGAGCTTGGCACAAAGAAAGTGTTCAATAACATTTAATAAACGTTGAAAGAATAAAAATCTGAGTGAATAAGTGATCAAAGGGAAAAGGTACATTGGTGAGCTGAAAAGATCCAAAAGAAGAGAAATCTAAGAACGTGCAAGAAACTGGTTCAGAAGCAACCTGAAGAGAAGATACATTTTAATTTCAATGAAGTCCGTTTAGTCTCCATTGACCTCTTGCTATTTAATACATCAAAGAGTGGTGCTATCCTTTAGTAAATTGATTCAGTATGTTATTGGCTTTTTGGTTCTGGGAATCAAGACAGGCATATCCAAAACATAATCAATATTAGATTGAGGTTTGATTATAAGATCTGATTCTATAAAGGTGATCCAAAAAGATGAAGAATTTTCTATATAGCGTATGGTATTTATTGTACTGCTAAATGAATGATTGCTGTAACTGAATTAAAGTCATCACTAGCACATTAAGCAGTGCCTATTGTTTCTTCCAGGTAGCAAAACTGGCAAATCAAAAAGCCTAACAGAATAAAATTTTACATTGCACTCCAGGTTTGCAAAGAGTGATACAATATAACTCCAGGAGTTTGGGGCAAGTACTATAATGAGAGCTTATTATTGGACTCTAGCTTTGAATGAACCTTGGGTTTTCCTTTTAAGTAGATGCCTGTATTGTAGGACAAAGAGCTTTATCTCTTGTGACAGGAAAGCTAAGAATAACTGTTCTTTATGAGTCATGCAAACACATTCCAAAAAGGGCTTTCTTCTATTAAACATCTGTAGCAGCTCTTCCTGTCCTTTCCCACCACCTCAGCCCAGGTAGAGCTGACAGACAAGGGATAATAGGCAGCGGTTATTTTTACTCTATTGAATTTCAATAAAGGAACAAAAAATTATTCACAAGAACAAATAATATTTCAATTCTCTGTCTTCAGAGACAAAATGTGGCCAAGAGTGACCTTTGGGGACAGGAACTATAGAGTAATTCTTTTTTTTCAGTTTGTAGTTGGTGCCAATTTCTCACCAATGGAAAGAATTACAGCTCCCTCATTGAGTTCTCATTTCAGCATCTTTTGTAAAGATGAACATTTGAAGTCTAGAGAAAATGTTTTGCTCTATGTGGTGTTCAGCTTTACCTGGGCTGCCCCCGATGCCAATTTTTTTTTCACAAATGAATCTGATTCCTTTACTTATAGAAAGCTAGCATTTAGGGCTCAAGATACAATACGAAGATGTTGTTTTCACCTATTTAAAAATCAGAAAGGGAATGTATACCTTTAAAACAAAGTCTTAGATTTCTCTATTAAAAATTGACCGCAGAGACTAGGTTCTTCAACTTTTTCATCACTTGGAGAGACTGAGTAGGGGGAAGGGTAATAATTTTTTGATGGAATTTTTGGCCAAATAATTCTGCCCATCAACAGGAGGAAGGGAGAAGGTTGGTTATGATGGGATCGTGGGTACTCATCTCCAACAAACTCTGCAGTAGTAGTGGAGGGATATTGTCCGATTTCACACTTTTCACAAGTTATCCTCTTTGGTCATGTTTGACTTTCTGCCCAGCATGCAGAGTAGAGATAATACTGTCTGGCTATGCAGTTTGGAAGAATGATTTGCTTTCTCTTCTCTTCTTACTAAAATCTGGGAAGTAATAAGTAGAGAGAGGGAATGTATGTATGTGGATTATAAATCAAAAATAATATTTTAAAAAGGGCCAGTTTCTCACCTTTTTCACTTATCCTAGAGAAAATAGAGATTCTCATGGCAAAGTTTACTCCACAAAATGGCAACTGTGCAGTATCTTAAGAGCTCTTTCAAAGAGTAGAAGCTCAATAATCTTTGAGAGAATAAATGCTCGTCTAAGGAGACAAGAAAATATTGGTGTATTCTTTAGCTGGATGTCTATGTTTTCTAGTAGCTTGACCTCAGAATGAAACAAACGAAAACCAGTCTGGCTAGAATATCATAGTTGCTTATACTAATTCAGCAAACCAGCGAATTTCAGGCATCGACTACATCAACTAAGTAACAACAGCTGCTTAATGAATCCTCAAATTAGAGAGCTTTTTACTTCCCTTTATATCCCAGAATGGTAGAGCTGATGGAGGGCAAATTTTACAAAATAATTAAAATGGTGCCAAGCTTTTACAAGAAAAAGGAGGGGCCCTGACTAGCACAGACTCTAAGGACCAGCAGCTGCAGATGCCAATTTGAAGAGTCAACAACCTTTCTCACTCTTAAGGAGCAGGTTCATTGTTCAGCAACAGCCCTTTCACTGATGAAAACCCTCTTAGACCTGGAAAATGTGCCAAATGTGGGAAGGGCCTTTCCATGGCAGTTACACTGGTTGCCATAATTTTCTAACTGGCTTTGGTGCTTCTTTGTTGTGTTTCTGTGCTGCAAAGCAACAGAAGGAATAGGAATATGAGTGCAGGGCTTTTGATGGAGTGCAGAGTTTTTTTTCCCAGAATTTATTTCTGTTGCCATCTGCATCAAAATAACATTTTTTTTTTTTAACATTCAGTTTGAATGCCCTCAATTCACATAAGCAATTCACATACACTGTTTAACGTCTCTCATTTCTCAGCTCCCTGGGCTGCCCCCAAGTTTCCCCACTAAATACGTATTTTCCTTGAATCCTTTGTTCTTTTCACTCATGCATGCCCTGCGTCTCTCCTGTTTCATCCTTATGTCCAGCAGAGGAAACAGAAATTCATTTTTTTTTTTCCAATTACAAGATCGTTAAATTATTTCTAAGCAGTTTAGCTGGATTGGATCATCTTACAGGTGTCTCTCAATTTCCAGAAAACCTAGGAAATTTGAAGTTTGTTAAAAGTGAATTTGTTTCATTGTTCTTTTCATGCCTTTTCATGCCACTGGTTTTCATTTAAACTTGGGAAATGGTTGCTTCTGGAGAAAATAGTCCTGAAAGATAATGTCACAAGGGAAGTAATTTTAACATCAGAAGCATGCAATTCTCCATTGTAAGGGAAGGAATTATCTTGCTTGAAAATGCTTATTGACATAGTGATCTAGTCTGCTCAGTTAAGTACTTTGTTAAATAAGCTATTTGTTTTCTTTTGTAACAGCTGGAAGAGATGACATTTCAAATGCAAACAGTTTTCTTGGTCCCTGGGAAGGTATGGACTTGTGAAGGAACATTTTTTTTTTTCTGCAGCTTTTTGTGGCCATCACCATTTTGGGCCAGCCTCTGGAATCAATCTGTGCCTAAAGGGTGAGCAAGATAATGAGGCATGGGTGTAGAATGTACCCCGCCTCACCATAAACAGAATATTTTCTCCTCTGTACAACACCTATTTTTTGACCATCCACGAAACTCTACTGGAGCTCCAGAATAAGATCTGTACCTGGTCCTTACCTTCGAACAGTTACTATGCTAAACCATGATAAGCATTTACGCCAGTTTTCAATTGTAAGTAAGATAAAACGCAAACTAGCTTAATCCAGAAATTCACTTACTGACGAATGAGAAGTACAGAGCAGGACAGGCCTCAGTTATGGCTGGATTTAGGGCCTCAAGCAATGTCAGGTCTATTGGATTAGCTCTGCACCACTCTGTGGGTGGACTTCTCCACATTGACATGACGGCAAGATGGCTCCATCATGCCCATTTGGGTAGGAAGAAGACAATATATCTTACTGATAATTCTTACAAAAATTCTGGAATTCCTTCTGATGAAAACACTGGAAAGTCCCCTTTGTGAACTGAACAAGAAGACCAAAACAATGGAATTCTGTTGATTGGTGAAGCTAGGTCGCATGGCCTCAGGAGGGGATTCAGTGCTCTGACTGGTCAGCCCAGGTCACATGCCCAGAAGAAAGATTCAGTGATCTGATTGGCCATGTCTGAGTCACGTGCCTAGAAAAGCGACTCAGTGCTTTGCATGACCAGACTTGAGTCATATGTTTCAACTCTGAAGTCAGGGATAGGGCCCAACCTCCTGGAATAAGCAGTGGAGAAAGTCATTTCCCAAAGGAAAGTTATTATACTTATCAAAAGGGAGAGGAATGAATAAAAATTGTGCACCTGCAGAGTTACACTACATATTTAAAAAGCGTATTTGAGTACCTACTAAATTGTGGACAAAGTAGTGAGCACATATATGTGTCACCTCTTTTGATTTATTTCTCTCATCAACTTTATGAGGAGTTGCAGTTTATATTTAAGAATTCAAAGTTTCAAAAATTACATAGACTGCCTAATGTCACACAGTTAGAAGGAGGTGGAGCCAGGATTTGGGCTATAGTGTCTGATTTTGGAGGCTACACTCTGAAATACTGTATAATATCCTACCACTCAAAATGACAGTGACAACCACCACAACAGCTAATACTGGTTGGGTACTTGCTGTGCAAGGGGTTTTATGTGGATTACGAATAAAGTGCTAAGTCCAGGCAGAGCATAGCAGTTTCTCTTCCAAAAAAAGTTTTTATATAAATAAAGAATTGGATACAAGACTTGAGACTCTCTTTGGCATGAGGAAAGCAGCAGGGATAGGGCAGTAGTTTGCAGTGGTGCCGGTGGTGGCAGTGCCAGGCTTTAGGAAAGCTGTTTTCAGAAGCAGGAGGATACAAGATGTTTATAGGCTGAGAAAGGATCAAGAGAAGCAGAAATTGATAACACAAAAGAAAACAGAGATGTTTATGTAGTAAAGTCTCAGGGGAGGTGGGAGGGAATGAGATTAAGAGCTTTGATGAAGGTTTTAGCCTTGGATAAGAGAAACACCTTTTCTTTTAAGATAGAAGGGAAGAAAGGAAGGCTGGGACAAAGAAATATAATTGCTTCTGTTGGGATTCTTAATATGATACCCCAAAGTAAGGTATCTTGGCATGCTGAGTACTTTGAACTGAAGATTGGAAGGGCCTCAGAAGCGAGTTCTCTCTGACCTTCTTCTGCGCTTCTGTCTCACAACCCTTTTTCTTCCCCAAAGGGATTCATAGAAATTAGAATTCCTGTTTCCCAAGGAGGGTCATAGAAATAGAACTCCTCTTCTCCAAAGCAAGCCATAAAACCTATAAAAGTCATTCTCTATCTTCTGCCTTCTTCTTCTTTGAAGACCTTCATTCCAGAGGCGTCCTTCCCCATACTCAGGAGGATGGAATGCTACACTGACAGTCCAAGAAGAATCTGAATGGACAGACCTTGCTGCGTTTCCCTCCTCAGTCAATTACAATCAAATTACACCCTTTTGTCCCATCACATTTCTATAACACTTTATCGAGCCTAAGCATAAAAATAGTTTTCCCTGGGTCTTTGGGTTTTCATTTCTGAAGGTCCCTGTGTCATGTAAAACTTTGATTAAATAAGTTTGTTACACCTTTTTTTGTTAAACAGTCTTTCATTTTAGGAATGTCAACCGTGACCCTTATGATGGGTGAAGGAATGTATCACATCTTTCTGCCTCTACACTCCTTCGTAGAAGAAAATACAGGTCTTCAGGTTTGTGTTGAGGCTGCCTATCCGTTTACATGGAATAAATAGAGTTGCACCTTTAATTCTGCTTTGATTCCATTTTCCTCAAGGTCACAAGTCTCTTGAGGGTACCAAATCACCAGGATTTTGGCTGGCTGTCCGCAGCATTTTAGAGGTCTTTATCATGTTCCGTTATGGAATTCTTGTCAAGTTTGCTTGCCTGATTATTTATTAACTTGATTAGGCATGTTAAAGGTGCTTTCTCTTTGTCATTCTGGTGTTTTTATGGTGCGTAGTTACAAAAGAATTAGTTTCACCATTTATTGCAGAATAATGTATAACTCACACGCAGGGTTTAAGTACATAATTTAATGTAGCTGGCAAATAGTGTGTTTCCAAGAAAGAGATATAATACACTAACTAATTAGCTATGGTTTGTAATATAGATAAATTGGCAGCTGGAAGTGACAACCATTACTTTATAATTAATTGAGTTAGATCTTTCTAAAATTAATTAGTTAGGAAATACAGCTGGGCAAAGATTGATGCACAGGAGGCCTTTGGTGCTCTCACCAGAAATCAAGGTCAAGCAAGTGATTATGGCTATTCCACCTTTTTACTGCTTGTTCAGCAGTAATTCAACCACCAGTTATTTCTGATATGCTCCCTAATTGTCTTCTTTGGGTTCTTTTGAGTCTTCCAGAAAATCCACAGAAACTGTGTTTTCTAAAATTGACCAATCCTAATTATAACTCTATTGTTCCACAGACATTTTTTTAAAAAAATAAATATAATTATTGAGTGTTTAATACATATTAAACTATGTAAATATGATAAACCACTTATGTACTTTATTTCATTTTTCCTCACAAGATGCCTATAAATTAGGTTTTCAAAGAGGTGGCATAACATAATGGTGAAAGCCAAGATTCAAATGCCTGACTTTCTAGATTTAGATCCCAGCTCTGCTAGTAACTGCTGTGTGACTTTGGGTAAATTATTTAACCTATTTCTGAGTTTCCTTATCTGTAAGATAATGATGATAATAGTACCTTCCTCATAAATCTGTATGGATTACATTGGTTAATCTGCACATGCGTGAGTTTAAAATAAAAATAGGGCTGTCACAGTGTTATTATTTTTCTGCACCACCACCTGCCCATAATTATAATAGGTTTCATTTGTGAGCACTTACATGATTCTAACCATTTTAGGCATTTTAACTGACTTAATCTTCCCAAGAATCCCATGAGGTAGATGTGATGTGAGTTGAATGAATCCTCCTTTTACAGGTGAGGGAGTTGAGGCTCAGAGAAGACTGATAACTTGCCTAAAGTTACCTTCTTTACTAGTGTAAGAACCAAGATCTACTCTCAGCTTCAAAACCCATGTTTTTTACTACTCTATGTGGCTGCTCCTCTTTCAGCACTGCCTGTATATCAGACACTCAGAATGAAGTGGGGTCCCAGGAAGGAGCAGTGTTCTTTTTGTGACCCTGTCATTACATGCACTCTTCACCTGGAATGCTCTGCTTCTTTTGCCCTTGTTTTAAATACCTATTCAGCCTTAAATAGTCAACAACAGCAACAAAATCACCTCTGCTGAAAAGCCTTCCTTAATGTTTTCATAATCTTCCATAATAATTTTATGCTTATCTCTTTTATAACATTTTAAAGTCAATATGTTAGTCAAATGATCAATAAATATTTACTAGTTCATCAATGACTTTTTATTGAGTCCCTTTTTTCAAGGGGCTTGTATCCTAATGGAGGAAGATAGCCTTTAAACATGGGGGAGAAATAAAAAAATTAAGATACTGTCAGATGTGCAAAATGA
Organism: Homo sapiens; assembly: GCF_000001405.40. Taxonomy (NCBI): domain Eukaryota; kingdom Metazoa; phylum Chordata; class Mammalia; order Primates; family Hominidae; genus Homo; species Homo sapiens. Next base: position 88,954,139 of record NC_000012.12, on the reverse strand, counting down.
CTTTTGGAGAGGATGCAATGGGTTAATGTAGAAAGGGATTGAATGTGCTGCTTCAACTAGATTGACTGGAGATAAGACTTGAATAATGGGAAGTAGTCCCATTATTGGGGAGAGAGATGATTGGAGTGATATTAAGCTGTTTTTTGGATGCTGGCTTTAGAAAAGGAAGGAATAAGGTGAGCCACCTTGGTGTTTCCTGCTCACTCTGGGAGAAGTTTTGTTGCTTGATAGCTCTTAGAGATTGAGGTTTAAAAATAACTTATAAAAAAGCCAAAAGGGATGACCAATTTTAATAGTTAATTATAAAGAATTCCTAGATTGGAGAGATGATTGGAGATGAGACTTGAATAATGGAAAGTAGCTGTTACAGTAGGTAGCTAGTCATACATGAGCAGGGCAAGAGAAGGCTCTCCCTGCCACACGCACACACCAGGAATATCAGGCGACCATCAGATGATGATCACACCGTTGTTAAGTGTCTCTCTAAAGTATTAGTTGGTCGCAGCCAGCACCTTAGAAAGGCACTCCCTGACAAACAGGAACACCTGAAACTGGTGATCAGCAGCTTCTCGGTAAGGATCTTAGGTGTTGAGCAAGAGAGCTGAAGCATAAACATTAGGAGGCACAATGGCAGAGTTTAACTGGTATATGACATCTCCAGTGATATACCACTTCTAGGGACAGCTCCTAGGGACATTTGACAGGTAAGGTAAGAGAAGAACACCTCAAGTGAGCGTGCGTATAACTCCAGTAAACACACTGCACACGCTCCCCTCCCAACCGCTAGTAGGCCACTGCACATGCGGACAGCCCACCCCAAGGGAAGAATCAGGGAAGAAGTAATGAAGACCCCAGAGCAAGCCAATGTATAAAACCCCAAGTCCAGAGGTCAAACTGTGCACTTGATCTCTCGTTTCCCGTTTGGACCTCTTCCAAGTGTACTTTATTTCCTTTCATTCCTACTCTAAAGCTTTTTAATAAACTTTCACTCCTGTTCTAAAACTTGCCTCAGTCTCTTCTTCTGCCTGATGACCCTCGGAAGAATTCTTTCTTCTGAGGAGGCATGAACTGAGGTTGCTGCAGACTTGTATGGATTTGCTGCTAGTAACATAGCCAGCCCTGCAAAGATACAGCATTCCAAGCAGAAGCACCAGCAAGTGCAAAGGCCCATTGCTGGAATCAAAGTTGCTGCTTTGGAGGGACAAAATGAAACAGAGTGCAACTGTGAATAACATCAAAATACGTATAGCCATTATTTTTTTACAGGCTTATTTCTCCACCTAAACTGTGAACTTTTTAGGGTTAGGATTATTCTCCACTCATTTTTGAATCTTCAGTGTTTAGTATATATCCCTGGACATTGGTTGATTTTGGCCAGTTGCCAGCATGAATCATTGACACAGTGAACTGTTATCACAGATATTTCTCTTTTCTCTTCCTTTTGCCTTCTCCATACTTGTAACTCTTCTGAAAAGAGTTTCATATTTTTCTTTTTTCTCTCTAGTCCCCTCTCCACATTTCTGTTTTCATTTGGTTCTACCTTTCCCCACTTTTATTTATCTTTATCCCTTGATCTCTTTTGTTGCCCCAGGTAATTCCATCCTGAGCTGCAGGGTTCTATCAATAGATAATAGTCTTAGGATAGAAGATGAAGCACATTAGACACCTCTTAGCTCTCTTTAATCCCTACCTTCTTCCACAGACCCCAAAGAATTCCTTATATTTTGGGGTCAGACGCCAAAGCTGAAAACATAACCCAGTCCTGAGATCTTTGTTGGCAAAAGAATGCAAGCTGGTGTCCTTTTAAGCTGTTGTTTTGGATGCTGGCTTTAAAGATGAGAGAATAAGGTGAGCCACGTTGGTGTTTCCTGCTCACCCTGGGAGAAGTTTTATTGCTTGATAGCTCTTAGAGATTGAGGTTAAAAAAGAACTTATAAAAAAGCAAAAAGGAATGACCAATTTTAATAGTTAACTATAAAGGATTCCTAGAGTTCCTTTTCTTCCAGCTGATAGAGAAAAGAAGAAACTCCTGTGCCTTTGTCTTGTAAGGCAGCTTTCATCTGCTCCCCAGGAGTTTACACAGCTATTCAGAAGGAAAAGATAACCAAAGCTGAGCTCAAACCTCCCCTGGGGTCTTAAAGGCCATCTCTTTAGTAGGAAATATGCTGAACCCACAAATCTTGGATAAATAGATTAAATCAGCTTTCCTTCCATTTTTTATTTTCATTTTTCTTTCAGGGAGTAGGAGCCACCTATAAAGAGTTTAGAATCAACTTTGAAAATATAAGATCAGTTTCCTCCTGCCTGTGACTGTTTTTGAGATGCCAGCCAAGGTGACCTTATTCCCTCCCCTTCTTCCCAGGCATTATGAGGCTTTCTGTATAGCCACCTTCGTTGTACAGCTTCAAGCACAACTCAGCTCAATGAACTTTCATTACAATAGAGAAAATCTGGTGCTGTTTCAGAAGCTATTTTTTAGTGTTTGCTTTAGGCTTTAGCTATAAAATGCATATAATACCTTTAATTATTCTAAGTTATTTTAAAAAATAATCTTGCTGCATAAATGTCTTAATCAATAGGATATTTTCTAGAAATTCAAAGGTGAAGAGGCAATCATGTACAAATTATACCCTTGGGCTCTGGAGTCATATTGCCTGAACCAAATGCCTGCACCAACACTGGGCCGTCTTTGGAAAGTTGTTTATTGCCTCTTTGGCTCAGTTTTCTCATGCTTGAATGATAATAAAAGTCTCATGTTGTAGGGTTTGGGGAAGGAGTAAATGAGATAATGGACATAAAGCTCTAAGTACAGTGCCAAACTCAATTTAAACACTTAAATAAAGGTGACAATCATTTTGGCCATCTGAATAGAGGAGTAGCAAGGAAAGAGGAGGGATAAGGTAATCCTACTGGTCTCAGCCATGTTGTTCCAGTTTAATACCCTTGACTGCGTTACTGGCCTCTGTACTCACAGGAGCTGTTCAGGAAGATGCAAGAATTGTTCTGGGAAGCATAGAAATTCTAACATATGCACGAAGTCATCTCATTTGCCAATGTTACTACAATAAAGAATTGTAAACAAAAAAAAAGACATTCAGAATTTCAAGATCATCTAAGAAGGGCAATAGGAGCAAATAAAAAAGAAAACATCAAATCCAATCAAATTGAAAAAAGTGCCTACTACGTGTCTAGTACTGTGTGGGGCTTTCTTGGGAGATTGGGGTGGGGGAAAGGTGACCTAGTCACTACACTTAAAATTCAAATATGGGAGTAATAATTTTAAAAATAATCTGTGATTTGGCAAAAGACATGTAGTCATTGAAGAGAAAGATGCATCTTACTCTTATATGTTCCGTAGCGCTCCTGATACAATATACAATGCAGAGACAATATTCACAGTATTGATTTCAGAGCAAATGTAAAGTTTCTAATATGAAGGAAAAGGCAAGTGACATCTCATCCAGAAAATGGGATAATTACTGTGAAACAATTAAGAACACAGACTCAGGAGACAGAATATCTGAATTTGAGCTTGGACTCCCTTACCAGCTATGCGACCTTGGGCAATCCACTTTGCCCTTTATGTGCTTTATTTTCTCCTCTCTCAAGTGTGAACAAGAATAGTCCTCCCCTCACAGGATTGTCAGCATTAAGTGAGAAAATGCACATAGGCATTGATTCATAGTATGAGCTCAAGAGTTCAATTAATTGTATGGTAGTTTTTTTTATTATTAGCAAAGGATAATTTTAATTTTATCCTATCTTTCTTTGTAAAATTCATCTCTTTTTGACATTTTAACAGATTTTAGTAAATCAGCTTTGTCCTCACTAAACCACATTTATTTATTTATTTATTTATTTATTTATTTTTATTATACTTTAAGTTCTGGGGTACATGTACAAAACGTGCAGGTTTGTTACATAGGTATACATGTGCCATGTTAGTTTGCTGCACCCATCAACTCATCATTTACATTAAGTATTTCTTCTAATGCTATCCCTCCCCTAGCCCCCCACCACCCAACAGGCCCCGGTGTGTGATGTTCCCCTCCCTGTGTCCACTTATGAGTGAGAACTTGCAGTGTTTAGTTTTCTGTCCTTGTGATAGTTTGCTGAGAATGATGATTTCCAGCTTCCTGCATGTCCCTGCAAAGGACGTGAACTTATCCTTTTTTATGGCTGCATAGTATTCCATGGTATATATGTGCTACATTTTCTTTATCTAGTGTATTATTGATGGACATTTGGGTTGGTTCCAAGTCTGCTATTGTGAATAGTGCCACAATAAACATATGTGTGCATGTGTCTTTATAGTAGCATAATTTATAATCCTTTGGGTACATACCCAGTAATGGGATCGCTGGGGCAAATGGTATTTCTAGTTCTAGGTCCTTGAGGAATTGTCACACTGTCTTCCACAATGGTTGAACTAATTTACACTCCCACCAACAGTGTAAAAGCATTCCTATTTCTCCACATCCTCTCCAGCATCTGTTGTTTCCTGACTTTTTAATGACCACCATTCTAACTGGCATGAGATGGTATCTCATTGTGGTTTTGATTTGTTTTGCATTTCTCTAATGACCAGTGATGATCATTTTTCATATGTCTGTTGGCCACATAAATGTCTTCTTTTGAGAAGTGTCTGTTCATATCCTTTGCCCATTTTTTGATGGGGTTGTTTGTTTTTTTCTTGTAAATTTGTTTACGTTCTTTGTAGATTCTGGATATTAGCCTTTTGTCAGATGGGTAGATTGCAAAAATTTTCTCCCATAGGTTGCCTGTTCACTCTGCTGATAGTTTATTTTGCTGTGCAGAAGCTCTTTAGTTTCATTAGATTCCATCTGTCGATTTTGGCTTTTGTTTCCATTGCTTTTGGTGTTTTAGTCATGAAGTCCTTGCCCATGCCTATATCCTGAATGGTATTACCTAGGTTTTCTTCTGGGGTTTTTACTGTTTTAGGTATTATTTTCAAGTCTTTAATCCATCTTGAATTAATATTTGTATAAGGTGTAAGGAAGGGATCCAGTTTCAGCTTTCTACATATGGCTAGTCAGTTTTCCCAGCACCATTTATTAAATAGGGAATCCTTTCCCCATTGCTTGTTTTTGTCAGGTTTGTCAAAGATCAGATGACTAAGCCACTTTTAGGTGCTAAGTTGCCCACTGAAAAATAAGAATTATGATTGATGTATTAGGTTGGTGCAAATGTAATTGCTATTTTGGTCCTACTTTAATGGCAAAAACTGCAATTACTTTTGCACCAACCTAATACTTGGAAGGGGCTACTGGAATTTTTCAATGAAAATTTGGTTTTTTGTTTTGAAAGCAGAAATGGGTTTGTATTGTAAAATTGTGGCTGGTTTCTCAAATTGACATCAGTATTGATGTCTTTACTCCACATAATGTACAGCCATGAAAAGATTAGAGGTAGGAGATTATCATGTCCTGTTAATGCAGATAATTAGGTGTCATAAACTGAGAGACTAGCTTCTCCCACTAGCTCGTTAGGCGAGTCACCTCACCTCACTGAACCTCTTTTTCCCAGCTTTAAAACAAGAATAATAGAATGCTTCTACACACATAGGGATGTTGAGTAGCTTAGTTAATTGGTGTTTGCAATATGCTGGGAGTTAAAAGCCTTTATGAAAATATAAAGAATATTAAAGAAGAACAAAGTGACATATTAAAAGTGATGAAAGATGCAATAGAACCAATAGATTGAGAAACAGAATCTGGAAGAAAATAAAGTTGGTGTAACACTAAATTATAATACTGATTTGAGGCTTTTGAAGAATCCATTCAAAAGAGTATCTCTTTTGACACACAATAGTCAATTTCTGAGTGTTGCAACACCTTCCTTCTTTTCCAAACACATGCTAACTTTAAAAAATGGAAGGTGCTTATATCAATCAAAGTTGAATCTTCCACACTATTCTATGACTTAATGTGACCATTGTAATTGTAACCTTTGATGTTGAGCATCATTCTAATGATACTTATTTTATTTTTATGGCATTTGTTCTAGGTCAAAAGTCAGACACTATTATCCAGGAGAGTTAACTATATAAAAATCTTTAAAGAAATTATTTTAAAAGATACTTTTCCCCTATCTCACAATTCAATTTAATTTAAAAGCCAGTTTGACTATTTTTCTTCTTGTGGTAAGAAAAGCTGACTTGCCCAAAATGATTTTTTTCTTTTTCCTGTTTTATCAATAGATCTAATACCTATTTCTGAGCCATCTGGTTTGACAGCCATAATAGCTGAAATGCTTTTCCTTGCAGTCTTTAGAAATGCCCCCTAGAGGCAAATAAGCATTGGGCAGAATCAGTAAATATCAGTATAAAGGGACATTTTCTGCTTGTTCTTTTTAAGGTGACATGTGGAGGAGTCAGAGCAAGGGGTAGGAACACCCGCTATTTATTTGGCAGATTTATTGAGCCATTTCAGGTCGGACACGCATTTTCAAGGCCCAGGGAAACTTGATCTCATTTATATTGTACAGCAAATAACATAATAGCACATTGGTATTCATCTGTGTGTGTCAATAACCTTGAATAGTTTTAGAAGTCTGCAGAAATCACCCTTCACACTAAAATGCATTTGTTAGTACTGACTTCAGGTTCTTGCTTTTTATTGACTAAAGACATCCTAAAAGATAAGGCTTTTGAGGTGCAATGGGCTGAAGTCTGATAAACAAACACAAAACACTCCACCAAACCAAAAATATAGCTTTGATCAATTTGGGGCATGGGTGCCTTCCTCTAGAGTCATAAAGTAGCTTTTGATGACATGTTATAGTTTACATATTGTTGTAGTTTGTACATTATGTGTTGGCTATGTCTCAATAGTATTTTGCATAAATCTCTTACCATCACGTAAATCAGGCTAAAATCAGAGATTAATCAAATGGGAGACATTTGGGCTTTTTGCTTCCTTGGATTTTGCACAGAAATATTGGGGTCTAGTTGAAAAAATAAAGCTGATTGGCCTTTCCTTCAAAATTCCTCCAGGTGAATGTCAAAGAAGATACTGGAGAGACAAGGGGAAAAATAACAAAAGGAGAGGTTTCTGGCTTGCCATATTTCCCTTGGATAGTGTACAATATTTTGAATTTGTTTTTTAAATCTGCCCCAGTAAAAGCGCCTGCTGAGTTCATGAACAAGATCTTAAGTTAGCCACAAGGAGTCCAGTCATTTCCATTTGTTTTAAACAACAAGCTATAAATAACACAAACAATTACACGATTGTGTTGATTTCCTCCTGAAGTATCCTGGCTGAGGGCCTTGGGCATAATCATTAGGTGGAAAGTAGGAATTTTGTCTGAGCTGCCAGCTGATCCATGGCTTTTTCCAAGATTAGCCAAGGAGGCAGCTTTCAGGAAGCAGGCTTCCCAGTCAGGCACTTGTGGGGTTTCTGAATTATTTATTGTGTAAGAGGGCTCCTGGCTTTGAGCACAGGGCATGTGGTTTTTCAGGCCACAAAGGCTTAAAATAGATACCCATCTCTCTCCCTTCACACTATTTATGTATAACCAAATTATCTACTATGCCGCCCCTCCCCTGACACACATACACATATTTTTTTCCTCCTAGCGGCAAGGGACAGTAACACTTAATTTCTGCTTATTAGAAGTTGCTCTCAGGGTGGTTCCATTCCCCGGGAGAGAGCTTGTGTAATGAACAATGCAGATTCACATTCATAAATTCACTGTGATTCATTTCAGTGCTATTACAAATGGCAGGCTCTCAGAAATTAGCAATGCATTTAAGCACAGCAACAAAACTGGAAGATTGCTTCTGGGCAAGCTGTGTGGCTCCTGATTCTTCTATGTTCCTAAAGTGTGTGCCTTAATGATTCATTAATTACAAGCTTTTATCTGAACCAGTTATCTCATCATTAATTGGTATATACTTTGCCCAGCCAAATTAAGGCAACTGCTGTTTTATCCTGATTCCTTGGATGAAGACTGCATGGTGTGAACCCCGACAGTCTTCTTCCTCTTACTACTATTCAGCCTATACATTTGTCAGGCCAGGTCGTTAATAATGGTAGGCTTCTATCCTCTCAGCATAAAAGATGGTAATTGACCTCTAGGGAATATTTGAGGAAAAATAATTGTATCATGAGACTAAAAGGGAATTATGTCTACTTCTATTTGCTTTGTTCAGAGTAGGTGCTCAACAAATATTTGACATTTGTATGATATTGCTCTCATTTTACTATCAAATTGGAAAATGGTGAGGACTAGCGTGAAAAAAAAAAACAAAAATCTGGGGAAGTTAGTATTTATTTCCTGTTTTTGGACAGAAAGACTTCAATTCATTTGGTATCATTTCAACAACTCAGACCAAGGTAGATGTCTTTGTCCAGAAAGAACACTACCTGTTAGTTCAATTTGGTTCAAAAGTATTGAGTATCTATCAAATGCCATGATAAGCACTGTGGTATCATGTAGAAGTAGAAAGATGTGCCAGGAGTAGAAAGATGATCCATTGAGGATTCCATAGTCTTAAGTAGAGTCAGGCATTAAAATATACCAGGTGTGTTTCTAGAAGTGCTTCCTAGAGTTGCTGAGGCCATAGCTTGACCTTGAGCATGAAGAAAAATTAGCCAGGCAAAAATAGCTTTGGCCATGTGTGTGGTTTGGCCTACTTTTGGACAATATTGAGTTACCAGTGCTTAAGAGTGAAGATTGATTTTTACTTTTAAGTGCTCCATTTTGACAGCTTTCTTGAGCATGCAGATCCAAGAGACAAAGGAGGACGTTAAAGAGAAGTATGCTTACCGACCACTAAACTCATTCTGTTGCAAGGCAGATTTTGTATTATCCCAGTGGAAGAATGCCCATGGTTTAGCACTAACTTTAAGGTCCGACCTGGACCTTATCCCACATGCTTTCTTGGCATTCAGACTTCAGTAGCCTATATCAGGAGTTGGCAAACTTCCTCTATAAACCAGATAGTAAGTAGATTTTGCAGGCTGGAATGACTCTGTTGCAAGTACTCAACACTGCTGTTGTAGTTTGAAAACAGCTAGCTCTCAATATGTAAATGAATTGTGCATGACTTTTTCTGGTAAAACTTTATAAAAACAGAAAGAGTGCTGGATTTGGTTTCTGGGCCATAGTTTGCTGATACTATAGCATTCAATAAATATATCTGGCTATTATCTGAGGTCAAAAAGCATTTCAAAGTAAATGTCAGAACTTCAAATATTAGATATTAAAACCAAGATTCTAAACTATTTTCAAATTCTTCTTATTCAGTTTCCACTTTACATAAAACTACTATGCTAGAGAATGGTGATGAAAAGAAATGAAACTTGGTGGTTTGTCTAAGGACCTTACAATCTCTTAGAAAAGCATATGTTTTATACATAAGGAGATACAGGCCCTCAGAAGTGACTTGCTTTTTGTTAGATAGTAGCCAAACCAGAACTCAATATCATACCTCTGTGAGTTCAGGCCTCTTTCTTCTACCTCAGCACTTTGTTTCATGAGTGAAGATTCTTGGGTCAGAACGGAGTTTATGAAGAAAAGAAGATGTATGATTATTCCAGGTTCTCACACCCTTGAATCTGTGCTTCAGCCACCTGCTAGAAATAACTTAAACAAAGAGGTGGGAGCTGTTTTCTGAACAATGCTCAGTCATGCTGTGACTCATACCAACTTCCCTTGTTGCCTCGAGTTTACAGTTCATCGTATATTTACTTGTATATAGCTGTCTATCTGCCCTCAAAATGAATTTTGTTGTCATTTGGCAAAAGAATCTCATTGTTTCCTCAGATCTTCATAATACTCACAGATAGGAAAACAAAGACTTACCATTGCTAAGGCTGAGGAAATAATTGGGAACATTATTCTATGGTACTTTGATTTGAATTCAAATAATGTAATGCAACTGCCATATCCAAGGTCTTTTTGCAGTCTCCTTCTTATTGCTCTCTCTGCGGCATGTAGTAGGGCTGTTTGCCACTCTATTTTGGGGGGATATTTTTTTGAAACAGTGTCTCGCTCTGTCACCCAGGCTGGAGCGTAGCGGTACAACCACAGCTGACTGCAGCCTTCATCTCCCAGGTTCAATCGATCCTCCCACCTAGGCCTCCTGAGTAGATGAGACTATAGGTGCACACCACCATATCTGGCTAATTTTTGTATTTTTTATAGAGATGGGGTTTTGCCGTGTTGCCCAGGCTGGTCTCAAACTCTTGACCTCAAGTGGTCTGCCTGCCTTGGAATCCCAAAATGTCTTTTTGGGAAATTCTCTTAAGTTCCATGACACAGAACTCTCTTCTCCTGAAATGAAGACATTTCCCAAAGAACAGTCCTGAACCCTCTCTATTCTGAGTTCTTTATCATCTTTCAGCCCTTATCTATTCTCAGGGCTTTAACTCTTACCTTTGCTAATTGAAGATGGAGGAAAAGAGGAGAGAGATAACGTTTATTTGGTACTTAAAATGTGTTGAGAATCTAGAGATAGAAAACACAGCTCCTTCCTTTAAGGATTCACAATGTTGAGGGAACTACTTGAGAGAGACAGAGAGAGAGAGAGAGGATATTGACTCTACAGCTCATAGATGCTAGTAGAGGTGTGTGCACAGGGCACGGGGGCAAAAGGTGAACACCTCTCAGAGCCTCAGGTGTGGAGCAATGGCATGAAGGCTCTCCCGAAGAGGGGTAGTTGTGCTGAATATAGAAATCTGAATAACTTATCAGGATGTAGAGGGATAAGTTTGACTCCCAAGACTGGATTTGCTGCTCTTCAGTATTCACAGACCATGGCAACTTTGATACTAGTTTATGACTGCACATCTTCCTATGGCCTTCCTCCCTAGATCAAAGCTTCTGGAAGGCATCATTGTTCCTCATTGCATTTCTAGCCCCTAAGCTGTGTCTGGCACCTGATAGGGGCTCAGTCATATTTACTGAGGGAGAGAAATGATTATTCCTACTTTATCACCATGAAAATGAGTCTCAGCAATGGAAGACACATTTATTTATGACCATAGAGCTAGTATTGGGAGATGCAGACATTCAAACATTGGCCTAGATGAGTCCTTTGTCTTTTGGTGTCAGTTTACCTAGTTAGGCATCTCAGGTCCTACCTTCACTCCTGAGCTTCGGTCTCATATTGCTAATTCCCTTTTAGACATTCTTCCTGAATGTGCTACCACCCACCACGTGATCAAAACAGAGATACTCATCTTTCCCCTGAATGGAGGTGATTCTTTCTTTCTGCATGATATCAGTAGCTAATTTCCCTTTGTGGTCTCAGACACTAGGGTGTGGGAGTTAATTAAATAAGAATGTAGAAGGCAGGGATCATTTGGCTGTCAGAATTTTAAAAAATTTGGCAAATGGCATCTCCAGTGCCCTCAACTCTGAATAAACCTTATAGAGTAGCACCATCCAATAGACATAAAATATGAGCCAGAGACATAAGCCACGTATTTGATTTTACATTTTCTCAGAACCATATTAAGAAAAGTAACAAGATAAAATATAGAAAAGCAAACTGGTAAAATTAATTTTAATAACACATTTTATTGAACCCAATACATCTAAAATATTATATTTTGACATGAAATAGACAAAACATCCTCATTCAAGGCATATTTTACATTCTTTTCTTCTCCATACTGAGACTTTGAAACTCTGTGTATTTTACACTTCATAGCACATCTCAATTGGGATTAGCCACATTTCAACTGCTCAATAGTTATATGGCTAGTGATTATTTTATTGAATAATGCGGTTCTAGAGAGTCTTTTGCAAAGATTTTATAGGCCATAAAATAACATTAAATTACCAGTCTTCTCTTATTATTTGCTTTCCTGTTTCAATCCAATATTTTTGCTACCCAAATCCAACTGATTGGAAAGCAGCTGGAGGTAGGTAGCAATGGTAAAGATAAAAGCTTATAAGGAAAATGATCAATGCTGCATTTTATAGCCTGTTGTCTTGATGCATTTCTTATCTGAAAAAAACCCAAAATGTATTTGATGAACATGGTTACACAGGTGACATGTTTACAGGTGTGATGTATTTACAAGGGTGCTGTGACTCAGTCCAAGATCTGGAGACTATTTATTGAATAGAAGTCTTCTAACTCAGGAAGAAATGGAAGCCAGGAGGAAGCATTTTACTATTCAAAGTCATTTTGCTTGAAGATGCTCTTCAGAGACGGATTACAGAGATGGAAGAAACATTTTCTTCTCACTTTGTATTTAGTGTTTCTGCTATTTAACTGTGCATGATTACTAACAAATATCCCAACATGATATTTATTAAATATCTACTACTAGTCTTTGTCTTCAAGGTATATTCTACGTCCTAGTCTCAAAACCATAGTGCTCCCTGAGTCCTTCCTTTCCTTCTTTCTAAAGTTGGATACCAAATTCTGTAAATTCTTTATTCATAGAGCTGCTTACATCCACTTTCTTTTTATTCTTAATGTTGCCTCTGTTGTTTCCAGCTCCATCACTTCATAGTTTTACCAGGGCAATAATCTCACAAATGATTTTGCTATCTTAAGATTCTTTATGCTTCTCATCCCCTTTCACCTCAATTTTATCTTTCTAAGATACTACTTTGGAAAGACTTCTGTCCCTCAAATTTCTCTTCACCTAATTACAACAAAAACGAAAAACCTTCAACTCCCTCATTTTACAAATGAAGAAATCTAAATTGATTAATAGTAAGTCCCTCATCCAGATAACACAATTTTAAAATGAGAGCACTAGATTCAAACCCAGTCTTCCTAAAAAAAAATTTCATGTCAATTGGTTTTTGGGGAACAGGTGGTATTTGGTTACAGAAATAAGTTCTTTAGTGGTGATTTCTGAGATTCTGGTGCACCCATCACCCAAGCAGTAAACACTGCACCCAAAGTGTAGTCTTTTATCTCTCACCCCCTCCCAGCCTTTTCCCTGAGTCCCCAAAGTCCATTGTATCATTCTTATCCGGGCTTCCCAATTTTTAGTCTGGCATGTGTTTTACTACACATCCTGCCTGTAGAATAATGTTCAAACTCTTTCATCTTTATTGCAGGCGTTGCCCAATTTAAAGTCCATCTCTCTGACTGCCATACTCAAACCAGCCAACATGTTATTTAAGAACCATTCATCTGGTCATTGTACAAATGTTTATTGGGCATGTCATGTGTAAGAAATTCTGTATAAGGTGTAAGGAAGGGATCCAGTTTCAGCTTTCTACATATGGCTAGCCAGTTTTCCCAGCACCATTTATTAAATAGGGAATCCTTTCCCCATTGCTTGTTTTTCTCAGGTTTGTCAAAGATCAGATGGTTGTAGATATGTGGCGTTATTTCTGAGGGCTCTGTTCTGTTCCATTGATCTATATCTTTGTTTTGGTACCAGTACCATGCTGTTTTGGTTACTGTAGCCTTGTAGTATAGTTTGAAGTCAGGGAGTGTGATGCCTCCAGCTTTGTTCTTTTGGCTTAGGATTGACTTGGCGATGCGGGCTCTTTTTTGGTTCCATATGAAATTTAAAGTAGTTTTTTCCAATTCTGTGAAGAAAGTCATTGGTAGCTTGATGGGGATGGCATTGAATCTGTAAATTACCTTGGGCAGTATGGCCATTTTCATGATATTGATTCTTCCTACCCATGAGCATGGAATGTTCTTCCATTTGTTTGTATCGTCTTTTATTTCCTTGAGCAGTGGTTTGTAGTTCTCCTTGAAGAGGTCCTTCACATCCCTTGTAAGTTGGATTCCTAGGTATTTTATTCTCTTTGAAGCAATTGTGAATGGGAGTTCACTCATGATTTGGCTCTCTGTTTGTCTGTTGTTGGTGTATAAGAATGCTTGTGATTTTGGTACATTGATTTTGTATCCTGAGACTTTGCTGAAGTTGCTTATCAGCTTAAGGAGATTTTGGGCTGAGACAATGGGGTTTTCCAGATATACAATCATGTCGTCTGCAAACAGGGACAATTTGACTTCCTCTTTTCCTAATTGAATACCCTTTATTTCCTTCTCCTGCCTAATTGCCCTGGCCAGAACTTCCAACACTATGTTGAATAGGAGTGGTGAGAGAGGGCATCCCTGTCTTGTGCCACTTTTCAAAGGGAATGCTTCCGGTTTTTGCCCATTCATTATGATATTGGCTGTGGGTTTGTCATAGATAGCTCTTATTATTTTGAGATACGTCCCATCAATACCTAATTTATTGAGAGTTTTTAGCATGAAGTGTTGTTGAATTTTGTCAAAGGCCTTTTCTGCATCTGTTGAGGTAATCATGTGGTTTTTGTCTTTGGTTCTGTTTATATGCTGGATTACATTTATTGATTTGCATATATTGAACCAGCCTTGCATCCCAGGGATGGAGCCCACTTGATCATGGTGGATAAGCTTTTTGATATGCTGCTGGATTTGGTTTGCCAGTATTTTATTGAGGATTTTTGCATCAATGTTCATCAAGGATATTGGTCTAAAATTCTCTTTTTTGGTTGTGTCTCTGCCCGGCTTTGGTATCAGAATGATGCTGGCCTCATAAAATGGGTTAGGGAGGATTCCCTCTTTTTCTATTGATTGGAATAGTTTCAGAAGGAATGGTACCAGTTCCTCCTTGTACCTCTGGTAGAATTCGGCTGTGAATCCGTCTGGTCCTGGACTCTTTTTGGTTGGTAAGCTATTGATTATTGCCACAATTTCAGCTCCTGTTATTGGTCTATTCAGAGATTCAACTTCTTCCTGGTTTAGTCTTGGGAGAGTGTATGTGTCGAGGAATTTATCCATTTCTTCTAGATTTTCTAGTTTATTTGCATAGAGGTGTTTGTAGTATTCTCCGATGGTAGTTTGTATTTCTGTGGGATCGGTGGTTTATTGCGGCATTATTCACAATAGCAGACTTGGAACCAACCCAAATGTCCAACAATGATAGACTGGATTAAGAAAATGTGGCACATATACACCATGGAATACTATGCAGCCATAAAAAATGATGAGTTCATGTCCTTTGTAGGGACATGGATGAAATTGGAAATCATCATTCTCAGTAAACTATCGCAAGAACAAAAAACCAAACACCGCATATTCTCACTCATAGGTGGGAATTGAACAATGAGAACACATGGACACAGGAAGGGGAACATCACACTCTGGGGACTGTTGTGGGGTGGGGGAAGGGGGGAGGGATAGCATTGGGAGATATACCT
The DNA here is from genome assembly GCF_000001405.40 of Homo sapiens. NCBI lineage: Eukaryota > Metazoa > Chordata > Mammalia > Primates > Hominidae > Homo > Homo sapiens. The sequence goes on along the minus strand of NC_000012.12, from coordinate 88,938,956 downwards.
AATGCTAGATGACGAGTTAGTGGGTGCAGCGCACCAGCATGGCACATGTATATATATGTAACTAACCTGCACAATGTGCACATGTACCCTAAAACTTAAAGTATAATAATAATAATAATAATAATAATAATAATAATAATAATAAAGAAATTCTGTTAGATACCTAAAGGCACTAAATTTTACAGGGTCTGTGGTGTGGCCATGTGGCAGATAAGGCTGGAAAGGTAGATTAAAACCTAAGGTAGTGACAATATTAAAAGTTAGGCTAGGACTTTGAGATTTAATTCATTAGAGTGGACAATAGCTTTTGAGAAAGAGATGTCAAATCTGGCAGAACGTGTTGATCATAGTAAAGCCAGCAGGGCTTGGAGTAGCCCTGAGTTGCAAAGTGACAGCTCATGAAAAGAATTAAAGTCCAGAGATGTTTTTTGTTTGGCTAATATGCTGAGTGTGTGTGTGTGTGTGTGTGTGTGTTTAACTAAAATTGTTAATGTTTAAAACTTAGACATTTTCATAAATATCAATATTTTAAAATTATCTTTAAAAAATCTTTTCTGACACATGGGAGACTGTAAAAGTAAAAACATAAATAAATAGACAAATAATCTGGCAACACAGAACATGCATTACTGTGCAGTAATTATCAACAGGAGCTTATGGGAAGTTGATTAATTTAGACAGAACATGCTCTTGCTAGCCAAATTCACTTATGTGTGTGACCTGCCCATAAGGTGTGACCAATGCCACACATTAGGCATTGAGACAGATTACTCCACTAGATGTAGGACTATTGGTAGTAAGGAGTGAGCAAGAGAGTAGCATCAGAAATATCAGTTATGGATTGAGTCAAGAAAAAGAGGGAGACAGACAATATTGATATGATTTGCATATGCCTGCAACGTCTTTTAAGGCTCACCTAGGACACACTTGCATAAGCTGGTTGGGTTCAATATGTCTTCCTTGTGTAAGTACCCCTTTGCCCTCCACCTCCTTCTGCATTGTTTTCTAATGATTTGAATATGTTTATTCTCCTTTTAGATTGCTTAATCAATAGCGATTTTTTGGTTACCTCATCTAAAAGGAAAGCAAGCTAAAAAAATTAGCACTGAATTGGAATTTAAATGTAAGAAATAAAACGTTGTATATACTAATAGAAATTTTAGGAAAACATTTGTGGAAGAATAGTTTTAGGGAAGAAGAGATCTTACTGCTCAAGACTTGAAGCCCAGAGCCAAAAAAAGAGACATATTTAACTGCATAAAAGTAAAATATAATTTTATAGCAAAAGATATTATAAACAAAGTAAAGAATCAAATGATTCACTGGGAAATGTTTTCACAGTGCACATGACGTAAAGAATTACTCTTCTTGAATATATAAAGAGCACCTACAAACTGATAAAAAATGATTTATCAAAAAAATAGATATATATAATAAAAACACTGGCAATCATCAATTCATGGAAGAAACCCAGCTGATCTAAAAACATAAAAAGCTGCCCAATTATATTCATAGTCAGGAAAAGGCAAAGCAAAACAACAGTCAGATATCACTTTTAGCTTTTTAAATTGCAAAAGTTAAACAAAAAATTGTAACATTTAAGTGCTGGTGCAACATCATTTTCATATATTGCTGATGGGAACATAAATTGCTATACCCTTTTAGAGAGTAATATGGTAATGTGTATTAAAGTAAAAATAAACACAATTTTGACACAGCAGTCCTACTTCTGATAATCTAGCCTATAATAATGAATGCCCTGGTGCATAAAGCTATGCCACATGTATACTAGTATGTTTGTTACAGCTCTATATGAAGTGGCAAAGCACTGGAAACAACTCGAATGCCCATTGTTAGAGAAATGGTAGAATAAATTATGATATATTTATACTGTTGGATGTTATATAATGTTATGTGAGAAATACAAGATGCTGAGGGAGATAGGTAAATGACAGATAGGTAGAGAATTATAATCATGTAATTAGAAAACAAATGTGTGTATATATATATATATATATATATATATATATATATATATATATATATGTATGCATGTGATTCCATATGGAATTGGATTCCATATGGAACATAGAACATAATGGATCCCATAGGGAACATAGAACACATGGAAGAATATAGAGAAAGATATGGAATCAAATGCACCATTTTATTTAAGTGAAAATGGTGAAGAAGGTGGAGAAGGAGATTATTTAAACGATTTAAAAATATTTGTGCTTTCTTACTTGTTCTGAGTACATTCTCCTTTACAATTAACAAAAATTAAGAAAATTTGGCAAAATACTTCATTTTATTTCCCACACAGCGTTTCCTCATAAAGTCTCGTAAAACGTAAACTTGTCTATTTAGATAGAAATACCTCATCAGATTTACTATCTATACTAAACTTATTAGTAATTCTTCATATAGCTTCTTTCGTCCCCAAATTCCCAAACACCTTAGAAACATTGTCTGGGAGCTCTTTCAATGAGATAACGTGTTCAGAGATGGTAAATGGAGTGGGTACTGCCACTCCTTGTTGCCATCTCCTAGCAGACACACCCTGCCCTCCACCCATTCCCATGGATCCTGCTGTAGTCAGAGTGAGATTCAACAGTGGTCTTGAGGCTTTTTTCTATGAACCAACCAGAATTGAAGGGGAAACGACACCATTTACTCTTCCTGGGCGAGTAAAAACAGCATGTATTGGGGTATGAATCACACATTTATCCTTGTGTGACCTGGAGTACGTTAGTAAGCCTGTCAGAACTTTAGTTTCCTATAAATTTGGACATTATCTCCTTGAAAATTTTCTTATGAAGAGTAAGTGAAATCTTATTCTAACTGCAAGGCCCCTTTGTCATCTCTCTATATTTGCTTATATCCAGTTAAGGCTTTGGCTTAAAGTGCTTACTATGAAAGTAGCTTAAAGAGCTTAAAGTAGATTAAAGTAGCTTAAAGTAGCTCAAAGTAGCTTAAAGAGCTACTTTGCTCTTATTTATGCTTGGTCCTTCATTCATGCATTTGGATGTATGGCTGAGTGGAAGACATCGATTCCGTTTGATCTGGAAAACAATGATTCTCATTTTCTATCCATTATACCCATTGTCTCTTGGGCAATGTCACCAGGAACAGCTCTGCCAAAATTTATGATCCTCAATCCTGCTTATCTGTTGGCAATGTTTCATTGACAATCACCCATCTGGTTAAATACCACTCAGACTTCATTCTCATGTTACATTCACCTTGAGCTTTCTTAGCAGATTCTAAATTATTTTAACTTCTTTTTGCCTCCACTATGTACTGAAAGCCTTTGGCAAGTGCCTAAAATATGTATTTTGGGTTACATAAGAAATACTCTACTGGAGTTGATATGAACTCCAATGGAGGCAAATGAACAAATCCAGAATAGCGCCTAGAAGATTAGAAGATGTCAGGTTCTCATCTATCCATCTATCCATTCATTCATCCACCCCTTTCCAACTGAGTGCATAAATACTCAGTGGTAGACCCAGAAATAGATGTTGGAGATTTAACAGTCAATAAGACTGACAAATTCCCTTCCTTCTCTTGTGGAGTCTCTAGTGAGAGAAAACAGGCAAAAAATAATTGACACTAAACAAGTAAATAATGTGATTTTAGTTCTAAGTGCTATGGAAAAAAATAGAGAGCACATGAAAACAAGAAGACTATCTTCAAGCCAGAAAGTAAAAATGCTTAGATTTAGTGATCAAACTAGAGTTCTAGAAAACAGGAAGCTAGCAAGATGGGGAGAAGTAATCAGATCTCAGGTGATTGAAAATAACATAGTGACCAGCAGAATACACTGAAATCGGCCAGATGCAAAGGAATGATTACCCTCAATCTGTCTTTCAGCTTCTAGCTGGGAAGAAATTTCTTTCAGGTTCTGGACCAATAGGTGGGTAGGAGTGAGGAAAATGGCTACATCTAATTAAGGAAAGACTGCCGGAGAAGTAGGAAGGATTTTCTTTCCAGGATGTTCTGGATCTAGTACATATTTGGCAGGTTTTCATAATTTTCTTTATATTAGAAAGTGGATCAAAGGTCAGGTATGATTATTGCACAAACATAAAAAAAAATTCCCTCCTCTGGGGGTGTCACAAATGAAGCCCCTTACGAATTCTTCACACGGGTTACAGGCATTATCACAATGCTTAGGCATATGATAAAACTACAGCAACAAATTAGGTGCAATTAAACGTTTTCAACTCTCTCACACACCTGAAACCAAAGCTATGAAAAAAGAGGCATATCCCAGGTAATTAATTGCCAAGAAACATTTAATGATCTCTCCTCTGCTACATTTAACATGAGTCATGAGTGCTTTGTTCCAACTTAGTCATAAAGTTCCCTGGAGCCAAGGGCATGTTACTACGGCACACTAAAGGAAAAAAACCCTAAACACAGAGCTTAATTAATTTTCAACTTCTGCCACACAACTTCACACCTGAATTCCTTATCCTTTGGGCATACTTAATATAACCACAATGCACTGTAGTAACACCTACTTTATAGGCAGAACTTTCATCTACCCACAGTTTCCTCTTCTTTGTAAAACCATTTGGCTGACCATCACAAAATGGCAGTAACCAAGCTTCTCTCTTTGCAGCCTGACAGGTCAAGCACCCTACTAAATTCAAGAAAGAGACTGTTTTATACCATTATTTTGCTCTAATAACAGAGTGGGAACTCCTTTAATGTTAAGATTCTCTAGAGAAGGATGTTGTTTTAAAAGTATTGACCCACGAGAAGCAAAGGTACCTGGCAACTTTCAAAATGTGTGATATATTTGTGTCAGCTTTTTCTCCCAGGCCCGTTCTGTCTTTTGAGCATATTGAAAGAAAGCCTATCTTTTTTTTTTTAATCCAAATATGTAGCAGATGGGATGGTGGATAAATGTCAATTACTGTTGTCAAAATTTGCAAAGGCAGACCTCATTGGCTTTGGGCTTAGCACGCTACATGACAATGGAAATGGATACGACATTTGCATTTAATAAAGCGTTTGCTGAGGAAATTGAGTTGAGTCTGAAGGTTCTGCTGGTGACAGAAAGGAGATTAATGTCAAACTTCAAAGGTGGGGAAAAACTTTTAAAACTTTCAAATTTGAGCTTTTCTAAACCCACATTTAAAAACGTTGCCTTAAAACTGAAAAAAATATTATTTTGTGCTTTTTAAGATAAGTTGGGTTTTTCCATTTCAGTGCATTTGTGAATAACTCTGAGAACTATTTTCTTTTATCTATTTGACTTGAAAATATAGCAAATACATACAGATTGTATATATTCTATGCCTGCACAGCTAGTTAGACTATAAAAAATCATGTCATTTGCTGGTATTTTGTTTTCTACTCCATTGACCAATTTTTCATTTTGCCCACCTGCTGTTTTCATATCCTGTACACACTGCATAAGAGCCCTTCCCCTCTATTCTAACTCGAATCCTCAACAGAGACATAGATTTATCATTCAGTTTGGCCTCACATGATTGCCCACAGGACCATCCTGGTTTCTTCTGGCCTTGACTAGAGATTGGATTTTTGTATTTTGAAATAATCTAGCCATAAAAAACCATCTGAGTTCTTCAGAGAAGATACCCTTTCTCTCTCATCCTCCAGAATCCTATCTGGATATGTTCAGAGGGAATGATCACTACACTCAGAGTGGAATGTTTCAGAAGCTTGAATTTGCAATCAATGTTCATTTCCAAGGGCAAGCTAGGGTTTCTCCTATGTGTCTGTGTTTGTGAGGAAAGGTGAGTTCTGTCAGCATTTAAAATCTCGGTGAAGTGCTCATGAAAGGAGGCATGTAGAAGGGCTATTTTTAAGAAAGCCTTATCATTAAAGCTTAAAATTTCCCTGAATTCATGGCCTCTGCAAAGGAACCGAATCCATGGAGGCAAAGGACAAACTCCCTGGAGAATTTGAGAGTTCTCAATTGATGCAGTTTTAGAATTTGCAGTTTTGAATTGTAAAGGCCAGCAAGCAGTCATGCTGCGTTGCCTCTTGCTTGGGCTGGCTCTGAGATTATTGATTCCAAAATCCTGACTGGCATGAGAATTACCTGGGGATTTCTCTAAAAATATAGTTTTCTTCCCTCACTCTCAGAAATTTTGATTTGGTATGTCTGGACTAAGGCCCCAAAATTCAGAACACAAACAAAAAATAAAAAAAAACAAAACAAAATAGAAATCTCCAGGTGACTCTCATGCTTTGCACAGCCAGGTTGGTGAGGCCATCGCTCTTATCACACTAACCAACTTGTTTTGAAACTGAACCCTGACCTCAGCCTCATTAGTACCACACTGCTGGATACTGAAGCTAACTGGTTTCATTTGGAAATATATAACCTTGTCTCTGATCTTGCTAGAGGGCATCCATGTGAGAAAATAACCGTTCACATTATTTGTTAGCATAGCTTGATATGTGATTTTAATACTGCCCTTTAGTTTTAAACTATACTATTTCAAAAAAGTGTTTTAATCTTCAAAAGAATATCTCCATTTGAGTGGAGAAAAAAGGGAAACCTAGTTTAAAAAAATCAGTGTGATAACCATGTCCCTAAAGCCTTCTTCTCTCAGTGAGGATGATTTTACACATTTTAATGACCTGCTTAAAAAATCTGAATTTAAATCTTTTTTTCCAAGCAGGAATTACATACGTTTTAATGATCTACCATAACTCTTAAAAAAAGTTCTTATCTTGTTAATTTTGCTCCCGTGGAAACAAAGGCTATGTGCAATGTGTGTGTGTCTATAAAGTCATTGAACACTGATTGTTCATTTTTTCTTTAAAAGCAGGCAGACATCATCCTACGGCAAGGTCATCTTACTGTTTGCAATGATACATGGTTCTGTACACTAGGCTTGCTTTTGCACCTCCTATGACCATTATTGATAGAGAAAATAAAAAAATAAAGAAGTCAGTTTGTACCAAGTGAAGGCTTAAGAAAAAAAGATGTCAAGAAGAAAACTCAAAACTCTGTCCTTAAAGAAGGTGAAAGATTTTAATGGTCCCGTTGATTTATCTAAGTCTACCTGGAACACATTAACCAAAATGGTTTACTGAGTAATCTCTTTCAAGCAAGACCACAGTAGAAATATTTCAAAGAATTTAGGAGCTCAGGAAATCTCTGTGCTCAGTGAAGCAGAGAAACGCCCTAAGCTGCAGATGAAAGCAATGCACACTGATTAGTATCAATGCAAAAAGAGATAAGGACATGTTCTTAGGGCCCTGCTGCTGTGCTCTGGGTCATTGGTTCACAAACTAGTGTGCGTATGAATCCCCTAGCAAGGTTGTAGAGAATGCAGATTCCTGGGCAGTGACCACTGAGATCCTAATTCATAAAGATTGAAACAACAAAATAATTTTAATTTGCTAGCCCTGTGGTTTAGCTTACACCTTGAGGTATACTGCTCTGGATAATTTATTTAGTGAAAATAAAATCAAATTTCAAAAGTAAATATTTTCCCCATATATAAAAGGAATGATAGGGTGGAAACTATAATTTCGGTCATAACTATCATTCATTTGTAGAAAATATGGAAACTTCAGAAAAATAGAAAGAATACAACTCATCCAATGGTCCTCATTGAAGCATTATGTGACACTTTCTATGAAGATCTCTCCTCTTCTTTTTTTTTCAGATTCTAGTGGATTTCTCTCTGTGGCTTACTACCTTTGGCTGGAAGTTACTCTCTATTTAGTATGTCGACTAGTCCCTCCCTTAAGTAATATATCTCCAATTTTCCTTTAACTAGTTCCACTTAGATATCCTACTATCATCTCAAACTTAAGCTTATCTGAAACCATTTGTATTTTTTTTTTAACCATTAAAACTGGCTCTTTTTATCTTCTTGTTAAGAGGAACAATATTTGCTCCAACACATGCAAGAAGCTTCAATACTTTTGTTTTTTACATTATCATTCTCTAACCCATTGCTACCGTCTCCTAATTCATTTTCTTCAAGTGCTCTTTACAACCATTCTTTCTGTTCATTGCAGATATCAGATGGTATACATTCACATGGCTGCACTGACTTTGAAATGTTCAAGCACCTTCATCAGCCCCTGCCCTGAGCCCTTAAGTACCCACTACCCTGTTGTTTCTCCTGAGACCTCCGCAACAACCTCACATGATCCAGCAGCTTAAGGGGTTATATTTGGCCCTCCTGCAGACCCCTGCCCCCCAGAACTCATGCTTCAGCCCTCAGAGAGCCTCACTTTTGACTGGTCAGTCTCCATGCTGCCCTTCATACCTAAGTGACTATAGCCATGACTTAAATCCAGCTTTTCTGAACTTGAATTATGTTATGCAACATCACCACATCTGCCTTCCTAAAAACCTGCTTTCATCATCTCCTCCTCTGAAACCTTATTGAAGTCATAGATAAGTACTAGACAAGTATTGAATCAAATTTACTTAATAATTGAATTGAATTAGGTAAACTCGATTCAGTAAACTATCAAGAGTTTACTATGTGATAAGTACCAATCATTTGGGGTAAAGGGAAATTACAAAAATGAACTATATAGAAAATTTAGATGGTTTAATATGAACACCAGTAAAGATAGGAGAAGGTGTAACGTGTAAGAAAAGAGGCAAAGAATAGTATATGTTAATAACTTGGTTGGAAAATTTTGTTCTGAATGTCATCTAAGGTCATTGGGGAGATGATTGCATGCCTTACACTGCAGCTCAGAAATCTTTAACTATTTTTCCATGGCCTTCAGGCCTCCTTATGTCCCAGTAATACCCCTGACTTTCCCTTCTAGCTTCATAATTTAACCCATCTTTTTCCCACGGAAACGACCACAGTGTCAATGAGCAATCAAATTTCTTAGACAAAAGGAAAATTATTATTTCTTTAATCTTTAAAGCTTCGGTTGGAACCTATGCTGCTGTGGTGTTTTATAGCTTGTTTTGTATTGAAAAAGATTAAATAGTATATAATTTTTACTTAATTTTCTGTACAATATAAATAAATACTTCAAAAATTCTCTATTCTACCCACAAAAGAAAAATGCCATTGACATTTTTATATGTTTTTGATTCATTCTATGAATATTTTATTAAGTATGAGATTATTGAAACATATTATTTTATAGCTCATTAAAAATAAAATAAGGATTTCCTTCTTACCAAAAATAATTTTTTATATGTTGTTACTCATATTTCAAATCACTTAATTATGCCGCATTGTTGGAAATTTAGTTTTTAAAATTTTTAACATTATTTTGAACAATGCTGTAGTATTTATTATTTATTATAAATATTATTGTACATAAAGTTAGTTCTCATATTATTACCATGAAATGTATTCCAAGAAGAGAGCTTATGAGGTATTAAATGGTTTATATTTCTTCATAAATACAGCCAAATTACTTTCCAAAGGATATTTTCAATCAATTCTTATTCCCATGAATAAAAAAAGAGAATACCTATTCTATCACACTTTCTTCACAGCAGTACAATTTTAATGCTACTATTGTAAGCAAAAACTATATGAATTTTTTCTTCGATTATTATTGAACTTGAACATTATTTTTCCTGTTTGGTAACTGGTTTCTTCTTTAGAATTACTATCATATCAGTGTAAGTGTTAATGATTCTGTCATGAATCCAAGTTGAAAACAAATACCTGGTACAGTTGGAAGAATATATGGCTAGGAGTTAGGAGACCCAAGTTTTTTATCTTTAATGCCAATTATTAGTTGTTGACCGTAGACTGATAATTTAACCTGACTTTGCTTCAGTCTGATATGGGGATAATTTATTTTTATATATGTCATGAGATATATAATAATGTTATGCAGAAGTGTTTGAAAAAAACAGAAATGAAAAATATAAGTTGATGGTATTTTTGCCTCTTCAACAACAAATTTTACTACAAGAAATATCACTGATTCATCTTGCATAAAATTTGACAGCAACATTAATTCCACATTCAACTACATTTGTTGGGACCAACTATATGCCACATATAATTACACAGTAATTATATGAAGTAAAAAAAAAAATGAGTAAGTCAAAGGCCAGAATTTCAGAATCTCAGAGTCTAAGAAGGGAGAAAGATACATAAGTTAAAAGATAAGAGATGCACACACACACACACACTTGCACATACGTATGTATATATAAATACAATGTAATAAATGTTATAAAAATATGTAAAAGGTTGTGAAAACAAAGAAGAGAGAAGAGCAAAAATTTGACGAAGTCTTCTGTAGAATGAACATTTATGCATAAGGTAAATAGAAATTATCTAGATAGAGAAATGAAGGAAATGATACTATATGAAGGGAAACAAAATGCAAAAAAAGATGCTGAATACTGAAGGAGGGTGTCTATAGTCTAGAGACTAAGAAGGCAGGACTCTGGTTGTAAAGGCCTTTGTATACTCTTTTACAGAATTTGCATCTAGCCATATTCAAATTTAGTCATGATGATTAACAATTTAATTAACTATTTCAAATTGGCAAATGTTGACCAAGATATAGGCATCCCATGCGTGGTATGATTTGATTTCTTCTTTTGAAGTGAGAGAGTCATGAAGAAAACATTTTTAGGAATGATCTCTGCTTAAGTTCAGGGAGCAATCACTAATAAGTATTGACTCAATTATTCATTCAAGATTGTATTAAGTGTCCACTAAGTACAAGGCACTGAATCAAGCCTAGAAGATAGAGTGAGATCTCCATGTCTTCTTAGGGATTACATTTTAGTAAAAACGATAACCACTGGATGAGTAAACAAATAAGAAAGGAACTGACAAATTGTTAACAAATGCCATGAAGCGAATAAATGGGGATCTTCACTCATTCAAATAGATTTTTAATGCCTAAGCACTGTTGTAGGTTTTGACAATTTAGTGATACACAAAACAGTTAAAAGTCTCTATGCTCAGGGAGCTTGCATTCTTTCCAGTGGGTGATGAATTAAGTAAGTTAAGGAGAAAATAAACTTACATAGAGTGGTCCTGTAGACTGAATGTTTATGCGCCCCTCAAATTAATATGCTGAAACCCAATCCCCAATGTGATGGTATTTGGAGGTGAGGCCTTAGTGAGGTGATTTGGTCATAAGGGCAGAGCCTTCATAAATAGGATTAGTGCCCTGATAAAAGAGACTTTAGAGAGCTCCTTCACTCTTTCTTCCATGTGCAGACATAGCAAGAAGACTGCTGCCTGCGAATCAAGAAGTGGGTACTTACCAGAGCAGACACCAAATCTGGTGGCATCTTGGTATTAAACTTTCCCGCCCCTACAACTGTGAGAAATAAATTCCTGTTGATGATAAGCCACCTAGTTTATGGTATTTTGTTATGGCAGTCCAAGATGACCAAGACAGGTGGTAAAGAAAGGCCCTTCTAAAGACAGACTATTTAAGATAAGAACTGAAAAGTACAGAGACTGGGAGAAGAGCATTCTTTGCTGTGGAAAGAGCAAATGCAAAGATTTTGAGGAAAAAAAAATGGCTTGGCCTATTGAAGAAACAGAAAAGAGACCAGCATGGCTGTAATATAGTGAATAAAACTTTAAAAAGATGAAGTAAGAGATGACAGAAAGATCACTTCAATTGCTCAGTACAAAACTGGAATAGTGAAGGGGAAGAGTAAAAGCAAGAAGGCAATTTAATTTAATAGGCTATTGCTGTTATCTGAGTGATAGACTAGGGTGGCTTAGACAGGGTGATGGCAGTGTTGGTGAACGGATGAAAAGATGGATTTGAGATATATTTTGGTGTCATAAATCGTGTAATTTGCTGGTGAATTAGATATGGGAATTGAGAGAAAAATAGAATACAAGGTTGTTTTCTGCATTTTTGGATTAAGCAACTGATGGATGCTGGCACCATTTAAAGAGATATTAAAGACTCAGGAAAATAATAGGTTTGGGCGGAAAACAAGAACACTATTATAAATTTGAAATGCATATAGATATTCATGTGGAAATCTGACTGCTTATTTCAAATAAGCAGTTAGAAGGCACTCGGGGGAAGTTGCTTCTGTAGCTATAAACATGGGAAGTCAGCAGCTTCACAAGTAGATGTAAACTGTGGATTTAGAAGCGTTTTAGACAACAGTGAGGAAGAGAGAGTGAGCAGAAAACAAAAGATGACCCAGCACAAAGCTCAGTTACTCCAACACTTAGAGTTGAAGACAGCAAAGGAGGCTGAAAAAGAGCAGACAAGGACAATAGAAGAGAGAGGAGTGTTACAGAAGCTATAGTACCTATGTGTGTTTTCTTTTTGTGTAAGATGAGTGTATTTTCTTAAATCTTAATCCATACAGTTTAAGTGGAGCTGATTCTCTCCCAACACACAAGACCCTCCCCAAGTCTCTGCTCTCAGTTGGGCATGGTATGAGACTTGCTCAATTAAAGCCTTCTCACTACTCCCACTGATACTCACAGGAAAGAGGCATGTGGTGTGTGTGTGTGTGTGTGTGTGTGTGTGTGTGTGTTTGAGTTTACTAAGACCAGGAAAGACAAGGATGATTGATAAAAGTCTAGAACTGTCAATAGCCATCTTTGTTACCATGTGAGGTTTACCTGCCTAAAAACTGAGATAACAGCAGAAATGTAAGCTGAGAGGTAGAGAAAAATAAATAAGTTTCTGATAATATGTGTTTGAACCTCTAGAGCCAATGATGCCTTAAACTAGCACCATTCCTTGAACTTCCTGGATAAAAGAGCCAATAAATTCCTTTTGTGTTTACATAAGTTGGTTTGAGTCATGTTCCTGTTACTGGCAACCAGAAGAGATAGGACTACGATAAAAGATATTTCAAGAAAGGTGGAGTAGTTAATTGTGTCAAAAGCCATTGGAAAGTTAAGAGAGATGAGGGCAGAAAAATATTCCTTGGATTAGACAACATGGAGTCACTGATGACCTCATGGGAGAGATATCCGTGCAGGGGTGAGACTGGAAGTCTACCTGGGGTGGGGAAAAAACAAATTGGCAGTGGTTGAGTGGAGACAGTGAAAGTGGCAACTTACTTAAAAAGATCTTTTGTGAAGAAAAGTAAAGAAATAGAGAGATCACTGGAGAGGATTATGGTACCAAAGTAGACGCAAGGAAATATTTGATATTTATCTTCAATCATTCTTTCATCAAGTATTTATCCAAGCATGATTATCTATATATTAAGCTATGTTAGCCCATGAAAAAAAATTAAAATTCTGTCATTACCACTCCTTGCTTCCTAACTTACAGTGGTGATGATAGATTTTTAAATGAAAGTTAAAGTGTTATAACAAAAGTCTTTGCATGTGGCAAAAATATAATGAAAATAGATTACTTTTCTCTGTCTGACTCATAAGATTTTGTAGTTCTTAAAAATATTTCCTCAATATTGCTCAAAAGTATTTGGCACTGATTGAAATGGGCCCTACTCCTTTGAATAAAAGAGGAAGATTTTACTCATTCTAGGTGGATGCATTTAATTAAAAAAAAATTCAAGTCAGTGAAATCATCTTTTATTGCCAATTTTCTTTAGTAACAAATGGTAACAAAGAGCTACAATGCAGCAATTCAAGAACAACAACAAAAAATATTTAATGCTTATAAAGTACCAGGTACTCTGCAAGGTGGTGAGAATGAAGAAGTGAAAACACAGTTTTTGATACCTAAAAAATTAGTGTCCAGTATGGAAACAGGTATAAGCAATTAAAAAATTCAATAAGAATCACCATAGGAAGAAACACAGGACTCCATAGGAAATCTTAGGTGGAGTATCCCTGTTAGAGTCAGTGAATTTTTCTGAATGGAAGTAGAACTGAATCTGGAATTGTGAGTAGGACTTGGAAAGGCAGTTGACTTCCTTTTCTTAGCAGCTTACCCATTTCTCATAATCTGATCCAGCCTGTTTGCAGGCAAAACTCTTCACACTGTAACACATAGCAAGTGCTCAATAAATGCTGCTTAACTATTATTATCAGTAGGCTCCTACCTCTACATAAATAAACACAAGTAATAAGCCAATATTAGTTAAGAAGAGGCAGGCAATTACTGTTTGTGGAGATAATTAAGCTTTGGTGTTCTGTAGACTAAATTTAAAATTTATCTACTTAAAATTTATTGACTGTATTAGTTTGCTGAGGCTACCATAACAAAATACTACACATCGAGTGACATAAACAGCAAAATGTATTTTCTCACAGTTCTAGAGGCTAGAAGTTCAAGATCAAAGTGTCAGCAGGTTTGGTTGCTTTGGAGGTTTCTCTCCTTTGCTTGGGGATGGCCACCTTCTTGCTGTGTCCTCCCATGGTCTTTCTCTGGTTTCTCATTTTGTGTTCAAATTTCTTCTTCTTATAAAGACAACTGTTAGATTGAATTAGGGCTCACCTTAACTGTCTCATTTTCATGAAGTCACCTTTTTAAAGGCACTATCTTCATATAGTCATATTCTTACATACTGGGGGTAGGGTTTCAACACATGAATTTGAAGGTCTTACAGCAGTGGCCTTGGAAACTTACCACGGTAATCACTTGGGGATTCAGTTTCCTCATCTATAAAAAGAGGATAGAACACGGTGCCCTAGCTTGTATTTGGATGAGTTTCAGAATGTGGCAGTTTGCAAGACTAGTGGCCTGGTGACCACTTCTGGTATCTACTTGCATAAATTCATACGCACTGGTATTTTTTGGCAAGAGGTAAAAGGTGGAGGTTTTTGTTTGTTTGTTTTGGTTTTGATTTTTGAACACTGTCATTTGAGAACAAGGGAGGAAGTAAATCCAGTGTCTTCTTGAAGTGACATAAAGTCCTGATAGAGAGACGAACTGAAGTAATTTCTTTGAAACTCTGGGTACAGGGAGTGCTCGTTTGGGACCCAAGAGTAAAATTTCATATAACATTGGGGAGTAGGCTAGTTTTCCCACTTTTGGAAGCAACATAATACTGCTCTTTTATTTTCAGTAAATTCCTATCTATTAGTTACCTTTCCTGCAGTGACAAATAGCCCCCAAATCTCAGTGGTTCACAAAAACAAACTTTGATTTTTTTGGACAAGTGATATGTCAGGATTTATGGGTTGGCTGCAGCTGCCGTGACTTTGTTTGGCTCTGCTGGGCTCAGCACCGCATGTCTTCTTATTTCAGCCCCTTTGTGGAACATGCCATTGTCATAGCAAGGAGGGAAGAGCAACAGAGCTGGTAGAATCACATGATGTCTCCAAAACTCATGCTCAGTTGTGGTGAACAGCATGTCTTCTCACAGGCTATTGACAAGGAAAGTCTCATGGCCAAGCTCAAAGTCAAAAAGGCAGAGAAATATATGAAAACTACATGGAAGACAGCATCGGGCTGATATATTCGATCTAACAGAGAAAGAGATGAATATTGCAAACAAAAATACAGCTTACCATATGCTACTGTTTGCTGCTCATTTGAAAAAAAAAAGCTTAGTCCTCATTCACATTAAGTAAAGAATTACATTTATTTTCTTGGATAAAACATGTCACTATATTTCCCTAAATTTCTGATTAATTGCCCCAGTCATCCACTTCACTGTCACTGTCATTTATAGCTATGTAAACAATTGGGGGTTTCATACGAGTAGAAATATCAAGTAAATATGCAAAGGAATCATCTTCAAAACCAAGGACGCATTACAGTGAAGTTCAGACGTAGGCACAGATGTGGCAGGAGACATTTTCTGTTGAGGTCTGAGTTTAAACAAGTGAGACTGGCAGCAAATGTTTATATGAAAGTGGTTTACATTGTCTTGAATTTTTATACATATTACATATTTGTGTGTTTTATTTTTAAATCTGTTTTTAAAATGAGTTAAACACTGAATTAGAGTTTGAGAGTTTGCTACCATTACATATCTTAATTATATAACTGACATCCACTGCTTTGTTTTCATGCTCACTATGGAGACTTCTCAGTTATTTATTTATTATTCATTCATTCTTCATTCATGTATTATGAAACATTTACTAAACCCGGAGTATGCAGTATATTTGGCATTGGAAAGATATAGATGAATTACCATGTCTCAACTTGAAAGAGATCACCATCTAGTAAAAGATATAGATGTGCAAAAAAATAATTACAAAGTTTAAGTCTAATACAAAGGTGAGAAAAATAGCCCAGCAAAATGGAAAAGAAAGTGCTCTCTAGAGCTGGACAGATCTGGGCTCAGTTCTCAACAGTTACTAGGTGTGTTACCTCAGTCAATCTACAAAACTCCCTGTGGCCAGATGGCTTATCTGTGAAATGAAGACCATTGCACCCATCTTATTTTTTTTAATGAAGATTAGGAATAACATGAGTAAAGCACCAACTATAGTTTCAGAACATTATAAGTGCTCAATAGAGGCAGCATTGCTTATTATTTTATGATATTTACTGGAAGAGCTATAGCAACTCAAAATACTCGTTTGGAGTAATAAGAATTACTTGTTTGGAGTAATGAGACAACATCTGGGAAATTTTTCCAAAAAGGTGACAATTGAGAGGGAAATGCCTTGAATATTCACGGCAAAGGGCAAAATAGCAAGTACAAAGGGACAAACACGCATGAGTTTTGGTGTCACTGAAAAAAGAATGCACAGGGTGGGGGAAGAAATTGGCAAGATGTGAGAGTGTGAACATTGGGTGCAGCAGATCTTAAGACGTGCAGGTGACATAGGAAAGAATGTGAACTGCCAGACTATTTCTTCATAACTATAGCTGTCTGGCTGTTTTCTAACCCCTCTCTCACCTCACCTGGCCCCCTAGAATTTGTGACAAGTAGTTCCAAAAGTCTTTTACTGTGGTCTTTAGGAAACTGTATGTTGTTTTTCCTGCCTGCTTCCCTCTTCCATCCCTGCAGTGCTGGCCACCTCCAACCCCTATCTTGCCTGTCTCTCACCTCTGCTCTGAGAGTTCCTGTTACCTTTCACCATCTGCCTAGTAGGTGAGACATGCCTCATGATGTCTCTGCTTTGTCTTGTGGTTTCTATTTTCAGAAACTAGTTAAGGATCTTATTTTAATGAGCTCATCCTCAAGACCAATTATTTTTATTTTGGAAATATAGACTTCCTTTGAAAATGCTTTCCAAAATATTTTTTTCCTGTTTTCCTCTCTAAACCCTTTCATGTTTCCTTCCTTTTTACTCTTTCCTTTACCATATCTGATTTTGAAATTGCTCATTTCCATTTTTGAACATCTTTTCTCTTCAGCAAAGCATTCCTTTCCTCATCGGCAGGTAGAATTTGAAGTTTCCTTTTTAGTGACTGTTTCTTGCCTTTAATGCTGAAACACTCACAAAACCCCATTCAACTGTAAAACAATTAGGCATTGTTGATTTGCCCCTCTTCTGCTGCTAGCTGGTAAAGAGGGAGCCCTCTGAAGCTTGTTCTGTTGTTTCAGGAAAGCACAAGAACTGTTCACATGGAGGAATCTATACCCTACCTCTGGGGTCTATACATAATATGGAAGAAAATTGCTTTAGAACCAGCTTTACAAACCTGTTGTCTAGTGACAATGTGGGTTGCTCACATTCACTCTCTCTCTTTTCCTGGTTATCCGTGTTTCTATCATTTAGTTTTGCTCTCCCTTCCTCATTATTTGAAGTTGACCTACATTCTAAAGATTTCGTCGAGAGTCTCCACTTATTTGTTTCCTATTTGTAACTTTTCAATTCTGTGTGATTTCCTTTGTCTCACATTTTTATGGTCTTCTCTTTACGATTTCTGCAAATTTTTTAGAGGCTTCTTCACATTGTTCTAAATATCTTCAGCCTTACATTTCATATGAAACAATTTCAGACAATCTCAGGGATATTTTAGGCAGTACATGTATTCTTAAAATTAGCTTTATTGCCTGGCACAGTGGCTCATGCCTGTAATTCCAGCAGTTTGGGAGGCTGAGGCGGAAAGATCACTTGAACCCAGGAGTTCGAGACCAGCCTGGTAATGTAGTGTGAGACCTTGTCTCTATTAAAAAAAAAAAAAAAAAAAAAGTAACAACTAGCTGAGCATGGTGGTATGCACCTGTAGTCCCTCCCAGCTACTCAGGAGGCTGAGGTGGGAGAATCACTTGAGCCTGGGAGGCAGAGGTTGCAGTGAGCAGCACTGGAGGCAGAGGTTGCAGTGATCACACTACTGCACTCCAGCCTAGGTGACAGAGAAAGACCTTGTCTCAAAACAAGCAACAAAAAAGTCAGCTTTACTGAAGTATAATCTACATAGAATAAAAGTCAAGAATTTAAGTGTATAATTTGAAAAATTTTGACAAATATATACACCTATGTAATCACTAGTCCAATAAAAATACAGAGCATTCTCATCAACTCTGAAGCTGGTCTCCTTCCTGCCTTCTCCACCAACCCTTTGCCTCTACAGCAGTTCCTGCCATGATTAATCTGTTTTCTGTCACTATAGTTTTGCCTTTTCAAAAATTTTATACAGATGGAATCACACGGTATGACACAATAGTGTTTTGTGTTCAGCTTCTTTCATTTAGCATAATATTTCTGAGATTCATCTATTTTGTTGCATATATCTGTAATTTATTGCTTTTTGTGACTGAGTAGTAGTATATTGTATGACTGTAACACAATTTGCTTATCCATTTAACAGTTTATGGACATTTGTGTTGTTTCAAGTTTTGGAATAATATGAATCAAGTTGTTGTGAAGATTTGCATGCAAGTTTTCTTGTGAACATATTTTCACTTCTCATGGATAAGTACCTAGAAGCAAGATTGCTGGATCATATGGATCAAGATTGCTGGATAAGTGGCTGTATCATTTGCATTCCCTACAGAAATACACAAGAGCTGTCTCTCTTCCCCAATACTTGGAATCAACATTTTTTTTTTTAATTAACTTATCCCATGAGTTTGTAATGCTCTTATTGTGGTTTTACTTTACATTTCCATAATGATTAGTGATTTGGAACATGTCTCACACGCTTATGTGCCATTTATATATTTCCTTGGTGACATGAATATTTAAATATTTTGCCTGTTTAAAAATTTTTTTAATTTTTAAATCTTATTTATTTTTATAATTTTTTAATTTTTAAGAATAAAAAACACTTTTAGGTTCAGTGGTACATGTGCAGGTTTGTTATATAGGTAAACTGTGTATCATGAGGGGTTTGGCATACAGATAATTTCTTCACAATGGTAATAAGCATAGTACCTGACAGGTATTTTTTTCTGATCCTCTCTTTCCTTCCACCCTTCACCCTCAAGTAGGCCCCAATGTCTGTTGTTCCCCCCCTCATATTTATGTGTTTTCATTGTTTAGCTCCCATTTATAAGTGAGAATATGTGGTATTTGGGTTTCTGTTCCTGCATGAATTTGCTTGGGATAATGGCCTCCACCTCCATCTATGTTGTTGCAAAGAACATGATTCTGTTCTTTTTATGGCTGCATAGTATTTCATGACATATATGTACCACATTTTCTTTATCCATTCTACCATTGATGGGCATTTAGGTTAATTCCATGTCTTTGTTATTGTAAAATAGTTTTTGTCTGTTTTTTAAAATAGGATTTTTTTGTCTTTTTGTTATTGGTTTATAAGATTTATTTATAAATTCTGGATGAAAATCTTTTATCAGCTATATTTGGCAAATGTTTTCTCCCAATCTTCACTTATCTTTTCATTTTTTAAAATGATGTCCATTGAAGAGAAAATATTTAATTTGGGAAAATTTATCAACTTTTATGGTTTGGGCTGTTTGTATCTTATCTAAGAAATCTTTGCCTAATCAAAGGTCACAAAGAGTTTTTCTTATATTTGCTAGTAGCAGTTTTATAGTCTTTGTTCTTACATTTAGGTCTTATGCTCCATTTTGAATTATTGCTTTATAAATAGTGTGAGGTAATATTTGAAGCTAATTTCTTTTTGCGTTTGGATTTCAAAAGGTTCCAATACCATTTGTTGAAAGAAAGCCTATTATTTCCTTTAGTGAATTACCTCAGCAGATGTGTCAAAAATCAATTGATTCCACATTTGTGATATTTCTGGACTGTATCTTCTGTTTCCTTAATCTGTATCTCTTCTTTTGTCAATATTACATTGTCTTATTACTATAGTAACAAGTAAACCTTGAAATCAAATAGTATTAAGTCTTGACATTTTGTTCTTTTCCCAGTTGATTTCAGCTGTTTTAAGTCTTTTGCATTTCCACATAACTTTTAGCATTAACTTGTTAAATTTTTTTAAAGCTTGGACTTTGATTAAAATTACATTGATTGTATAGATCAATGGAAGAGAATCGACATCCTAAATTACTGCAACTTTTGGTCTTTGAACATGTTTTGACTCTCCATTTATTTAGGTATTCTTTCATTTTTGGGGCATGATATTTTATAGTTTTCAATGTACATGTCTTGCACATAAGTAGAATTTTTGTTACTTAAAATTTCTAATTTTTCATTGGAAATAACTAGAAATATAATTGTGATTTATAATGATTTTGTATTATGTAACCTTGCTGAACTCACTTATTAGTTCTAGTTGCTTTCTTGTATATTCCTACTATTTTCTACATACAAGATCCTGCCATCTGTGAATAAAGTCAGTTTCATTGCCCCCCTTTTCAATCAGCATTCTTTTCATTTTTAATTGCCTCATTACACTGGCTGAGACTTCCAGTACAATGTTGAACAGCAGGGGACAGAACAGCTATCCTTTTTTGTTTCCAATAGTAAGGGGAAAGCATTCAGTTTTTCATCACTTGGTATGATGTTAGTTATAGGGTTATTTTTGTAAATTTCTTCTATCACGTTGAAAAAGTTTTCTTCCATTCTAGTTTTTTGAGCATTTTTATTATGATTGGATGTTGCATGTTATCAAATTCTATTTCTGTATTTATAAACATTGTCATATAGCTTTTTATTTTTAGCCTACTAATATGGTTAATTTTATTGATTGACTTTTAAAATATTAAACCAAACTATCATTCCTATGACCAATACCACTTGATCACATATTGTTCTTTTGTTTTTATTTTTTAGAAATGGGGTCTCTCTATGTTGCCTAGACTGGAGTGCAGTGGCTATTTACAGGCATGATGATGGCATTCAACACCCTGAAAATCCCAGACACAAGCGATCCTCTGGCCTCAGCCTTCCAAGTACCTGGGACAACAGGTTTGTACCACTGCACCCAGCTTGCTTTGCTCTTTTTATTTATGGCTAATGGCTATTTACAGGCATGATGATGGCATTCAACAGCCTGAAAATCCCAGACACAAGCGATCCTCTGGCCTCAGCCTTCCAAGTAGCTGGGACAACAGGCTTGTACCACTGCACCCAGCTTGCTTTGCTCTTTTTATTTATGGCTAAATTTGATTTGCTAAAAGTTTTTAAGAATTTTTTTTTTCATGAAGGAAATTAGTGTAGTGTTCTTTGTGATATCTTTGCCTGGTTTTGGTGTCAGGATAATGCTGGCCTCATAAAGTGAATTGAGAAGTAGTCTCTTCTATTCTCTGTAAGAGTTTGTGTAGTATTGACCTTTTTTTCATCCTTGAATATTTGGTAGAATTCACCAGTAAAACCACCTGAGTGTGAAGTTTTTTGTTGAAAAGTTTAGTAACGTGAATTATTTTCTTTAATACTTATAAAATTCTTCAGGTTATCTATTTTATTCTGGAGTAAGCTCAGATGGTTTATATCTTTCAGGAAACTTTTATGTTTCTTTTTAAGATGCAAAATACATTAGTATAAAGTTGTTCACTATATCTTTTTATTACCTTTTTAATATTGATAGGATTTAGTGATGTCCTTGCTTTCATTTTTGATATTGGTAATCCATAAGTTTTTCTTTTTCTTCTCGATTATTGCATCTAGAACTTACCAATTTTATTGAATTTGTCAGAAAACAAGGTTTAGGTTTCATTGTCTTTTTTCTATTAATGTTGATTTTATATTTCATTGACTTCCACTTTTATCTTTACTGTTTCTTTCCTTGCATTTTCTTTAGGTTTAACTTGTTCTTTTTATTCCAGTTTTTTAGGGTAAAAGTTGAAATTATTTGATATTTTTCTACATATAAACTATATAAACTGTAATGCTATAAATTTTACACTAAGTTCTGCTTTTTTTTTTTTTGCACCACAGAGCATTTAATGTGTTGTTTTCATCTTCATTCAGTTCAAATATTTTTTAACTTCCCTTCTGTTTGTTTCTTTGACCCAAGGGTTGTCAAGAAGTATCTTCTTTAATATCCATATATTTAAGCATTTTTAAAAGATCTTTCTGCTATTGACCCCTAGTGTTATATCATTGTGTCATAGAATATACTTTGAGTGATTTTAATCTTCTCACATACATTGAGGATTATTTTTTAGTCTGGAATATGTCTATTTTGGTGAATGCTTTATGTGCACTTATAAACAATATATTTATTATTGAAATTGTTGGGTGGAGTGTTCTAAAATCTCAATTAGGATTATGTGTCAGATAGCATTTTTGTTTCTCATGTACTTATCTTTTGTGCTTTTCTTTATTTTTCTGTGTATCCAAATTTCTATTGGGTATCTTTTTTTCTGTTTAAGAAATTTCCTTTAACACTTCTTATAGTACTGTGTTTATTTTGATTACATTTTTTTCGTTAACACTTCTTACAGTACTGTGTTTATTTTGATTACATTTTTGAAAGATTTTTTTTTGGGAGGGGGATAAGGTATTCTAGGCTGTCACCACTTTCTAGCTTGCATAAGTTCTTGTGAGATGCCTGATTTAATTCTTAATGCTTTGTGTATAATTTTGTTTCTTTCCTCTTCCACCACCAGCTGCTTTAAAACTTTTTTCTTTTATTACTCATTTTCCAAAATATCCTACTGATGTGCCTTGCCATTATTTTAAAATATTTATTCTTTTTGGGTTTTGTTGACATTGTTGAGATAATTTTCATCTTATTTGGAAATTTTTTGGCCTTTACCTCTTTAAAAAATTACTTTTCAGTTCACTCTTGTTCTTTCTTTCTGGAATTCCAAATACACCTATATGTTATACTGCTTTATATTACACCAAAGTTCTGGAAATTAGATTTTACCTTTTGTTCCTCTGTACTTCATTTTGGGTAGTTTCTGTTCCAAATTGCGCATTCTCCTGGGGCCCAACAATGTTAAGATGGAGGCACAAGTGATGCACAGGATGCTGCCACCAGGCTGAGGAGCAAGTGAGACACAGGCTGTTGCATCCAGGGCTGAGGCACAAGTGAGGCATGAGCTAACACGACCAGGGCTGAGGCATGAGTGAGGTGTGGGCCACAGCCACTAGGTAGCTAAGTTCTGCTGGGGCTAAAATCTGAGACACATGTATGTTCTTCACAATCAACTGAGCCTGCTGCCACTGAAGGCAGCCCAGCCTTCCAGAGTGGCAGAGCAGTAGTATGGCAGCTACCATCCTTCACTTGGGAATTCTGCTGGGAGGCTGGGGATTGCCCTACCCCTACTTACCATCTACGGTGCATGCACACAACATTAGGGAGGCTGAGGACAAGCCTGCTTGGCCTGGCTTTGCTCCCTGAGGCCAGGGCATACAGTCCAGGGTCCAGGGAATTGCCCAGACCAGTTCACCACCATTGGCATCTGAGCACTCTTCTAAGGAACCAGAAGTTGGGTCTCCACACCATACTGCTCCCCTGCAGCTAACACCTCCTGACACATAACACCTGTGGGATGGAGACTGGCCTACCAAGCCCATTGCAGCCACTTCCAACACCAGTGTGCACAGTTGAAGATCCAGAAGGTTGTGCCACCACTACCACTGACATTGCCTATGCCATGCTGGCTGCCTAGGCACTGAAGAACCTTCCTACCCACAGAGCCCACTGCTGCCACGACCAGTATCCAAGTAGGTCCCCTGGAGTCTCAAGAATCGGCCTTTTTGGACCTGCTAACACCAGTGCCAGCATTTGCTGCCCTGGAGCCCAAGGACAGACATGCTCAGTCCTCCACTGCCACCACTAGGGCCCAAAGACTGCCCATTTGACATCCCATTCCCCAGCAAAACTTCACCTCAGCCCTCACTAGTAACCACACCCTATGCCACTGAAGAAATAACAGATGCTGCTTACAGCTGAAGAAATCATACAGAGACTACACTATGGCATGTACCCAGAATCAAAGTTCCCTACACAACCAACACCACAAATACATCTTCAGGAAGAAAAGCGTCCTCTATGAAGACAAATTCCAAAAAAATTGGAAGATCCAGATGTGAAGACATAAACTTAAGGACACAGGAAGCATGAAAAAGCAAGAAAATAAGATACCTTCAAAGGAACACAGTAATTCTTAAGCAACAGATCCCAATCAGAAAGTAATTCACAAAATCCTGAAAAAAGAATTGAAAATGTTAATGGTAAAGAAGCTGAGTCAGGCATGGTGGCTCACACCTGTAATCCCAGCACTTTGGGAGGCCGAGGTGGATGGATCACGAGGTCAGGAGATCGAGACCATCCTGGCTAATGCGGTGAAACCCCATGTCTACTAAAAATACAAAAAAAAATTAGCTGGGTATGGTGGCAGGCACCTGTAGTCCCAGCTACTTGGGAGGCTGAGGCAGGAGAATGGCGTGAACCTGGGAGGCAGAGCTTGCAGTGAGCTGAGATCGCACCACTGCACTCCAGTCTGGGCGACAGAGCAAGACTCTGTCTCAAAAAAAAAAAAAAAAAAAAAAAGAAGAAGAAGCTCAGTGAGAAAAGAGTTCTAAAAAACAATACAAAGAAATAGGAAAAACAATTTAGCATATAAATGAGAGCTTTATCAAAGAAATAGATATTATTTTAAAAAACCAGCAGAAATTCTAGAACTGAAAAATTCATTGAATGAAACACAAAATACATTCAGAAGTTTCAGTAGTAGACTAGATCAGGTAGAAAAAGGAACATAAAAAATTGAAGACATTTCTTCTGAAATAACCCTGTCAGACAAAAATAAAGAGAAAAGAATAATCAAAGCCTTCATAACATATGAGACACCCTAAAGTGACCAAATATTTGAGTTATTGGTATCCTGGAAGATTAAGAGAGAACAAATGGGTTAGGAAACCTACTAACAGGTGAAAATCTCTTAATTCTAGCAAGAGATTTAGACATCCAAATATCCCCAAACAAATACAATGTAAAAAGGCCTTTTCCCATGGCACTTTCTAGTCAAACTGTCTAAATTCAAAGACAAACAGAGAAATCTAAAAACAGCAAGAGAAAAGCATCTAGTGACCTATAAAGGAATCCCCATCAGACTAACAGTAGATTTCTCAGTAGAAATCTTATAAGCTAGGAGAGAATGGGATGACATATTCATGTGCTGAAAGAAAAAAATATTGCCAACCAAGAAACAATATTCAGCATGATCTATCTTCATTTATCTTTTATCAATGAAAGAGAAATAGTCTTCCTCAGACAAACAAAGCTGAGAATATTCATCACCACTAGACCAGCCCTACAAGGCATGCTCAAGTGATTCCTAAATCTGGAATCAAAAGAATGACAATTACCAATGTGAAAACACGTGAAAGTATAAAACTTACTGGCTAAGCAAACATGTAAAAGAGGAAGACAAAAAACTAGAATGTTACCAATACAGAAAAATCATCAACCTACAATGACAAACATTAAGAGAGAGAGAGAAAAAAGGTAAAGAATACACCAAACAATCAGAAAACAATCAACAAAATGACAGAAACAAAACCTCACATATGAAAAGTAACTTGGAATGTAAACCAATTCTCCACTTAAAAGATAGACTGGCTGAATGGATTTTTAAAAATGATCCAACTATACGCTACCTACAATAAATGCATTTTACCTGTAAAGACACATATTGACTGAAAATAAAGAAACAGAAAAATATATTTCATGCAAACAGAAACCAAAAGCAAGCAGGAGTAGCTATACTTATATCAGATAAAACAGACTTTATAAGTCAGAAACACCAATTTAAAAAGAGACAAAGAAGGTCACTACATAATGGTAAGTGATCAGTCCAGTAAGAAGATAAAAATTTCTAAATATATATGCACCCAGCATGGAAGCAGCAAAATTCATAAAGCAAATATTAGTTGTTCTAAAGAAAGAAACAGACTTCAATACTACAATATTGGGAGACTTCAACACCCCACTCTCAGCATTAGGCAGAATATCTAGACAGAAAATAAGCACAAAGAAACACTGGATTCAAACTGATCTTTATCCCAGATGGACCTAACAGACATCTACAGAATATTTTATTAAATAACTGCAGAGTATACATTTTTCTTATCAGCACATGGAACGTTCTCCAGATTGCCCATATGTTAAGACACAAAACAAGTCTTAACAAATTAAAAAAAAAAATCACACACCAGGGCCTGTTGTGGGGTGGGGGAAGGCGGGAGGGAAAGCCTTAGGAGATATACCTAATGTAAATGATGAGTTAATGGGTGCAGCACACCAACATGGCACATGTATACATATGTAACAAACCTGCATGTTGTGCACATGTAACCTAGAACTTTAAAGTATAATAATAAAAAAAAAACAGAAAATCATGTCAATTATCTTCTCAGAACACAATGAAATAAAACTAGAAATCACTATCAAAAGGAATTTTGGAAAATATACAAATATAGGGAGATTAAACATCATACTAGTGAACGACCTTTTGGTCAATGAAGTAATTAAGATGGAAATAAAAAAGTTCATGAAACAAATGAAAATGGAAGCACAACTTACCTTAACCTGTGGGATAGAGCAAAAGCAGTGCTAAGAGGGACGTTTATAGCATTAAATGCCTACATCAAAAAGGTAGAAAGATTTCAAATTAACAATCTAATGATACACCTCAAGGGACTAGAAAAGCAAGAACAATGCAAATCTAAAATTAGCAGAAGGAAATAAGTAATAAAGATTAGAGCAGAATTAAATAAAACAGACTAAAAAAATTACAAAGAATCAATGAAACAAAATTATTTCTCTGAAAAAATAGACAAAATTGACAAACTGCTAGCTCAGTTAGTCAAGAAAAGACCCAAATAATCAAAGTCAAACATAAAAAGGAGACATTACAGCTGATATACAAAAATACAAATGATCATCAGAGACTATTATGAACAACTATATACTAACAAACTGGAAAACCTGGAGGAAATGGATAATTTCCTGGAAGCATACATCATATCAAAATTGAATCAGGAAGACATAGAAAACCTGACCAGGCCAATAATGAGAGTAAATCGGTAATAAAAAGTGTCTTCAAAAGAGAAGCCCAATACTAGATGGATTTGGTAGATTGCCAAATTCTGCCAAATATATAAAAAAGAACTAACACTAATCCTTCTAAAACTATTCCAAAAAATTGAAGAGAAGAAAATTCTCAACTCATTCTGTGAAGCAAACATCACCCTGATAACAAAACGAGACAAATACACAACAAAAATGAAAACCTTAGGCCAACACCTCTAATGAACATAGATGCAAAAGTCCTCAACAGAATATTAGCAAACCAATTCCAGAGCATATAGAAAAGAAAAAACACCATGGTCAAGTGGGTTTCATACTAGGAATGCAAGGATTGTTCAATGCACACAAATCAATAAATACGCATCACATCCATAGAATGAATGATTAAAAGCCATATTATTATGGTTTTGCATCTCAACAGATGCAAAAGAAACATTTGATAAAATTAATATCCCTTCATGATGAAAACTCTCAACAAATTAGGCATAGAAGGAACATATCTCAAAAATAATAAAGGCCATATATAACAAACCCACAGCTAACATTATACTGAACAGGGAAAAGCTGAAAGCCTTTTCTCTAAGCACTGTAACAAGGATACCCACTTTCACTACTTCTATTCAACATAGTACTGGACCTCCTAGCCAGAGGAATCAGGCAAGAGAAAGAAAGAAAAGACAAATTATTAAAAAGACAAATTAGAAAGAAGGTAGTCAACTTGTCCCTCTTTGCAGATGACGTTATCTTATATTTATAAAACTTAAAAGACTCCACTTAAAAACTCTTAAAATTGTTAAATAAATTCAGTAAGTTTACTGAAAGTAAGGTTACAGGCTGAGAAATCAATATAGCAAAATCAGTAGCATTTCTATACACCAATAATGAAATAGCCAAAAGTGGAACCAAGAAAACAATCCCATTTACAATAGCTATAAAAGTAAACTTAAATTACTAAGAATAAATTTAGCCAAGGAGGTGAGAGATTTCCACAAGAAAAGCTGCAAAGCACTGATGAAAGAAATTGAAGAGGACACAAAGAAATGGAAAGGCATTCCATGCTCATGGTTTGGAAAAATTAATATGGTTATAATGAAAACACTGTCCAAAGCAACTTACAGTTTCAATGCAATCCCTATCAATTTTAAAATACCAATTTTACTTTTCACAGAAATAGAAAAAAAAAAACCCTGTAATTTGTATAGAACCACAAAAGAGACAGAATAGCCAAAACAACCTGAGAAAAGAGAACAAACCTGGAGGAATCACTCTACCTGGCTTGAAAATATATCACAAAGCTATAGGAACAAAAACAGCATGGTACTGATATAAAAACAGATACTAGACCAATGAAACAGAATACAGAGCAGAGAAATAAATCCACTTCTTTACAGCCAAATAGTCTTTGACAAAGCCATCAAGTACATACATTAGAGAAAAAAACAGCATCATCAGTAAATGGTGCTGGGAAAACTGTATAACCATATGTAGAAGAAAGAGACTGGACCCCCATCTCTCAACATATACAAAAATCAACTCAAAATGGAATAAAGACTTAAATGTAAGACCTAAAACTGTAAAACAACTAGAGTAAAATGGAAGGAAGACTCTTCAAGTCATTGGTCTAGGCAAAGATTTTATGGCTAAGACTTCAAAAGCACAGGGAACAAAAATAAAAGCAGACAAATGGAACTATATTAAACTAAAAGCTTCTGCACAGCAAAACAAACATTCGACAGAGTGAAGAGGCAACATCTTGAATAGGAGAAAATATTTACAATTATTCATCTGACAGAACACTAATATCCAGAGTATATGAGGAACTCAACTCAGTAGTAAAAAACAAACGAACAAACAAAAACAAAAAATAATCCCATTAAAAATGGACTAAGGACATAAATACATATTTCTCAAAAGAAGACTTACAAATGGCCAACAGGTATATGAAAAAATGCTCAGCATCGCTAATCCTCTGAGAAATACAGACCAAAACCACAATGAGATATCATCTTATCCCAGAAAGGCTATTTTTAAAAACACAAAAATAGCAGGTGTTGGCAAGGATGTGGACAAAGGGAACTCTTATACACTGTTCATGGAAATGTAAATTAGTAAAGCCACTGTGGAAAACAGTATGGAGATTTCTCAACGATCTAAAAATATAACTACCATACAACCCAGTAATCCCACTACTGAGTATTTATGCAAAGGAAAATAAATTCATATATCAAAAGGATACATGTGCTTCCATGTTTATTGCTGCATTACTTAAAACAGGAAAGATATGGAATCAACCTAAGTGTCTATGAATGGATAAATGGATGAAGAGAATGTAGTATATATACACAAGGAAATACTATTTGGCCATAAAAATAATGAAATATTATTATTTGCAACAGCATGGATGGAACTGGGGGTCGTTATGTTAAGTGAAATAAGCCAGGCACAGAAAGACAAATATAGCATGTTCTCACTCATAGCTGGGAGCCAAAAAGGTGATTGCATAGAGGTAGAGGGTGGAATGAAAGATACCAGAGGCTGGGAAGGGTATACGGGTGCTAGAGGGGATAGAGAGATTGGTTAATGGATACAAATATGTAGTTAGACAGAAGGAATCATTTCTACTCATTGATAGAAGAGTAGGGTGACTGTAGTTAACAACAATGTGTTGTAGTTTAAAAATAGGTAGAAGAGAGGACTTAAAAGGTTCCCAACACATAGAAGTGATAAATACTCACATGAAGGATATCCTAAATACCCTGACTTGATCATTACACACTCTATTTATGTAACAAAATTTTACATATACCCCCCAAATATATACAAATATAATGTGTCAAAAAATTTTTAAGTGACTGTTTGAATTGCCTTGTCTGCTAATTGTATCATTGTTATTATTATGGTAATGTTTCTTTTGACTGATTTCCTTTTTACTGGTTATGAATACTATTTTTCTACCTCTTTGTATGCCAGGTAATTTTTGATTAGTTGCCAGACATTGTGAACTTTACATTGTAAAGTGTTAGATTTTGTCGTATTCCCTTAATTCATGTGGGAATTTATTCTAGCATAGTTTTATTTGGAATCAGTTTGCTCCTTTTGAGCCTTGGCATTAAGGACCAAGCACAGTATTTAGTCTCAGACCAACTTAGCCTTATTTCTAAGGCTGGTCCCTTCTGAGGATTCTAGCCTGTGGCTTGTGTATTATGAGATGATTCTACTTCTGCAGGTGTGTATGCAAATGCCTTCCAGTCCTGAGTAAAGTCCAGAAACTGTCAAGCCAAGTGTTTTCTGGTGTTTCCTACCACACTCCTGGCCCCCAGACATGGAATTTCACTCCATGCATGCACAGATCAGCTGAAGATTTTATGAGTCCTCTGAATGTCTTGACCGACCATTCTCCCTCTCCCACTCCCTTTAACTACCTTTACTCTGGTATTCTGCTCCACAAATTCTAGCTGATGTGGTCTCCCAAATTCTGATATATGCCTGCTCACTTAGTAAGAAGGCCAGGCTCTCTCTTTTTGTTTTTCTCTCTGTCCCGTGGACTAGAAATGGCCTCTAAGCAGTAGGTTAGTGTGATCACAGGATTCAACTTTTTTGCTTTGCTTTTCTCCGCAACCATAGTCCTGTAATGCCTGTTGTCTGATGCTTAAAGCAAATTATTTTATATATTTTGTCTGGGTTTCTAGTTGGTTTTGGTGGGATATTTTCACATCTGGACCTTGCTGATTCTGGAGGGACTGTCCTTCCTGGGGGTAGCTAATTCCTAGAGACAGCAAACATATATCCAAGACACCTCTTAGATATGAAAACCAACTAAGCAAGAGCCCATATCCCAAACTCTTCCTTTGTCAGGATTTTACACTAAGCCACTATTTTCCTACTGTAATCACCCTGTTACCAAGTACTAGACAACTAGAGATAGGCTTTATACCCCAGAACCCAATACAATTACTCAAACAACCAATCCTAAACCAGCTTACCCTGCTCTGCCCATTTCTGCCCATGGAACCATAATAAAGGCTCTTGGCCACGTTTTCTTTCCACTCCCTTTGCCTCCAGACTGATCCTGATGCTTCCTCATGTGGCCCCCCAATATGATGTGGTATGCTCCCTCCTCTTGGGAAATGTAACAAACTGTCTTTTCAATAGTAATCCTCTCCCGATCTGTTGGCCTCATCATACTTAAATAATGAGACCTACATTTTGGGCCAGGCATAGTGGCTCATGTCTGTAATCCTAGCACTCTGGGAGGCCGAGGTGGGTGGATCACCTGAGGTCAGGAGTTTGAGACCAGCCTGGTTAATATGGTGAAATCCCCGTCTCTACTAAAAATACAAAAATTACCCGGGCTTAGTGGCGGGTGTCTATAATCCTAGCTGCTCAGGAGGCTGAGGCAGGAGAATTGCTTGAACCCAGGAGGCGGAGGTTGCAGTGAGCCGAGATTGCGCCATTGCACTCCAGCCTGGGTGACAGAGCGAGACTCTGTCTCCTGAAATACAAAACGAAATAAAACCTACGTTTTGAAACACCTTCAGGCTTGCAAGCAGAGTTTAGTATATATATTTTCTTAAACAAGAGAATGTCTGTAAGCACCTGGCACATAATAATTATTGAACAAATGATTATTCATTCCTTAATTTGATCTCAGTATTTTAACACCTTGTCTTAACTCTACTTATTGACTTCAGTTTCCTTATTTATTTAATGCTCCCATTCTTCCCCTGTCTGCCACCTCCACTGCTGCTAGTATACTCACCTTGAAATCTCTATCTAGTTCTTCATATTTTGAGTATTACTCCTTACTTAAAATAATCTTTTACATTTAAATCTAAACCAGTCTATGACACATTGCAATGGCAAAGGCTTACTTGCTGAGCATTTTATCTTTCATTTTTGTAGAATTAAAAAAATTTAGTATATTCATTTTTCAAATCTCTCTAAGTAACCTGCGGCTATCAATTTTTTTTCTTATTTCCATCCTATCCCAATTTCCCAAGGTATAATAAAAATTTCCTTCAAGCTTTAGCTTTACTATATTTAGTAAATATATAAAACTTCTGAATATCATTTCTTTTCCAATTTTTGGGGTAGCATACACATTAACAAATCTGATCATTTTCAATCCTGAATTTCTCCCAGAATGACCTCCCATATAGTCTGTCTTGCAAAAAAGTAACTATAATTGTAAAATGTGAAAAATTTAGAGCAATGTAATACTTATCTTCCTTTTGCTTTACTTGATTCCTTAATTATGAGAAGGGTTTGGGTTTAGCATATTACTTTTTAGACATCTAACCAAACTAACAATTTAAGTATTTTCCCTCATTACTTACATAAGTTGTAATAAAACCTGGAATTTATGGTAATTATTAAGATGTCGACAGCTGTATTAAAATAACTTAGTAGATTTGGCATGAAAGCAAATGCCAGGTCTGAGGATGAAGACAATTCCACCAGCAAACACTGCTACTTTGATTCATTGTGACTAGCATTGGGTAGGTTGCATACCCTTCCATGTAATTCATAAGAGATTTAGGATCTGAACACTCAAAATCCTCGTGTGTTGAAATTTTACATACGTTTTTTACTGGTTCTTATCTGAAGGACTCAATTCATTTTGCAATCCTCTAAAGACTTATTTGTGGTAATGGGTGAGTCTGATTGGCAGGTGCAATACTGTAAAGTGGAAACTGGGACACAGATACTTTTCTCAATTTTACTTTGGTGAAGAGATTCTAGCAGCATGAGAATGACAGATATTTGGATCTTTAGGGAATAATGGAAAAACTGAAGGATATTATTATCACAGAATGGATTTTGTGTCATTTTTGGTTCTCACTACAAAGGAAGATGTGAAAATGTGGTTTGCTAACTTTAGTACTTCATAGCCTAAGACAGTCTATGCTTTAAACCCCAGAGAGTTTTTTTAGTACTTATTTCCCACACTCTGAAGCCTAAGTGATCATTAGATGAAAACTGAATTTTTATTTTTTTATCCTATTATACCAGATTCTCAGGAAAAAAGCTACTGACATATACTGTGACAAGTCACTGCATCCAAAATGCTATTTAAATTGTTGCTGAGTGGGTTAATTTTTATAAAATCAATTTCATGTTGTGGCTGGTGATAAACCTTGGCAATCTTTGATTGATATGTCTTTTTTTTAACCCACTTTGCCTAAAAATTAACCTTCTTTAAAATTGATACCTGTATCTCATCGCTTTTAATTTGTATAAGTGAATTTTAAAAAGACTCTTTTTTTTAATCACCACATGACTGTCTTTTCTAGGAACAGTGGTGGCACCATAATATGCTTTTTTACTTCAGGGATATATAAAACCGTTCCCATGATCATATGTCCAATTTGCATGTGAATCAGCGCACATTGAAAGTAACCCTGACTAGGAATGTTTTCATTTTGTTTTTGGAGAGTACACTCTAAGATAAATAATAAGGTTTACATTGTGTTTTCAGAGTATAGAGTCTAGATCAGTGACAAGCAACCTAAGACATACCTAACAAATTTTAATTGCCACCTTTTACCTCATACAAAGCATCACAATTCAGACAGTGTAATAAAAATCTCCAGAAATCGACTTTATAATTTTTTTTCCAGAAGCTGTGGATTGGAGGGGATTAACATGTGAGTGAGTCAAGCCCCATCCCAAGTCCCGTAGCATATTGGGGATTCATACAGTCAAGTGAAGAGTGAAACAACCAGAACCACCTATCTGCGTGGGAATGTAGTGGACCTTTGTGATGTTCTAGGGTTTAGAACTGCTCTTCTCAGCCTGAGCAAAGCAAAGAGAAAATCCTGCAAACATGGGAGGAAATCCAAAACAAATAAGGGCAATGGTCCACCTCTTACATATCTTGCGTCTTCAGTGCCTTTTACAGTGTCTGGCACAGAGTAAGCAGTTAGTTGTGGTGAATGGAATGATCTAACTCTAGGCCATCTTTGTTGTTAATTGTATTAACATGAGACATTTTGGACAACGCATTTCAGCTTATTAAAACTCAGTTTCACCATATGAAATGTGGAAATAATAATAATCCCTACCTGAAAAGGATATTTTTGGAGCACTAATGATATAATGCATTTGTAAGAATGTATCTTTCTGATGAAATTCAATGAGAATATTTTTATTTTACCAAAAACAGTATTTAGGTCTAGTCGTTTTATTTTTTCTGAACTGGACTATATAGAAAAACATTTTTTAATATTAACAATCTAATTTCCATAAAGCCTGCCCCCTAAGGATGTTTCCTTGTATTATGTATCACCCTTTATGTTTCTTACATAGTTGTGTTTAAATAGGTAAACTTATTTGTGCCTCTCACTAGCCTTGTTATATAAAGCCAAGATATCTTCATTCCAAAAAGATAAACTAACTAGTGATCAGTTTTTTAGATGCCCCTGAAAAAAAGAGAAATGATTTCAGGCTGTGAACTTGTCAAACACCTTAAGCCTCTTTGCACTGGTAGCCATACCTTGCTTCTATGATACAGTGACCCTATCGGGGTAGAAAGGCAATGGCGCTCCTTGGAGTTGTACATTGCCTGAAAATATTCTTGCTTCCCAGATATGACACACCAGGGACATGTTTTGGGACACCCAGAAGCAATCTGAGAGCTAATCTTTAGTGGCACTTAGTACTTGTCAGCTTTGTGGCATATCTCTATGTCTCCCTTTGATCCAGCCTCCTCTCTGTAGCTGGAGAATCATCTTTCTGTAACTCATCCTTGAGAGAGGTGCTCACCTCCCTCACCAGCCTCCATCCTTCGAGGGCTTAAAAGCTTTCACTTTCTGGCTGGGCGCCGTGGCTCACACCTGTAATCCCAGCACTTTGGGAGGCAGAGGTGAGTGGATCACCTGAGGTCAAGAGTTTGAGAACAGCCTGGCCAACATGGCAAAACCCTGTCTCTACTAAAAAATACAAAATTAGCTGGGCATGGTGGTGCGTGCCTGTAATCCCAGCTTCTTGGAGGCTGAGGCCGGAGAATCTCTTGAACCCAGGAGGCGAGTGAGCCGAGATAGCGCCATCCCACTCCAGCCTGGGCAACAAGAGGGAAACTCCATCTCAAAACAAACAAACAAAAACTTTCATTTTCTTATTGCCCCCATAATAACGTTCCAACTTCTTGGCATAGAACAGAAAGAACTTTATTACTCAACTCCTGGTTCAGGCTTCCAATTTCTGACCTTCACCCTATCACATACACACTACCACAAGCCAGTTTATGCTGCAACATACTGAATTATTTTCAGTTTCGGGAAAGCTTCCTTCTACACATACACTTACACATTCATGCACATACCCACAGAGACCCTTGTTCCTTGTAATTCCTACACATCCTAAAGTTCCAGCTTACATGTCATTTCCCACAGGAATCCTTTCTGGATTGGCTAGGACAGAGTTAGGTACCCTTCTATATATGACCGTAGTTCATAGTAATTTCTATGTACATAACACTTCTCTATCATATCATAATAGCTTGTTCTACTGTATGGGATGTGTCAGTTTACTGGCCACCTTCCTTCTAATCTCAATGAAGGCAGAGACTATGTCTCATTCACCATGATATTCTAAAAGTCTAGCACTGTTCCTCATTTGTTGTAAATGCTTAATTTGTATTGAGCAATGGCTGGATGGCTGAATGCGTTATTAGTTTTATGTGGTATCCTCGGAAAATTGTGAATCTGTGCTTATACATCAGCAAAACAAGGAGTCAAATTTGAATAACTTCTAACACCCTATAGATTATAAAGAAATTATAATTATGCCTTATTTTTAAAATAATTTCAGGTTTGGCAACACAAATAATACTGAATCTTTATACCTAAGCATTCCAACCCAATAAATGTCAAACAGTGATGGTCACACCCCATTGAGGCATATGGAACTTAACTGCAAGAATTTTAATAGAGTCAAGAATGCTGAACATTTTGCTGAACTGGGAATTGATGTGGAGTGTTGCAAAACTGGATTAAATATATACATATGTCCCCCGCCTCCCCGATTCCTTTTCATGGAATTGGGAAGACATTGACCAGAACTCTAGAATTTTGGAGTTATATCATTTGGAACTACTTTAGGTTCAAATAGTTTATGTAGAAACTAGGTTTTTCTCATCACTTATGAAATAATCAAACTCTAATGATTGTTGTTTTTCAGAAAACAGTTGATCAATGCTTCAAGATGTCTGAAGCAGGGCAAATGCATAAGAAAAAGCAGGAAATGATACATGTTTGGGTAGATATTAATAAAAACGAGAAAGCATAGATTCTTTAGTGAAACTGGTTCAATTTCAATGAGCTGTTTTGTGTAACAGGGTCATGAATTTTTAGGAAAGCAATGGATTACAGTGAATTTTCAATAACAGCACACATAAAATTTTTTTTGAGCCAAGAATCTGTGGTCAAACAAGGGAATATTCCCTAAAAGCACCAATATGATGCCAAGTATATATTTGCTGAATGTATTTATTGGCAGAATCAGATTTTGGCTTTGAACCAAATAATTATGAAAATTTGGCTTCAATTTGCCAACTGGGTACTGTGGAAACACATGTACAGAGAATCAGTGTCATTGCTACTATAGATATGCCCAGAGACCCTTCCTTTAGTCAGATTCTGTACATTCAAATACATGCCTATAAAGTTAAAGACACACAAGCAAATTCTTTAATAGCCAAACACTTTGATTTAGGGGATAGTTGTCTCCCCTGCTAATTGCCTGCTCTTACGTTCACTATAATGTTTCCTAACCACCTGTTTGCTTTTGATGACCTACTTATGAATATAATGGCCCCTGAGAATGGCCAAGGAATATGAAATCCCCTGGATATTCTGTTTTAAGGATGACCACTGACTCAGAAGATGAGTTTGAGGTTATTTTTTGAAGGAACTTCCTGTAGACTGATGAAGAAAGGACAGGGGCAACCCCATGTATATAAATATCATGCAGTGATGGTCACACACCATTGAGACACATGGAAGTTGAATTGGCACACATCTTAATAGAGTTTAGAATTCAATAACTCTCTTCTCTGAAAATTTAGAATGATTATAGCAGAAAACTTTGAAATTAAATCAAGAAGCTTACTTTATTTCCCAATTCCTAAACTTAATTGTGTCTTCATGCTGAACCGTATTTGGCCATTTAACAAACATAGCAATAACATTCTTAACAGTTACTGAAACCAGGCAACTGGTGGAATTGATCTTTTTTCAAGTGATTGCCCTGCTTTGTTTTGTTTTGATTTTTATGCCATCTGGTAAAGACTGAGTTCTGGTGGTGTGGTAAAAAGAGTTGTGGCCTGTGTCTAGAGCTGGACTAAGCCCCCAATTTTCACACCAAATGAGTAAACTTAGGCAAAGTGATTTTTTTTCCTTTCTATATTTCTTATCCTTATCTATCAAGTGGGGTGAATGGGTCCATGCCGCTCTAAAACTTAATCTTGTCAGTGGTTCCTTGATTCAAGTAAAAATGTTCAAAATGTTTTTGAACACTAATGGCATTCTGTTTTCTAGCGAAGGTTGTATTTGATTTCATGTAGCAGAGCAGAAGTAGACATGGTGTTCTGAATCACATGACATAGGCATGGTTAAAACATTGTGCTTAATATGTTGCCCCCTTTGTAGACAACACAGAGTAGGATGCCCCCTTTCATGCCAATCTAATATACCAAGGCTCGGGATAGAGCAAAGGGACTTGAGGGAATGAGGAAAGCTGAACAATAGGAATAAACAAACTACTTCTTCAAGGTTTAAAACTTCATAATCTTTAAAGATATTAGATTTTGTATTAAACCACTCCTCTCTTTTGAGATCCTGAGGTAACTTTCAATGTGGAAATGCTATAAATATAATGCTGCAATGAATATCTTCATGTATGCAAACTTTGGCTTTTGTTGAACTATTTCTTTAAGTTAAATTATTTATTTTGTTCCTGAAAATATTAGTGTGCATTCAGATTATTGTGAATTTCTAATAACTACAGGTTTAGACATACTTGAACATTGAAATATGGAGACAAATTTAGCAGGATTTGTATTTTTTCTGCAATACAAATAATACATGTTATTTTAAAAAACAATTAGAAGGTAAAGATAGCAACAAAAAAGTTATAATCTCACCATCTAGATATAACCATTGGTAGGTATACCTACTTCCTCTCTTTCTCTCTCTCTCTCTCTCTCTGTGTGTGTGTGTGTATGTGTGTATGTGTGGGTCTGTGTGTGTCAGTCTGTCTGTCTCTTTATTTACTGGTGATCGTAAACAAATTTGTTCATAAATTATATACTCAAATAAATAGAAAACAACATATTTGGCTTTTACACTGAAATGTAAATTTCAGAGACAGAACATTTCTTATTTTTTTTTGTATTCCAAAGAAATTAGGTGAGTGTGAACAGAAGGTGCAAAAGAATAATAGAATTTTGAAGTTTAATGTTAGAAATTATCTGATTTATTCAATTTATTTTACGTATGGGTAAATGGGTCCAGACATGTGATTTTTTCCTAGAGTCTTATGGCTAATTTTTGGTAGTTGAAATCAGAACAGAGGTCACTCATTACCTGATCCAGGGTTTTAATCTCAAAAACCACTTCTTGAGATTAATTTCTGTAATTCTCCCGATTTTTCTAGAACCTACTATTGAACTGATTATATACACAATACTGTTAAGAACATTGTCATGTTGAGATTTCTTTAGAACTTTTTTTATTGAGATGGAATTCATATAACATACAGTTAAACATCTTAAAGTGTACAATTTAGTAGCATTTAGTGTATTCACAATGTTGTATAACTATAACATTGCTCTAGTTTCAAAACTTTTAAAATAATTTCTGTATCCATTACCTTTTTCCCATTTGCCCCGAGAGTACTGTGCCAGGAGCAATTGCTGCTGCACTTTTTTCTAAATGAGGAAAAAGTAAGTAATCCCTCCATACTCTCCATTCTGTCAATCTTCTGGCAACCAGTAATATGTTTTTTGTCTCTATGAATTTTCCTATTCTGGATATTTCATATATAAGAAATCATACAGAATTTGACCTTTTGCGTCTGGTGTCTTTAACTTAGCATAATATTTTCAAGGTTTATTTGTATTTTAGCTTGTATTTCATTCCTTTTTATGGCTGAATAATATTCCATTGTATAGATATATCATAATTTGTTCATTTGTTGATCTGTTGATGGACATTTTTTCTTTAAAACTTTAACAAACAAAAATCTATGGTTATTCACTCAAAGCTTGCAATTACAAGTTCCATAATTTCCAATTTAATCCCAGATCAGATTAATTATATTCAACATTCCTTTGCCATTTTATCCTTCTTAAGTTGATGGACTCACGTTTTATTGCTGCAATGTTTTTCTGTCACATATGTAATTAATTCCCAGTATTTCCACTTTTAGAATGTTGTTAACATGTAGAATCTTTGTCTGACTTCTTATAAATATCTTTTAATTGACTTTTGACTGTCATCTTCCACTAAGACTAAGATTTGTAAAGTATATTGTTGAGTATTGTAAAGTATATTGCGGTAGGCTGAAAATGGTCCTTCAAAGATGTTCACATTCTAATTCCCTATACTTATAAATCTTACCTTATATGACAAAAGGGACTTTGCAGATGGATTAAATTGAAGATTCTGAGATTGAGAGACTGTCCTGAATCATCTCAGTGGGTCTGATATACTTACAAACTTCATAAGAGAGGGGTAGGAGATCAAAGAAAGTAGCAAGATATGTAAGGACAGACTCAAAGGGTCAGGAGCCAAGAAATGAAGACAGCCTTTAAAGATCGAAGAAGGCAAGAAAATGACTTCTCCCCTGAAGTCTCCAGAAGGAATGTAGCCCTGCTGACACTTGGATTCTAGACTTCTGATCTCTGGGATGTAAGAGAATAAGCTTGTGTTGTTTTAAGCTACTAAGTCTGTGTTAATTTGCAACAGAGCAATACGAAACTAAGATACTCCACTCAAGAGATGCAATTTTAAATGAGTCTAAAGTTAAACATATTTCATAAACATATATATTAATATTTAACATACATATTATTACTGTTGACAATATTCATTAATTTTACAACATATTCCAGCTCAGTATAGTTTCCAAATAAAAATAAAGAGTTAGATTGTTATAAGGAATGGGACTGATAGCAAAACTTTGTCTGCTTTGGCATTGAGTAAAGCTCTTAACATTAGGAAAAGTAATAGTTTTCAAGCATGTTTCAACATTGGGTTCTTTGGATTCCTTAAATACTATGTGGAGGTTCTTCAATAATGATATGCTTTTTAAAAATATTGTGGTTCAAAATGTTCATGTTCAATATCTCCTCTTTCCTGTCCAAATCAACACAGATAAATGTGAAATAAGTGTCTAAATGTTCACACTGGACTCTGCAGGGAGAAACTGTACTGCTTTTGAACTCACAGGTGAGAAGAAAATGATATCACTTATTTTCTTTACAGAATGAAAATACAATAATGCTTATTAAGAAACATTCTTTCAAGGTTAAGAGCTCACTGAATATGAAAACAAAACTCAAACTCTTTTTTTCTTGGAGTTTTTCTAAATTTGCCCTTAAATCCTTGTATTTTTCTTATCTTTTAGCCAACTGGATGGTCATGATTAATGTACCTTTAATCACAGGAGCTTCTTGAAGCTCCTTTTCACTACCTCAGAGGCAGCTGCTCCTCAGTGATGTCATGTTTCCTTCCTGACCTTGGGAGTGCCATTTAGAGGCAACTGTTTCCAGGGACTGAAAGGCTTCTGCATCTCAAGTCATGCTACCAAAATAGTCCATTAGCTGTGCTTTTCAACTTAGTTATGTCATAATGAATAAGTCTCTTCTCCTCTGAACAGTGTTAATGACTTTTCCCTACCTTTGTCAATTTCAGTATAAATGTGTACCCGCCAAAGGCATCAGGAGGGGACTAAGGAAATCCTATAGGAGAACAATGACAGGAAACTGACATAGCCATTAAGATGTCTGGAAAAATTAAGTTAGAAGAAAGTGGGGCTTGGCTTATTGCCATTTTTGGAATAAGGAAAAAACTGTAGGCAGGATGTCTCTAGAAAAGTTAACATAAAACTTAGACTAAGCATGGCTGTGTGTAAATTGAATTAAAATAAAGGATAATAATATATGATAGATAATATGATAAATAGGATAATAATATGATAAAAAATAATATGAGTAATAGTAGAAAATTACTTTTGGTGGGGAAGGGAAAGTAATAAACATTGTAAATTGAGGTTCAGAATTTTTTTTCTTTTTTAAGAACAAAGATTTCCCTGGTCTTGGTAGCAAGTGCTGATGAAATTTCTCATCCCAGAGCTGATTCACTGAATTGAGGAATTAGAGAAAGGAAACATTTGTTTTTCTAAAACATCTGTAAGGAAATATTATGTTAAATATTTATAGGTTTAGAGAGCAGTCTATAATTACAAATCTTAGATAAATAAATGCAGTGTGTTGGAATCTGGTAACTTAGAAAAAATGACCTCATTCAGGAATAGGAATTCCTATAGGAATAGGAAAAAATGACCTCATTCAGGAATAGGAATTCCTCATACAATAGGAAGCAACTTTTACATTTTTGAAAGGAAATTCATCAATGATTATTTTGACCTCATCTCCGTGTATCAGATGCTCCGTGTGTCAAATATAAAGTCAATTAGGGAAATGAGTAACAATGAAAGAAAACTCTCATGAATGACTAGATGAAGCATGTGAGAATACATCATGCTTAAATTTATCCTTGTGCTGTAAAAAAGCACTTTCTTACTTTTGCCTCTTGACTTTGAATTATTTTCTTCCAGATTAGAGGAGATTACATGAATAAAAGTTTAGCCCAGTAAAGAGTAGCTTGATACAGTAAATCATAGAGATTGGTAACTTCATTTATTTTCAGAGTTGGGAGAGACCTTAAAACAAGCTAACAAAATTCTCTCACGTACAGTTAAGAAGCTGGGGCACAGAGCACTTAAATGACTTATCTGGAGTCAGACATCACCAGAATAAGTACCAGGATTATGTACCAGGTTTCCTGATTTCCAAGCTGGTAAATTCCATATAAAACATATTGGATCAATAAACAGTTTTATTAATTAATCTTGGAACACTATAGTCAAAAATATGAGTCAAATGCTCTATTACATATCATCCTCAAGGCTATAGTAAAAAATATGCCTCATGGTAAGTAGGCAATGGCTCCCTCTCCGTATGCGGTAAGAGAAAAAAAGGGCTGTGAGAGACCCATTTTGGGGACATTGCGTGGTCAGTTTGTCAGCTGAGTGAATGCTCCCTATGATCCCTTGCCACTTGGAACCTAAGGGCCTTGGGACAGTCAACTGCATCTACCTGATCCTTTGCTCAGTGGATCTACCACTCTCTAAGCCTTCGTTTAGATTTTTAAACATAAGTAACACAGGTAAATAGAAAAGTCAAAGCTCAGATTAAAGAAAGGTAACCATATAATGTGTTAGGTTCAACTGTTTGCCTGCTGTAAAAGGGCAAAAGCAAAGCCATTTTTCTGATTTCCAGTGAGATCAGGAAAGCCCAAGTTCCTGAGAGCAGCAGAGGAGACTTTATCCCTGAATCTGGAGAAGAAGCATTTCCATACATTGTTTCTCCTAGTCTCAGCCAGGGCTAAGTCTAATAATTGTATATCTAGCAGCACAAGTTTATGCATTTATTTAAAACCATGTATTGGGGGCAATATATTTAATCTTTTTTTAAGTTTCAGATTCATCATCTAAAATAGGTACATTATTGGGACCAGGTTCAACTTTGTTTTGAGGATTAGACAAGCTTGCAGCAAAGCTCCTGGTTCAGTCCCTGGTACATAGGAAGTGCTTAAATATCACTAATGGTGATGTTGTAGAAAAGAGGAAGAGGAGCTCACAAAGTTCTATTCCAGATGCTAAAGGAGCAGTCGTAATCCTTGACCACAATGTAAACTTCCTGAAAGAAACCCTTGTCATGGCAGGATATGCTTTACTAAGTTTTTGTTGTTGTTGTTGTTTTAAAGCAGAAGGTTTTTGGATTATTTAATTTAGAAAACCTTCACACTACACTTGTTGGAGGTGTTCTCTCAATAACTAAAAATAAATAAATATTGATTTTATGAGATAGTGAATCCAGGATAGATTTTATTATTAATAATCAATCCACTTTCCAAAAAGAATTTGAAGTAACTTATAATAAAAGCCATAGGCACCATGGCATCATTAAAACAAAGGTTAAAAAATGAAGTGATTTGGAAAGATGCTTGAACCAGAAAGCCTTGATTAGGGATGGTTACTACAGTGGCACATAAAACTTACTGCAGTAGTTCTTGGTAGTGATAATTCTCTTTATAAATGGAATGAGGCATATCAATTTATATTAGCTAAATTTTCCCTGGATTTTTACTCTGAGGTGAAATTTATCATGTAGATAGTATCCTCAATAGATTTTATTAGCTGAAGCTATTTCTTTTATAAACCTTCATAAAACATGAGGGCTTAGTGTTTAAAATTTACATTGTCTGAAGGCATTCTATAGGAAGCTAAAGTAATCAAAGGTGAAACAGTTTATAAATTTGACTTTCTGATAATTCAGGAAGAGAAACTTAGATTGATTGGTGAGAATATCACATATGCAGTACAGTCCCTGTTTTGTATTTATTGACTAATGTAGATTTTGAACAAATCGAGAGAGCAATTAATATGACAGTCATCATATTTGCCTAAAATATCATTATTCTTATTGTGAGCTAGAGGAGATCCATCTGCGTTAGATAAAATGCTAGACATATATTTGACAAATTTATCTATTTTGTTATAAAAATTAAAGAACCTTGCTTGAGTTATTATTCAAATTAAACGGTGACGTTCACAGGTGGATTGCAGGCAATCAAGTGGGGCAAGCAAGGCAAAGAAGCTTCCCCAAATCCTTTCTGGATCTCAAATGCTCACTCCCTTGAAACCTCAGAGGTCCTTACCATCGAGCAGAAATTCCTAACCAGGAATCAGCAGCAAAATTTCATGAAGAATTTCTTCAGAATACTCTTTTCACATACCTACCAAATTTGAATCTCCAAGAGTGAGGCTTGGGTGTGAATATTTTAAAAATAAAATTCCCAAGAGATTGTTTTGCAAATCCTGAATAAGAGCTTTGTCCCCAGAGTATCGAGAGATGTGTGGCTAAAGAGGATGTAAAGGCAGGAGTTGGCTTCTGCTATTTAACTGCTTTTAATATAGTTCTTCTAGAATATTTTGTTTTGAGGAGAACAACATTTGTGTAGTTCTAAAACTTGAGTTAACTGCACAATATACTGAACTAAAACTAAATGGGTTTTTTTGTGAAATGGATTTATTTATAATTATCACTCTGCATGTCATAAACATGCCAAACACTTTTGGTTTTGGTGAAATGGTCTTGAGCTTGGTAATAAGTTCAGGTTAACATGCTATTTAAGGGCACTTCCAGAAAGCCACACTGATATTACGTGATCAGTAGAGAGAAGAATGTTTAACTTCCTGTTTGACATGGGAAGAAGGCACACATGCTATAACAAATTATTTGTTATATATTTAATGCCCACTTCATTCTAAAAAA
This sequence comes from Homo sapiens, assembly GCF_000001405.40. Lineage (NCBI taxonomy): Eukaryota > Metazoa > Chordata > Mammalia > Primates > Hominidae > Homo > Homo sapiens. Next base: position 88,894,141 of record NC_000012.12, on the reverse strand, counting down.
GACTTGAAGTGGTATGCAAATCCTTCATGAGTAAATTGGAAAGGAGGAAGTCTGGAATACAGTCCTGTTTTATGCTATCTTCTTTTGATATTTGATACACCATTGAATCCATTTCAATTCATTGTAATTCCTTTGATGGTTTGAATATGAAATCATTTTGGGCTGTCAGCACTCTTTCCCTTGGTATCTAGTTTCGTGGCTATGTAGAAATGACTTCCAAATTTACATCTTCTGCTCCGAATTTTCAGTTCTGCTTAAAAATATCCACTTGCATGTTTAGTAGGCAAATAAAATGTATATGTCCAAGACAGATCTTTTGATTCCTTCCCTCGCTCACCCTGACCTTTCCTTTTCCAGTCTTCCCCATTTTTGTTGCTTATTCTAAAACCTTTGTATTCTATTTCTCTCCATCTCCTTGCCACCATCCCTGGCAAGCTACTGCCATCTCTCGCTTGGAGTATTCTAATAGCTTCCACAGTAGTTTGTTTCCACTTTTGTATGCTAGCATCCATTTTTTGCAAAGCAGCCAGAGAGATGTTCTCATTACAGCCCAGTTGACTAACATTTCATTTAAGAGGATCCTTTGAGAAACATTTTAGCTACTGCACCCATTCAAATACATTAAGGCTGATATTGTTAAAATTAAGAAACCAAAAACATTGAGGTTAAGAAGAATTTTTTAATCAGCAAAATACAGGGTGAATGACACAGATATATAAAATCAACATTTATGAGTAACCCACTTCAATTTAAAACCAATAAGGGCTGATGTGTAAACTGTAAGTGAAAGTAGTTGGTATAACAAAATATTTAAAATATTCTGCCTTGCTAGCTCATAATACCACCATAATTTTTCAAGAAGAGTTCAAGAAGAGGATTCAGAAGAATAGTCACGTATTGACCCAGTTTGTTCTGGAAGTAGATGCTTTCTAAAATACCTCTTTGCAGTGGTATACAGATTTCATATATATTTAATGTTTTCCCTGAACCCTCTATCATATGTGAGAACTCAATCATGCCAGCCTTAGTTCTGCCAACCCCCGTGCTTTTAAGAAACACAGCTCCTGAGTTGGTGCAAGATTTCTGTAGCTCCATATGACTGGAAGGTAAAATGTGAAATGGAGATTGGTGTCAGATGAAGCAGAAGTTAGGTTGTGTATCTTTCAAGTGATGTTAAGAAGCTTAGAATTTATCCTGAAAGCAATGAGAATACAATTTACTCTCACTTAATGACTTTCATTTGTTCTTATAAATCCTGCTGCTAAGTGAAAAAACTTCCATTATTTCTTTCTTTTCTTTTTCTTTTTTTCTTTTTTTTTTTGAGATGGAGTTTTGCTCTTGTTGCCCAGGCTGGAGTGCAATGGCATGATCTCATCATCTCAGCTCACCACAACCTCCGCCTCCTGGGTTCAAGCAGTTCTCCTGCCTCAGTCTCCTGAGTGGCTGGGATTACAGGCACACACCACCACGAACGGCTAATGTTGTATTTTTAGTGGAAACGGGGTTTCTCCATGTTGGTCAGGCTGGTCTCGAACTCCTGACCTTGGGTGATCCGCCCACCTCGGCCTCCCAAAATGCTGGGATTACAGGCGTGAGCCACTGTGCCCGGCCAAAAACTTCCATTATTTCTAATGAAAAATGTTATTATGTGTTCCACCTCAAATCAATGTACACAAACAATTTTTACATAAGAAAAAATATGTATCACTTGAACAATGAAAACAAATTTCTATAAGTGATAAACAAGATGTCATTCAAATACTGCTTTCACATCAAATTTTTCTTTCTCTGTCAAGTCTTTGCCTGAAACTTTAATGTCTAAATATTAGTTTATAGCATATTTATTTAATGTGTTATAAAAATTGTTATACTGATAAGAAAAAGTTTTCTGAAAAATAACTCTTCAAGAACCGTGATGGCAGTCGTTAACGGTAATTATGGAATGTAAGTCTTTAGCAGTGATAAAGGATATTAAGCGAGGAATAATAATTAGGTTTTGCTGTTTTGAGTATAATTGATTGTAGACAAGCATTATGCAGCTGAAAGAAGTAAGATGGAATGAATGGATTGTAGAGCTAGTTAACAAATAAATTTGAAAGGACTTGTTGCATGAAAGAAATTGTTGACAGAGAATTCTCAATGTTAGCAACTTTATGGGTGACAAAGTGCTCACTGAGATCAGTAACACAGGAACAGGTTAGGAAGAGAGATGATAAACTCTACTTAATACTGATTTTGAAGCCACTACAGGAAACCTACGTGGGAATGTCAAGTAGAGAGTTACATGAATTTTGAGCTCAGGAGTGAGATCATGGCTGAAGTTAGAGGTTTGATAGTCATTATACAGTGTTTGCATTCAGATGACTGAATGGTATTGCCTAGGGAGACAGAATAAAGGGGACACAGAGGAGAACCTAAGCACCACCAAATTTTAAAGGATGGGCAAAAGTAGAGTTCACAAAAGACACTAAGAAGCAGCTTCTAAAGATAGGAGGAAAACCAAGAGAGGGTGACGTCACGGAAAGGAAAGAAGGTTTTTAAGAAGAGAGAGTAGGCCGGGCACTGTGGCTCACGCCTGTAATCCCAGCACTTTTGGGGGCCGAGGCAGGTGGATCACGAGGTCGGGAGTTCGAGACCAGCCTGGTCAACATGGTGAAACTCCATCTCTACTAAAAATACAAAAAATTAGCCGGGCATGGTGGCGCGTGCCTATAGTCCCAGCTACTCGTGAGGCTGAGGCAGGAGAACTGCTTGAACCCGGGAGGTGGAGGCCAAGATCGTGTTACTGCATTCCAGCCTGGACAACAGAGTAAGACTCTGTTTTGGTGTGGGGGGAGGGCAGTGGGGAAGAAGAGAGAGTAATATTCAGTGGTGAGATGAGTTAAAACTACAACATGTGTGTTGGATCTAGCAACAAGAGAATCCCAGGTTGTCTTGATGAGAATAATCTCAATGGGATATCTGAGGGCAGAAGCTATTTGGAATGGGTTGAAGAATGTGTTAAATTAGAAAGAAACTTGAGAGAATCACCTGGTATAGCTGATACCCTTATACATAAAAGTCAGAACATCTGTATTCAGAAACTCCTTTGGGAAGATCTGATAGCATCTATTGTGTCTCCACAAACAGCTTATCTGCACAAGGAGAAATGAAAACAGCTCTTACATTTATCTCACTCTTTCTTTTTTTTTGTTTGATACAGAGTCTCACTCTGTTGCACGGGCTGGAGTACAGTGGCATGATTATAGCTCACTGGAACCTCAAACTCTGGACTCAAGTGGTTGTTCTCTCTTTAATTTTCCAATCTAAACAGTGGCTAACATAAATTTTATTTTACTGAATTTAATTCACAAACTTAACTTGATTCTTAGTATATCATAGATTTATGTCTCAATAACAAAATATTTTGCATGACTGGAATAATTTTGGACAGGCATATAGATCCTCTCCTTTGATAGCTTCACATAAGTTGATCCTGGGTGTACCAGACATTTCTCAAGCATATAAACTCATGTTGGTGCTCACCTGGACAGAATTTGAACATAGATACCAAGTATGTTTTAAAACAATTACAAATAATCTTAGGAAAGACAAATTATAGCCTTGAACCAGTTTTTTTTCTTCTGAAAAATATACTTTTTAAAAGTTTTATTGTTTAATTGGAGATTGTGTTCCTAGATTAATATTAGATGTTTTTAAATGTAATTTTTACATCACTCCCCAATTTGAAAAATACTTTTAGCTATGCTGTTTCAATTCCTTTAACAACCATGTCAAGTAGATACTATCTTAAGTAATTTCTCCATAAATTGTACTCTTAGTGTAGTCAGAATGAGAAAGGAAATCTGAGTCTCGTGATTCAAAGTCTTCTGATGTCCAATTTATAAACACCTGAACTTTTATTCAGATATTTTTGTACTTATTTATAAATTGTTCTAACTAGGACTTGAGATGGCTCAGGAAGATGCTATTATGCAAATAATAGCAAAATAAAATGATTAAAAATAAGTAAGAGAGAAGATGAAAAGGAAAATAAGGCCTAATGGAGCTAGAATGTTAGGTCATTATACCAAACACATGTCATGTAGCCATATAAATGCCCCAAGAGAAAAGCCATACATTATTTCTTTTTTTAAAATATAAAGCAGCATAGCTTACATAAGTGCACAAACCTTAAATGTACAGCCCAATGACTTTTCTCACATAAATATGTGTATAACCACCCTGATCAAATTACAGAGCATTCTCATCAGCCTGATGTCATCTTTATTTTTCCTCTAAAGGTAACCACTATTCTGACTTTTATCATATGTTAGTTTTGCTTATTTTTGAACTTCATATAAATGGCATTATACAGTTTGTGTCTGACTGCTTTTGCTCAACAGAATGTCTGTGAGATTCATTTTTCTCTCACTTTTGTTTAGAATTTTGTTATATGAACGTATGACAATTAATTTATACATTCTACTGCTGTTGAACATTTGGTTGTTTCAAGTTTTGGCCTACTACAAAAAAAGGTATTATGAATATTTTTGTACATGTACATGTGAATAAAACCACTTGTTTTTGTTGGGTATATTCCCAGGAGTGGAATTATTGCATAATATTTTAGATTAGTAGGTCCTGCCAAGTAATTTTCAGAAGTTGTTATATGGATTTATACTTCTATCAGCAATATAAAAGAGTTCCCATTGCTCATATCTTCATCATGACTTTGTGTTTCCAATCTTAATGTTAGCCATTTTCATGGGCGGGTTGTGGTATCTTATTGTGCTTTTAATTCACATTTCTCTGATAACAAATGATGAGTATGCCTTCACATCTTTAGTGGCCATTTTGATATTTTCCTTTGTGAATTTTTTTTGAGTCTTTTGTCCAGTTTAACTTGGGTTGCTTGTTAGATGTATATCTTAGAAACATCTTCTTCCAATTATGGCTTGTCTTTCCATTATCATAATAATATTTTCTGAAAACAGAAAGTTTAATTTTAATGAGGTCCAATTTATCAATCTTTTCTTTGAAGTCTAGTGCTTTTTGTGTCCTGGTTAAGACATTTTTGCCAGTGTTAATGTCATGCAGATATTCTTCCAATTCTTTTTTAGGCCATACATTTGACCCTAAAATTTTTTTAATAGCCAGACAAGAAAAGAATGCACAACCAAGTACAGAATTCACGGTGTTCATAAGGTGAAAAATAAAACTGTTGTTCAAGAAATATTCTGGTGAAAAGGTCAGAGTAGAACTTCTCCTCTAGGTCTGCATATGGATTATAACAATAAACACCCTCAAAAATATCCTTACAATACTGGCAGTGCTGAGTTGCTTCTTATAACATCCCTCGATATAACCAATTACTTCATTCTAAAGGGGAAGTGACTATAGACACTTCTCTTGGAGTCAATATAAGGGCAGATTTAATTCTGGAGTAGATCACAGAATATTTAGGTGACTTTCATACATAGCACTTTCTTACGTAAAGTTTTTGAATGGTTTTGGGCAACTTCAAGATTTTACTCCTAAAGAGATATTGTAATACAGTTATTTCATGTTGCCTTTTTATTACACACCATATGCTTTAGCAGTTGAGAAACCTGATAAAGACATATTCTCACATAGAAAGCTACCCTCTTGCAGCTAGAACATGTGTAGAAGAAGCAATTTTGGCATAGCAAATTACCTATTAGGTAGAAAAAATGTTTGTGAAGGCTGTCAGCAACACACAGGCACTGAGATAATATATTTTTTAAATAATGTGATGTTTCCAAACCAGTACTAAAATCATTTACTGTGTTAATAGTTAACAATTAGATTATTTTTACTTTATTTTTTAAAAAATTAAATAATATAAATGGATGACACCCAAAATCCTGTTTTTTACTTATGTCCCCTAAATTTTGCTCAGTCCATAGGTTAGAAGTAACACCTTTTGGGATTATAAGGGATTTGCTTTTTATTATTATTATTATTATTATTATTTTTTTTTTTTTTTGAGACAGAGTCTCGCTCTGTCGCCCAGGCTGGAGTGCAGTGGCGGGATCTCGGCTCACTGCAAGCTCCGCCTCCCGGGTTCACGCCATTCTCCTGCCTCAGCCTCCCAAGTAGCTGGGACTACAGGCGCCCGCCACTACGCCCGGCTAATTTTTTGTATTTTTAGTAGAGACGGGGTTTCACCGTTTTAGCCGGGATGGTCTCGATCTCCTGACCTCGTGATCCGCCCGCCTCGGCCTCCCAAAGTGCTGGGATTACAGGCGTGAGCCACCGCGCCCGGCCTGCTTTTTATTTTTAAGAAATAATGAGAATCCTCTTCAAGTCTTACCTTGAGTCCGATTTTTGTCGCTCTTCAGAGGCAACCACTCTAATGAGTTTGCTGTGTATAATTATTTGCTCCTCGGCACAAGGAATATGTTTGTTGTAGAACATTAGTAAAACAAAGAAAAGGAAAATAAAACAATGAACATTACTTGTAATACCATAGCTCAGAGACGACCCCAGCTGTTTGCCCTTATGGTTGTTTTTCATGCATGCTATACAAAGGCCTACAACGTAAGTTACATAATGTTTCCACAGGTGATATAAATTAATGATTAAGAGGAAAGACTCAAAGTAGACAGCCTAAGTGAAAATTCCAGCTCTGCTATTTAGTAGCTCCCTAGGTTACTCTACCCACATAAACAAACACACACACACACACACACACACACACACACTGTATAATATTAGGTGAGTGCAAAAGTAATTGAGATTTTTGCATTGTTGGAATTTTCCATTTGATATTGGAATAACTTCTTAACTACATGTGGTTATGTTATAGATCATATTAATGGGCACTTCTCACTTTATTTCTTTTTGCTAATAACTTACTACTTGGTGTTTATTTTATGTTTATTTTAGACTATGGAAAGGAAATGATGTTAGAATTAAAAGCAAATTTGAGTGATTTTCTTTTTCAAATTCAAAATGGGCCGTAAAGCAGCGAGACAACTCGCAACATCAACAGCACATTTGACCCAGAACCACTAATGAAAATACAGTTCATTGGTGGTTCAAGAAGTTTTGCAAAGGAGACAAGAGCCTTGAATATGAAGAGCACAGTGGTCAGCCATCAGAAGCTGACAACGACAAATTGAGAGCAGTCATGGAAGCTGATTTTTTTTTACAATTACAGAAGTTGCCAAAGAACTCAAAGCAGACCATTCTACGTTCATTTGGCATTTGTAGCAAATTGGAAAGGTGAAAATGCCCAGTAAGTGGGTGCCTCAGGAGCTGAGTGAAAAATCAAAAAAATCGTCTTTTTGAAGTGTCGCCTTCTCTTGTTGTGTGCAACAAGAACAAACCATTTCTCAATCAGATTGTGACGTGCAATGAAAAGTGGATTTTATATGACAACCGGCGACAACCATTTCAGTGGGTGCCCCAAGAGGAAGCTCCAAAGCACTTCCCAAAGCCAAACTTGCACCAAAAAAAGTCATGGTCACTGTTGGCGGTCTGCTGCTGGTCTGATCCACTATGGCTTTCTGAATACTGGCAAAACCATTACATCTGAGAATTATGCTCAGCAAATTGATGAGATGCACCGAAAACTGCAACGCCCTGCAGAGAGCATTGGTCAACAGAAAGGGTTCATTTCTTCTCCAAGGCAAAGACCACATGTTGCACAACCAATGTTTCAAAAGTTAAACGAATTGAGCTACAAAATTTTGCCTCATCCACCACATTCACCTGACCTGTTGCCAATCAACTACTACTTCTTCAAGCATCTCAATAGCCTTTTGCAGGGAAAACACTTCCACAACAAGCAGGATGCAGAAAATGCTTTCCAAGAGTTCGTCAAATCCTGAAGCATGGCTTTTTATGCTACAGGAATAAACAAACTTATTTCTCATTGGCAAAAATGTATTGATTGCAATGGTTTCTATTTTGACTACTAAAGATATATTTGAGCCTAGTTATAATGATTTAAAATTCACGGTCTTAAACCACGATTACATTTGCACCAACCTATACGTCTGCCTGGACCCTTTTTAAATTATGGCTTATGCCCGTTTCTGTGTTACAGATGAAGAAACTAAAGCACAGGGTAGTTAAGCAATGTATGCAAGGAAAGGAGTCAGGGGCAAAGAGGATTGTTATAGACAAGGAAGTCTTCAAGAAAGGATAGCGTGTCCTTTTTTTTTTGAAATGGAGTTTCACTCTTGTTGCCCAGGCTGGAGTGCAATGGCCTGATCTCGGCTCACCGCAACCTCTGCCTCCCGGGTTCAAGCGATTTTCCTGCCTCAGCCTCCCAAGTACAGGTGTGTGCCACCACACCCGAGTAATTTTGTATTTTTAGTAGAGACGGGGTTTCTCCATGTTGGTCAGGCTGGTCTTGAACTCCCAACCTCAGGTGATCTGCCCGCCTTGGCCTCCCAAAGTGCTGGGATTACAGGCCTGAGCCACTGCGCCCAGCTGTGGTGTACATTTTTTAAATAACCTTTCTGTTTAGGAATAACTTTAATATTACAGAAAAGCTGCAAAGATAATTCTTGGTGTTCCAGTATACCTCTCACCTAGTTTTCTCCTAATGTTAACATCTTACATTACCATGGTACATTTGTCAGAATTAAAACTAATGTTGGTATATTACTTTATTGAGAGTTCTCCAGTTTTCCCATCAATGTCCTTTTTTCCTGCTCCAGGATCCAATTCAGGACACCACATTGCATTTAGTTAAACTCATTTTTTTAAGATGAATAATAATTGGCTGTACAAAGGGGAGGAGAGAAAGCTTCGGCAATGAGGTAGCTGTTGGGCAATGTAAATAAAAGTATTGAGCAGGACTGAGCAGAGAGACGTGGGGTGTGATGAAGGGGCTGAATTGACTGGAGCAGGCTGAGTAGCAGGCAGTAAGAAGTAGAAAGACTTGAAAAATGATTTGGGATAGGGCAAGAACAAAACAGCTAAGCAGAGCAGGACAGACAAGGGAGCAAGGGTGTTTAAGGAAGTTGGGAAAATAACAGATTTCCAGCCCTTCCTGCTTAGATCTGGTACTAGAGAGAGTCAGAGAAGAATACCTGGAAGAGGCTGAGGAGCAGAAAACCCACTATGCTAAGGCCACATTGCACTCTTTGTGATAAGCCCTGTTAATGCTACCTACCTCCTATGGGAAAATGGTTATCACTTATTTATATCGTATTATGACCTATCGTATGTGCCAGGCACAGTACTTTCTGTGGTGCTTTTCCTTACAGTTGCATAGTGAAAGCTCCTAATGCCTTATGGTACTTTTGCATAAGGTACTTTCTGTGCTTAGCACATAGGATAGATCATGATACTTTCAGTACCTTCTTTCTCTTTCTGTACACACACACACACACACACACACACACACACATACACAGTCATCTAGTTCTTACACCAATCTTTTAGGTAAGTGTTATCATAAAGCCCATTATAGAAAAGGAAACTGAGGTTTACAAATGCCATGCAATTTGCCTAAGTCAAACTACCAATAAGTTATGGAGCTTGAAATTGAACCAACCTCTAACTAACTGCAAAGCCTGTCTTTCATTGTCTAGCTCAATCTAAAGTCTTCTTAATTATTCTTATCAGAGTTCATAGTGTAATTCTCTTCACCTTTCAAGAGAATTGCTAAGTGCTACACAATTGTATTTCACCAGCGATTTTCTGAAGCAATCCACTTGGAACTTTGATGTTCAGAAGCACTCCTTCAAGGCTCCACACATGTCTGTTCTTTCATAGGTAGCAGTTACACAACACGGAAACCCTTGAAGGGGATCAGTCATTTGAGTAATGGAGTAAATTGAACCTCAGTGGGCTAATTATATATTTTCAAAGTTCAACTAACTTAGGCAGTTAGATTATGACCTAAATTACTGTGTAGAGTTTCTGCTTCCCATTTTGGTTTGGAACTAGAGCCAGAGTGGAGACGAATAACTTGGGAAGTGGCAAGAAGAAGCTACTGGCAGTGGCATGGGGGGCTTTCAATATGCAACTGCAAGGAAAAGGAACCTACATGACCTTTTTCCTTGCTTCAATTTCCTTTTGAAAATTAGTGGCCCTGACAAGGGAAATACTTGAGGCAAGGTCTTCAAAGGACCACCATCTGACCTCTCCCTTCATATTTTTCCTTCTTTCTCTCTACCAGTTCTTTTCAGAATTTCAGGCTTTCTTCTAGGCTTTTGGAATAAAATAATACTAATCAGGAACATACTGTCTCAATCTGGCAGAATCATTAAAAATTCAGCATTGGTTCTATCATAATATTGACCTTTAAGACTGATGAACTGTCATTTTCTTGGCATTCTCTTGAAATTGTATTCAGTACTTTTCATGAATTATCTCTGAATTATTGCTGATTGTCTTTTAGTCTTGCCTGGGTTTCCTTCTACCTCAGTAGTTTGATACTTCTCAAATTCTCTGGCTAATTCCTCCTTTTCCAACAGATAAATGTTAAAGTTCCTTGGTTCTCAGTTTCTGGCCTTCACCCCTTCTGTAACTACAGTCCTTCCTTAGAAGAATTCACTCAGGCCCATGGCATTAAAAACCATCTGCATAATGCCAGCCAACCAAATTACATCTCCATCTCTGACTATTCTCCCAAACTCAAGAGCTGTGTATCTGATTGACTATTTGACAACATGTTTTTTGAATGTCTTATAATCATCTCTAACTTACCAAGTTCAAGCTGAATTCTTCTGACCCCAAACTTTCTTTTCCTCAAATCTTTCCCATCACACTAAATGGCAGCAACTTCCAACCATTTGCTGAAGCCAAAATTTTAGGAGTCACAGTTGGTTTCTTGAGGTGTCTCACTCCCCAATTCAATCCATAACCAAGTTCCATTGACTCTACCTAAATGTGACTACTTATTTCCACCTTAATCCAAATAACCATTTTGTTCATTTTTTAATACAGCAATACCTTCTACCTGGCCTTCTTGCTTCCGTTCTTGCCCACTGACCATCTATTTTCCATATGGCATCCAGAGTTATCTTTTAAATTTATAAATTATATCTGTCACTCTCATGCTCAAAGTCTTCCAACAGCTTCCCATTTCACATAAGGTAAAACTCAAACTACTTACCATGTGTGTTAGGTTGTTCTTGCATTGCTATAAATAAATACCTGAGATTAGGTAATTTATTTTAAAAAGAGGTTTAATTGGCTCACGGTTCTGCAGGCTGTATGTAAAGCATAGCAGTATCTGCTTCTGGGGAGGACTCAGGAAACTTCCAACCATGGCAGAAGGCACAAAGGAAGCAGGCACATCACATGATGAAACCAGGAGCAAGACTGAGAGGGGGAAGGTGCTACACACTTGTAAATGACCAGATCTCATTAGAATTCACTCACTGTTGTGAAGACAGTACCAAGGGGGATGGTGCAAAACTACTCATAAGAAATTCACCCCCATGAGCCAATCACCTTCCACCAAGTCCCACCTCCATCAATGGGGATAACATTCAATATAGGATTTGAGTGCAGACACACATCCAAACACTATCTTCATGTCTTCAAGACCCTACACAATGTGTCCCGGCTTACCTTGCTGACTTCATGTCTTATCACTTTCTCCATTTCTATTTTTGAGTAATCTGCTTGTGGTTCCTCAAGCAGGCCAAGATTCTTCCCTCTGAATCTCTTACAATTTCCTGTCCATAATTCTTCCATCCTTCATACAACTGACTTCTTCATGTGGTTAAGTATCTGCTTAAATGTAACTTTCTTGGATAGGTTTTCCTTCACCACTCAATCAATACCAGTCCTTTCTTGGACACAAGAGCTGAATAGAACTCAGCCTCTTCCTTCTCCTCCTCCTCCTCCTTCTTTTTGGTTCAATGGGCAAGTAGCTTAGAGTTTGCAAATTTGTGCCTATATCTTTAAAACCCTTTATTGACTTTCACAGTTTTTAGGCAAAATGATAGCTTTCATTGGTATTATGCATTATGATTTACAGGATCTTTTACATATAACAACATATATGTCCCCACAAGGGCCTTGGGTTTACAAATTGCAGGGAAGTTTGGAATGAGGCTTGTAATATCAGATTATTTAGGGTTGACTCTTACTTATTGTTTACCTGCCCCACTGAAACATAAACTTCAAAAGGACAGAAACCTCCTATCTTAGTATATAGTAAGCACTCACAAGTTGTTGATCGTTTGAATTGTTCATCTCTTTTCTCCTGATCCCTTCTAATTCTAAAATTCCGTAATTTTTGTAATGTACAAATGTTAAATTTGTATCTTACAAATGAATCTTAATAATTTTTATGAAAATACAGACCCACAGAAAACCAGAAAAAGCCAATTTAGCTCTTTTAGGGCATCCAATGAAATGAAGACTTACAGTTAATCCATTTTTTTTAAGTCTCACATGAAGAAGTCTCACATTATTTAAACCCAGAAGTGCGTAAGTATTTTTTGTTCTCACTGACATAGTTGATCTAGACATGAAACAAAGGGGAGAGATGGGAAAGCGGATAACGAGAAGGAAAAAAAGACTAAAAATTATTGATTTCCTGCAATGTGAAAAGCCATTTTGTTGGACATATTTTATATCTTTCTAAATGTATCCCCAAAATTCTGAAAGGTATGTTTTTATTAACTCTGTTTTTCTCATGAAGATGATGAGGTTGACTGTTTAATAAATTACCTGGGATCAGATAGGTGGTTGGTGGTGGAATCAAAGATGCCAATTCTGTTTATTTCAAATACTAAAATACTTTGCACCACATTATCTTGTACACTCAGAGTTACAATAAATATTCAAATGTCTTTTCCCTCTAGAATAATATGGTTTTATTGGACCATGAAGTTTTAGAAGTGGCTCCATCAGTATTTGCTTCCTTTCTTATTTACACATTTATTAATTCCAACAGCTATTTAATCCAGACTCATGGATTAAATGATCTTTACATAGTTGGGGATAGTTGAACATTATGAAAAGTAAGGCATGTAAAACAGGACACATAGAGAAAAAAACTAGTCTAGTAAGTGAAAATGAGAAAGAGGAGTCATTCCTAGGTATATGCTTAAGTGTGGTCTTCAAAGTAGCACTATCTAAATTAGTCCTACAATTAATCTCACAAATGTGTTTTACTAAATATCTAACAACTACTTAGGGGAAAGAAGGAAAGTAAGTAAAGACCGTTATACCTAAAAACAATTTTAAAAGTCAACATCCTTTTTTTTTCTTATATTTTTCCTTGTTTATGTGTCCCCTTCCCCCACCATCTGCCTCTTCCTTCTCCTCCTCCTCCTCCTTCTTTTTGGTTCAATGGGCAAGTAGCTTAGAGTTTGCAAATTTGTGCCTATATCTTTAAAACCGTTTATTGACTTTCACACTTTTTAGGCAAAATGATAGCTTTCATTGGTATTATACATTATGATTTGCAGGATCTTTTACATATAACAACATATATGTCCTCACAAGGGCCTTGGGTTTACAAATTGCAGAGAAGTTTGGAGTGAGGCTTGTAATATCAGATTATTTAGGGTTGACTCTTACTTATTATCTGTGTGACCACAAGACTCAGTGTCTTTTTGCTTCAATTTCCACAACTGGAAAATAGAAATATAGACATATAATACCTGTTTCATAAAGTTTTTTTTCTAATGAAGTACAAGAGAACTAACAATTATTATTAATAACTATTATAATCTACCAATTCTAATCAACATTTTAGAATATTCTAAATGGAAGATAGGATTTCTTTTCATGTTGTATATCTCAATAAATGAAGCTCATTCAAACTATTTAATTGACTCCTCACTTCCTAATAGAAATTAGGGCAAGACTTCTCAGCACAGGAATCAATTACTCTGTCTGATGTTGTGACATTCTTTCTTAATATGGAGTGGGGGTTGCAGGAAGAGATTGCCCCGAGGAAATCTGAGCCATTTTCCTTGGTTCTCCAACATGAGATTTCATTGTGTGCCTCACTAATAGGTATTAATTTTGTCATTTCCCGTGTGTTTTATACACCTAACTGGAAGCAGAGTTCTATTCCAAAGCACATTAAGCATAATTTTGACTAATGGATTCTTTAGAAAAATCTAATAATGACAGCAGTATGGATATCATATTATAGGTTAGAATTTTTTTCACATAAATTTATGCAATATGCATAACTTGTTATGTTATCTTACATATAAGGAAAATAAGAGCTAGAGATTCATTGATTTCATAAGTTCATATAAGCCATTTTAATACCAAACATAGGGTATCTGATAGAGTGTGGGTTCAGTCATTGGCATTTCTAAGTGTAAATTTCCTTGTTTACAAACTTGGGGATAACACATACATATTTAGTGAGTTGTCATAAGGATTAAACAGAAAACGTAACAAGAATCATTCTAGGCACAAAATAGATGTTAAAGCAATGTTACTTGTGCTTTCTAATTCTGGATAAATAAAAGAAACAGTACCTTCCATTTTAATGGAACACTAAACATGTATCACTAAAAAATTAAGCTGTGATAATGCTTTTTTAAAAAGTAATAAGATCCAGTCAGTAAACCTGATTTTTAAGATGGTAACTGATGTCTCCAAGGTGCAGTAAGGTAGATACTGGCCACCTGTGGCTATTAAGAACTTAAAATGTGACTAAAGTAACTAAAAAATTGGCTCAAATTTTATTTTAATTAATATCAATTTACATACTGATATTTTACTTAGTTATTGAAAAATTTTAAGTACATCTGGAGCAATTTGGCTGTGTTAATCTACTTTTCAACTGTAAATTGAAATACAGATTATTTCTGAGGAAGATTTAGCATCTGAATCAAGATATGTTATAAGCAAAGAACACACATCAGATTTAAAAGATAATATAAAAATGCAAATATTTCATCAATAAGTTTTATATTGTTTGCTTATTGAAATAATATTTTGGATATATTGAGTTAAATATAATTTATTAAAATAAAAAAAGTAATACGATTTAAAAAAAATAGTGCTTTGTTGGCCCAAGGACCTTTACTGATGAATGTATATTTCTCAAAATTGGTGTTTATAATGATGTGCTCTCACAGTTTATAAATTACCACTTTATTAGAATCTAAAATAAGCCCCCAAAGGTCATTTTGACTATAGTAACCTCAGGTAGCAATAAAATTCAAATGAAGTAAATTTCCTCTTTTAGGGGAAAACAAGTTTGTAAAAGATACAGTAAAGCAATTCCTTCAGTGAAAGAAGCAACAACATACTCAGGTTAAAAATACATTGCATTTTGAACCAAATATAAAAAGTGTGAAATATCATTTTGAGTTCCCTTGGAAAGATGTGACTGGATGATTCAAAGATAAAAGGTGCAAATGGCTTATAAAAGGGTTCAAAGTCATTACCAAACATCAAAGAAATATTGCTAAAAATCTTTTAATTGAAAATGACTCAGAAACTTCAAAGCTAAATTTTACTTAAAATGCATGTGATTATGGAATTTTTTTAAAAAGTAATGGTGAAAAGTGAACATTAGCAATGTTAGAGACTGGGTTTTTTAAAAATTCAGAATCAAGGATTTTGGTAAAGGCAAACCTATATTTAATCCAATTTTGCCAATATTAGGTATGAGATTATTGTATCCAGGCAGAGGGGGCTGTGAGACATCACAGAACAAAGTAAAGAGCATTGGGTCGTGATCCTGGCCTTGATCTCTGCAGCCACATGCCTTTGTGTAGTTTCGTGCTATCCTGAGTTCAATTTCCTCATCTAGGTAATGAGAATGATTATAATACCTGCTCTGCTTCCTTCCTACAGAGTGGATGTCAGAATCAAAGGAACAGATATTAAAGTACATTGTGAACTTTAAAACATTCCACAAATGTTAGCTATGGATTATACACAGCAATTAAATAGCAACATAGGTTGAAAAGAAATAACACATTTCTAGATTTTATTAAAGCAAAAAAAATAGTTGTTTCTCTTTGGATAACCATGTGTATTATCAATTATTTATTGTTTTGGTTATTATCTATTGATATATAACCGACCATGCCAAAATTTACTGGATTAATTTATTTTGTCATGATTCTGTTGGTTAGCAGTATGAGCTGAATTCATTTAGGCAGTTCTACTGTTTTTAGAGTTATTTATGCAGCTGCAGTCATCTAGTCACTCATTGGGACTAGATGGTACAAGATGGCCTTACTCATGTTTCCGACTGTTAGTGTTGACTGTCAGCTGGTTCATCTTTGGGCCTTAGTGGAGAGGGTGCTTTCTGCTCCATGAGGTCTCTCATACTCCAGGGGCTAGATTAGGCCTCCTCACTTGGCAGTTTCAGCACAGTTCCAAAAGGGCGAGAACAGCAGTTATAAAGTCTCCTGGAACCTAAGCTCAGAAGTCCTCTATCCTTATTCCTACCACATTTTACTGGTCAAATTAAGTTAAAGGGCAGCTGAAAGTTAAGGACTGTTAGACTTCACTTCTTTTTATTTTTAATTTAATTTAATTTTAAGTTCTGGGATATGTGTGCAGGCTGTGCAGGTTTGTTACATAGGTAAATGTGTGCACAGGTGGCCTGCTGCACCTATCAACCCATAAATCACCTAGGTATTAAGCCCCACATGAACTAACTATTTATCCTGATGCTCTCCCTCCTCCTGCCTCCTGACAGGCCCCAGTGTGTGTTGTCCTCTTCCTGTGTCCATGTGTTCTCATTGTTCAGCTCCCACTTATAAGTGAGAACATGTGGTGTTTGGTTTTCTGTTCCTGTGTCAGTTTGCTGAGGATAATGGCTTCCAGCTCCATCCATGTCTCTGCAAAGGACATGATCTTGTTCCTTTTTATGGCTGCATAGTATTCCATGGTGTATATGTACCACATTTTCTTTATCCAGTCTGTCATTGATGAGCATTTGGGTTGATTCCATTAGACTTCACTTCTTGATGGGGAGAATGGCAAAGTGACATTGCTAAGGAGCATGCCCACAATTACGGGAAAAAGGGCTGTGGCCATCCTCCTCTGCAATTTACCACACCATCAATTTGATGTTTGATTTCCAATTAAACTATTTGTATAGGAAGGACACTCCTATGAGGAAGACTCAATTGCACAATTCCCAAAGACAAAGTCACATTTTCAACAGAGACATTTCATAAAGAATGGTGAGTCAATAACAAGGAATCCACTGGAATCCTGTGAAGGAGTCCATATAACAAATACAGGAATGTTAGGAAAAGACAAGATACAAGACACAGTCAAGGATAGAGAAAGGTATTTCGGTATTACATATCAAAAACCAGAAGAAAAGTTTAGAAATCACAATAAAGGGCATCACTGAAAAGAATTTTGGAGGATCAGATAATATACATATTAGCTGGCTCAACCAGTACCAAGTAAGATTGAACAGGATGGAAACCAGGATACATGTAGCATAATCTTTAGAGATATTATGAACAGGTGTTAGAGTTGAGCAGGTGTTGGACTGTTTCAAATGGTCCAGTATTCTAAGTTGTGTGAGGACATATAGGGTCATTCAGCCTGAATTAATTGGGATATGACAAACTGAAAAACACTGGCCAAAAGAAAAAGCTAGATTCAGAGATTTGAAAAGCTACACAGGAATGGAAGAGAATTCTACAAGAAGCATTTCCTAGGGTGATCTGAATAATTCTCCCAGTTGGTATATTTTTAGCCTAGTAATATTTTATGTACCAATTATTTATCAACATGCATTCAAAAATATTTATTTAGTACTTATAATGTTTTAAAAGCCATACTTGTTACAGGGGATACAAGGTCAAACAAGATACATTCTTCACCCTTCGAGGGTCTACAGACATTGTCAACACAAGTGATAATAGTTATAATAACACAAAGTCTAGGAGTCATTGATAAAATTATAATTAGGGTTAAATAATTGTTACAGACTATGAAATTCTTACTTCATGGTACACATTGTACTAGGCCCTCTATATATTATCATTATCATTAGTCTTCAAAAAAACAAATAACATAGAATATTTATTCTGTTGTATACACACACACACACACACACACACACACACACACACACATCGGGTTATTTAGGCTCATAAGATATAAATGTCGGTTTGGTTTCCAAACCATACCTGTTTATTCCAGGGTGCATAGCCTCTTGACAAGACCGTTTGAATCTCACCAGTTTTACAAAGCCTTTTTGATACCAAAGATATTTTGTACTCAATTATTTTTATAAGGGCACACTTGGATTCACCTTTTAAAAATTAAACTTCTAGATTTTTATTATGAAATATAAAACTAAATGAACATTCTTACTTCATCCTTGAGCCTCATTCCCTCATCTATCTCATCTCTACTGTAGAGATGGGATAAGCTGTGGTTAGATACCCTTTTGTAGATAAATCCGGAATTGTGTTTACCATCCTTGCTACTAATCTCAGAAATACCATCAATTAATCTCAGGTAAGGGGCTGCTTATTTTCTGAAAACTTGCATGTGTCTTATATTGCCTGCATCTCAAATTCTGTGATTTCTTCGACAAGGAAATAATGGTCATATTCATTTACTTTTACACTAAGTAGATTTAATAATGTTTCTCATTTGAAAACTGAAAGCAGTGTTTCTCAAGAGGAGAATGAACTTTTTAATATTTCTGAAGGGATAGCATATGTAATTTGCAAGCTTCTTTAATATTACACTTTTAAATTTGAAAAAGGGAATATCATACTTATTGTTTTTATAATTGTGGGCAATAGAAACTAGAGCACCACATAATCTCCTGCACTGATAGTGGATAGGCAGATGCTATTGATTCTGAGGAGGCAGGGATCGAGGGAGTAGAAAATTTTTCCCAAATCAGAGTTTCAGCACAGTGAAAGGAATGAAGATCACACACACACACACACACACACACACACACACACACACACACACACACTACATTCTAAAGAAAAACATGAGAAACAGTCATCTTGTAGAAAGAATGGACATATATGCTTATCTGCTTTTTGGACACTTTCTGGTCTGCTGATTATATTAGAATGAGGATTAGATATTAGGGGTGGGTAGACGATTAGGGTGCATTTGAATCATAATATGGATCTTCATTCTCTTCGTTCCTAAACTTCACAGGAACTCTTTCAAAATCTAACACTGAGTGATATTGTTTGGTTCTGTGTCCCTACCTAAATCTCATATCAAATTGTAATCCCCACACGCCAGAGGAGGGCTCTAGTGGGAGGTGATTTGATCATGGGGGCAGATTTCCCCATGCTGTTCTTGTGATAGTGAGTGAGTTCTTATGAGATAGGATGGTTTAAAAGTGTGGCACTTCCCCACACGCTCTGTCTCCCCTGCTTCCACGTAAGACGTGCCTTGCTTCCCCTTTACCTTCTGTCATGATTGTAAGTTTCCTGAGGCCTCCCCAGCCATGCGGAACTGTTAGTCAATTAAATGTCTCTTCTTTTATTTTTCCTTTTTTTTTTTTTTTCTGAGACAGGGTCTGACTCTGTCACCTAGGCTGGAGTGCAGTGGTACAATCTCAGCTCACTGCAATCTCTGCCTCCCAGGTTCAAGTGATTCTCCCACCTCAGCCTCTCGAGTAGCTGGGACTACAGGAATGCCAGTACACCTGGTTAATTTTTGTATTTTTAGTAGAGACAGGATTTTGCCATAATGGTCAGGCTGGTCTCGAACTCCTGACCTGAAGTGATCCATCTGCTTCAGCTTCCCAAAGTGCTGGAATTATAGTTGTGAGACACCATGCCCAGACTAAACCTCTTTTCTTTATAAATTGTCCAGTCTTGGGTAGTTCTTTATAGCAGTGTGAAAACGGACTAATACACCGAGAATATAGAAAGCTGCCTTTGACTTACAGTGAAAGGCCCATTTGGTGAATAAGAAACCTTCAACTAACTTTTCATAAGGGCAAATTTATATGTTCTTAGTTTATTATAAGCTGGATAAAAAATCTTTTAGATTTTAGCCCTCATTTGTAAGGTTATGCTTGAAAACATTTTAATATAGGCTATTTCTGAGATCCTGGGTATATCTGACAATAACTGAAAAATCTGCATGGTTTACTTAAGCAAGAAAATGTCCCACATTAGAATTTTCCATCCCACAAATGGCTAACATGAGAAAAAATTTCTTCACCCTTGGTGGGTTGTGAAACAAGCAATTTTCCTGCTGAGAGGCTCTCTCCTCGTGCTCTTTGTAAAAACTGTCAGCTTTACCTGTATGACCAAATATAGACGGCTGGCTCTCCACAATCACTTTTGAATCGCCAACAGTTATGCTGGCCTCCAATTCAAAGGTTTTATGTAAGCAGGGAGATTGGTGACAATCTGAAAAAATCAAATATTATGGAGCAAATATTTTGTCTTGCCAAAATATAGCAAGCATTTATTAACTATCGGCTTCTTTGCTTTTTATTGAAGAAAAATATACATAAGATGAGACTTCTGAATTTAAAAAGCTCATAGTCATTATAATATAGTATGCATTTAAGATAATATGTGTGAAACATACAACAAAATACTAATTAAAGGTCCTGTAATTATTACTATTAATATAATATTTGTCACTGAAACAATATGCACATAAAGATTTCTATGGTATTATTTTTAAAAAGCTTTTTCTCCTGTAAGGATACCTTCTTATTAAGGGAAATGAGGAATAATTTTCTCTATACTTGACAGTAATTTTTTTCACTTGTGTAATGTGACATAGCCAAATATTACAATCTCCAAGGGACCGGCTGAGTTGTTTTGTTGTACTGTAATATGTGATAATAAATGTATTTAAAAGAAAGGAATCAGAGTCTGATAATTTATTTTGCACATTGATTATCTGTTATGTATTCCCCTGGGGCTAAAATGGATGGAGGGAGGGGAAGATTTGGCCACTGGAGACAACAAAAGATCATAAGAATTTAGCAAACTTTGAAAACCACTTATTCAAGAAGAAAATACAAGCTTGTAAAGAAAACAATAGTCTCTTTAATTTAAAATACCATGAATTGAAAATATTATAAAGAGACAGCAATGTATCCAAATCCCTACCATGTAATAGCTGTAGCAGACGCTGTCAGTAGATACTCCCTTCTCCACTTATGTCTACCCCCTTCCAGTTTCCGTTTACCTGGTTGTGTAGGTATTAGCTGCTAAAGGCACACACCTGTATCCTCTGGAGGACCGCCATGGTTTCACGCCTTGGTTTTCAGGATATGCACAGGAGGCAGGTAGCCTCAGATTCATGATACAGAGGTGTGATAGCTTAGCCCTTGTGTTAGTTCGTTCTCACACTGCTGTGAAGAAATACCGGAGACTGGGTGATTTATAAAGGAAAGAGGTTTAGTTGACTTATAGTTCTGCATGGCTGGGGAGGCCTCAAGAAACTTGCAATCATGGTGGAAGGTGAAGGAGAAACAAGCACCTTCTTCACAGGGCAGCAGAACGAAGTGAGTGCAAGCAGGGGAAATGCCAGGTGCTTATAAAACCATCAGATCTCATGAGAACTCACTCATTATCATGAGAACAGCATGAGGAAACTGCCCACATGGTCCAATTACCTTTACCTGGTCCCACCCTTGACAGGTGGGAATTATGGGGATTACAATTCAAGGTGAGATTTGGGTGGGGACACAGAGCCAAACCATAGTAGCCCTCTTGCCTCTAGGCAGGGCAGCCTCTGTGACACAATCTAGCTCAAGAACTCCATACGAGATCAGGAGACTAAACTTCTAAAAGCTCATTTTTGCCTAGCTATTCCCCTACCTTATCTTGCTGTTTTCAAACCTTATAGGTTTCCCATAAGAGCAACTCCTCAAAAGATTGTTCCTCAGAAAATACTTGTATAAGAATCCCTATTTCATACTCTGCTTGTAAAGCACCTGGCCAAAGACAGTTACCAATATCACATAGTTATTCTACTGTGCAGACAACAATTTGTTATTTTTAGTAATAAGGCTATGTTTTCTAGAACTGTCAATCTACCTTGACATTGCTAAATAGACATCTGTATTCATTTGTCACCACTTACTGGTTGTTTTATTCCTTAAATTTATTAACTTCTCTAATAGAGATTTTCATCAATAGAGACTCTACAATTTGGAGCAAACTTATTTGCATAAGAGAAAAATCTAAATGCTGAAGTTGTCAATTTTTGCCTAGCAAAGAATATGAGTACAGTGGAGAGAGCACAGGATTTGGAACCAGAAAGACTTAGGTGTTAATCCTGGCTGTTCAATCACTTATTAGCCATATGATCTTGGTCTAATCACATAGATTTTCTGAGCCTCCATTTAATTTCATTTAAAAGTGGAATCATGATGTCAATGCCATTTCATTGTTGTGATGAGTAATATTACGATAATGTAGATTAAATACGTGGACTAGTACCTGGCACATAGCAGTTGCTCAGTGAATGTTATTTTTGGAAAGGGAAAATGGTTTAAATACAGATGTGAGCAAATCAGTTAATTAAGCCTGAGTTTATCACCCACTCTGTTTCCAGTTTTCCTAACTGATGATGCGTGCCTCCTTTAGTAGCATTCAAACAGTGCCTATTTAGCCTGAACTCCAATGTACACGTGAATATCCTAAGTGGAGCCAGGCACTCCAACTGATGAAATGGAAAAGAAAATAGTGGTACAGAAGCCCCCAAAATGTAGAAGTTCTAGACCAAAAGAAGTTTTAAACCATTGGTGATGCATGGGGAAATCTGTCATTCAAATAAGTTTTGACTTACAAAGTAACCACAAAGAAAAATAAGACATCTTAGCTAACACTAAATACTGGAGGATTCTACCTAAAATCTAGATCTGGCTTCTTTTGAAAAAGCACAGGTCTTCATTCCTATGTAACAATGATGGGCAAGAACCAAGTAAAGCTTTATTTTTTCTTTGGGTAGAACATGTGCCCTCTAGTTTTTCATTTAGGATAACCATATGATTTATCATCAAAATTAGGTTACATTGAAAATGATAGGTGTAGTGTTGATAATTATGCCAGAACAACAGGCATATGTCAGATCAGGCTCTAGGCAAACTGGGACAAAAGCCACTATAGCCAGAGTCCTGTATACTTCCTAGTGCTTCTCAGAGTCAGTCACTGTACTGTACAATTTGCCTTGCACCTGTAGGTACTGTGGAACTGTCTTTAAGAGCATCTAGATTTTTTAGTGAGTCTGGAAATCAATTAATTAATTTCTTGCATTCTGCATTCTCATAAGTGAATTTCTACTAAGTAAAAAGTACCTCTAATAAAGTCTGACTAGTATATCCAAGATGATATGCAGTGTTCAAATAGTTATGTTTTTCTCTACAGCTTTCTTTGAGTTCAAAATACTTCATAATTAAAAATATATTTAGAAGACTTTTTTAGAGACTTGGACATAAGGAAAGCAGTGACAAAAAAAACCTCAGTTTTAAAATTATTGGGATGTCAATAAAGTTCTACAAGTCAATGAGTGTTGTGAATTTTGTTTGGAGAAAACATTTGCTGTGCATAGTGAAGCATATTTTCCAAGGAGCAATTGGTGATTGGTGACCAGAGAAAAATGACACATATGTAAGAGTTGGAGACATGAAAACGACCAGCTTAAGAGAGAAACAATGCAAGCCTATTTAAGATGGACAGCAGGCTTTGCAATCTGTTGCACTGGAGTTTTAGGGACTTACCACAGACAGTGTTTGTTATTGCAGAACGTTTTGTTTCCCAGGAGGAAGGAAGATTAACCAAAAGAAATACAACATTAAAAAAATACACAGATGATACAGCAAAATAAAGCCCTAGACTATAAACCACAAATGGCTCAATATATTTGTTTGGGAATTATTGGAGAGGTCCACCATCTAATGCTTCCATCCTAAGGATGTTTATTGAAAGAGAAGATTGAGTAAGCTTGCACTGAATTTTCGGCAAAGTTCCCACTAACACTCACCACAATCCTGAACCTCTTGTGGCTTCTTGGTCTTCTGTGATTTTTTTTTTTTGGTATATTTTATCTCTTCCTAAAATCTGGCTTGCCTGTGGAATGTGTGTCAAGAAGCAGGCCTTATTTACTCATTGAGAAACTGGCCACTAGTGAGGAGTTGAGTATACCTGATGGGAAGAAAGGAGGAAGGGCCACATGCCCACCCACCTACCACACAGATGGCAATGGGCCATTTTGTTTCTAATATCACAATAGGAACCACATGGAAGGCAGAAAGGCTCCTCAGACCAATTTGCGTATGTTCTTGTTAATTGATCCTTTAGCTAAAAGTCTTCTCTTCGTCCCCAAAATTCCTTCATATTCAGAGATGCTTGAAATTCTTATCTCTCCCTTGAGAGGACAGTCCCTAGATTATTTTTAAACATTTCTGTTCTTTATTTCAACCACAATAGAGATGGTTAACTTGGGGTATAAATAATGTTTTCTATGACATTTAACCTAGTTTCATAACTCAGTAATTACTTCCATTCTCATTTAGTCTTCCTGATAAAGCAATTCTATGAAAGAAGGATTAAAATATAAAACATTTAAAATAGGCCTATTTCATGCAAATGATAATGTTTGATGGCAGGAGTTAGTAGATATTTTTCCTTCAGATCCACATTTTGTAGTTTCAAATACCATTATAATGAAACCTAGAGGAATTCATCAGTTGACACTCCTGTATGTGTTTAGTGGCCACTCTCATGCTGTACTTCATACTTCTCCCTACAAATATAACAATAACAGCAATAATAACAAAAACAAATATACTGGATAAAAATACATAATGATGGTGAAAATTCTAACTTAAGAAATTAATCATTTTATACTGACTAGCTTATTATTGGCCCCTATCATATTATGTTATTGTGCAGTCATTATAATAGTTGATATTTATTGTGGGCTTATTTTGTAGCAGATGGCTAAGTAAGCATTTTACACTTATTTGCATATTTAATTTATATAGCAGTGCTTTGAAGTTAGTACTCATAATATCTATTTTACATATTTTAAATTGTGGTTTACAGAAGTAAGCAATTTATTTCAGGTCGTGTAGCTTACAATTGACCGAGCAAGAACCGCAAATCTTACAGGTGCCTGACATTTAAGTCCAGCTTTTTCAATCACTGCTATATTTCTTCACCTTTCTTAGCCTCTTGGAAAAGACACATTCTTTTGAGGGCTTTTCCACTCTAATTTTAACTTCAACTAAGTTCAACTGACATTTATTGAGCCCTTACAGTGTTCCAGACATATAACCAAGATACGTGTCTTCACAGTGGTATTTTTGCCTATCTTCAGTTCCCTCAAGGTAAATAAAGATAACAATACCCACCTCAAAGGATTGTTGAGTATGTTATCAAAAACATAGCTATTATCATCATCATCATTATCATTATTAAAAAATAATTGATTTCCTGGTATAAGGTGAGTGATTAATAAATGTTTAGTGAATCAATGGATGAGTGAAAGAAGTTGTCAATGAGATGGGGTCTTGTCTATAAGACATTAACAGTCTGGTCATAGAGCAACAGTCTGGTAGTAGAAACACTCAGATATATGTGCTTCAATGGCATGAGTTTTATAATAATAAAACATCTAGGTTCTGTTGGTATAGAAATGAGCAGCTAATTAAACTTGGGACGGAATTATAAGGCAGAATATTCAGGAAGGCTTCACAGAAGCAGGAAAAGAAGAAAAGAAGAAAGGAAAGAAAGAAGGAAATATCAGAGTGGTTCAAGGATTAGAGTCTGAGAGACAAGAAATAGGGAAACCAAATAGAAGATTATTGTTCTCCTTAGGACAAAAATGGTAAAACTTGAGCTTGGCAGTGACAGTGAATGAAAAGAAAATGATGGAGTCCAGAAATATTGGAAAGTTTGGCAAGGCTTAATGACTGATTCAAGGCTGGAGGTGGGGGAGAAAGAGACAGAATTAGGTTTCTGGCTTGCTCAACTGATTGGATAATGATGATGTAATTGAGATGGGAAACATCTGCTCCACAGTGTAATTCCAGGCAAGCTATTACCATCTTAATCCTTATTTTCCATGTCTGTGAATTTAAGATACTAATAGTCCTCATCACATATAGTTGTGAGAATAATAGAGTGATATTACATGTGAACAACTTAGCACCATGTCTGGCACTTAGTAAATGCTCAATTCACAGCTCTCTTACCTTGTGTGGGATTGGCAGGAGTAGTAGAATAGGAAAGAGCAAATATGCTTAGCACTGGAATATTTGAGATTGAGTTACTTATAAGCCATCTAAGTCAGTATGTAGAATTCCTGAAAGAACTCTGGTAATTTGTCAATTTAAGAATAAGAAGACTCACCCTTTTTGTTTGAAATGTGCTATTTTTAGTGATGCTTTAAACTTAATTAAAAGAGATCATAACATCACCATGACCCTTTCTGAGGTATGATAACAAAATCTGTCAGTCAGGAATGATTGGGGAGGAGTCTCTGTTGCTTCCAGTAGAGACCAATTTAGGAATCCCATAGACATTCATAACTCTCTGTCTTTGAAAGTACACGGTGACTGCTTGCTTCCTTGAATGCAATGGCCACCACCCAAATGCAGAATACTGCCTTTCTTCCTCCAAATTGCTCGTAAGAAGTCACAATCACTATTGACTTGCTTCACAGGGGGAAAAAAGAGTTAAATCTACTTATTATTCCAGCTTTAATTTGCTATTTTAGTCATGCTCAACATGCTATTTTTTATTTGAGCACTGCTATTTAATCTGTAACCATTTCTCCTTTTTTCTGTATATGTTTTCAAATGTTTCATATTAGCTTCTTAGTTTAATGTTAGCATTAAAATTTCTTATAGTGTTGGTTTTTAAAATAGCCTATGGTCTTTGGCTCTTTATTGATAAAAGGACATTCACTCTATTCTATTCCCTAGTGGGATTTGTCTTCTACTCATCAGAAACTAGGATTTTGTGGAGTTTTTGACAACGTATTTTAATAGTAAGTGAATAGAAAACATGAAAACCTTTTTCATGTTAAGTCCTACCAACCACTTAGCACTCAGTCTCTTATGAAAAGAAAATCTGTGCTATCCAATAGCTAACCATCTGCGAAATCAGTGAAATATGTAGCTTTTGGATTTTTGTCATTTTTTCCATGTGTCCAAGGGATGAACCTGGCATGGGAACAGACAAAAGCTAAGCTGGGGCCTGGTGCAGTGGCTCATGCTTATAATCCAGCATTTTGGGAGGCTGATGGGAGAATCGCTTGAGCCAAGGAGTTCAAGACTAGCCTAGGAAACATAGGGAGAACCTTGTCTCTACAAAAAATACAAAATAATTAGCCAGGCGTGGTAGCACATACCTGTAGTCCCAGCTACTTGGGAGATTGAGGTGGGAGGATGGCTTGCACCTGGGGGTATGAGGCTGCAGTGAGCTATGATGATCATACTAAGGCACTGTAGCCTGGGTGACAGAGTGAGACCCTGTCTAAAAAACAAAAAACAAAAAGCCAAGCTGGGATAAACAAGAGGTTGCCTTATGTCTTTGCGATTTGAGATAAGTGCCACCAACCAGATGCCACTTTAACCAGGTCAGAGACAGGATTTTTGTCATTTTTTAAAAAACAGATATCCTAACTTATATATTAACTTTAATTTCTAGGATATCATATAGGCAGGTAAATGTATTTTTTTATCATTATGCAGACTAATTCAAACCGTAAAATGTATAATTTCTTCATGAGACAATGTGAAGCACAGTTTTGGTTGGTTGTTTGTTTTTAGATAAAATCATGGACCTTCTGTGAAAAGTAAAGAAGAAATATTTCTATGTTAGCAAAACATTTAGCACACACGAAAAAAAATTTGAAGAACATTTTCAACTAAGGAATTTGGGGCAGCAGATTAATGGTATAGCTTCTTGATTCTTTGCCTGACATGCATTGTTTATGCAAAATATTTCCAGTAGACTCATATCTTAATTCATCCAATACCATTTGCAGCACAGATTGTTTATGTAACCTAAGATTGTACTCTATAAGTGACTACTTTTCCTGAATTAGCATTTATGATGCAAACCACTTAACTATCTACAGTAAATAAGTAAACAGACATTTTAAACCTTTCTTTGCTATGGAAGTTATTTAACTTAGAGAATCAAATAAACTTCAAATTCATTTATAAGAAAACAAACACCATTGACTCTCTTCTGAAGTCTGTACTAAAGCACAAGAGCAGAGTTTTGATTAGACTTCACACACTTTGAATATTTTAGAGAGCACATTTATTTTTTAATTTATTTGTTTTGTTGCAAAGTACTTCACTGGAGATTTAAATTGGTTTTTTTTTTCTTTTTCCTTTCTATAACCAGAAAGTTACCTTGCTGTCTTTAGCAGAGTAGGCTACCTTAAATCATTCCTTTTGTGGCTGTTTCTACCTTTGATTTGTGTGTGTGTGCATGCCTGCACATGCATAGGGCATAAGAAATTATACGGCTCCCTGGGGCAATCAGAATTGCAATCCTAGGTAGGTTGGTATTGCAATATGGTATCCCAGGTTACCCTATAGCAGTGTTCCAAAAAAAAAGTGTGTGATGACTCCTTTATGTTTCCAGGATAGACACCTTTGTGCAGGAAAGTGCACAATGATCTCAGTTTGTAAATGGGCACCTGAATTAATCCTGACACTCTCTGGCCAGCTGGCATTTTAAAGGATTGGCCTGAAAAAGTTACCAGTTAAAAGCTCCAACCTGAAGGGCCATTAAGGGCCCTATGCTAAGGTTGGCTTGGGAGAAAAATCTATGCTGCTGTGAAGGGCTCCAGATCCACTGGACATTGGCATTTCCTCTGAGATCATAAAGCAGTTAGAACCAAAGGCAGTATCAATTTTCTCTTCCTAGAATATGGAGGTCAGACTTACCAACCTCCATGTTCCTTCTTGGACCATGGAGAGTGAAGATACTGGACTTGACAGTAATCTGGCAGGTGAGGACTTTGGCTGGTTTTATATATATTTTTAATAAGCAAAATCATAATGTAAAATTGATATAGCAATTCACAGCTACTTTATTTCAGGTGATTTCACCATTTTGCATGCTTTTGCAACATATACCAGCATTAAAGCACTACACTCCAGAGTTGGAGTCAACTGCATTTTTAGAGAATGGTCATCAACTGTTCGGTGGATTTCTCTACAGGGTATGAACTTAATCATGGGTGATTTGGGGGATTACAGTGATGGTCAAGAGAATGAGCTTATTAAGATATTATAGAACACTCTCACACCCTGGATAGCAGAGTAGTCAGATGGGAAGAGGTGGCCAATGCAGATAAGATTTTCCAAAAAATGAAAGTTTCTGCTCTATCTTCAGGGAACTACCTAAAAGAAGAACATTGTAACTAATGATCAGACACTATATTAATTTTTTAAAAGAAAAAATAACAGAAAATATTTAACTTCTTTACAGAGAAAGAATGGGGACATACCCTGTTAAATATCACCAGAATTCTTGGTCCTAGTGTATAAGAATATCCTTATGGACTCGAGACAAAGAAAGCTATCAGTGATACGGGTATGGTGTAGGGCAAGTGGTTGGAAATGCTGTAGTAGAAGCCAGATAAGGAGCAGAAAGTGAGGGCATTTTCTTGTATACAAATTTTCATTTCATATGAAAATACATTTGTCTCTTGGATTTTCAGACTACTAAACTGTCTCCAGAGTGGCAAATAGCAGAATGAGAGACAGCTAACATACTTAGTAGTCGTGTTCCAGAGGTGATTAAAATGTGTTGACAGACAAGGCCAAAACTACTATAGCAGGATGTTTCAAAAAACAAAAACTATGTTTGGGAATACAGAACAATGACAGGCCATGCTGGTTAAATATTATGAGTATATACTAAAATTTTAAAAATATATAGATTCCCCCAATCTAGCAATTCTACTATTGAAAATGTATCCTAAAGAGGTAGAAACCCTAATATCGAAGAAAAGATGTAAATGTAGAAAAAGATGGAAGAGAGATTTTGATCTTTTTAATCTATAGACATAAATATAGAGATGTCATGAGAGCATTGTTTGTAGTGGATTTTAAAAACCTGGAAAATTGAGAGAATTTATCAGCAGGAAAATGGTTGAATATATTTTGGTATATCCATACTATGCAATATTATGTAAAATTAAAAGTGAGTTACAACTACATGCACTGTTCTAGAGTTACAATGCATATAACCTACAATGCATATTACCTACTTTATTAGGTAAAAATAAAAGCAAATTGTAGGGTAATGTGTATGACATGATCCTTTTGCATTACATTGAAGTCAAAACTCTGTGTGTGTGTGTGTGTGTGTGTGTGTGTGTGTGCGTGCGTGCGCACATGACCACATTTACATAAGAAATGACCACATTTACATATTGAAGGATACAACAGGCTGCTCTTACTGCTTGTCTGAGTAGAGTAGGATTGGAAGAGAGTGAGGGGGGATCTGTAAGATAAATCACTTACAATGACTTGATTGTTCAGGGATACTTTGTTATCAGAATTTTAAAATTCAGCCTCTTTAAAATGAAAAACAAAATGAAATAATCAAAAACACAAAACAAAAGAACTCAAGAGAGATCTCAAAGTTTTTACTTTGTCAAAAGATAATTTTAAAAAAATGTTATCTGCTGTCAGTATTGTTTTATAAAGAAAAGATATTAAACACAAAAGGGGAAGGACGTGAGCTAACCTTGTTCTTTCTGAAAAAGGATAGTTGGAGGTATATAACTGCATGTAATATTGCTCTTATTTTCTTCATTTCAGCACAATCCAGTGAAAAGCTGACCGAGGAGCAAGTTTTTGATCCACTTATTTAGTGGAAAGCACTGCACTCAATGTCAGGAACCCATTCCAGCCATTCACTCTCTCAGTTTTAAGAAATAACCTCTCTGGTTTGTCTTATTGGGAAGGTAAGTGGGTTTGATCAAACAGTCTCTAAAGCCCCTTTGTGTTCTATTATTTCTGATTATTCACTTCTTACTTTCCATAATTCCTCTGTTTTATTTATTTATCTAGCAAATACTTTCTGAGCATCTACATACATGTATCAGGCATCAAGTTCGCCACTGGGAATATTGTCATGACGGCAGGTGAGGTCTTTCCTCTTGCATTCTCTTGGGGAATGACAAAAAGCATGCAAATGAGTGACTGGAGAAAGAATTACAGATTCTGGGGAGTGTTATGGAGGAAATCAATAGACTGATGTGATGGGGGTGAGCAAAGAGGGGTAGAGAAAGGTAAACTGAGCTTCATTTTCATAGAAAGTCTTTCTGAGGATTTGAGATGAAACCTAAGGGTGAGTAGGCATCTGCCACATGGGGAGCTGTGTGAAGAACTCACCACACAGTGGTAACCACAAGTACCAGGTTCATGAATTGGTAAAGGACCTGGCTATTCCAAGGACAGAAAGGAGGCTGGAGAAGTTGAAGTGTAATGAGCAAATGGGGGAGTGAAGGAGTAGGTAGTACACAAAGAGGATGGAGAAGTAGGCATCCAGGCGATGGAAGACATAGGAAGCATTCGAATTTTCATAAACATGCAATGATAAGCCATTAACAGGCTCTCAGGAAGAAAACGCTATGACATGACTTGAATTTTACAATGACCGCTGGCTGCTATGTGAATAATAGATAGTTGGGATGCAGGAAGCAGGGAAAACAACTTGGAAGCTGTTGCAGTAATCCATGAAAGAAATGATGCTGCTTTGGGCCAGGACCATGATAGGTGTTTGGGAAGTAAAATAGTCTAGAATTCCTGGATGAGATGTGAGGGATAAGAGGAAGGAAAGAGCCAAGGCTCACTCCAGTTTTGGGGTTGGGAAACTAGATAAAAAGTGGTACCATTTATTGAGACAAAGAAGACTCAGAATGGAATGGGTTTTCTTTTTTTTCCTGTGGGTATGGGAATCAAGAAATTAGTCTCATCTGTGAGAAGTTGGGAGCGGCTAATTATTTATCCAGGTGGAGATGTCAACCAGGTGGTTAAATATGAGACTCAAGGGGCTTAGGGGAGAAGTAATGGCTAGAGATAGACATTTTGAGGCTCATGAGCATATGAGTGGTACATAAGGTCATTTCAAGAGAAAAGAGGCTGTTAGGCTTCAGCCCTAGGCAGCTTAACATCTACAGTTGACTCCAGACCTACCAACAAAGTTAATGAAGAAACAGTGACCAATGAAATGGCAAGAAAAACCCAGAGTGGTCTAGTATGTCTGTAATTTACTATAAATACCTTGGCATAGACACTGTGATCATCAGTTGCCTCACTCAGGTGTTCACAAGGAACGGTAGGCTTAACATTTAATCGAAAGTGTTACATTCCATGACATCTTTATTATGGTGACAGGAGAGGCTTTACTAATACTGGAAGTGGTATTTCATTATCACTAATGAAGTACCATAAAATTAGTAGTTCTTTAATTAGCTTATGTTTATAAATGAGTTGTCATTATTGAAATTTGTTTTATTTAAGATACATGAGCTGCTTCTCATATACATGTTTATAAGGAATATATAATTTTGTACCTGACACATAGAAGGTATTTAATAATTGCTTTGGGGGTTTTGTAGTTACTGTTGTTGCCATTGTTGTTTTGTTTTGTTTGTGTGGTTGATACAGGGTCTTGCTCTGTTGCCCAGGTTGGCTTTGAGTGGTGTAATCTCAGCTTACTGCAACCTCTGCCTCCTGGGCTCAAGCAATAATAGTTGTTTTTGCTCTTTTCATTCCTATAAATTCTAGAATTCTCTAAAATTCCACATTTGCATATAATGTTTAAAATATTCTTTAACTTTTCTTTTTCTCTGGTGTCCCTACTATGTCATTTACTTTCTTTTTAAGGCACTTAAAAAAAAAAAAACTTTTGCTCACAGCCTGGCACATAGAATATTGAATTAGTGGTGGATCATCAGAATTTAAAAAGGGTTTTAATAACATATCGAATGTTATTTCCTTTCAGGGATCTATTATTGAACACTTAAATATTAAAAGAATGTTGGATGTTGATTCTGGCAGAAAGAAATAGAGTGAAGTAAAAGACCAGGGGGAAAAAAAAAAGGAAAAATCGTTTGAGAAAGAGAGAAGAGAGGGCATAACTCATGTACATGCAAAATACGAAATATTTCTGTCAGTGGTGGTTTTTGCTACTGGACCACAAAAATGGATCACATAGCTCCTTGGAGATCACTAGCTGGGGTAAGGAAGATGGTTGCTGGTATTTAACCACACTAAAATATTGCCCCAAGATAGCGTTTTATGAACTTTGTAAAAGATCCAATCATAGTGTGGTCTTGATTTGAACAGACTGCCCTAGAATGAGCTCTGAAACAGCCCAAATATTATAGCCCGATTCATGTTCTGGCCTAAACTGTTAGTGCTAAAATACAAGTGAAGTACCCTGAATACCACAGAGTGGGCCCTTCAGATAAGATTATTTTAGTGGTGGAAAATATAAACACATTTTTGCCCAAATTTCCATTGTGATAAAGGAAAATTTGCTGAGGAAACAGAGCTAATCCACAGAGAACTGTGAAACTGAGAGATTCAGATTACCCACGATGTTGTCTTTGAGCCAAAACAAATGCATTATTTAGAAGTTCTTTCCCATAGGTATAAGGGAAAGTGGGGAATTTTCACTGTGGTACAAATGCTTCGTTTAGGAAAAGGATATCATGATCCTGATAAGAGAAAACATGTTCTCAATCTGGTCTTTAGAGGATTTACATGAGATGAGCATACTAATGAGTTTTTTTTTTCTAACTGAAAACAACTCTTCACCCCAAACCAACTGTCTGCGTGTTTTCTAATTAAGTAAAGTGAAGTAAAGCAGTGACTTAGCTGGACTCACTGCTCAAGTCTTTTTGTTGGATCTATTGGCAAGAATTTCTGTATAATAGTTTTTTATACAATCATATTAAAATTTTAGGCCATAAAAGTAAAGTGATTGAAACTACATGGCTATCCTATGTACCCATATAAACCTGTCTGCATCTTTTTGAAATAATCTGCTACTGCTGCTTTTTAGGCGTGGCCTAAAGCTATATGTATATCAAGTCACAGATTCATTGGCAAAAGAGGAAGCAGTTGCATTTGTTTCCACTGGACAAACTTTATGGGTTCAGATTAGCACTCACTGACAAACCCAAAGGCAAACGAAGAGTAAATGCTCTTTCAAAATGTAGACATCCAGGAAGAAGGCTTAGTATAAATACTTACATACAATTTTAAGATTTATAAGATATTATAATTTTCACAAATACATGCTTTACAACAGTCACTTCTGAAATATTATAGTTAGTTCCTATAGTACCCTTACTGGATGGAGTCAGTGAGATGGTCATCTTCCTAAAGAGAAATACAGCTTGGGGCCAGGTGCGGTGGCTCATGCCTGTAATCTCTGCACTTTGGGAGGCCAAGGTGGGTGGATTACCTGAGGTCAGGAGTTTGAGACCAGCCTGGCCAACGTGGTGAAACCCCATCTCTACTAAAAATACAAAAAAAATTAGCTGGGTGTGGTGGCGGGTGCCTGTAATCCCAGCTGCTCAGGAGGCTGAGGCAGGAGAATCACTTGAACCTGGGAGGTGGAGGTTGCAGTGTGCCGAGGTCACATTATTGCACTCCAGACTGGGCGACAGAGTGAGATTCCATCTCAAAAAAAAAAAAAAAAGAAAAAAAAAGAGAGAGAGAAAGAGAAATACAGCCTGATGTGCAGTTCTATGTCCATGTGAAATACTCTTCAAAAGTCTCTTTCCCCGGTCCCTTTGGGAAGCAATACAAAAGTGGTGGTTAGGAGTGCAGACCCCGAGGCACACTGTGTCTTCCTATCCCTTCCCATCTTTATGTCACGCTGTCTATTCCTCCTTTCCATCTGCTCACTGTGTGATGTTGGTCAAATTACTCAATCTCTCTGTGCTTTATCTTCTTATCTATAAAATAAGAGTAACAATAACATTGAACTCTTAGAGCTGTTTTGGATTAAGTGAGGTCTATCCTCATGGGAATGCTGTTATGGTTGCATTGATTTCCTTCTAACTAAGATCTGCGAGCCGGAGATCACACCAAGGATCCGAAGGAAGAATCACCCGGAGGGAAGAATTTGGTTGAATTGCTGGTCTGTGCTCAACTTTTCAGTCTTGAATGTCATAAGAGGTGAATTTTTTCTACTCTAGCATGTGGCAAAGTTTAGATATATTTCTGATTTCAACTATCCTGAGCCTTAGTAGCTCAACTTTGAGGAAATAAAAACCAAGTAATGTGAAAGACAGAACCTATGAAATGGGAGCTGGCTAAACAGTGATGTCATGTAGCTATAAAAAACGCAATGGTAGCCAAAGAATAATCAGAGTCTGCCTTTCTCACAAATTTTACTAACAGTTCTACACACTTCTCTTATTAGTACAACATGAATTTAAGGTCACAGGTTTTCTGTCCACATAATAACTATTAGATTACAGTACCAGTAGCTTATTGTTTTACAATGCCAATATATTCACTGAAAAAAGTTAGAAAAAAGCCCAGAAATTTCAGTTTCTTCCAGTTTCTCATCAATCTAAAGGTAACTGAGAACATTGATATTTGCTAATCTCAGTCAATATACACTAAAACATCTGGACATATAGAAAAGAGAATTGGGAGCCAGACACAGTGGCTCATGCCTATAATCTCAGCAGTTTGGCATGCTGAGGAGGGAGGATCACTTGAAGCCAGGAGTTTGAGACCAGCCTGGGCAACATAATGAGACACCCATCCCTACAAACAATTGAAAAAATTAGCCAGGCTTGTTGTCACACACCTGTAGTTCCAGCTACCCGAAAGTCTCAGGTAGGAGCATCACTTGAGCCCAGGAGGCTGAGGCTGTAGTGAGCTATGATTGCACCATTGTATTCCAGCCTGGGCAACAGAGCAACAGACCTTGTCTCAAAAAAAGAGAAAATAACAGAAAAGAAAAGAGAATTGAGGTTGTGTTAATTCTTTGTCTAAATATGGATCCAGCCAAGTTGTGGGGGAAAGATGATTTGCTTTTCTTTGGAATAATAAACTAAAAAATTTTGAGGAATTATTTTCATAGATTGATAACCTGTAGGTGATATAGGCATTTGGTTGCATAAACGTATCAATAATATATGCATTTATATAACTTCTTTATTCTAAAATACTTTCCAATTGGCTAGCTATATTTTTATTCAAATATTAATATCATAGTTAACATCCACATTTTTAAAAGCACTTATTGACTTCTAAAAATTATGGAATGGCTACAATATTTTAAAAATCTTCCTTCAGCTGGGCAGATAAAAATTTGTTTCAAAGTTCATTTGGAAGTGTATATGAATGAGAATATCCAAATGCTTTTGGAAAAGAAGATTTGCCATCTAGATATCTAAATGTGTTACAAAATTGTAGGAGTTCACAAAGGATGGCATTGGCATAGAAACAGATGATTAATAAAACACAGAAACGAAGAAACACATCTTTGCCTATTCAAAAATTTGACTATAATTAAACTTGCATTTCAAATCAGTGAAATGTAGAAGTATTATTAAACATATGGCACTGGGAAAACTGGTTATTCATTTAAAATAATTAAATATTAGACCTCTAATTCCTATCTTGCATAAATATATTCCAGATGCATTAAAAAGTGAAATAATTTTTAATTGAAAGAGTATGTTGGAAGAAATATAGAAAAATAATGTTATGACCTCTAGAGGTTTCTAGCTAAGAAGCAAAATCCAGAAGGAAGATGTTGGCACTTATGCTGAAATATAAATACTTCTTTAATTAAAGCCATCATAAGTAAGTTACACAATAACCAGCAGTCTGGAAAAAAAACTTGCCAAACATACAACTAAAAATAATTAATATCCAGAATATGTAAACATATCAGCCAGAAAAACTAAAGAATTTATAGAAAGTTTGTCAAAAGACAGAAGAAAACAGTTGGCCAAAACAGATGTGTGAAAAAAGGATTCCTAGACTTACTCGTAATACAGATATGTACATAAGATTATCTATTCAAATATAATAAATTTAAAAATCAGTAAAAATCTGTATAGAGGATACAGGAAAACAATTCCTCTCATACTCTTTTTGTGAAACTTGATAAAGCATTTTTACAAGGCAAGTAGAAAGTATCTTTCAAAATAAAAATAACACATCATTTACTCAAGACTTTCACTCCTAGGAATCTATCCAAAAAATAATGCTTATAACATGTACACAAATACATTTCTTTAAAGATGTCATTTTTTGTTGAAGCATTTTTTGGGTAATATTTGAAATTTTGGAAAATAACTCTATAAAGATAGGGGTAGTTTCAGCTATAATTTATAGAAAAACCCAAAATAACAGTGGCTTATAAACATGATAGTTTATTTCTCCTTCATGTAGGTTCCTGGTGTGAAAACTCCATGATTCTCAGAGATCTGTCTTCCTTTTTGCTCTGCTACCCTCAATAAGTGGTCCAGTGCAACTGCTCCAGCTTCAGTCAGCTGATCCATATTTGAGTTAGCAGACAAGGGAAAAGAAGCCCTCTCCCTTTGAGAACATTTATTTGATTGTTCTTCACTTTACTTACATTCCGTTGGTCAACACTTATCCACAGACACAAGGCCACACCTAGATTCAAAGAAAATTATAGAATTTAGTTGTTATTCTTGAAGACCCTGTGCCCAAATAACATTTGAAGGTCTATTTCTGAGCAAGTGGGAAAAATCGATTTTGTGGGACAACTCATAGTCCCTCCCACAATCTAGCTATTTGCCTACCCCAATATTCTGCCATACCCTTCTTCTGACACACAGAACCCAGTCATGCCTTTTGCAAAATAGACAGTTCCAAAGTCCCACACAGAGATCACTGCAGTGTCTCTAGATTATGTGTACTCTTGTGGTCTGGCAGTTGCTAAAATTAAAAGCAAACAATCTGCCCCCAAACATATCCAACCTATCACGGTGCAGCTGGAACAGGATAAACAGAATAAAAGCTCTCATTTGGAAAAGAGGAAAATAAGAATCATGAAGTGTCACTGGGGCCTTAGCGATGATAAAGTCCTCTCTGATGGTAAGCTTTTGGGTTCCTGCTGTGGCTTCTGTTACTGCTATCTCTTGCTGTAATGACTGATATACAGTCCTACTAATAACTGCTTCAGTGTTAGGGTTAAAACAACTGGCCTTCTCAACTCTTCAAGGAATCACACTACTGTAATCTCAGTCAACCAAGATTGTAGAACTAGGCAGAGAGCTTCTCACTGGCTGGTGTTAGACTATCTACATGAACATTATTGTAGAATTTTGTTTAAAAGTGAAAAAGGCAATCAACACACCTCAATCTTACGTATTGTCTCTACTATTTCCCCTAATGCTACGGTCATTGTTGACACTTACTCTTTCATCCAGGGCACCACAGGGAACAACTGTATTAGTTTTTTATCATCAAATAACAAAGTTCATCATTGTTTCAGAATGCAACATGTGAGTCCTCTTCATCTTCCACTTGATTGCTAAGCCAATGAAAATATATGGCTTCTGTTGCATGCAGCTCTCAATTTCTGTTTCAAAATTCCTTTGCACTGTGTTTGATTATAGATGACAGAAACTACTCTTAGCTAGTTTAAGCAGAAAAGAATTTAGTTCAGGAAATTAGCTACCTCATTGGAAGGGCTTTAGAAACAACCTTTATGCTGAGTCTGTAGAAATGAGACTATTCTGAAGCTAGGCATGAAATGAGAGGTATCTGAAGCAAGGTATCAGGCTCAGTAATTTCTGTTTCATAAAAGACAAATACTGCTGCAACCAAGCTCATTAGCAGAAACAGCAGAAGTACCAGATTGCATGCCCAATATACGATTATATCTGCTCATCTAAAGCTAAGCCTGTTTGGAACCTGAACTGTAGAGAAGTCTGAGAAAAGTAGTCTGCAACTTTTCAGCCTCTGTCATTTAGTAAGCATGTTCTAAGTTACTTGAAATGGACTGCAGTAAATCAATGCATAGTATTTGCCACAGGACCTAAAAGTCCATCTTTGGTAAATAAACTAAATAAATACTGGAACATTCATGTTAAGAAATATTAAGATGTTGTTAAAAAGAGTACGTACAGTGGAAACAGACAAACTTATAGTCAATATGTTAAGGCTAAAAATATTGTCAGAAAAAGCTGAGATAGCTGTTAACTGTGAGGCAGTATTTTGTACAAGGAGAAGCTATTAAGAAATTGCCGGCCGGGCGCGGCGGCTCACGCCTGTAATGCCAGCACTTTGGGAGGCCGAGGCGGGTGAATCACAAGGTCAGGAGATCGAGACCATCCTGGCTAATGCGGTGAAACCCTGTCTCTGCTAAAAATACAAAAAAATTAGCCGGGCGTGGTGGCGGGCACCTGTAGTCCCAGCTGCCCGGGAGGCTGAGGCAAGAGAATGGCGTGAACCCGGGAGGCGGAGCTTGCAGTGAGCCGAGACTGCGCCACTGCACTCCAGCCTGGGCGACAGAGGGAGACTCGGTCCTCACCCCCCCACCAAAAAAAACAAAACAAACAAATTGCCATTGAGACCCCTTGAGTAGTTGCTGAGTACAAGGTTGTACATGCATAGGGTAAAACTCAATGAAGCCAGGCAAAGAACTGTAAGATGAACAACTTTCAGATCTTTCACAAGGTAGGGAAACATTTGAGCTCTGACTAACCAGTGTAAAGATTCTTCAGTCATCAATGAAGCATTCAGTAGAAAACCCGGAAAAGGTCATATCTGGGTGAAGAGAACAAGGTATGCTTGGAATGAAGACAACTCTAGACATGCCATAAAAGTGCTTAAAACAGGAATTAAATGGATCAAACTAATCTTCAAGTAAGTTAGTTGCCTACTAGAATAAAGCACAACATTCTTTGAAGCAAGACATCAAATTGCAGATGTATGTAACCTCAGTGTAACCTCATGTTGTCTAGCACACAATAAAAAATTGCTACATATGCAAAGCAGAACATTATATAACATAGCCAGAAGAGGCCTCAATTGATAGAAACAGATCAAGAAATGTGAGAGAGGGTAGACTAGCAGACAAGGAAGTTTAAAAAGCTATAATAAATATGCTCAGGGATTTAAAAAGAAACCAGGAAATAATGAGGAGAGAAATGAAAAGTACAGAAAAGAACCAAATGAAATGTCTAAAGATGAAAGACATGGTAAATGAAATAAAAAATTCACAGGATGGGATAAAGAACAAATCAGACTGTGCAGACATAACAATAAAATGAATCCAAACTGAAGCACAGGAAGAAAAAAAAATACTGAAAACTAATGGACAGAGCTTTGTGGGACATGCGGGACAATATCAAGCAGTCTTACGTACCTGTGTGGAGAGTTCTGGAGGAAGAAGCATTAGGTGAATTTAGCAAACCATAGGATATGTGGTTAAAATATAAAATTCATTGCATTTCTCTATACTGGTAATAATTCAATGTTTAAATTTGATTTATATTAATTATATAGCATCAAAAGTGTGAAACACTTCACAATATATTTAGTAGAAGATGTGCAAATCCTGCACATTAAAAATTATAAAATTTGCTGAAAGAAATTTAAGAAGCTAAATAAAGGGAGAGATATGCCATTTGTGTGATTTGGAAGATTTAATGTTAAGGTGTCAATTCTTTTCCAATTGGTCTACAGATTCAACTCCTTTTATATGAAACGATAGAAAAGATCAATTGTATTTAAAATGAAGAAAGCAGATCAGAGGTTACCAGGAGCTGGTAGGATGATTAACTTCTAAAGGTCTCAGGATCTTGTTGTAGTTACATTGGTCTGTGTATTTGTCAAAACTTACAGAGCTTAACACTTAAAATAGGAGTATTTTCTCATATATAAATTACATTTCAATAAAGGTGATTTAAAAATAAGCCAATTACATTTCAATATTCTAGTAAAAACTATAACCATGTTAAAAAAATAAACAATTTATAATATCAAATAAAACAAAAAGGTATCTAAAATAAATCTAACAAAAGTGGGCCGTGTGTGTTTGTGTGCATGTACATATGTGTTTTTTTTTGTATTTTAATTATATATTTTATTTAAACCTGTGTCTCTAAAGCATTACATCAACATATAATCAATATTTGAAAAGAATTAATGGGATGTACTACATGCTTTTTTGTCCAAACTGTCTTCAGAATTCAGTGTATATATATATATATTTTTTAAGTTTTTTTTTCTTTTATTATTATACTTTAAGTTTTAGGGTACATGTGCACATTGTGCAGGTTAGTTACATATGTATACATGCGCCATGCTGGTGCACTGCACCCACTAACTTGTCATCTAGCATTAGGTATATCTCCCTATGCTATCCCTCCCCCCTCCCCACACCCCACAACAGTCCCCAGAGTGTGATGTTCCCCTTCCTGTGTCCATGTGATCTCATTGTTCAATTCCCACCTATGAGTGAGAATATGCGGTGTTTGGTTTTTTGTTCTTGCGATAGTTTACTGAGAATGATGATTTCCAATTTCATCCATGTCCCTACAAAGGACATGAACTCATCATTTTTTATGGCTGCATAGTATTCCACAGTGTATATGTGCCACATTTTCTTAATCCAGTCTATCATTGTTGGACATTTGGGTTGGTTCCAAGTCTTTGCTATTGTGAATAATGCCGCAACAAACATACGTGTGCATGTGTCTTTATAGCAGCATGATTTATAGTCCTTTGGGTATATACCCAGTAATGGGATGGCTGGGTCAAATGGTATTTCCAGTTCTAGATCCCTGAGGAATCGCCACACTGACTTCCACAATGGTTGAACTAGTTTACAGTCCCACCAACAGTGTAAAAGTGTTCCTATTTCTCTACATCCTCTCCAGCACCTGTTGTTTCCTGACTTTTTAATGATTGCCATTCTAACTGGTGTGAGATGGTATCTCATTGTGGTTTTGATTTGCATTTCTCTGATGGCCAGTGATGATGAGCATTTTTTCATGTGTTTTTTGGCTGCATAAATGTCTTCTTTTGAGAAGTGTCTGTTCATGTCCTTCGCCCACTTTTTGATGGGGTTGTTTGTTTTTTTCTTGTAAATTTGTTTGAGTTCATTATAGATTCTGGATATTAGCCCTTTGTCAGATGAGTAGGTTGCGAAAATTTTCTCCCATTTTATAGGTTGCCTGTTCACTCTGATAGTAGTGTCTTTTGCTGTGCAGAAGCTCTTCAGTTTAATTAGATCCCATTTGTCAATTTTGGCTGTGGTTGCCATTGCTTTTGGTGTTTTAGACATGAAGTCCTTGCCCATGCCTAGGTCCTGAATGGTAATGCCTAGGTTTTCTTCTAGGGTTTTTATGGTTTTAGGTCTAACGTTTAAGTCTCTAATCCATCTTGAATTAATTTTTGTATAAGGTGTAAGGAAGGGATCCAGTTTCAGCTTTCTACATATGGCTAGCCAGTTTTCCCAGCACCATTTATTAAATAGGGAATCCTTTCCCCATTGCTTGTTTTTGTCCGGTTTGTCAAAGATCAGATGGTTGTAGATATGCAGCATTATTTCTGAGGGCTCTGTTTTGTTCCATTGATCTATATCTCTGTTTTGGTACCAGTACCATGCTGTTTTGGTTACTGTAGCCTTGTAGTATAGTTTGAAGTCAGGTAGTGTGATGCCTCCAGCTTTGTTCTTTTGGCTTAGGATTGACTTGGCAATGCGGGCTCTGTTTTGGTTCCATATGAACTTTAAAGTAGTTTTTTCCAATTCTGTGAAGAAAGTCATTGGTAGCTTGATGGGGATGGCATTGAATCTGTAAATTACCTTGGGCAGTATGGCCATTTTCATGATATTGATTCTTCCTATCCATAAGCATGGAATATTTCCATTTGCTTTTATCCTCTTTTATTTCCTTGAGCAGTGGTTTGTAGCTCTCCTTGAAGAGGTCCTTCACATCCCTTGTAAGTTGGATTCCTAGGTATTTTATTCTCTTTGAAGCAATTGTGAATGGGAGTTCACTCATGATTTGGCTGTCTGTCTGTTGTTGGTGTATAAGAATGCTTGTGATTTTTGTACATTGATTTTGTATCCTGAGACTTTGCTGAAGTTGCTTATCAGCTTAAGGAGATTTTGGGCTGAGACAATGGGGTTTTCTAAATATACAATCATGTCCTCTGCAAACAGGGACAATTTGACTTCCTCTTTTCCTAGTTGAATACCCTTTATTTCCTTCTCCTGCCTAATTGCCCTGGCCACAACTTTCAACACTATGTTGAATAGGAGTGGTGAGAGAGGGCATCCCTGTCTTGTGCCAGTTTTCAAAGGGAATACTTCAGTTTTTGCCCATTCAGTATGATATTGGCTGTGGGTTTGTCATAGATAGCTCTTATTATTTTGAGATATGTCCCATCAATACCTAATTTATTGAGAGTTTTTAGCATGCAGTGTTGTTGAATTTTGTCAAAGGCATTTTCTGCATCTATTGAGATAATCATGTGGTTTTTGTCTTTGGTTCTGTTGATATGCTGGATTACATTTATTGATTTGTGTATATTGAACCAACCTTGCATCCCAGGGATGAAGCCCACCTGATCATAATGGATAAGCTTTTTGATGTGCTGCTGGATTTGTTTTGCCAGTATTTTATTGAGGATTTTTGCATCAATGTTCATCAAGGATATTGGTCTAAAATTCTCTTTTTTGGTTGTGTCTCTGCCTGGCTTTGGTATCAGAATGATGCTGGCCCTCATAAAAGTTAGGGAGGATTCCCTCTTTTTTTATTGATTGGAATAGTTTCAGAAGGAATGGTACCAGTTCCTCCTTGTACCTCTGGTAGAATTCGGCTGTGAATCCATCTGGTCCTGGACTCTTTTTGGTTGGTAAGCTATTGATTATTGCCACAATTTCAGACCCTGTTATCGGTCTATTCAGAGATTCAACTTCTTCCTGGTTTAGTCTTGGGAGAGTGTATGTGTTGAGGAATTTATCCATTTCTTCTAGATTTTCTAGTTTATTTGCATAGAGGTGTTTGTAGTATTCTCTGATGGTAGTTTGTATATCTGTGCGATCGGTGGTGATATCCCCTTTATCATTTTTTATTGCGTCTATTTGATTCTTCTCTCTTTTTTTCTTAATTAGTCTTGCTAGTGGTCTATTTTGTTGATCCTTTCAAAAAACCAGCTCCTGGATTCATTAATTTTTTGAAGGGTTTTTTTGTGTCTCTATTTCCTTCAGTTCTGCTCTGATTTTAGTTATTTCTTGCCTTCTGCTAGCTTTTGAATGTGTTTGCTCTTGCTTTTCTAGTTCTTTTAATTGTGATGTTAGGGTGCCAATTTT
Source organism: Homo sapiens (assembly GCF_000001405.40). NCBI lineage: Eukaryota > Metazoa > Chordata > Mammalia > Primates > Hominidae > Homo > Homo sapiens. Next base: position 88,849,910 of record NC_000012.12, on the reverse strand, counting down.
GGATCTTTCCTGCTTTCTCTTGTGGGCATTTAGTGCTATAAATTTCCCTCTACACACTGCTTTGAATGTGTCCCAGAGATTCTGGTATGTTGTGTCTTTGTTCTTGTTGGTTTCAAAGAACATCTTTATTTCTGCCTTCATTTCGTTATGTACCCAGTAGTCACTCAGGAGCAGGGTGTTCAGTTTCCATGTAGTTGAGCGGTTTTGAGTGAGATTCTTAATCGTTAGTCCTAGTTTGATTGCACTGTGGTCTGAGAGATAGTTTGTTACAATTTCTGTTCTTTTACATTTGCTGAGGAGAGCTTTACTTCCAACTATGTGGTCAATTTTGGAATAGGTGTGGTGTGGTGCTGAAAAAAAGTATATTCTGTTGATTTGGGGTGGAGAGTTCTGTAGATGTCTATTAGGTCCGCTTGGTGCAGAGCTGAGTTCAATTCCTGGGTTTCCTTGTTGACTTTCTGTCTCGTTGATCTGTCTAATGTTGACAGTGGGGTGTTAAAGTCTCCCATTATTAATGTGTGGGAGTCTAAGTCTCTTTGTAGGTCACTCAGGACTTGCTTTATGAATCTGGGTGCTCCTGTGTTGGGTGCATATATATTTAGGATAGTTAGCTCTTCTTGTTGAATTGATCCCTTTACCATTATGTAATGGCCTTCTTTGTCTCTTTTGATCTTTGTTGGTTTAAAGTCCATTTTATCAGAGACTAGGATTGCAACCCCTGCCTTTTTTTGTTTTCCATTTGCTTGGTAGATTTTCCTCCATCCTTTTATTTTGAGCCTATGTGTGTCTCTGCACGTGAGATGGGTTTCCTGAATACAGCACACTGATGGGTCTTGACTCTTTATCCAATTTGCCAGTCTGTGTCTTTTAATTGGAGCATTTAGTCCATTTACATTTAAAGTTAATATTGTTATGTGTGAATTTGATCCTGTCATTATGATGTTAGCTGGTTATTTTGCTCGTTAGTTGATGCAGTTTCTTCCTAGCCTCGATGGTCTTTACATTTTGGCATGATTTTGCAGCGGCTGGTACCGGTTGTTCCTTTCCATGTTTAGCACTTCCTTCAGGAGCTCTTTTAGGGCAGGCCTGGTGGTGACAGAATCTCTCAGCATTTGCTTGTCTGTAAAGTATTTTATTTCTCCTTCACTTATGAAGCTTAGTTTGGCTGGATATGAAATTCTGGGTTGAAAATTCTTTTCTTTAAGAATGTTGAATATTGGCCCCCACTCTCTTCTGGCTTGTAGGGTTTCTGCCGAGAGATCTGCTGTTAGTCTGATGGGCTTCCCTTTGAGGGTAACCCGACCTTTCTCTCTGGCTGCCCTTAACATTTTTTCCTTCATTTCAACTTTGGCGAATCTGACAATTGTGTGTCTTGGAGTTGCTCTTCTCGAGGAGTATCTTTGTGGCGTTCTCTGTATTTCCTGAATCTGAACGTTGGCCTGCCTTGCTAGATTGGGGAAGTTCTCCTGGATAATATCCTGCAGAGTGTTTTCCAACTTGGTTCCATTCTCCACATCACTTTCAGGTACACCAATCAGACGTAGATTTGGTCTTTTCACATAGTCCCATATTTCTTGGAGGCTTTGCTCATTTCTTTTTATTCTTTTTTCTCTAAACTTCCCTTCTCGCTTCATTTCATTCATTTCATCTTCCATTGCTGATACCCTTTCTTCCAGTTGATCGCATCGGCTCCTGAGGCTTCTGCATTCTTCACGTAGTTCTCGAGCCTTGGTTTTCAGCTCCATCAGCTCCTTTAAGCACTTCTCTGTATTGGTTATTCTAGTTATACATTCTTCTAAATTTTTTTCAAAGTTTTCAACTTCTTTGCCTTTGGTTTGAATGTCCTCCCATAGCTCAGAGTAATTTGATCGTCTGAAGCCTTCTTCTCTCAGCTCATCAAAGTCATTCTCCATCCAGCTTTGTTCCGTTGCTGGTGAGGAACTGCATTCTTTTGGAGGAGGAGAGGCGCTCTGCTTTTTAGAGTTTCCAGTTTTTCTGTTCTGTTTTTTCCCCATCTTTGTGGTTTTATCTACTTTTGGTCTTTGATGATGGTGATGTACAGATGGGTTTTTGGTGTGGATGTCCTTTCTGTTTGTTAGTTTTCCTTCTAACAGACAGGACCCTCAGCTGCAGGTCTGTTGGAGTACCCTGCCGTGTGAGGTGTCAGTGTGCCCCTGTTGGGGGGTGCCTCCCAGTTAGGCTGCTCGGGGGTCAGGGGTCAGGCACCCACTTGAGGAGGCAGTCTGCCCCTTCTCAGATCTCCAGCTGCGTACTGGGAGAACCACTGCTCTCTTCAAAGCTGTCAGACAGGGACATTTAAGTCTACAGAGGTTACTGCTGTCTTTTTGTTTGTCTGTGCCCTGCCCCCAGAGGTGGAGCCTACAGAGGCAGGCAGGCCTCCTTGAGCTGTGGTGGGCTCCACCCAGTTCGAGCTTCCCACTGCTTTGTTTACCTAAGCAAGCCTGGGCAATGGCGGGCGCCCCTCCCCCAGCCTCGGTGCCGCCTTGCAGTTTGATCTCAGACTGCTGTGCTAGCAATCAAGGAGACTCCATGGGCGTAGGACCGTCCGAGCCAGGTGCGGAATATAATCTCATGGTGCACCATTTTTTAAGCCTGTCAGAAAAGCGCCGTATTCAGGTGGGAGTGACCCGATTTTCCAGGTGCGTCAGTCACCCCTTTCTTTGACTTGGAAAGGGAACTCCTTGACCCCTTGTGCTTCCCGAGTGAGGCAATGCCTCGCCCTGCTTTGGCTCGCGCACGGTGCGCGCACCCACTGACCTGCGCCCACTGTCTGGCACTCCCTAGTGAGATGAACCCGGTACCTCAGATGGAAATGCAGAAATCACCCGTCTTCTGCGTCGCTCACGCTGGGAGCTGTAGACCGGAGCTGTTCCTATTCGGCCATCTTGGCTCCTCCCCAGTATATATGTGTTTTACTCCAATCTCTCAACCTATGCTTGATTATATTTTCTAGTTACTAGTGTTCTCTTTATTTATATCCTCTGTAGTGTAAAGGGGCTTTTATTTTTTAATTGATTTATTGTTCTTTACAATTTCTTTGTCACGATTCATAAATTTCCTTTTGAAATATTCTTATTGTCTCATTACATTTTCCTATTATTTGAGGTTCTTTTTTATTCAGGTTAATATGTCACTTTATTCAATGTCTTTGAAATTATGAGAACAAAATATTTTCATTATATGCCTCTAGTTTTTTTAAATACATCCTCATATGATGTAGATCTTTTATTTGCTTTTTAGCTTAGATACACTTTCTGTATTGATTTTCAGTATTTATGCTTAGGTTCTGTGTTTTGTTTTGAATTATTACTTTTTTTTTTTTTTTTGAGACAAGGTCTTGCTTTGTCATCCAGGCTGCAGTGCAGTGGCACCATCATGACTCTCTGCAGCCTCAACCTTCCAGGCTCAAGCAAGCCTCCCACCTCAGCCTCCTCAGTAGCTGGGACTACAGGTGCGCATCACCACGCTCAGCTAAATTTTTTTTTATTTTTTCGTAGAGATGGGGTTTTGTCATGTTGCCCCATGGTTGGGGCACAACTCCTGGTCTACAACTCCTGGGCTCAAGTGATTCTCCTGCCTTGGACTCCCAAAGTGCTGGCATTACAGGTGTGAGCCACCACCCACAGCCTATTACTCATTTTTAAATGAAACCTTTAAAAAAAAATAATTAGGTGGGTGGTATAGGGGGAGTAAGCTGGGGTAGTTAATGATTTTGTTTCTGATTTATTGGTTTGAAACCACCTTGTCAAACATTTAGTTTCCTTTACCCTGATAATTAATTTTTTCCTTAACTATATTTTTAAAGTTTTTGATGTTTAAGGGCTTCAGATAGCATAAAACAAAGCCCTTATACTACAGGATTTTGACGCAAAGACATAGAAATTACTGCCCTACTTCCATATCATGTCCCACTTTTCATCAAGAAGCTTATCTAGGGTTATAATTCATAGAAAATGAAAACTGGAAGTAAATATAGTTTCTTTTTCCACTCTGCAGTCTCTGCATTCATCACTATTATGCTGTGTCCAGCTGAATTTATGTGATGATGCTCCTTATTCCTGCTATGCTTTAGTCACACCTCAAAATCTCACCATTTCATTCAAGATATTTGAATAGGACTAACACTTTTAGAAAGATTAGCTCTCTTCTCAAATTCTGAAAAATTGTATACCAGCTCTAAGTTTTGTTCAGTTTGGGCCAATTTTAATGTAGTTGGTCGGAGCACTTTGTATATTTTAGTGCGTAGCTATTTCCTCCTTCATTGAGGACAACATAAATGTTCCTTCTATTTTTCATTTATTTGTAGTTTCAGTGGGTTCTGACCAAGGGAACCAAAATAAAATTGTCTCTGCCAATTTTTATATTTTTTAAAAATTAACCAACTTAATATGAAGAAAAATAGAAATAAGAAATGAATTTACACATTAAATATACACGTAGGGAACAGTCCTCCAAATTGGTTTAATTTCCTCTTAGCTATATCCACCTCAGCTTATATTGCTTAGATATAAAGTGTTTATTTAGATTTGCTCTAATCCAAAGCTTGCACGAACAGAAGATACCTTTATAATGGTCAAAACCAGCAACCAGGCCATTTCCAGAAAGTAGTTCTAGCAGAGATCCAGTTCTTATAAAGCTGAAACTAAGTGAAGAATACATGTTAAAACCTTAGTGTTTATTTGAGTAACAAACCAGCTTTACATGTATCACTTTTATTTCATCCTATATTGTTAGCTTGAGTCTGATTCTTAAGAAATATTTTTATCAGTATGTGCCAAAATAAGTAAATATACCCTTGAAATGATGATACAGCTCATTTATTTGAGAAGCTAATCAAATAATCAGATTCAGTTATTTCCAAATTTAGATAACTTATGTAAACCCAATATAACTCATTTTATGAAAAATGACCGATCTTACCATTTCTATCATCTACTTTCCTTTGTGGGTGCCCTTATTTGCCTTTGTAGGCACTCAGGGACACAGTATGAAAGAGCAGCCAGCATCTAGAATGTTTGTTGGGAAAAAAAAGGGAGAGTTGAGGAGGATCTCAAATTGGCTGTGAAATGTTTGGTCCATAAATTACACACATCACTTTTGCTTATATCATTGTCAGAATTGGTCACGTGTTACTGATGGTAGTGGCTGCTGCCATCACACCAGCTGCAGCAGGGAAGCTCCGCTACGGCTGCACACTCCACGGGGCCCATGAGAGTCCCACCCCTTTTGAGTTGGGGTGGGAGCTCCCCGGGTACACTGCAGCTGCCCAAGCCATGGCCGCAGACACAGGCCTCCTGCTCTATGCAGCAGGCAGGAGCCCCACCCTCTTGGGCGGAGCTATACCTGTCCATTTTTGCTTTGGTTTGCCTAGGCTTGCGGGGTATTACTTCATAAAGTTGTTGTTTAGAACAATATCCTGGATGGCTTCCCCAGTGTTTTCTTTTAGTAGCTTCATTGTTTGAGGTCCTACATTTAAGTGTTTAATGCATTTTGATTTGATTTTTGTATATGGCAAGAGATGGGGTCTAGCTTCGTTCTTATGCGTATGGATATCTAGTTTTCCGCGCCCCATTTATTGAGGAGACCGTCTGTTCCCCAATGTATGTTCTTGGTGCCTTTGTTGAAAATGAGTTCAACGTAGATACAGAAATTTGTTTCTGGGTTCTCTGTTCTGTTGTACTGCTCGGTTTTTATGCCATCCCTTTATTTTCAGTCTATATGTATCTTTATAGGTAGTGTTTCTTATAGGTAACAGAAAAAATCATTGGGTCTTTTTTTTTTTGTTAATGTTGTTAAATTCGTTTAGCCATGCTATGTCGTTTATTGAAGTGTTTAGTCCATTAACATGCAATGTTATTATTGATAAATAAGGACATTCTTGCCATTTTGTTATTTGTTTGCTGGCTGTTTTGTGGTCCTCGCTTGTTTTTTTTTTTTTTTTTCTTCTTGTATTCCTTTTAGTGAAGGTGATTTTCTCTGGTAGCATGATTTAATTTCTTGCTTTTTTGTGTGTGTGTATCTATGGTATGTTTTTAGATTACCATGGTTACCTCAGGTTACCATAAAGCTTGCAAATACTGATTACCTTAGTTTACCATGAAGCTTGCAAATACTATCTTATAATCCATTATTTTAAACTGATGACAACTTAATACTGATTGCATCAGCAAACAAACTAAAAAAGAAGCAAAAAGAAAACAAAGAAAAACTCTACATTTTAACTTTGTCTCCTCACTTTTTAACTTTTTGTGTTTTCTTAATGTCTTACCACATTGTCTGTATCTTGAAAAGTTGTAGTTATATTTTACATTGGTTTATTGTTTAGTCTTTCTACTTAAGATAAGAGTAGTTTACAAACAGTAGTTACAGTGTTATAATGTCTTGTGTTTTTTGTGTGTGCTTACTATTACTAGTGAATTTTGTACCTTTGGATAATCTCTTATTGCTCATTAATGTTCTTTTCTTTTACATTGAAGAACTCCCTTTATTATTTATCATAGGACAGGTATGGTGTTGATGAAATCCCTCAGCTTCTGTTTGTCTGGGAAAGTCTGTATTTCTCCTTCACACTTAAAGGATATTTTTTTAGCCAGATATACTATTCTAGGGTAAAAGTTTTCTTCCTTCAGTCACCATGTCATGCCAGTCTCTCCCGGTCTGTAAGGTTTCCACTAAAAAGCTTGCTGCCAGAAGTATTGGAGCTCCATTGTATGCTATTTGTTTCTTTTCTCTAACTGCTTTTAGGGTCATTTTTTTCCTTAATATTTGAGATTTTGATTATTAAATGCCTTGAGGTAGTAGTCTTTGGGCTAAATCTTCTTGGTGTTCTATAACTTTCTTGTACTTGAATATTGATATGTTTCTCTAGGTTTGGAAACTTATTTGATATTATCCCTTTGAATAAACTTTCTACTCCTATCTCTTTCTCTACTTCCTCTTTAAGGCCAATAACTCTTAGATTTGCCCTTTTGAGGCTATCTTCTAGTTCTTGTAGGCATGCTTCATTCTTCTTTATTTTTTTTTTGTTTCCTTTGACTGTGTATTTTCAAATAGCTTGTCTTCAAGCTCACTAATTTTTTATTCTGCCTGATCAATTCTGCTATTAAGAAACTCTGATACATTCTTCAGTATGTCAATTGCATTTTTCAGCTCTAGAATTTCTCTTTGATTTTTTTTAATTATTTCAACCTCTTTGTTAAATTTATCTGATAGAATTCTGAATTCCTTCTCTGTGCTATCTGAATTTCTTTGAATTTCCTCAAAACAGCTATGTTCAGACACAGGTATGTGTCTGAAAGGTCACATATCTCTGTTTTTCCAGGATTGATCCCTGGTGTCTTATTTAATTCATTTGGTGATGTCATGTTTTCGTGGATGATTTTGATGCTTGTAGATGATGTTATGTTTTCCTGAATGATTTTGATGCTGGACATCGAAGAGTTAGGTATTTATTGTAGTGTTTGCAATCTGGACTTCACAACCTGTGCTCATCTTTCTTGGCAAGGTTGTCCAGGTATTCGAAGGAATTTGGGCCCCAAACTCAGTAATGCCATGGTTCTTGAAGACTCATAGAGGTACCACCTTGGTGGTCTTGGATGAGATCTAGAAGAATTCTCTGGATGACCCAGCAGAGACACTTGTTCTCTTCCCTATATTTTCTCCCAAACAAATGTCACTTTCTGAAAGGTGCAGAAGCCCCAGGTTTATCTTGGAACCTCAAGAGGAGAGGAAATTCACCCAACTCATGGGTATTTGATGGCACAATTCCATGGCTGGGCTGGGCTTGGCTTTCAAAAGTCTTATTTGAGGATCCTCCTATGAAACAAGTTCCATCAAAGCCAATTTAAAAGCCCATGAAAAAATAATTATTATTGCTGCAATGTATACAAGTAATTAGGCTAATTATAACAAGCAAACCAGCCCTACCATGATTTGTCTTTAGTAAACTGGGAATCTAGAGAGAGAAAGAAAATTATGTTTTAAGATGATTTACACCTGTTTTTAGATTCTAGCCTTGCCAAATGTTGTTTGTTTTGTTTTTTCTAATTTTTATTATTTTCTACAGTTTGGACCACATTCTAATTTTTCTTGGCTACAAGTCTTCAAAATAGTGTTTTCAATTTTTTTCTTCTTTTTATTTTTAATTTAGAATCACTGAATACTAAGTTGTGCTTTCTTAAAACCCTAGGAACTAAAGCCAGACAACTTAAACTTCAAAAAAAAAAAAAAAAAAGGTAAACTGTTTACATACGTAAGTCACTTTTATACCTGCCTATTAATATGTGGATTTCAGAGTAATGTGACCTATATTGATTCTCCCAGGATTGTTCTTTTGTTCGTTGTTGTTTTTTCTTCCTTCCTTTCCACTATTTTCTCTTCACAGGACATGAGACTTTACAGTGTGCTAAAAATGAGCTTTCAGGACCTATTCATCTAGAAATAAACCATCCTAGCCATGAGAGATCATATGAAACTTGAGACCAGGGATTCATTTTCTTGTTAAATGCTTTCTCCAAAATATTTTAAAAAGAAAAGGCGAGAAATGTGGGAGGAAAGAACCTTGGGTGCCTTCAAGCTGGGAACCAGTCAGGACAAATCTGCCCCCAATTCTGTTCAAAGTCATCCCTCTGCTCACAGATAGATGCATATTCTGATTGCCTCTTTTGGAAAGACTTATCAGAAACTCAAAATAATGCAACCATCTGTCTCTCACCTACCTGTGACCTGGAAGCCCCTAGTGGGGGACCTTGCTTTGAGTTGTCTCCGCCTTTCTGGATTGAACTAATGTACTTCTTACATATATTGATTGGTGTTTCATGTCTCCCTAAAATGTATAAAATCAAGCTGTACACCTACCACCTTGTGCACATGTCATCAGGACTTTCTGAGACTGTGTCACAGGTGCGTCTTCAACCTTGGCAAAATAAACTTTCTAAATTAACTGAGACCTGTCTCAAATGTTCTGGGTTCACAAGTGATTCAAGACTGTCTCTCTTATCCTCTTTAATGTCTCTTTTAGCAGTATGAAGTTAAAACCTGTTATCGTAATTGCTCACCTGATGTTTGGTTCTTCTAAAGGTGCTTTTTTTGTATGCAGATAGTTGATAAAATTTGGTATTCCTGAGGAGGGAACAATCAGTGGAACATTTTATTTCACCATCTTGTTTCACTCTCTTCTTTGTTTTTTTTTTAAACTATATTTTTATATTTATTTTCTTGGTAGTTGCCCTGGAGATTACAATGTGCATTTTAGCCTAAAACAATCTACCTCAGATTAAGACTAAATTAATTCCACTAGTGTATTAAAACTTTGCTCAAATAAAGCTTCTTTTCTCTTTCCTCCTTTGTGCTATGATCATCACACAAGTTAAATGTTTATATTTTATAAGCCTATCAACACTATTTTATAATTATTGTTTTATGCAGTTGTCTTTTAAAATAAGAAAAAGTTAATATTTCTCTGTTTACATATCTCTACTCATGCTCTTTATTTTTATGTGTGGTGCTGAGTTACCATCTGATATCCTTCCTTTTTAGCCTAAAAGGCTGTGTTTGGAATTTTCTGTCAAAAAGTTGGGCAAACAACAAATTATCTCAGTCTTTGCCTATATGGAAATGTCTTGATTTCTTCATTTTTGATATGGCTTGGCTCTGTGTCCCCACCCAAATCTCATCTCAAACTGTAATCCTCACGTCGAGGGACAAACCTGGTAGGAAGTGATTGGATCATGGGGGCAATTTCCCCCATACTATTCTCGTGATAGTGAGTTCCCATGAGATCTGATGGTTTTATAAGGGCTCTTCTCCCTTTGCTCTTCCTGCTTTGCTCTCTGCCCTCTCTGTCTTTCTCTTTCTCTTACTGCCTTGTGAAGAAGGTTCTTGCTTCCCTTTTTCCTTCCACCGTGATTGTATGTTACTAAGGCCACCCCAGCCATATGAAACTGTGAGTAAATTAAGCCCGTTTCCTCTATAAATTGCCCAGTCTCAGGTATTTCTTAATAGAAGGGTGAAAAAAGGCTAATACAGTACATTGGTACCACAAAGAATGGGTCACTGCTATAAAGATACCCAAAAATGTGGAAGTGACTTTAGAACTGGGTAACAGGCAGGAGTTGGAATAGTTTGGAGGGCTCAGAAGAAGACAGGAAAATGTGGGAAAGTTTGAAGCTTTCTAGAGACTTGTTAAATGGCTTAGCCCAAAATGCTGACAGTGACGTAAACAATGACATCCAGGTTAAGGTGGTCTCAGATGGAGATGAGGTCCTTATTGGGAACGGAGTAAGGTCACTCATGCTATGCTTTAGCAAATAGACTGGTGGCATTTTGCCCTTGCCCTAGCCTAGAGATCTGTGAAACTTTGAAGTTGAGAGAGATGATTTAGGGTATCTGGCAGAAGAAATTTCTAAGCAGGAAAGCATTCAAGATGTGACCTGGTTTATTCTGAAAGCATTCAGTTTTATGTATTAACAAAGAGATGGTTTAAAATTGCAACTTATGTTTAAAAGGGAAGGAGAGCAAAAAAGTTTGGAAAATTTGCAGCCTGATGATGCAATAGAAAAGAAAAACCCATTTTCTAGGGAGGAATTTAAACTGGCTGCAGAAATTTGCATAAGTAATGAGGAGCCAAATGTTACTTGCCAAAACAATGGGGAAAATGTCTCCAGGGCATGCCAGAGACCTTCACTGCAGCCCCTCTCATCAAAGACCCAGAGGCCTAGGAGGGAAAAATGATTTCCTTTACCAGGGGCCTCCTCTACTGTTCTGTACAGCCTCTGGACTTGGCACCCTGTGTCCAGGCCGTGGCTAAACAGAGCCAACATACAGCTCAGGCTGTTACTTCAGAGGATGCAAAGCCTGAGCCTTGGTGGCTTCCAGATGGTGTTTTGCCTGTGGTTGCACAGAAGTCAAGAATTGAGGAAGGGGAACCTTCACCTAGATTTCAAAGGATGTATGGAAATGCCTGGATGTCCAGGCAGAAGTTTGCTGCAGGGGCAGAGCCCTCATGGAGAACCTCTGCTAGAGCAGTGTGAAAAAGAAATGTGAGGTGGGAGCTCCACAGAGAGTTCCCATTGGGGCACTGTCTAGTGGAGCTGTGAGAAGAGGGCCACCATCTTTCAGATCTCAGAATGGTAGACCCAATGATAGCTTACAATGTGTGCCAGGAAAATCCACAGAAACTCAATGCCAGCCTGTGAAAGCAGCTGAGAGGGGGCTGTATCCTGAAAAGTCACAGGGCTGAAGCTGCCCCAAACCATGGAATCCCACCTTTTGCATCAGCATGCCGTGGATGTAAGACATGGAGTCAAAGGAGATCATTTTGGAGCTTTAAGATGTAATGACTGCCCCACTGGATTTTGGACTTGCATGGGGCCTGTAGCCCCTTTGTTTTGGCCAATTTCTCCCATTTGAAATGGGAGCATTTAACCAATACCTGTACCCTCATTGTATCTAGGAAGTAACTAGTTGTTTTTGAGTCCATGGGCTCATAGGGAGAAGGGACTTGACTTGTCTCAGATAAAACTTTGGACTTGGACTTTTGGGTTAATGCTGGAGTGAGTTAAGACTTTGGAGGACTGCTGGGAAGGCATGGTTGGTTTTGAAATGTAAAAAGGGCATGAGATTTGGGAGGGTCCAGGGGTGGAATAATATGGCTTGCCTCTGTGTCCCCACCCAAATCTCATCTCAAACTGTAATCCATATGTGTTGAGGGATAGACTTGGTGGGAGGTGATTGAATCATGGGGGTGGTGTTTCCCATGCTGTTCTCATGATAATAAGTGAATTCTCACAAGATCTGATGGTTTTATAATGGGCTTTTTTTGCTCTCTCTCTCTCTCTCTCCTGATGCCTTGTAAAGAAGGCCCTTTCTTCCCCTTTGTGTTATGCCATGATTGTGTGTTCCTGAGGCCTCCCAGCCATGCAGGACTATGAGTCAATTAAACCTCTTTCCTTTATAAATTACCCAGTGTCAGGTATTTCCTTACAGCAATGTGAAAATGGACTAATACCCTTTTGAAGATTAGTTTTGTTAGATATATAATGTTGATTGACCACCTTTTTCTTTCAACACTTCAAATATATTATTCCACCTTCTGCTGCTCTTGGTTTCTGTGAGAAGTCAGTTATTAATATTATCAAGGAGCACTTGAGTTATTTTATCTTACTGCTTTCAAGATATTGCCTGTGTCACTGATATTCAGCACTATGACTATGTTGTGTCTGGGTTGGAGCTCTTTGAGTTTTTCCTGCTCAAAGGTTGTTTATTGAATTTTTGGATTTGTAGGTTAATGTTTCCAATCAATTTAAACAGTTTTGGGGCATCATTTCTTCAAACATTTTTCTTTTTATGTCTTTTTCCCACTCCTTTCCTTCTAGGACTGCCATTTTACATATGCTGGAACACTTAATGGTGTCCCACAGTTCTCTGTTTTAATTTTTCTCCATTCATTTTTCTTTGTGTTCCTAAGAGTGAAGAATCTCAATTAATTTATATTTAAGTTTACTGATTATTTCTTCTAACTTCAAGTTCACTGATTCTTCTGCCAGGTCAAATCTGCTGCCAAACCCTTCTACATAATTTTTCATTGCAGTTCTTATATTTTCTAAGTCCAAAATATCTATTGGTTAGTGTTTCTATAATTTCTCTCTCTTTGTTGACTTTTCTTTTATTGAACCTGGTTTAAGATGGTTTCTTTTAGTGCAGCATCTGGACTCCCTCAAAGACTGTTTCTGTGGACTGTTTTGTTTGTTTGCTTTTTTCTGTTATGTGCTGTATTTTCCTGTTTATTTCATGTTCTGATTTTTGATTGAAAGGAAGAATTTAGATAATATAGTTGATTCTCTTTATTTATGGTAGTTATGCTCTATAAAGTTACTGCAAATGCTGAATTAGAGAATATTGTATTGTTTCTCCTGTGGGATATATGTATATGTGTGTTTGTGTGTGTGTGTGTGTATATATATATGTATACATGTGTGTGTATATATATATAATTGCCTATGTGTGATATATGTATATGTGTGTATGTATACATGTGTGTATATATGTGCATATATATGTATGTGTATATATATGTGTATATGTATGTATATGTATATATATGTGTATAATACATATACATACAGGCTAAATGTATATATATACACATATACATATATCCCACGTGGGCAATAACACATATATAGCTCCTGTGGGATATATGTATATGTGTGTGTATATATACACATATATATATGCACACATATATATGTATATATACATGTATATATATACACACACATATATATACACACACATATGTGTGTGTGTTTCTGCTTACACACACACATGCACACATTATATATACCACATAGATTAGAATTTTGACAACTGAAAACAATTTATCCTGACAGACTTTTTAAAAACAATTTGCAAAAGAGAAAACAAGGAACAAGGTTCACAATTGTTAAGTGACTTGCCTGAGGCTGCCCTACTACTGTCTTAATCCTGTGGCCATCTTTGTATGAGAGGTAAAATAAGAATGCAGAGAATGTCGTCTTTGATCTCAGCTAAGAACTTGCACATTGGGTACTCAAACCTTTCATCACTCTGTACATTTACAGTCATGTGAACAACTGTGAAAGTACTTCAAGTATTGATTTTGGAGTTACAAATAGATTTTAGCAAGTAGGGAAATTCAAAAGTATGAAATCTCTGTATAATGGAAATTGTCTGTATATTGTAGCAATTCTCAAATCAGACCCCCTTTTGTTAGTGCTGTTTTGTTGTTGTTGCTGTTGCTGCAGTTGTTTGTTTATTTACTGACTTTCCAAGACTAATGCTGTAGGGTATATATTCCCCACAGTGTGTAGCCAATGAAATATTTGCTTTTCACTTATTTTTCTATCAGTTTATTTACTTCATTGCTTGTATTTTAAAATCTGTATTTATTGAATTCACCCCAGGTCAGCATAGCCTAGTGATCAGTCAGTGATTGGGCAAAATATTTCTTTGAGCCACTAAATCTTCCACACTGTTCTAAGGGATACGCGTACATGGGGGCACACCTTCAAAGTTTAATCAGTTTACACATCTGCATTAGCTTTCACTTCCTGCTTGCAGTGTTCACCAAAGTCACCCCATATGAATAAATAACTAGTGCTCCATTCAGTCTTTCCTGAGCACGTGCGCAGGCATACAAGTACTAGGACTTCTAGATCGCTAGTAATGGATTGAGGCTTTTCAAAACCCTTTAGGGTTGTGTCATTGCTTAGATCTTCCTTGCAAATTCTTGACCAACTGATACTTGCAATCTTAAGCAGTTGTAATATTAATTATTGCAGATAATTGTACTTGTTTTTGACAATGATCTGAAAATGAGGCTTTTCTGTTGAGCTGACCCCCAAGTCAGGCTAAATAGCAACAATGCCCTGGAAATGGGACTTTTCCAGAGAACTCTAAGTATAGTCAAATACAGAGAACACTCTGGGGAATGGTATAATTTGCAGAGTTCCAAAATGGATCAGCTGCATCCGGTGGGTGCAAGGCTGATGGTTAGGAGAGCTACCATGCCATGGACCTGGGTTTGGGATGGAAATATCCCCAAAATAAAATGCCACAGACTCTATTTTTGTTATAAAAATCTAATAGTTTTGCTAAACATTTTCTACTTTGTTGTATGCCTTTGGTTAATTTCTAGAGTTCTGAAATGGTTAATTTTGATAATTTTGATAACATTTTCTTTGTTTTTAATGGAGAAGAGTTAGCAAGGTCCTTACTCTGTCATCCAGGAAGTTCTACTTCAATCAATTATTTTTATCACTTTGACTGGAGACTAACATTCATAACAGCAACCTAGATTTTTTTTTACCATCATATTATGTTTATCTCTGTACCTATATCTCTATTCCCTAGCTAAACCAATAAGCTAATCACCATTAATATGTCTTTTTTCCAGTTATTCAACAGGTTTTTGAGCAACCACAATATGCACAATACTTTGCTATTTACTGTGGAGCATATTAAAGAAAACTTCAGACATCTACCTTACCCTCAAGGACTTTACAGTCAAATTGAATAAGATAGACATAATAAAAATAAATACAAAAACTTGAATTATGTAATGAGTTCCATAAAATAGTAGATGTAGGCAACTCAAAAAGTTCTAAGAAGTTATACTTTGTCTGAAGACATCATAGAATTCTTCATGAAGTTGTGACACAATACATTCATGGATGAGAATATTAACCCGTTGTAGTTTCTGAATATATTTTTTTACATGTCAAATAACCCAAGATGATATATGAGGCACTGACCAGGTTAATGGGGAGACATGTTGAAGCAAGCAGGTTTTCAGCATCCCTCAAATCTTACTATATCTGTGACATCCTAAAGAAACTGGGTTATGGCATCATCATTATCCTTGATCATCATTTATTTTAAAGATAAAATCATTTCATTTTTCCCTGTGCAAAAGTGAGTCATGATCACTCATTTGAAAGTTATTGCGAGAAATACTTTGTCATTGAAGGGCAAGGATAGTACTCCACATAGTTGGAGGAAACTAAAAGCAAAAGTTTGTGTATTAACAGGACCAACATTGCAACTACTTTCATGGTAATAAAGTGTTAACTTTTATTTCATCTGTGAGCAAGCTGGTCATGTCCATATTTGGTGCACTAGAAGATGTTGAATGAACAAATGGGGCATCTGTGGAAGCCCAAAAAGAATGAACATCTTCCAAATAAATGTCTGGGCAAAATAAGCAATCAAGAAACAGGTCTGTTCAATTCCACTGTGGGCTCTAAAAATAGGTATACATGAAAATAGAGTCAAGTGTTTTACAAAGTGCCTTGGCAATAAGAAGTGCTATTTCAGTGAAGTGTAAGTCCTAGGAATTCAAAGAGTTGGGCAAAGCAACTAATTGGCTAAGTTATAAACATGGTTTGCTAAAGGGAGACACATTAGTAATAATGACATGCATGGTGGGAACCCCTGCATACAGCACCATAAATCTGACTAACTAATGTAAGCAAGACAAAAACCAGCAGCTGAAACAAAAGACCTGAAAAACTTGCTGAAAAAAGTTCACCACAGAACTGTGAATAACTTAGTAGGAACAGTAATAGACAATGCCAGCCAGTCTTTCTACATGACTAGAGCATTACAATTTGAAAGTACTCAAATAAAGATGAAATACTAGATGTTGAAATGCATTTTGTGTGTTTACTGGAAGGTGGTTGATGTTAATCCTTTTAAATCTCTGTTCAGTATTAAAGCTTAGAGAACCCTTCATATGGCAGCAAAGTGTCATTTTTCAAAGGGGGTGTAATGGAAATAATCCTCATATTTGTTGCTTGATTTTTAGTCCTCATTCAGCTTATGTGAAATTGAGACTCATTTTACAGGCTGATTATGAAACATTATAAATCTCAACATTTAACCAAAGCACACATAAGAGTGAGTTCTAAATTATCCATCATCTAAAGTGTGGGAATTAAGATGATAAAGGCGGGCTCAGCTCCAAAAATGATGTTGCCATTTTCCATAAATGTGCTACTTTCTGGATGCCTTAAGTTATCAATAATTTTTTTACAATAACATATTTATTAAGCAGAATAAATCTGGATACCACAACAAAGACTACCACTTGAGACTTTGACCTCTGCATTTCTCTCCGGGGGACACTTTATATAGTATAAAATAGCACAGAATCCTCTTGTTTACTTAATGTGACACATCAGCACTTGAATTTCAAGCCAGGTCTATTGATGCTAATCTGTAATTCTCCTAAGCATGCCAGATGTGGTTTCTAATTTTCTGTGTTGACTCGGTTAGCCTGTGGTACTCAGTTTTTGGTTAAACACCAGCCTAGTTGTTGTGGTGAAGGTATTTCTTAGATGTGATTAACACTTAAACAGTTAAACTTTGAGAAAATAAGATTACCCTCCATAATAAGAGAATCCTCATATAATCAGTCGAAGGCCAAAGAGAAAAGACTAGAGTCACCCAAGGAAGAGGAAGCTCCACCTCTAGATTATCTTCAGACTTGAGACTGTAACAACAATACTTCCCTGGGTCTCCAGCCTCCAGCGGGCCCTGCATACTTTAAAGTTGTTGCCCACCTCCACCTCTCTCTCATGTTTCTGTTTCTCTCTCTCTCTCTCTCATAGCAGAACCATGATATTGGCTGTATTTCTCTGGAGAATTCTAATTTATCAGAGGAAAGAAGCTTTCCAACTTCTTCCATGCTTGGCCATCAGTGTGTCTGTACCACTTGTATAATCACCATGAGAAGTGCTGATACAGGTATAGGTATAAGTATAGGTATACATGGCAAATTGAATTCCTATAGTTATTGACTTGAAGTGATAGGCTTTCACTTAATATTGTGGTTGATAATACTTCTTGGAATGCTTCTGTTTTTCAGTTACCTAGTAGAAGTGAAATAAAGTTTTTATAAGCACTAGAAATTGAGTTGCAACATAAATCTATTGGCTTTCAGCAACAAGAAATGATGATTCTCTTCCAAAAGCAACACAAAATGGATGGATGTGGCTTTCTAGTAGTGGTGATATAGACAATAAAATATATAGAAATTAAATTCATTTTGATTCAAAAATATTTATTGAGCACCCACTATGTTCAGCGCTGGAGAGAAAAAGATAAGTAATAGCTCTGCCTTCAATAGGTCATTGTCCTGTGAAGAAGATATATAAACACACACACACACACACATGAAAATGTGTAATTAAGGCAGTGGGTAATAGGCAATTTTACTCCACCCTCCTACCTCAAAACCTATTAAAATAATAAATAATGACAAATTAAAAAAATCTTCACTAATACCAAGACATTGCTATAATTCCTGACCTCATGTTACAAAGCACGCCTAGACTGAAAAAAAGAACATGCAGAAATAAGTCCCCCCAAATTATATTCCAAAGGACATAAACAACATTTTTTAAATTAAAATGCCCCATTAGATCAATTTTGACACCCCAGAATCATAAAACAGGGAGCACTGAAAGGAAAAACCATGGTGGTGCACATGCCACTTCTATTGTCCATGATGAAGCTTCTCTGCCAAAGGACATAGCCCAGTGGGGAGGAGGATTGAAGAAGTTTTAAAAGACTATTAGATCCAGGTTGCTACACTTAACAATCTAAGAGAACATTTGCTCCTAGGGTGAAGGAAATAACTTACTTGATGAGAGTAGTGTTTGAAATAAATCCCCAAACTTTTCAACATAAAGTCCCACCACCATTCAAAGTTCAGTAATAGTCAGAAAGATACTATCATGGGAGCTATGTGTGAAAAGAAATAGAGAAAAAAAACAGACTGAAAGCAAGCAAGAATAGAGGGAAGGAACATGAGCAAAAGGCAGCTGGATAACACAAGAATAGTTAAATCATACAGTTCTATGGTACTGAATTGTAAAAACAATTTTTATCTTAAAAGAAAGAAATGAAAAAAAATCAAGAGTCATGTAAGTGTACAAAAAAATGATCATGAGACCACGTAAAAGAATGAAAATAATTCTTACAAAACTCAAGAAATGAGGGGGAAACAAAAATATCATCATGATGAAAAACATTCTAGAAACAACCAAAAAAATGGAATAAGTGCAACAGAAAAAGTCAGAAATATGGAGAATAGGTTACAGAAAATAACACCAAATATAGTGAAAAACATATATGTGAGGAATTTCAGAGAAGATAACTTAGGAGATATAACACATGCAAGAGGGCTATTTTTGAAGAAGAGAAAAGGAGTTGTTTGGAAGCTGTTAGGGCTGTTCACATATATTCTGATTTTCCAGGAATATGGCACAGTTGCAATCCTCATTTCCTTTGACAGGGATGGGCATGTGACTGGTTCGGGGCATTGAAATGTGAACTGTAAATGCTTTATAACTTAGTGTTTAATTTACTACACTCCTATTTGTCACTGTTTGGTCAACTGTAGGGACGTGTATCAAGAAGGAGTTTCCATTAGCTTGGGACCCTGAGCAACTATAATCAGCTGAGCCCCTGGTGAACCATGTTGCACTTGTATGAGCAAGAAATAAACTTTTGTTGTGTCATGACACTAATATTTTGCTACTGCAGCATAACTTAGACTGATACAAAAATGGTGTGGAAAAATATTCCAAGGTACACTGGCTGTTCCAAAAGAATTAGTACACTTTTAAGCTTTATTTATTTATTTATTTTATTATACTTTAAGTTCTAGGGTACATGTGCACAGCATTCAGTTTTGTTACATATGTATCTATGTGCCATGTTGGTGTGCTGCACCCATGAACTCGTCACTTACATTAGGTATATCTCCTAATGCTATCCCTCCCCTCTCCCCCGACCCCACAATAAGCTCCGGTGTGTGATGTTCCCCACCCTGTGGCCAAGTGTTCTCATTGTTCAATTCCCACCTATGAGAGAGAACATGTGGTGTTTGGTTTTCTGTCCTTGCGATAGTTTGCTCAGAATGATGGTTTCCAGCTTCATCCATGTCCCTACAAAGGACATGAACTCATCATTTTTTATGGCTGCATAGTATTCCACAGTGTATATGTGCCACATTTTCTTAATCCAGTCTATCACTGATGGGCATTTGGGTTGGTTCCAAGTCTTTGCTATTTTGTAAAGTGCCGCAATAAACATACGTGTGCATATGTCTTTATAACAGCATGATTTATAATCCTTTGGATATATACTCAGTAAAGGGGAGGCTGGATCAAATGGTATTTCTAGTTCTAGATCCTTGAGGAATCACCACACTGTCTTCCACAATGGTTGAACTAGTTTACAGTCCCACCAACAGTGTAAAAGTGTTCCTATTTCTCCACAACCTCTCCAACATCTGTTGTTTCCTGACTTTTTAATGATTGCCATTCTAACTGGTGTGAGATGATATCTCATTGTAGTTTTGATTTGCATTTCTCTGATGGCCAGTGATGATGAGCATTTTTTCATGTGTCTGTTGGCTGCATAAATGTCTTCTTTCAAGAAGTATCTGTTCATATCCTTCGCCCACTCTTTGATGGGGTTGTTTGATTTTTTCTTCTAAATTTGTTTAAGTTCTTCGCAGATTCTAGATAATAGCCCTTTGTCAGACGGGTACATTGCAAAACTTTTCCCCCATTCTATAGGTTGCCTCTTCACTCTGATGGTAGTCTATTTTGTTGTGCAGAAGCTTTTTAGTTTAATTAGATCTCATTTGTCTATTTTGGCTTTTGTTGCCATTGCTTTTGGTGTTTTAGTCATGAAGTCCTTGCCCATGCCTATGGCCTGAATGGTATTGGCTAGGTTTTCTTCTAGGATTTTTATGGTTCTGGGTCTAACATTTAAGTCTTTATTCCATCTTAAATTAATTTTTGTATAAGGTGTAAGGAAGAGATCAAGTTTCAGCTTTCTACATATGGCTAGCCAGTTTTTCCAGCACCGTTTATTAAATAGGGTATCCTTTCCCCATTTCTTGTTTTTGTCAGGTTTGTCAAAGAACAGATGGTTGTAGATGTGTGGTGTTATTCCTGAGGGCTCTGCTCTGTTCCAGTGGTCTATATCTCTGTTTTGTTAACAGTACCATGCTGTTTTGGTTACTCTAGTCTTGTAGTATAGTTTGAAGTCAAGTAGCGTGATGCCTCCAGCTTTGTTCTTTTGGCTTAGGATGGTCTTGGCAATGGGAGCTCTTTTTTGGTTCCATATGAACTTTAAAGTCATTTTCTCCAATTCTGTGGAGAAAGTCATTGGTAGCTTGCTGGGGATGGCATTGAATCTATAAATTACCTTGGGCGGTATGGCCATTTTCATGATATTGATTTGTCCTATCTGTGAGCATGGAATGTTCTTCCATTTGTTTGTGTACTCTTTTATTTCGTTGAGCACTGGTTTGTAGTTCTCCTTGAAGAGGTCCTTCACATCCCTTGTAAGTTGGATTCCTAGATATTTTATTCTCTTTGAAGCAATTGTGAATGGGAGTTCACTCATGATTTGGCTCTCTGTCTGTTATTGGTGTATAAGAATGTTTGTGATTTTTGCACATTGATTTTGTATCCTGAGACTTTGCTGAAGTTACTTATCAGCTTAAAGAGATTTTGGGCTGAGACGATGTGGTTTTCTAATTATACAATCATGTCATCTGCAAACAGGAACAATTTGACTTCCTCTTTTCCTTAAGCTTTAATAAGTTCAGAAATATGTTACCAATTTAGCAAGGTGTAGTGGCTCACACCTGTAATCCCAGCACTTTCGCAGGCCAAGGAGGGGGATCACTTGAGCCTGGGAGTTTGAAATCAGCCTGTGCAATATAGTGAGAACTTGTCTCTACCAAAAAATATTTAAAAATTAGCTAAGCATGGTGGCATGAGCCTATAGTCCCAGCTACTAGGGAGGCTGAGGTGGGAGGATCACTTGAGTCAAGGAGGCAGAGAGGTTGCAGTGAGCCAAGATGGCACCATTGCACTCCCACCTGGGTGACAGAAAGAGACTATGCCTCAAAACAAGTAAATAAATGTTACCAATTTGAAAAAATTTGAAAATTTCATTATCTATATTTTATACTTGTTAATTTTTTAAATGCATTTTAATTTTACTTATTGCTTGCCATCTTAAATCAGCTGTACCAAGAAACTTAAAAATGTTTTGTTTGAAATTTGCAATACTAAATAAGTATAAAAACATAGAAATAGCTTTCAAATTATGAAGTTGGTAATTTATTTGCTTTACTCACTACTTTGTGAGCTGCTTGATGAAAGAGACTGTGTCTTTTATTCATTCCTTCTTTTTCTTTTTTAAGGTGAGAACAGTGCCTGGCGTCATTTAGATGTTAAATAAACTTTTCTTGGACAGAACTGAATTGTTAATGCTTTCAATGTTGCTATATAGATCATGCAGGTTGGTTCTTTTGACTAAGGATTACAATGGAAACCATTTGGCCTCTATGTGTACATGCACAATTACAGTTGTCCCTGGAGATTATTTACTTTTGATAGTATGACCTGAAAATATCAACATAGAGTCATGCATGTGATCCCTGCAACTCAGGAGGAAGAGGTGGGAGGATCACTTGAGGCCAGGAGTTGGAGGCCAGCCTGGTCAACGGAGTGAGACCCCATCTCTCTTGAAAACAAAAAAGGAAAAGAAAAAAAAAAAGAATAAAGCATCTTAGATGCATAGGCTACTGATTGTTATAGTACGTTAAGTTTGAGATTGAACAATTGTGAAAGAGTCGACTGATAGAAGTCATTATATAATTATGTCAAAGTCAATGTTTTTTGAAACTAGTTTACAAATGACACAACAACATTTTACAATTTAAATGAAGTTCAAGTTGAGATATCTGGAAATGTAATTGACAGCATTTTTTTCTTTATTTGAAAGCACAGTGATCAATAATGTTTTGGGAAATAAATTACAGACATGAAACTGAGTGCATAAATACCTTAGTCTAATCTCCCTTTTAAATATCATAATTATCTTCTTTATTACACATTCAACTCTTATCAAATAATGTATGTGGTCCTTTAAAAAAACCCCAAAAGATTTCACCTTCATCATTAATACAGAAGAGATGTTGGTGGAGGAATCCTTTTTTGGTAAATCAAGTACCTGTGAATTTAATACTCTTTGGCTTACACTTTAGCTCCTGTTTTTGATTAAATATGTTTTCACACTGTCCTGGCTCTCCCCTATTTCTGTTATCACTATTACTTGTTTCCTTTGCTAACCCCTCTCTTGCCTTTTGTAGATAATTTACTGCGTTCAATCCTTAGCTCTATTATTCATAATCTCCTTGACAATCTCTTCAACTTCTGTGACTTAAAATATTGTCTGCACATTGAAGACTTCCATTTCAACATCATCAGCCCTAATAAATTTCCTGAGCTCTTCATTTTTATTTTTATTTCCTGGCAGACACGCCAACTAGAATTCTTTGTAACCTCTAAAAACTTACCAATCTAAAAACTGATCTTACTATTTCACCTGGGAATATCTTATCAGGATTTTATACCAATGGTTCTCAACTGAAGTTTTGAAGACAGAAGTTGAGGTTGTTAGGGAAGTGAGGTTGAATCAAAATCACATATGGATGTTTTCAAACCAACCTCTTTCCACATAATCTGTGCCAGAATTCCCTGATGCAGGGAATAAATAAAGTAACCATAAAATGAAAAAAACTTATGGGTGATTTTGCCCAACCTTCATTCCTTCACTACTTTCAACTGAAAATGGCTATGTTAGGCTCATAGATATCCAAACTCTTTCCTTCTTGTCCATTCCTTATAAATACCACCATGATATGTGATCAAAGGTCTGAGACTGAGCTGAGGGATTTCTTATTAACATGAGAAAGAGAAAAGAGAGAGAGAAGGGGCTGGCAAATTCTGTGGAATGGTTTAAATTATGAAACATCTCTAACATCAGATTCATATTCTTTTCTCCCGTTCTCTCTACAACTGCTTAATTTCAGGATTACCAGCGTACCTCGACTTCTGCAATGACCTAAGTGACTTCTCTGCCATTAGTCTTTATTCCAATCCCATCCATCCTATGCACTGCTACCAAGAAGTGTAAATATAAATATGTTGAGTGTGTGTATGTAATTGAAGTATAATTTAAATGTAATGCAATTAATCTATATTTAGTGTACAATTTGATGAATTTTGAAACTGTATACAGTCATGTAACACCAGGACCATCATGGTATAGAAAGTTTCCATCACTTGAAAAGGTTTCCTCATGCACCTTTGCCATTTGTCCCATCTGCTAATCTCCAGCCTCTGGACACTGCAAATTTTATGTGTATCTATATATATATGTATATGGAAAGGTAACGCAAAGGCTAGTAGAAAGTGTATGCAAAACATATGCCTGGAAAACATATATATATTTATATATATCTATATATTATATATATATCTGTAGTCATGGGGTTTTTTTGAATTTCAAATAAATGGAAACATACATCATGCAGTATTTACATCTGGCTTCTTTCATCAAGTATAATGCTTCTGAGTTCCATCAATACTACTGCATACATCAGTAGGTTGTTTCTATTTGTTACTGAGTAGTTATTCCAAAGTATGTCTGTATCACAATTTGCTTATCCATTCACTAGTTGTTGGGCATTTGAAATGTTTCCAATTTTCAGATAATATGAATATAAATATTTGTGAGAACTTATGCTTTCATTTCTCTCAGGTAAATATATAAAAAATAAGATTACTGTATTCCAAAGTGACTGTGCCATTTTGCATTCCCATCATCAATGTATGGGTATTCCAGTTGTTCCATATCCTTACCAACATCTGGTATTTTTACTCTTTTTAATTTTAGACTATTGATATTGAACAATTTTGTTTGGTGCTTATTTACCTTCATATGCCTTTGTCTGAGAAATGTCTGTTAAAATCTTTATGTATTTTTTTCATACTTTTGTCTTTTAGGTGTTGAGTTGTAATAGTTATTTATTATCTAGACACAAATGTTTTCCAGGCATATGTTTTGCATATACTTTCTACTAGCCTTTGGCTTACCTTTCCATTTTCTTTAACATTGTTTTTTGAAAAGCGAAAGTAGTAATTTTAATAAAGTCCAATTTAACATTTTTTCTTCCATGATTTATATATTTTGTAGCACATCTAAAAAATTTTTGCATAACCTAAGGTCACAAAGATTTTGTCCTTGTTTTCTCCTAGAATCCTTAGTTTTAATTTGTACATTTAGGCCTAAAATCATCCTGAGTTATTTGTGTATCTAATATGAGATAAGGGTCAAGGTTTTTTTTTATTTGCATAGAAATATTCAATTGTTTCGGCACTATTTGTTGAAAAAAGATGTCCTTTGCCCATTAAATTACTATGGCTCCGTTGTTGAGATTTTTGATTTCTCTTCTATTTCATTGATTTATATATTGGTCCTAATGCCAGCATCATGCTGTTTTAATTACTAAAGTTTTATAGTAACCTTGGAATTATGTCATACAAGTCTTCCAATTGTATTATTTTCCAGAATCATTTAAGCTATTCTAAGTTCTTAGAATTTTCATATGAATTTCAGAATAACCTTGTAAAATTCTGCAAAAAGAATTCTGATAGATTTTTAAAATTGAAATAGCATTGATTATATAGACAATTTTGGAAAAAAAATTAGAATATTAACTATACTAAACCTTCTAAAAAACATAGTATTTCTCAGTTATTTTGCTCCTTTTAAACTAATGTCAGCCACGTTTTCTGGCTTTTAATGTATAGAATTTGAATATATTTTGTTATATATGTCCCTAAGTATTTCGTATTTTTTTTGCTATTTTAAGCCATATTGTTTTCTAAGCATCATTTTCAGTTATGCTCTGCTAATAGATAGAAAAACAATTGATTTTGAACATTGGTTTTGCATCTACAAAGTCAATTGTTAAATTTACTTAAAAATTTTTGCCTTTTTATAGAATCCTTAGGATATTTTACATAATCAAACGCATCTTCAGCAAATAAAGACTTTATCCTACCATTACAGTTTGTATGCATTTTGTTTTTCTTGTAACCCTGGGTAGGTCTTTCAGTACAAGGTAGGAAAGAAGTGGAGAAAAGGGGGCATATTTACTATCTTTACTAATCTAAGGGAAAATATTCTGTTTCCACATTAAGTATGATGCTAATTGTAGGTTTCTCAAAAAGCCCTTTGTCATGTGGAATAAATTCTGATCTACTCTTTATTTAGCAAGAGTTTTGTTTAATTATGAATAAATGTTGAATTTTTGTCAAATGCTTTTTCTGCATCTATACATATGATTAATAAGTGAATTACATTAACTAGTTTTCCAATGTTGAAACAACATTGTATTGCTTGGGTAAATAACACTTGGTTATGTATATTTTACCTTTAATATATTACTAGATTATGTAATATTGCTAAACTTTAAGAGTTATAGGTCTAGGCTGAGCACAATGGCTCATGACTGTAATCCCAGCATTTTGAGAGGCTGATGCAGGCAGATCACCTGAGGTCAGGAGTTTGAGACCAGCCTGGCCAACATGGTGAAACCCTGGCTCTACGAAAAATACAAACATTAGCCAGGTGTGGTGGTGTACACCTGTAGTCCCAGCTACTGGGGAGGCTGAGATGGGAGAATCGCTTGAACCCGGGAGGCAGAGGTTGCAGTGAGCCAAGATGGAGCCACTGCACTCCTACACTCCAGTCTGGGCAATTCCATCTCAAAAAAAAAAAAAAAAAAAAAAAGAAAGAGTTATTGGTCTATTCAGTTGATACGTTTCTTTTTGGATGAACTCTGATAGCTATGTCTTTCAGGAATTTGCCCTAAGTTATCATATATGTCATCATAAAGTTCAAAGCATTCACTTATTTTCTTTTAAATACCTTTAGGATGTGTAATCATTTCTAATAATGGTAGTTTGTGTTTTCTCTCTTTTTTCTTATCAGCCTACTGTTGGCCCACTTATAGATCTGTTCTAAAAATTACCTCTCAGTTTTATTAATTTTCTCCATAGTTTTTTTGTTGTTTTTCTTTTTTTAATTTTAACTTTATAAAGTTTTTTAAATCTGTGTTTTTCTGCTCTTATCTCTATCATTTCCTTGCTTTTGAATATGTTGGATTTCAATTGCTCTTTTTTAAAAAATTTGACCTAGATTTTAAAAGTGAAAATTTAATTAATTTTCAACTTTGTTCTTTTCTTAAAAAAATATAAGCTTCAAGGCCATTGATTTTCTTATAAGCTGCTCTTTTGTAACTTCCCACAAATTGTGATATGTTATATATTTATTATCATTTAATTTTGTGTGCTCCAATTTCTCTTATGTGTGTTAGCTTTCCAAATATTAGGGAAATTTTTGATACTTCCAGTTATTAATTTTTAGTAGCAATTGCAGTTTTTTATTATTTTAATACTATTAAATATATTTAGTCTTAAGTCATAGCCCATAATACGGACTATCTTGGTGAAGGTTACATGTCTACTTGAAAAAAATAATATAGGCTGTTGTCATTGGGTGGTGTGTTCTGTAAATCTCAATTAGGTCAGGTTGGTTTGACTGTGCTGTTCAAGTTTTTAACGTACATACTGATTTTCTGTTTCCTCTTTCTAACAGTTGCTAAGAGAGCAATGTTGAAGTCTCCAACTCTAATGACAAATTTTTCCATTTATCCTTAGATGGATCAGTTTTGCTTCAAGTACTTTTCAACTATATTATTAGCTGTATATACTTTTGGGATTGACATGTTCCCTTGATGAATCCATCCAATTATAATTGTAATGTGTCCTTCTTTTATCTTGGTAATATTCTTTGTCCTGAAATATTTGCCTTCATATTAATATAGCTACTCCAGCATAGATTTGATTAGAGTTTCATGACATGATTTTTTCCGATTCTCTTATGTTTAACTTATCTGTGTCTTTATATTTAAAGCAGGTCTCTTGTTGACAGCATATGACTAGGTCTTGCTTTATTATCCAATCTGGCAATTATACACATGTATCTGATAATACACACATTATCAACTCCATGATTCATTGTTTTTAATTTGTTTAATAAGTCAGTAAATTATCTTTTAAAGACTTTAAATAGTATGAAAACAATATGTTGACTTGTATAGTTACCACTTCTGGTGCTCTTTATTCCTTTGTGTACATCAGTTTTTCCAACTCATATCATTTTTATTCTGTCTACAGGCATTCCTTTAACATTTCTGGTAGTGTGGGTCTTTGGTGATAAATCTATTCTAGATTTTGTATGTCATCTTCATTTTTAAAAGATATTTTCAATACATATGAATTCTAGGTGGACAAATTTGTGTTTTTTTTCTTTTAGTACTTTAAAAATATTGCTCCACTATCCTCTTGTTTGCATTATTTCCAACAATACTTATTTTGACAATATTTGTGACAATCTTATTTTTATTCTTTGTAGGTAACATGTCATTTTTTTCTGGCTGCTTTTAATATTTTATTTTTCTCACTGGCTTTGAGATCTATGACTGTTATGAACCTTGTTTTGGTTTTCTTTATATTTCTTGTGCTTTAGCTTGTTGAGCCCTTTGATGTATCAGTTTATAGTTTCCATTAAATTTCAGAAACCTAAGTCATTATTTTTTTAAAAAATTTTTCTGTCCTTCCTTCTCTTTTGCACATCCTAAATACATGTAGTTTAGGTTATTAGAAGTTGTCTCACAACTCATTGGTATTTTGTTTATTGTGTGTGTGTGATACTAATACATATTGATTTTTAACTCTTACAATGACCCTGGGTGATAAAAAACATTCTTTTTCTTTTTAAAGAAGAAAATCAGACTGAAAAGGCTGATTTTATTCAACAAATACTTTTAAGGGCCTACCATATGAAGACTTTACGGTAGTTTCTTAGGGGCACACAAATAAATAAGAAATAGTTCCTGCTTTTAAAAAATTTTTGTTTTTTAACTTTTTAGTTTGAAGAATTCTAAATATATGCAAAATCAGACAGAATAATATATAATGAACCCCCTTGTATCTATCTGTCTGCATTAATAATAATTAACTTGAAAGCAGTCTTTTAAATTATTATTATTATTTATTATTATTTTTGAGAGATAGGGTCTTGCTATGTTGCCTAGACTAGTCTCAAACTCCTGGGCTCAAACAATCCTCTCCCTTCAGCCTCCCTAAGTGCTGAGATTACAGGTGTGAGCTACCACACGCAGCCCAAGATCAGTCTTATTTCATCCATATCCTCACATACCCCCTCCTCAGCTATCATTTTTTTTAACATTTGATTTTGAAATAATGATAGATTCATAGGAAAGTATAAAGCTAGTATGGGGAGGAACCATGTACCCTTCACCCAGGTTTTCACAGTGGTTACATCTTATATAAACATCTTATATAAATAAAGTAAAATATTAAAATCAGGAGATTGACATTAGTACAATGTATGCATAGAGTTTTATGTCTGTCTTCAGTCTGTTTGTTTGCTTTAATTGTGTGTTGGATTTCTTTAGCTACCACTGCAAATAAAAGTACAGTACTATTTTATCCCTGTATACTCCTACTAATCATCTTCCTTACCACAATTTCAAACCCTTGAACACCACTAATTTAATCTTTATAGTTACATAATTTTAAGAGTGTTATATATGTGGAATCATACAGTATGTGACTTTTTGAGACTGTCTTTTATCACTCAACACGATGCCCTTGAAACTCATTCAAATGAAAGTCAACTCAATAGTCCCATAGACAGGTCTTTTTGGATAAACATAGAAACTGACCCTTCCGGTCTTAAAGCGTAAAACATGTATTTGTCTTATCCGAGTCCCTTCTTCAGGACAGGACTCCCAGGCCTCTCAAAAAGTATCAAAGAATTGAAACTCACCAGAACATCACATCCAGACAATGAGACTCTAGGCACCTCCTTCCTCATGATTGCTTCCTTACCCCTCCCAAGTTCCTGTTTTCTCACACATAGTTAAATTTATTCCCGGCTTCATAAACCTCTAATTTTAGTTGGTCAGGGAGATGGATTTGAGACTGATCTGTCTCCTTAGCTGCAGCACCTGATTAAAGCCTTCTGCCTTGGCAATAATTGTCTCAGTGACTGGCTTTCTATGGGGCGAGCAGCAGAACCTAAACTAAACCCCTAGTGTTTCAGTAACACAATTTGTTGTGTATTCAATAATGTGTTCCTTTTGATTGCTGAGTAGTATTCCATGGTATGGATGTACCATAGTTTGTTTATCTGTTTGCCAGTTTGGGGACATTTTTGTTTTTGGCTATTACAAATAAAGTAGCTATCAACATAAGTTTCCTTTTCAATGGGCTAAAAAGCTCAACAATGCAATCACTAGGGCACATTATTTGTATATGTTTAATTTTAAAATATTAATAATATTAATTATTTAAATAACAATAAATTAATATATTATTAATAATAGGAACTGCCAAAGTAATTTTCAGAGTGACTATACAATTTGTATTACAGTCAGCAATATATGATAGATTCAAACTGTCTGTATCCTCACCAGCATTTGGCATTGTCACTAGTTTTAATTTTAGCTGCACTGGTAGGTGTGTAATAGTGCTCATGTTCTTAATTTGCATTTCTATGATGGCTATTGATGTTGAACATTTTTCTGTGCTTATTTGACACCTGTATATGCTTTTTGGTAAGATGTTTTTTTATGTCCAGTTTCTAATTGGACTGTTTGTGTTTTTTATTTTCAAGCTTTTAGAGTTTTTTAATACGTTATAGATATGAGTCTCTTGTAAGATACGTGGTTGCAACTGTTTTCTCCCACTCTGCGGGTAGTATTCTCACTGTTTTCACGTGGTCTTTCATAGAATAGAAGTTTTAAATTTTTGATGAAGTCCAATTTATCTTTTTGTAATGTATCATGCTTTTGGTATCTAAGAACTCTTTACCAAGTCTAGGTCCTAAAGATTTTCCCCTAAGTTCTATTTTTAAAAACATTTTAAAGTTTTACATTATACATTTAAATTTATGATCTACTTTGAGTTAATTTTTGTGTAAAGTGTGAGGTTTAGATTTAGGTTAAGTTTTGCCATGGATATTCAATTGCTCCTGCACCATTCATTGAAAAGGCTATCCTTTCGCCATTATATTGTTTTTGTACCTTAGTCAAAAATTTGTTGGCTGTGTGGGATATTGCTGAGTGCACTGACCTCTTCCAATGATCTATGTTTCTAACCATCTTTCAGTACACATTATATCCACACAGATTTGATTATTGCAGCAATACAATTGATCTTAAAATTGGAGAAAGTGAATTATCTCATTTCAAATTACAAAACTAATGTAACTATTCTACTTGCTTTCTCTTTTCATATTAATTTTAGAAAAATCTTGTTCATGTCTCTTAAGAAATCTTGCTGGAATTTTGATAGAAATCGCATTAAATTATAATTTTCAACTATCTCCAATACTAATCTGTCTCTATTTATAGATGACATGATCATCTACATACAAAAAGGAAATTCCGAAAGTTAATTAGTGAGTCCAGCAAGGTCACAGGATGCAAGATCATTACACAACATAAATCAAATATATTACTGTATATGAGTAATGAGCATGTTATTAATGAAACGAGTTGTAATTGGGGACAATTGACATCTTTATTATATTGAGTCTCACAATTCATGAACATGGTATATCTCTCCACTTATTTAAATATTCTTTATTTCTATCATCAACATTTTGTGTTTTTCCCCAGTGTACAAGTCCTATATATGTTATCTTAGATTTACACCTATTTCATTTTCTGAGCAACTTTCCATAATATCATATTTTTAATTTCAGTTTCAACATGTTCATTTCTTATATACAGTAATACAATTGAGTTTTGTTGTATATTGATCTTTCATCCTCTGACCTTGCTGAACTAGGAGGACTTTTTTGATGTAGATGATCATGTCATCTATAAATAGGGACAATTTGCATGCCAACTATTTCCTTTTATTGATTTTTAATATTGAATAAAATTTATAGTACTATATTGAATAGTAGCTGTAAGAACAAACATCCTTGCCTTGTTGTCACTCAGAGAGAAAGTATTCAGTCTTTCAATGATTAAGTATGATGACAGCTGTAGGTTTTGTAGATGTATCTTCAAAAGTTGAAAAAGTTTCCTTCTGTTATAGGTTGAATTGTGTTCTCAAAAAATTTATATACTCCTAACTCCCAGTATCTCAGAATGTTATCTTATTTGAAAATAGAGCATTTTAGATTGAATTAGCTAAAATAGGATGAGGTCATACTGGACTAGAGGCCCTTAATCCAATGTAGGCCCTTAATCCAATATGATTAGCGTTCTTATAAGAAGGGGAAATTTGGAGAAAGACACACAGGGAGAACACTGTGTGAAGATGAAGGCAGAGATCAGGGACATGCTTCTATGTGCCAATGAATAGCAAAGATTGCCAGCAAACCACCAGAAGCTAGATGAGAGACATGCAACAGATTCTTCATTACAGCCCTCCAAAGGAAACAACCCTGCTAATACCTTGATCTTAGAATTTTAGCTTCCAGAAATGTGAAGACAATACATTTTAGTTGTTTAAGCCACTCACTGTGGTACTTTGTTATGGCAGCTCTAGCAAACTAATATACTATTTCTAGTTTTCTAAGAGTTTTTACTATAAATGAGTGTTGAATATTTTCAAGCAGTTTTTTTCTGCATCAATTGATATGGTTGTGTGAATTTTTTCCTTAGTTTGTTTACATAGTGGATTACAATAACTTAATTTTGGATGTTGAAGTAGCCTTGTTGCTTAAAATAAATTCTATTAGTCATGGTGTATAATTTTTATATACACTGTTGGATTTGGTTTGCTAATTTGCTAAACTAATATTTCATTTTGGGGATTTAAAAAAATCTGTATCATGAGGAATATTGATCTCTAGTTTTTGTTCTTTTTTGTTGTTCTTGCGCTATCCTTGGATTTGCTGTCAGAGTAATACTGGCTTCATAAAACAATTATCAATATTTTCTCTTACTCTATTTTTTGGAAGGTATTATGTTGGAGTTATGTCTTTAAATGTTTGGTAAAATTCTCTAGTGAAATCTCCTAAGCCTAGAGATTTCTTTTTGGGAGATTTTAAAATCACAAATACAATTTCTTTACAGTTATAGAGATATTTAAATAGTGTAATTCATACTGGTAAATTGTGGTAATCTATGCATTTAGAGGAACATATGTACTCAAATATATATGGGTAGAACTATTTGTAGAATTTCTTTTTTTTGATGTCATCAGAGTCTATAATAATAACCCCTGTTTTATTCCTGAAATTGGTAATTTGTGTCCCTCTTTTTTTTTTTTGTTCAGTCTTGCTAGAGTTTTGACAATTTTATTAATCTTTTCAATGAAACAGTTTTTTGTTTCAATGATGTTTTTCTATCATTTATGCTTTTAATTTTGTTGCTTTCTACTGTGGTATTTATAATGCTCTTTCATCTGCTTGATTTGGATGATCTAGCTCTTCTTTTTTTAGTTTCCTGAGGTGGGGGCGTATTGTTAATTTGAAACTTTTCTTCTTTTCCAATGTGAGACTCCAGCGCTATAAATTTTCCTCCCAGCATTATTTTAACACCATCCCACAAAGTATAATATGCTTTACTTTCATTTTCATTCAGTTCAATGTATTTTTAGAAAATTCCCCTTGAGACTGCCTTTTTGACCCATGGATTCTTTAGAAGTGTGTTTAGTGTCCATGTATTTTAGTCGTGGTGTTGAAAAGCATATTCTCACCTGGACAAGCTATGGTGGTGCTGCGAATACTATTGCTTAGAGGAAAATATTAAAAACAACTATGAGATTGTCCTTGGTTGACTTTTTGGAATCAGAATATTTTAAGTGGAACTGGTTTAACCAGAATTAAGTAAATATATTGGTATGAGTCTAAGGAACTCT
This sequence comes from Homo sapiens, assembly GCF_000001405.40. Classification (NCBI taxonomy): domain Eukaryota; kingdom Metazoa; phylum Chordata; class Mammalia; order Primates; family Hominidae; genus Homo; species Homo sapiens. The sequence goes on along the minus strand of NC_000012.12, from coordinate 88,816,491 downwards.
CCTGTAAAGAATCAAGTTACCAAGTTCTGATTAATATGCTAGATTGACCACAAACTCCTGTATTTTCTCTAAAACCATACTAAAGTGGCCATAAAATGATCTCAAAAATGCCACAAGCCAACAATGACAATGTACACAGGAAAAAGGTGATAATTTTACAAGCTGAAGTGAAATGGACAAGAGATGACAGTTGTAACAGACCAGAGAAAGCTGAAGTTTAGCCAGTGGAAACCTCTGAAGCAAGCTAGTCATGATGAGGAAGACCAGCAAAGCTCAGGAACTGGAAATAACAGTTACACTGAAGTGGGGTAGGATACAAGTGGATCTGAAAAGAGGAAGATTGTTCAAGAAACAATATAAACAGCAGCTCAAACCCTAGATTCACTCCTGTAGTCCTCACACTAAGGAAATTACCCCCTATACTCCAGCAGAGGATTAATTTATTTTCTATAAAGGTCGAAAATTAGTGGCATCATATAAAGATGAAGACAAAGGTATCACAAGAGATACAGGCAAACAAAGTAAAACTCTAATATAAACAGTGGGATTCTTTGACTTAGTTATGAATGAGTAGCTAATAGTCAGTCTCTTATTCCCTCCAGGCAGGTCATTGTATAACCCCTCCCTGAATAACTGGCCAGCATACGAAGAGGAATCTGCAGATACCAACAGTCTTTGTATTGGTTCTTCAAAGAAACAGCCCATCCAGATCACACTATGGTGAAGCCCAGAGTGAACAAGTCTGCCTTTAGACACTAAACTCCCAGTCAGCTTTTCAGCCATTCTTAAAGATGAATGGACAGCCAATGATCACCAAACATCAGAGGAAACTCTCTAGCAAAGTAAAGATAAAATAAACAGTATGGGGCCGGGAGTGCTGGCTTATGCCTGTAATCCCAGCACTTTGGGAGACTGAGGTGGGAGACTGAGGTAAGAGACTCGCTTGAACCCAGGAGACAGAGGTTGCAGTGAGCCGAGATCACGCCACTGCACTCCAGCCTGGGTGACAGAGCGAGACTCCATCTCAAAACAAACAAACAAACAAACAAACAAACAATGAAAAAGACAAAAATTAAAAAAAAAAAGTATGAAATTTAAACAAAGATAATGAAAGGAACAGAAGAAACTTTTTGTGAAACGTAATTGAAGAGAAACAAAAAGAAATTATATTACATAAAAATGGGAAGCAATAAGGAAGATTCATACAACAAAAGCTAGCACTTGGAAATTAAAAAATAAAGAACCATAAATAAAAAAAATCTAAAAGAATAGTTGGAAGATAAATTTGAACAAAAATATCCTGGAAAAAATAAAGAGGTAGGTTATTAGAAAGAACAGATAAACCAAATTTTCTATATAAGCCTCATTTTACTTTTTAAAATTATGTAAGTAGTTTTTAAAAATTAAAAGTAAAAGGACCAGGGTGGAAATTGGGGATTAACCCAACCAGATTTGCAAATTCTTAAGAAACTGGACTCCTTCCTGGAAGGGAAGAGGGTGTGTAGCAGGCATGAGGTAATTGATTAAAGTTACTACTTTGACACATCTGCAGAGACGAGACTTTTTTCCTTTCTTTCTTTCTTTTTTTTTTGCAACAGAGCCTCGCTCTGTCACCAAGGCTGGAATGTAGTGGCATGATCTCGGCTCACTGCAACCTCCTCCTCCCGGGTTCCAGCGATTCTCCTGCCTCAGCCTCCTGAGTAGCTGGGATTACAGGCACCTGCCAACACACCTGGCTACTTTTTTTGTATTTTTAGTAGAGACGGGGTTTCACCATGTTGGCCAGGCTGGTCTCGAACTCTTGATCTCAGGTGATTCTCCTGCCTCAGCCTCCCAAAGTGCTGGAATTACAGGTGTGAGCCACTGTGCCTGGCAAGACAAGACTTTTTTTCTAAACTTCTCTGGTAAGGCTGGCTTTCAAGTGAGCTTTGATACCTTTGTTTGAGGCTATATGCTATCAGAAACTAGAGCTATTGCACAGAATGATGGAGCAGAAATATACAGGATGATTTTAAATTGTGCTTAAAAACTGCCAATAAAATGGAAGAGGACTGGTATAACTCTGAGATGGGCTACGTGGCCACAATTGTAAAAGGTTTTGAGCATCCAGGACTACTGATTTTACATGGTCTTAAAGTTGTCAGTGCATGCATTTTGGTAGCTAAAGAATATTTAGTAACATAGAATAAAAGCTGTTAAAAGACATTTATATGTATATGTAAAATTTAAATAACATTTTTAGTGAGCCATGAGACAAGATATATTGGAACACAGTTTAGGAAATTTGGCTTGGTTACTGCCAAAGCAATTGATGACAAAACATTACTGAGGTTCAGCAGGCTCAGCTAATATGTGAACTACATACATGTCTAATTCCCTTCCTCCTGATGATGCACTTATTGATTCAACAAACATTTATTAACCACCAGTAGTTGTAAGGCACTGTGCTAGCCAACAGAGCTGCAATGAAAATGACCAGACACAATCTTTGTTTTCATGGAGTTTATAATCTAATAAGAGAATTGTTAAGAGTGATAAGCACACCCCAAAAGGGTCAAGGTCATTGGAAGGGAGTAGCCAAGGTGAAAGTGACATAAGCCACTCTGATAGCTTAGAAGAGTCTTTGAGAAAGTGAGATAAGCTGAGGTGTAATGGGTACATAAGATTTAATTAAGCAAATAGGGAGGTTGGTATCAAACTGTTTTAGGTAGAAATAACAGCATGTACAAAAGGTTTGAGCCAAGAAAGAGTGTGGTGCCTTCAAAAAAGTGAAATTTTTCCATATTGGCCAGAATATGGAGAAAGACCAGGGAAGGGACATTTGATCTACACAAAGTAGCCAGCAGAAGGTGGGTTGTGTAGGACTAATAGGCATATTGCGGATTTAGGGCCTTATCCCAAAGGCAATGGGAAGATGTTAAAAGGTTTGAAGAACAATCTGATCAGTTTTGAATTCTTAAAATATTCCTTTGACTTTCTTATGAAAAATAGATTGGCAGGGAGAAAAAGCAGATTCACAGAAGATAGGCTTTAGCAATTTGCTAATTTGTTGCTACATTTTCTGTTCCTTATGTTTGATGCTTTATTTTGCCAAGAAACCCAATTACTGAAACCATACTTGGTAACCAAGCAGTAATATATTAAGAACAGGCCATGTATGTTGGTGGTGGGGTGAGGCGAGATCAGGAAAAGCAAGGAGATTGTCTTATTTTACTGTGAAACCTGGGTTCTTTCCAGAGTGTCCTTTATTTCTCCTCTTGCTGTATTTCCTTTTCTTCTCACATCAGGGCTTATCAGGTCAGCTTCTCCACTGTTATATTTTGTGTAAAGCACCTAGTCAGTTATCATAGAGCAGCACAATTTTCTTCATGAACTATCAACCTAGCTCTTGGGTAATTTTATTATTTTAAACTTAAAAATGAATATGTAAACTGGGGTCAAAAGGTCTGTGTTTTGATAATAAAATAGATTTGGAAAATTATAAAGGCATGCCCTCATTTTTCTTGATATAAACCTTTCCCTAATTTTACACGTAACATCAATCAAATGAGTTTGGGAAAGTGAAAAAGTTTCAAGAAAGAGCTAAAATTCCTCTATCAAAACACTCTATTAATTTTTTTGTTTTACTTTTGTTCCTGCCTGAGCTGCTTAGAATATCAGAGAGAGGCTTAGATAGTTATGTAAACAGAAAACTCAATCTATGCCAATTTTATGGCATAACTGATTATTCAATCACTGTTCATTTACTCATTTACACAAGTAGTTTTGAAGCAGCACCATTGTAGGCACTGAGATCCTTGTTCTAAAGTGGTCTGCATTCAGAGTAGGTGAGAGAAATCAACAATGACAACATAAACAGGCAATTAAAATAGCAATGTGTAAATGTGGTTCAGGAGCTAAAGACACACAGAAAAGACATTCCATTCAGTCATGGAAGTTGTCCTACAAGAGTGAAAACTCAAGGAGAAGAAATTTTCCTGTGGGTGTGTAGAATTCCACCAGGTGTAGCAGTGGAGAAGAGTATTCTAAAGCAGAGGAAACAGCATAGACAGTCCCCGAGGACAGAGAAAGCATGGCCTATTTCAGGGATTAAAAGTAGCATGATGTGTGTAAGATGATTGTGTAGGTGGAGGCAATAACAGAATTTGAGGTTGGAGAGGTGAGGAGACAACAGATGATAAAAAAAAAAAAACCTATGAGCCACATTAAAGAATTTGGGTTCATGGTTCTCTGTGGTCAAAGGGGAGGCATATAAAGTCTTAAACAGAATGCGATAGTGAGATTTGTACTTTGGACAAATCACTATGGCTCTAACACAAAGGATAGCCTGAAGGCAGTTACACTGTGAGAGTAATCCAGCCAAGAAATAGTGGTGTACCCTCTATCGGGCAGTGAGAATGAAGACAATTAGTTGGCACAAGGAACAATTTAGGAGTAGATTAATAGGATTGGATAATTGATGTGGATATGAGGGTGGGCTAAGGAGAGGAGAGAGTCAAAGATCATGCTCAAGTTTTGAGTTGGGAAATTGGGTGAATAGAAGTGGACATGTTAAATGCGTGGTGCCAGTGGACATCCAAACTAAGATCTCTAAGAGAAAATTATTTCTATGGAGCCTGCAGTCCAAACAAAGGGTGAGGGGTGTGGAGATACGTGTATAAGCACATATGTGGGAATGGGTGAGTAGGTGGGAGGGAAGTTTTCTATCATCAAAGACTCTTTCATTTGCAAATGAAATAAAACCCCAAAGGGTGAGGGGTGTGGAGATATACGTATATAAGCATATATGTGGGGATGGCTGGGTAGGTGGGAGGGAAGTATTCTATCATCAAAGACTCTTTCATTTGCAAATGAAATAAAACCTCCCTCAAACAATCAAGAAAATGTATTGGTTCATGTTATGAAAAAATGCGGACGTATACTTCATGCTTCAGACCCACCTGGATTCACGGACTTAGTGAATTCATCAGGACTGAGTCTCTGTCTACTTTTCACTTAGGTGGTCTCATTTTTCTGAACCCCAGAAGTACTGTGCTAACATTCTTCTCACTGTCAGCAGAAAAGACATAATTCTTCATTGATGGCTGCTACCCACATAAATCCTGGAATAGTTTAATTGACCAGGTTTGGGTCATGTGGAGATTTCCAGTTCAACCTCTGTGGTGAGATTGAAGGTATGAAAATGTCCCTTGCAGGCATGTAACCTATACATGTATAAGATGAGAGTCAAAAAACTAAGAAAAACAGCCAAGAAGGTAATAGGAAATTATGACGATTAAAAAAAAATCTGGAGTCTATATTCAAGAAAAAGGAAATATTTATTATAGCTAATGATGGTGCTAGGTTAACTGGGGAAAGAATGTAAAATATTCACTTACTTTAGCAACAAAATGATGATCTGTGACCTTGGCAAAGAAGTCTCAGGATGGTAGTGGTTCAGAAGTCATAATGGAATGCTACAAATGAAACATTGGTGAAGCGGTGGAGGCTGAGGGTATAAACAACTCTTTTGACTTGTGAAGAAGAATGAGCACCAGGATGCTGGTGAGATCCACAGTTGCAGCTGATGAATAAGTGGTGGCTGGACCTCCTTCTGTCCCTCTGAGCACTGCCTCTGCACTCTTGCAATGCAAGCCTGGTGTCTAACTGTGAAGCAGATAAGACCAACTCTCACTATTCCTCACAATAACAACAACAAAAGATGTAGTCAAGACTAAAACAGTTATCACGTTAATTATTTTTATTATACTTTAGGTCCTGGAATACATGTGCAGAACGTACAGGTTTGTTACATAGGTATACATGTGCCATGGTGGTTGGCTGCACCCATCAACCCATCATCTGCATTAGGTATTTATCCTAATGCTATCCCTCCCTAAACCACCCACCCTTGACAGGCCCTTCTGTGTGATGTTCCCCTCCCTGTGTCCATGTGTTCTCATTGTTCACCTCCCACTTATGAGTGAGAACATGCAGAGTTTGGTTTCCTGTTCTTGTGTTAGCTGGCTGAGAATGATGATTTCCAACTTCATCCATGTCCCTGCAAAGGAAATGAACTCATCCTTTTTATGGCTCCACAGTATTCCATGGTGTATATGTGACACATTTTCTTTATCCAGCCTATCATTGATGGGCATTTGGGTTGGTTTCAAGTCTTTGCTATTGTGAACAGTGCTGTTAAAAACATATGTGTGCATGTGTCTTTATAGTAGAATGATTTATAATCCTTTGGGTATGTACTCAGTAATGGGATTGCTGGGTCAAGTGGTATTTCTGGTTCTAAATCCTTGAGGAATCACCACACTGTCTTCCACAATGGTTGACCTAATTTACACTCCCACCAACAATGTAAAACTGTTTCTATTTCTCCACATCCTCTCCAGCATCTGTTGTTTCCTGACTTTTTAATGATCACCATTCTAACTGGCGTGAGATGGTATCTCATTGTGGTTTTGATTTGCATTTCCCTAGTGACCAGTGATGATCAGCTTTTTTTCTGTTTGTTGGCTGCATAAATGTCTTCTTTTGAGAAGTGCCTGTTCATATCCTTTGCCAACTTTTTGATGGGGTTGTTTGATTTTTTTTCTTGTAAATTTGTTTAAATTCTTTGTAGATTCTGGATTTTAGCCCTTTGTCAGATGCATAGGTTGCAAAAAATTTTCTCCCATTCTGTAGGTTGCCTGTTCACTCTGCTGATAGTTTCGTTTGCTGTGCAGAAACTCTTTAGTTAATTGGATCCCATTTGTCAATTTTGGCTTTTGTTGCCATTGGTTTTGATGTTTTAGTCATGAAGTCTTTGCCCATGCCTATGTCCTGAATGGTATTGCCTAGGTTTTCTTCTAGGGTTTTTATGGTTTTAGGTCTAACATTTAAGTCTTTAATCCATCTTGAATTAATTTTTGTATAAGGTGTAAGGAAGGGGTCCAGTTTCAGTTTTCTGCATATCGCTAGCCAGTTTTCCCAGCACCATCACAAAACTATAGATTATACTAAGATAAATTATGGTTTAGACTGCTAATTGATGGCTTTACAGCATAGTAGCATCTCACATGGAATAAACTTTAATCTCAGTGCTTAAAATAAAAATAAAGGATTGAGTGTGGTGTAATCCCAGAATTTTGGGAAGCTGAGGTAGGAGAATCACTTGAGGTCAGAAATTTGAGACCAGCCTGGGCAACAAAGCAAGATCTCATCTCTACACACACATTCACAAAAATTGTCTCGGTGTGGTGGTGCACTTCTAGTCCCAGCTACTTAGGAGCCTGAGGCAGGAGGATTGCTTGAGCCCAGGAGGTGCAGTCTGCACTGAGCCATGATAGTGCCAACTGTAGTCCAGCCTGGGAGACAGAATGCAACACTGTATTTACAAACAAAATTAAGTTTAATTAAAATAGAAAAAATAATGCCCTTGAAAATGACCTTCAAATACAGTATGGTACTGGCTTTCAATAAGTTCAATACAATTGTTCCTCCAGCCTTAGAATAAAGCTCTGTTTCTTTCGTTAAGCACCAGGTGATAGCTGGCTTGCATGGAAGGCACTTAAGGACCATGCTGTAAAAAAAAAATATGTACTGCATATTTATAAATGAAGATCACACTCACCGTAGCAAGATACTCTCACTTAGGCAGAAGTTAGATAACTTGGGAAACAACAGATTCACGTTGTTCATTTCATGTTCACTCACAGCCATAAATTCATCCCGAGGACAGAGGACAAAATCAAATGATGTCTTTTTCTCTCTGTCTCCTACATATGTATAATTGAATTTAAATTACATAAGCATACCTGCTGCTCTGCTGTAATATTTGCTAGATGACTTCAGTACACTAGATCCTTTAACATCTATAAACAATCTTTTCACAAACATGTTCGAGAGTTAGACTTAATTTTACTAAGAGGTTTTTTTAATCCATTAAAACAAACAAACAAAGAGGCCGTCCCCCCTACCACCCCCACAAGGAATTTGGCAGAGCTATTGCCCAAATTGTGTTAGGAGCATAACAATGATACCAAAAGAAAAACTGTGGAGCCAAAATATCCAAACTAGTTATTTGCTTGGGCCTTTTAACACAGCTGTGATACACAACAAGAATCTGGAAACATATGCCTCTCTCCGATATGGAGATGGAAGGGGACTAGAAGGAAGAGATGGAACAAAGCAGTATGACCATATTGAATGCACTAATTGGTGCTATACATGCTGAAATTCAATTATATTGGTAATTGAGGTAGAAAGATTTTCTGAGTAGACACAAAAGCAGAATTTCCCAACCAACACAGCTTTAGACTATATCAAACCTCTGTTTTACACAGTAAACCAGTAAACAAATATTTTGCTGGCAGAAATTCTACTTAATCTATGCAGATATACAGCAGGTGAATCAATCATGAAATGGGCTCTAAGATCAATAATTAAAACTGAAAAATGAGCCAGCCAGGTACCATGGCTCATACCTGTAATCCTAGCACTTTGGGAGGCCAAGGAGAGCAGATTGCTTGAGCTCGTGAGTTCGAAACCGTCTCTACTAAATATATAAAAATTAGCTGGGCATGGTGGTGCATGCCTGTAGTTCCAGCTACTTGAGGGGATGAGGCAGGAAGATCGCTTGAATCTGGGATGTTGAGGCTGCATTGAGCCAATACTGCACCACTGCACTCCAGCCTGGGTGACAAAGTGGGACGCTGTCTCAAAAAAAAAAGGAAAAAAAAAATTGAAAAAATGAACATTTTTTCTTCTGGAGGATGGACGCACTATATGGACGTTTATAAATAGACTCATTGATTTCTATGGAAATAAAAATCAAAAGAGAGTATGTATTTGAGGCAAACTGGGGAAAATGCATCCCAACTTTATCCCAGGCCTACACTGACTTTTGATATCTTCATAGGCTCACTATTTTTTTCTATTATTTAAAATATTTAACACACTCTTGCCAAAATGTGTTTGAGGAAAATGTATAGTCTAAGATTCTGAAAAATGAGGAGAAAATAAAAAAATAAGGGAAGAAAAAAAGGCGGTGTGGCAGGGTGTCTTAGATGCAATTAAAATACACTAAGGAAATTGTGAAAAAGTTGTAATAAACTGGTAGTGCATTAAAGTCATATGGTTATATTTTAAAGAATACCACACATTTTTTAAAACCACAAAAAGATAAGTCTAAAATAATGATGAGCAGCTAATTTTATCTGTGTGTGTGTGTGGAAACCATGGCACTTATTAAAATAATTACCCGAGAACCTCAAACTGGTGTTTACTTTATAAAATATATGCAATCTTTGTAGTGATATCTAGGTGTAACAAATTAGTTGGATTGTAAAAAGCCCTCAATTCAGAGTTCTATTAGTAATTTATTAAGTCCTAAATTGCAAGTACATAGATTACTTCACGCATTTCTAAATCTGATGTTAGGGCTGAATTATGATGAATCAGGTTTTATTTGGGGATTTTGTGAACAGAGCAAAAAGTCTTTTCACATAGATGACACAAAGAATCTACTCCCAAGGGAGTTTTAAAATTCTACCCATCATTTAATACAAAAAAGCAGGCTCTCTAGACAATCCATCTCCCCACAGAAAAACAGAAAGAAAGGGAAAGAAAGAGATACGGAGACATTTGGGAATATTTTTAAGAACTACTCATCCCTAGAAACTTTAGTGAAAATTTTGAGAAATTGAATATGGTGCATTCTTTACTGTTGGTGGCAACATTGTACCTCTTGCCACCTTCAAACAAAGTTGTAATCAATAAGAAATAATTGAATATTAAGGCCAGGGGTGGTGGCTCACACCTGTAATCCCAGCACTTTGGGAAGCTGAGGCAGGCGGATCACCTGAGGCCAGGAGTTCGATACCAGCCTGACCAACATGGCGAAACCCTATCTCTACTAAAAATACAAGAAACATTAGCTGGGCGTGGTGGTGTGTGCCTGTAGTCCTAGCTACTCGGGAGGCTGAGGCATGAGAACTGCTTGAACCTGGGAGGGGGAGGTTGCAGTGATCCGAGATTGCGCCATTGCACTCCAGCCTGGGTGACAGAGCAATACTCTGTCTCAAAAAAAAAAAAAAAAAGTTGAATATTTATTTAAGTACTGATTTGTTTGAATAGTGGGTATGCATGTATTCTCTCAATTGATTTGTTTGGTTTTGAGCTAATATTACTTTAACCACCCTCCACCCCAATTGTATAGATAAGGAAACTGTGTTTCAGAAAAGTTCAGTTCTTTGGAGAGCTTCTTTGTATTCTTCTGCTTCTAAATTGTTAGCCACAGAGAAAGTAACAAAGATAAACTATTCCTACTTATTCCTAGACCCGGATTTTAAGTTTCATCTTATTTGTAGAGAGCAAATGTTTTCTTCCTTTTCCTAAGTTCCTCCCTCAGTCCTTTCTCTCTTTGTCCACTAGCCTCTTCCTATAGGAGGAGGAGGAAGAAGAGGAGGAGAAGAAAACATACCCACTGGTGAGAGTAAAAAAACGGCCCCAGACCTTGCTTGCAAGGCCCAGACCCCATCTGGCTTCTCAAGATCTTCCTCTCCCTAGGCCTCCCTCATTCTGTTCTGCTCCTTGCTCTACAGAGGCAGGCTGGGGTTTCCTGTGTGGTCAGTAGGGCTATAGTTAAGCTCTGAAAGTCTATAGGCTTCTAGGCCTGGATTTGAGACTGGAAGCAACAGAGGCACATTTTAACCCCCCAGTTTGCATTGTGCTCACCAGTCTAACATTATAGAGTTGCTCATTTATCTCTGGCTCCTGGTTCAGAATCCAGAAGGAGTGTTGACATTTCCAAAATCTCAGCATACTCCTTTTATTGTCACTGTTGCTACTTAGAAAACAGAACATTTGATCCCTGAAAAAGAATATGCTAATAAACTTTAGTCCACTTGAAAAAATCTAAGTTTAAGAAGCTAAAAATGTGTGTAATTAAAAAAATGTTCTCCCATGACTGCAAAAACTAAAATGGAAAAATTTCCAAATCTTGCTTTTTGGGGACATATAAAGGAAGTAATACAAAACTAAATAATTTTGTAAGTTTTGCAGCCTGACTGTATTGCTTTTAAAACCGCAAATCTTTGGTACGTCATGGTTTAAGAATATGCCTTTCACAATGCCTAATTGCTGGCTGATAGACAGGAATCTAGTTGAAATCCAAAGCTTCCATCTGGTAGCTGATTGTTTCAATGTGAATTTACTAATAATAAATTTTATTTTATAATTAATATTTTAAATTAAAATATGAAGATATGTTTTTCCTTTTTTCTGAAGTTTGTTTTGTGTTTATATCTGCAAATAACCCAGTTCCAGATTCCTCATCCTAGGTCATTTCCCCTTGGTCAGACATTCTGACTGCACTCTTCAATTTTCCTTTCTAGCTGTTATTGCAGTAACAATTAAGAAGTTATTGGTACAATTGTGGTTGATGGACTGCATCTTTCAGTAGACTGCAGGCTCCATGAACAGAGGGATCACATCTGTTTCTTCATCATCATATTTCTGCTGTCCAGCATATAGCCTGATACCTGACAGATAGATAAACTTCAAGCAAAACATCACATTTTTAAGGCAGACATAGATATTAGAGCCAGCTATATTTAAGGCAGGTATTAGAGAGATTTGTAAGAATATAAATATTACCCCTCTTCTCAATAATATTTTTGTTTTTGCTTTAGAAAACATATTTTTCATAGCAATAGGTTAATTATTCTAACCAGAGAAAAGCCAAGTAAAGCTTGTAGCACAGTACCTAGAAAATAGTTTGTGCTCAATAAATGTTACTAATTAGCATCATCATTAATAAAATTATTACTGTATGTCCACTGTATTCTTGACACAAATATGAAAGCCTGCTGTCAAAAGTAATTTTAAAAGCTACTTGTTTTTCTAGTATTACCTACAGCCCCTCTCTCTCATGCTATATCCCAGCCACAGAAAATGATTTGAGATTCCTCCAGAACATCAAACCCATCTAAGCTCCGTTCCTTTGCACATAACATTTGTTGGCTTGGAAGGCTCTTCTCTTCCTAGTCTGCTTAGCACTCTCATTTCCTACTCCAAAGCTTCCATGTCAGAGGTAATCTGTTTTATGGCACTTTGGACACAGTCCTTTTAGTATTATTTATTTTATATTTTGTCTTACTGAATTATACCCTTCCAAGCTACTAGTGTCCAGCATATAATTGGCACTTGAGAAATGCTGTGTGAGAATGTGTGACTCTATTGAGCAAGTCAGATTTGCTTTTAACATAATATGGATTTTCATGCAGTGCTTTAAAATTGTTTCAGTTTTCTTTTTCAAGATAGCAAGGCTTTATTTACTAAGAATGGTCACTGATATTGCTAAATATATTTATTCTATTTTCTGTCAAAATTTACCAAATGCAGGTGTGCTATTAAATGTTTGTGTTTTCCAACATTTGCTGGCAAGACTGGCTTTTTCAAAGACTGGAAATAAGTATTTTTGTAAGTGCCCATGTAACACAAAAAACTTAATTGGGGATGCTGTTCTCTGAGGCTGTCCAGAGATAAGGGGTCCCTTGGCAGAAAACCCTGTTGACTCTTATCCTGTAATCTTAGTGAAGGTCACAGCCTTTAGGATCTGGCCTGTCTGCCCAGATGAGTTGGGGGCTGGCTTTGGTGGAGTATGGTAGAGAGGGAAAAACATCAGGAAGAACTGAATGGTACATGTAAGTATATTTCTTTCTTAGCAGCAATGAATTCTTTAATCCCAATCCAGTTTCATTGAGTCTTTCCTAGGCATGAAAGTTGGAGGAATTGAAAGTTACAAAGTTGCTAAGTGCCAAAACAGGAGGCTTAAGATAGGGTATATTTGCTGGGCTTCCTACAAGAAATGTCTCAATTCTCTTCTTGGTAATGTTCAACTGGAAATAATATTGGGGTGGGACTAGGGTTACCAATTAAGCAATATTCATATTCCATGCTTCCGTTACCAACTTTCTCAGTTTATCCAGAACTGAAAGGTTTCCTGGGATGTGGTATAGTCAGTGCTAAAACTGGGAAAGCCCTGAACAAATCAGGATAAGCGGGTCTCTTTAGCTGATCCATATATGGCATATGTGAAGAGCTTAAGCAACCAGAAGTATACTTTCATATTTGGCCTAACATCAACTGAGTTCCATCACTGAAATAGAGCAAATAAGAAACTGTTGTGAGTTGTGTTTTGATGTACAACATCTACGTTTATTTATACTTTGCTTCTGGGGAGATGGTAGAGCATGATGCTTGGTGACCTTGATCCATAATGCTTGGTGACCTTGGTGACCTTATACTTTATCTTTGACCATAATCCTTAGTAACCTTGACCCTGAGGCCAAAATGCCTGAGTCCGAATTCTAGCACTATCATGTATTTGCTTAGTAACCTTGGAAAATTAATTTAACCTCTGTATGCCTCAGTTTTCTTGTGTGTAGTTTCTAATTCTATAACCTATATAATTGGCTTGTTATTTAGGATTAAATTAGGTAACATGTAAAATCTTTAAAACAATGTTTTTATTGTTATCATTGTTGTCACTGTGACTACTATTACTACTATTATTTAGCTGTTCAATCCTTCAGCTTCTTTGCCTGCAAAATGGAAATAATATCTCATAAGGTTGATGTGAGGATTAAAAGAGAAGACATAATATGTGTAAAGCACTTAGCTCAGTGACTAGCAAAGAGTAAGCTTGCCAGTTTTACTCAGTGTCATTATTGTCATTATTACTATTATTGTTAAAGGGTCACTGCTTTTATTATTAATTTGTTTGCTTTATTCTAGTTCCAAGGCATAAAATCACACTCATGTTTAAGCTTTTAGCTTTCAAATTTAATGTTTCCTTTGATTTTTCCTTCATGTTATAGCCCTGGCACCCAAAAGTCTATCTCAGATTGCCAACCTTCTCAGGTGGTAATAGAACTGGGACAAGTTATCTGCCTTTCTCCTCATGACTTGGCCATCAACAGAGGGCAGACACATGGACCACTGAAAGTGACAATAGGCCACTGCTTTATTTCTGGTGTGGTTGTCAAGGCCTCTGACAAAACTTTCAGGCAAGTGACTGAAATAGATGATTCTCATGTTTCTTTTTTCTTTTCTTTCTTTCATTTTTGCCACTCTTTCTAAAATTCTTAGTTCCTATATAGCCTTTCTTTTCTCCATAAACCTTAAAAGATATATTAGAATAGCACTACACACAATAAAGTATTTGTTAGAAAAACTGAAAAACTGGAAGCCATTTTATAAAGCAAACATTCCTGATTATTAACCAATGCAAGTGTCATTTGAGATGAGGAAGTTAGAAAGGGAAGGAAGAGCAGGGAGGCAGAAATTACAAACCAATTGACGCAGCTTAGCTAAACCTTTGAGACTACTCGAAAAACAACATTATCAAGCACGCATTCCAGGCTTATAGTGTAACTATAGATTCTTTATGTCTCAATGTGGCATTACAGGTCATAAGCATTGTAGCCCTGAGGGAAAAATATTCCATTTGGATTGGTTTAAATATTTAAGTTTTAACACCAGAGCTTACATAAATACAAATCAATCTTAGAATAACATTTGATGCCATCAGTCCTATGAACAAGGTAAGTATACTCAACCTTTAAAGTCTCTGAAAAGGCTTGGCATTGAGTAAGGAATGTCTGTCCTGATGTGAACTCATTGTAGAGTAGAAAGGGCTTAGAAGTAGTTCTGTTTGTAAGAAATTATGCAAACTCACTGAAGAGAGGTATCAGATACTTTCAGGTGGCCTAAGACCTGATTCTTACAAATATGCTTGGATGCTCAGCTCATTCACATCCTATGGTTGGATTTGGAGGGTTCTGCACTTAACTGACAAGTGCAGTCAAGAAATGCAATAAGATCAGTTTTATTCCATTTCTGTAATTCAGCCCTGTTCAGAGTAGCAAAAAGAGTGCTGAAAGGTTTAGGCTTCCAGTTAAAGACAGGATTTTAAGCTCAGCTGTCCTATAGCTTGTGATGTAATAGGGGAAAATTATAATGACCACAGCCAGTGAGCTAAGAGAAAACCAACATGCAAAAGTGGAAGAGATGCTAGGCAAACAATCATGCACAGGCACACTTTCACACGGACAACATCAGGCTTTATGAGTGCCATAAAAGATAAATAAGAGTTTCAAGATTTGAGAGAGTAGATAAACCCATTGTCTGAGTGATAAGTGAATGCACTTTAGGAATTCCTTAAGGTGTTTTCATGATAGTAATTTTATGAATAAAAGATAATTTCTAGAATTCATTATGAGTTCAGAATCACTATCTTTCAGATTGTGTTCAGGAAGTCAGTAGTAAAATAAATATACACACTAAACATGCAAATAGAAAATATGGGTTTTTCTCTCTGGGGAGCTGGGGGGCATTTTCTAAGAGAAAGGCCACTATTAGCCCTTCGATGTTAAGTGGAATTCATGTGAGGACAGGTTGAGCAGTGCTGCCTTAACACCTCATCCATATGTCCCTTTCCAGTATGCATGTACTTGCTTTCCTTTTGGTTTCGTTCAAGCCTTATGAGGTTGAACCATCATAGAACTTATGCTATTTTACAATAGCCCAATTTATTCTACATAAAAAAAGAATTTCCCAAGAACTTGCTGCTGCTATTGTTCGCTAGGTTTAACTGTTTGTAGCATTTTTCTAAGATCTTCAGACTAGTTTTTTTGTTTGTTTGTTTAATAGCATGGTTGGCTATGTTTTATGTCACTCCCTGATATGCTTTGGCTGTGTCCCCACCCAAATCTCATGTTGAATTGTAGTTCCCAGAATCCCCACATGTTATAGGAGGGACCTGGTGAGAGGTAATTTAATCATGGGGGAGGTTACCCTCATGCTGTTCTTGTGATAGTGAGTGAGTTCTCATAAGATTTGATGGTTTTATAGGGGACTTTCCTCCTTTGCTCAGTATTTCTCCTTCCTGCCACCATGTGTAGAAGGACCTGTTTGCTTTTTCTTCCCCCATGATTGTAAGTTTCCTGAGGCCTCCCCAGCCATGCTGAACTGTGAGTCAATTAAACCTCTTTCCTTTATAAATTAACCACTCTTGGGTATGTCTTTATTAGCAGCATGAGAATGGACTAATACACTCCCCCAACTAGTGGGATGACTCAGATGTGAAAATCTGACCAACAGAAATATCATTATTAAGTCATAGCAATTACTTATTTCATATGTTTTGGGAATACATTCAATAGTTAGTGTTCAAGCAATTGGTTAATATTTACTGTTCTTAGCATATTCTCAGGCACTGGTAGTAGCTAATTATATGTCTCTCTTCTAAATTACTAGGCAATTATTACCTGTAATATCTGTAATATTCATTTGACCAAAAGTCTTGCATTTTACATATTTTTTTATTTCCTCCCAAGAGCCAGGTATTATGCTAAATGTTTGATGTGTACCATTCCTAATCTCCAAAATCTCTTATTGGTAGGAAATATTACCAGCACTTTATAAAGAGACACTGAGACTCATGGACACTGGATGACATATCTAAAGCCACAGACCTAGAAAGTAATGGAGGGCTTTTCTAAACTGAGACTCTTTGACTCCACAGCTCAGCTTTTTTTACTAGACCACATGTTTAGGGGTTGTCTGACAAGCCTTATTGAAAGTCTTCAGTCAGGGAAGCATATCTTGAAATTTTACTTGCTAGTATGGTGTTCCCGTGGTGTCTATGATTTATTTGTTCAATATATTGTTATTTGACTTTTGATCAAATAAAAATCTTAAGCCAGGCACAGTGGCTCACCGTGATTACTACTTGTAATCCCAGCAGTTTGGGAGGCTGAGGTGGGAGGATTGCTTGAGCACAGGAGTTCTAGACCAGCCGGGGCAACATACTGAGAGCTCATGTCTACAATACCCAGAAAAATTAGCTGGCTGTGGTGGCACATGCCTGTAGTCCCAGCTACTCTGGAAGCTAAGACAGGAGGATCGATTGAGCCTGGGAGGTGGAGGCTGCAGTGAGCCATGACTGTGCCATTGCACTCCAGTCTGGGTGACAGAGCAAGACCTTGTCTCAAAAAAATAAATAAATAAAAATAAAAACAAAAATTGTGGTCATTTAGATGATGCATCAGCAAGGATATGGGCTGAACGAAAAAAGGAACTAGAAGAAAAGCTATGAGAAAAAAGATGATAAGGGAATAATAGCTACGTGGAAAGGAAGAGGAAGACCTGTAGACAGATAATCACTGTGGCTCTATAATTTGAAAATTGTCCTGAGTTGAGAATACTTTCCAAGGATAATTCAAGGATTCACACAGTAAACTGGATTATTTTTTCCTCCTGCTGCTCCTCCTTCCCTCCCTTCTTCATGTCCTCCTTCCCTTCATCCCTCCCTTTCTCCCTTCTTTCCACATAAATTAATTACTGATATGCACGGTTCTATGTTAGATTCTAGGACTACAATGATGAATAGAGGAAGACACATATATAAGGAGATACGTTAAAATACAATCAATTCTCTACCAAGTTCTAGGAGAGCAAAAGTTGAAAACTGTCAAAAGTAGAGAATTAAGCAAATTATATGTACGTATAATACACAACATTTTATTTATGTATATTGCAAATATACATGTATATTCATACACAGTATTTGTCTTAGGGAAGAAATTTTCTTAAGAGCATGGACCGTGAACTTTTACTTTTTAAATCATTCACTCAATCCAGATTATCACTCTTCACATTGCTAAACCTCAGTAAATACCTAAATTACTTTATTTGGTGAGTGCTCCTGCTGACAATTTCTTATGGTCTTCAGCTTTATTTTATGTAGCAGTTTTAAACTTTTTATTTGCATTGAAATTCTACTCAATGCCTCTTTAAATAACAACTGCAATACTTGTATAATATCTACTGCTTCCCAATTGTCAAAATGTTATCATATATTCAACTTTCCCTTTTCCTTGACACAATCTGAGTTTTTATTTTTCAGGTGAGTAGACTAGGATCAAAGAAAGCTCCATGACTTCCCCATGGTCACTCCCCTGGAAAGAGCAATCCAAATGCTGGGCTTCTGAGCCCAGAGCCCATCACATTAAATTGACTCTCTGAAAAAAAAATCTCTTGTGAGACTCTCGCCTCTCTTAAGCCTAAATTAAGAAACTGTCTTCCATTACTGCATAGCAGACTGTGGGCTTCATAGAGTCAGACCTGGAACTACTACTTACCAATTTTGATTCTTTGGTGAAGTTAAAATTAAATTTCCAAGTTTCATAATCTTAATATTATAAAGACTATACTACTACATTGGAAGAGTCGTTGCATGGATAAAATGAAATCACATGGGAGACTGAGTCAAACTTCCCCAACCAGGAAAAGCATTATTATTATAGGAACAGGACTCCATATGAGTTAGGTCAACTCAGAGAAGGGAGAGCAGTGTATATTTAATCTGTCTATGAAGGCATCAAAGAATGGATAAAAATTAAATTGTCCTTTAGAGAAGATGAGCTTTAAATTAGCCAAAAAGAGAATTCCAAACAGAGGGGAAGAACAAGCAAAGACAGGAACGAGAACGGTGAAAGTTGGAGTAAGATGAGATCACCAATCTGATCAGGGAAGATTCATGTTGGAGAATCATAAGAAACAAGGCAAAACAGTGAAATAAAAATAACTGAAGGGGGCTTGGCGTCCAGGTTGAGAAAATGTGACTTTTGAAGTATCTTTTTACCAATTTTTGGAGCAGGGGGGATAACATAATGGAACTGACATTTTTGGAAGGGAACTCTAAATCTTAGCATATATTAGATGGGAGGAGTTTGGAACAGGAACCAGAATCAACAGGGCATGGGTTGTTGAAAATTTACTGAAAGTTATTAGCATGAATGAGTGTTGAGTTTTGTCGAATGCTTTCTTTGCATTTATTGATATAATCACGTGATTTTTCTTCTTTAGCTTGTTAATGTGAATCAAGTATATTGATTGATTTTCTGAAGTTGAACCAGCCTTACATACCTGTGATAAGTCAACTTGGTAGTGGCATATCAATTGTTTTTTACATTGCTGGACTCGATTTGCTATTTTGTTGAGAATTTTTATATCTATGTTAATTAGAAATATCGATTCTAATTTCTTTTCTTGTAATATCTTTGTCTGCTTTTGGTATGAGGATAATGCTGGGCCTCATAGAATGAGTTAGAAAGTATTCATTCTTTTTCTATCTTCTAAAAATCATTGCTGAAAATTAGTACAATTTCTTTCTTAAATGTTTGGTCAAATTCAAGGTCAACCCATCTGCACCTGATGCTTTCTATTTTGGAATATTTTCAACTATTAATTCAATTTTTAATTGGGGATTTTGTGAACAGAGCAAGAAAGTCTTTTCACATAGATGGCACAAAGAATCTACCCCCAAGGGAGTTTTAAAATTCTACCCATCATTTAATACAAAAAAAGCAGGCTCTCTAGACAATCCATCTCCCCACAGAAAACAGAAAGAAAGGGAAAGAAAGAGATACAGAGACATTTGGGAATATTTTTAAGAACCAGTCATCCCTAGAAACTTTAGTGAAAATTCTGAGAAACTGAATATGGTACACTTTTTACTGTTGGTGGCAACATTGTACCTCTTGCCACCTTCAAACAAAGTTGTAATCAATAAGAAATAATTGAATATTAAGGCCAAGTGTGGTGGCTCATGCCTGTAATCCCAGCACTTTGGGAGGCTGAGGCAGGCGGATCACATGAGGCCAGGAGTTCAAGACCAGCCTGGCCAACGTGGTGAAATCCTGTCTCTTCTAAAAATACAAACAACATTAGCTGGGCTTGGTGGCATGTCCCTGTAGTCCTAGCTACTTGGGAGGCTGAGGAATGAGAATTGCTTGAATCTGGGAGGGGGAGGTTGCAGTGATCTGAGATTGCGCCATTGCATTCCAGCCTGGGTAACAAAGCGAGACTCTGTCTCAGAGAGAAAAAAAAAAAAAAGACTATTTATTTGAGTAACGACTTATTGGATAATTTTGTAAATTTTGCAGCCTGACAATATTGCTTTTAAAACAGCAAATCTTTGACATGTCATGGTTTAATAATATGCCTTTCACAATGTCTAATTGCTAGCTGATAGATAAGAATCTACTTGCAATCCAAAGCTTCTGTCTGGTAACTGATGGTTTCAATGTGAGTTTACTAATAATAAATTTTATTTTAAAATGAATATTTTAAATTAAATTATGAAGATATGCATTTCTAAGTCTGATATTAGGACTGAATTACGATGAATCAGGTTTTAATCAGGATCAAATATAAAATGATCATCCTAGTCCAGTGAGGAGGAGACAAAACATCTCCTGACATGTCTCCTCAGATGTCCCAGAGGCAATTCAAAATCAACGTTTCCATAAGTGCCTCAAATTTAACTTCCATCCTATATTCTCTCTGTGTGTGCCACCAAGTATTTTGTCACCCAAATCTAGGAATTATCCTTAGCCCTATTTTATTCCTCATTCAACTGTTAAATCACAAAATTCAAGTCAATGCTGCTTGGTAAGTATCCTTTCTTTCAATCCCATGTCACTACAAATATTCATTGAGTATCTACTCTGAAGTAGGCACTGTGAAAGACCCTGGAATATAGGGGCAGACAGTTGACTTACAGTCTAGCACAGGAGACAGATCCTGAGCAAATGTTATGCGATTGTAGCTAAAGAGAAGTACAAGTCCACTTTTGTGTCTCAAAAGGCTGTGAATCCTGATCTGAGTGGGGTCTATGAAAGCTTTCCTGGAGAAGTGACATTAAAACTGAAACCTAAAGGATGAAAAGGAGTTAAGTGATATAAGAGAAGAAAAAAATTCCAGGAAGGAAGAATATCATCTACAATGGTTCTGAGTCAGGAAAGGACATGGTATGTGTGAAGAAAACAGAAAATTCCAAGGAACTAAGAGATGAGCAGCTTGCATCTATATGGTCTTTTGCTGTACTACCAAAATTGTTTAAATGTTTTCTTTTTCTTCTGCTTTGGACTACTAGCATCAGTTTTTCACTTTGCTTCCAGAGAGACTTTCCAAAATGCAAACCTCATTATATCACAGAATCCACAGTGGTTTCCCACTGCCTACACAGTAAAGGTCAAATTCCCTCAAGAGATTCTTCCATTCCCTTCTCTGTGTCTTCCACCCACTCCAACACCTAGTGACAATGATGCCGTTTATAGCTCTTCAAAACAGTCAGGCCTGTTCACCTACTTATGTCTTTGCCAGCTGCTATTTTCTTCATTTGGAATGCCTTTGTCTGCCTGGAAAACTCCCATTCATCCTTTAATGGGACTCATATTCTATATTTTCTAAGCCAGAGGCCAGCAAGCTACAGTCCATGAGACAAATCCAACTCTGCCTGTATGACCTGTGAACTAAAAATCGTTTACCTTTAGTAGAGGTTGAAATAAAATCAAAAGAAGAATATTTTGTGATATGTAAAAATTAAAACACATTTAAATTTCAATGACCATAACTGGAATATTTTTAGAGCAAACCCACACTCATTTGTTTACATATTGCCTACAGCTACTTTTGCACTACAATGGCAAAGCTAAACAACAGAGACCACTCAGCCCTCAGAACTGAAATATTTACTATCTGGTTTTCCACAAAAAAAGGTTGCTCACCTCTGCTCAAATCCAATATTTCCAATATGCTCCTTATAGGCCCCCTCCCCTGGAAAAATATTCCTGGAACAAGACAGTTACCTTGACTACCATCCAAAGCACATAACAGAGAAATTATTTTAAAAATTTGAGTATATAACTTGACTTCATCTTAATTTCCTCACCTGTATATTGGAGGCAATAAGAGTGTCCATCTCATAGGTGTTCTGTGAGGATCAAAATAGTTAATAAAGTGTTTAGAATAGTGCCTGGAACATAAAAAGTGTTCATTAGGTCAACGGTATTAACATTTTTCCTCTAATATATCTTGTATATTCATCTACTGTTTCCCTTCACTGTATTTCAGTTCTTTTTCCCTTATGAGTCAACTGTGATTTTTCTTTTGACTTGTGCAAGGTGACTCCTCAATAAATATATAGTGAATAAATAAATGAATGAAAATGAAGGGACTCATGGCCATGGATGATGGTGAGAATGAAAGTGGATTGTGTTGAACACTGTACTGCCATTTAATATTTACATTACAAATTTTGTGCTACTTTATTTTATGACTTTTAGCTGAATTTTTAAAATGTAATGAAGCCAGGAATTATTTTCACTCAAATGCCAGAAAATGTAAGATGCTTTTGATCAAACTGGAGGGGTTATATTAAATATTAAAGTCTTACAAGCGTCACTAACTCTAAACTTTTGTTGACTTGAGGATCATTTCCTGACTTTTATTGGAACCATTCTGGGCAGTACATTCCCTCTTCCCAATGTCTTTGTGAGCTTCGGCTCCAACTTCCCTTTTCATGTCTTCTTTTTTTTTTTGCCACGGACTTATATGCCTTCAGCACATGAGGCTGCATTTAACTTGGCTCAAAAGCAGGGATAGATATTATCACAATGTAGGAGATTAAAAAGCATCCCAACCTCAAAAGAAACACACACACAGAGTCCACAGAAAATGTAGGGAAGATTTTTTTTCTTATGTTAATACAATGGCGATCCCAGCTTTAATCTAGGATGCATCTATTGAGATCTAGACCAGGTTTGTCATTTTCAGTGAAGTGCTGGGATGTATTCTCCAGAAATCTGCGTCCATGAAGAATTTGCAAAGCCCTCAGGAGTTAATCCATCTTCAGAAAAAAGAGTCTGGGAAACAAGTTTAGGCTGGTAGCAGAGTTTTGGTTACTAGAGAGGTGAGGTGACATTGAAGACAGGAGGGAATTTGCCGTTTCTGTGTTTTTGTTTGTTTGTTTGGGACAAGGTCTCACTCTGATGTCCAGGCTGGAGTGCAGTGGTGTGATCATAGCTCACAGTAGCCTCAAATTTCTGGTCTTAAGTGATCCTCCTGCCTCAGCCTCCCAAGTAGCTGGGACCACAGGCATGCACCACCATGCCCAGCTAGTGTGTTTTATTTTTTGTAGAGATGTTGTTATGTTGCCCAGGCTGGTCATGAACTTCTGGGCTCAAGTGACCCTCTTGTCTAGGCCTCCCAAAGTGCTGGGATTATAGACATGAGCCACTGCACCCAGGCTGCCCTTTCTAATTGTCTGCTAGACTAGTCCTCAAAGATTGACTTAGTCTTCAAATATGAATGTTTAATGTGAAAGGGCAGTTTCTCAGAATCTTGGTATGATGTTGAGTCATAAGTAACATTGCTTTGGGTCCTTTTCAAGAAAGTGCATGCACATGCACAAAAAGAAGAAGGGAGGAAGGAAGGAAGGAAAGAAAGAAAGAAAAAGAAAGAAAGAAAGAAAGAAAGAAGAAAGAAAAAAGAGAAAGAAGGAAGGAAGGAGAAAAGAACGGAGGAAGGAAAAAGGAAATGAAAAGAAAGAAAAGAAAAGAAAAGAAAAGAAAGAAAAGAGAAGGCACATCTGAACTTGAGAGATCACAAGTTTCTTAGAGAATGGACTAGCTAACCTGGACCTAAATGAAGGAGTGGTGAGGTGCAGGAACATATACTACAAAGGCTTGGTTATGATGAAGATTATGGCCCATTTGGGGAACTGCAACTCATTTAACTCTGACCACAACCCTATGAAGTGGATACAATTATTATCTCCATTTAAAATGAGAAACTGAATTATAGAGAGGTTAAGTAACTTTCTTTATGTTACACAACTAAAAAAGTAGCAGATCTAGGATTCAAACTCAAGCAGTCTGACTCCCACATCTGTGATCTTAACCTCTCCTTTATAGTATTCCTAATATAATAGCCACCTTAAGGTAAGAAAGTTTATATCACATACTGTATTAAGTACATTATATGTATTGCTTGATTTAAATATGTTCCAGTTATCTCTTGCTTCATACCAAAATTTAGTGACTTAAATCAATAAAAGTCATTTATTTCTCTCATGAATCTGTGATTTGGGCTGGGTCCTACCCTACGCAATACCAACTAAATTGAGGTGTGCAGGATCTGCTTTTAAGATGGGTCACTCACATGCTGGGAAGTTATTA
Organism: Homo sapiens; assembly: GCF_000001405.40. Lineage (NCBI taxonomy): Eukaryota > Metazoa > Chordata > Mammalia > Primates > Hominidae > Homo > Homo sapiens. The sequence continues at coordinate 88,792,429 of NC_000012.12, read as the reverse complement.
CTGGCTCCAGGGTGAGTTTTTCCCACCTTGGCCTCTGGGCCTGTGATGGGAGAGGATGCCATGAAGGTCTCTGACATAACTGGAGACATATTCCCCATTGTCTTGGTGATTAACATTTGGCTCCTTTTTACTTATGCCAATTTCTGCAGCCAACTTCAATTTTTCCCCATAAAACAGGTTTTTCTTTTCTATCACATTGTCAGTCTGCAATTTTTGCAAGTCTTTATGCTCTGCTTCCTCTTGAATGTTTTGCCACTTAGAAATTTTTTCTGCTAGTTACCATAAACCATCTCTCTCAAGTTCAGATTTCCACAGATCTCTAGGGCAGGGGGTAAACTTGCCAGTCTCTTTGTTAAAGCATAGCAAGAGTGACCTTTACTCCAGTTCCTAACAAGTTTCTCATCTCCATCTGAGACTAACTCAACCTGGACTTCATTGTCCATATCACTATTAGCATTTTGGTCAAAGCCATTCAACAAGTCTCTAGGAGGTTGCAAACTTTCCCACATTTTTCTATCTTCTTCTGAGACCTCCAAACTCTTCCAACCTCTGCCTGTTACCCAGTTCCAAAATTGCTCTCACATTTTTGGGTATCTTTACAGCAGCATCCCACTCTCTGCAGTACCAATTTCCTGTATTAGTTCCTTCTCACTCTGCTATGAAGAAATACTGGAGACTGGGTAATTTATAAGGGAAAGAGGTTTAATTGACCCACAGTTCTGCAGGGCTGGGAGGCCTCAGGAAATGGTGGAAGGGGAAGCAAACATGTCCTTCTTCACATAGCAGCAGGAAGGAGAAGAATAAGAAATGAGCAAAGGGTGAAGCTCCTTATAAAACCATCAGATCTTGTGACAATTTACTATCATGAGAATAGCATGGGGGAAATTGCTCCCATGATTCAATTACCTCCCACCTGGTGCCTCCCACCACACATAGGGATTATGGGAATTACAATTCAAGATGAGATTTGGGTGGGGACATAGCCAAACTGTATCAATGGGGGTGGTTTCTAATGCTTTAGCACCATCCCCCTAGTGCTGTCTCATGACAGAATTCTCATTATATCTGGTTGTTTAGAAGTATGTAGCACTTCCCTTGTCCCTCTCTCTCTCTCCTACTCAACAATGGTAAGATTGGCTTGCTTCCCCAGTGCCTTCTGCCATGATGGAAGTTTCCTGATGCCTCCCTAACTATGCTACCTGTACATCCTGTTGAACTGTGAGTCAATTAAACCTCTTCATGAATTACCCAGTATCAAGTATGTCTTTATAGCAGTGTGAGAACAAACTAATAAAGAAAATTGGTGTGAGAATGAGGTATTGCTATAAAGATATATGAAAATGTGGATGTGACTTTGGAACTGGGTAATGGGCAGAGGTTGGAACAGTTTGGAGGGCTCAGAAGAAGAAAGAAAGATGTGGGAAGGTTTGGAACTTCCTAGAGACTTGTTGAATGGTTGTGACCAAAATGCTGATAGCGATATGGACAATGAAGTTCAAGCTGAGGTGGTCTCAGATGGAGATGAGAAACTTGTTGAGAACTGGAGTAAAAGTCACTCTTGCTATGCTTTAGGAAAGAGACTGGCAGCATTTTGCCTCACTCTAGAGATCTGTGGAACTTTTAACTTGAGAGAGATGGTTTACAGAATCTGGCAGAATAAATTTCTAAGGAACAGTGTTCAAGATAGGGTCTACTGCTTCTAAAAGCCTATGCTCATTTGCATAAAGAAAGAAATGATCTGAAACTGAAACGTTTTAAAGGGAAGGAGAGCATAAAAATTTAAAAAAATTGCAAGCTGACCATGCAGTAGAAAAGAAAAACCCATTTTCTAGGGAGAAATTGAAGGCTGCAGAAATTTGCATAAGTAAAGAAGAGCTGAATGTTAGTTGCCAAGATAATGGAGAAAACGTCTCCAGGGAATTTCAGATACATTCACAGCAGTCCCTCCCATCACAGGCCCAGAGGCCTGGGAGGGAAAAATGGTTTTGTGGGTCACCACTGCTCTGTGCAACCTTGAGGCATGGCACCCTGCATCCCTGCTCCTCCAGCTAAAAGGGGCCATGGTACAGCTTAGGCCACTGCTTCAGAGGTTGCAAGCCTCAAGCCTTGGCAGCCTCCATGTGGTGTTAGGCTTGCAGGTGTGCAGAAGACAAGAGTTAAGCTTTGGGAACCTCTGCCTAGATTTCAGGGGATATATGGAAATGCCAGGATGTTCAGGCAGAAGTCTGCTGCAGAGGCACAGTCCTCATGGAGACCCTCTGCTAGAACAGTGTGGAGGAGAAGTGTGGGGTTGGAGCCCCCACACAGGGTCCCCACTGCAACACTGCCTAGTGGAGCTGTGAGTAGAGGGCCATCATCCTCCAGCCTCCAGAATGGTAGATCCACTGACAGCTTGCACCGTGCACCTGGAAAAGCCACTGTCAGTCGACAACAGCCTGTGAAAGCAGCTGAAGGAGCTGCACCCTGCAGAGTTACAGGGGCAGAAATGCCCAAGACCATGGGATGGGCCATGGGATGTTCTAACATGACCTGATTGTGAGATATGGAATCAAAGGAGATTATTTCAGAGCTTTAAGATTTAATGAATTTCTGCTGGGTTTTGGACTTGCATGCGGCCTGTAGTACCTTTTGTTTGGCCAGTTTCTTCCTTTTGGAATGGTAGCATTTACCCAATGCCTGTAACCCCATTGTATCTTGGAAGTTACTAACTTGTTTTTGATCTTACATGCCTATAGGAAGAAACGACTTGCCTTGTCTCAGTTGGGACTTTGGGCTTGGACATTTGGGTTAATGCTGGAATGAGTTAAGACTTCATGGGACTATTGGAAAGTCGTGATTGGTTTTAAAATAGAAAAAGTACATGAGATTTGGGAGGGGCCATGTTGAATTGTAATCCCCAGTGTCAAGGGAGCAACCTGGTGGGAGGTGATTGGATCATGGGAGTAGTTTTGAATGGTTTAGCACCATCTCCCTAGTCCTGTCTCATGAGTGAGTTCTTATGATGTCTGGTTGTTCAAAAGTGTGTGTCACTTCTTTTTACACTCTCTTTCTCTCCTTCTCCATCATTGAAAGATGGGCTTCCTTCTCCATCTTCTACCATAATTGTAAGTTTCCTGAGGCCTCCCAAGCAATGTTACCTGTACAGCCTATGGAACTGTGAGTCAATTAAACCTCTTTTCTTCATAAATTACCAAGTCTCAGGTATGTCTTCATAGCAGTGTGAGAACAGACTAATACAGATGATCATGACAGTTGCAAACAAAGACAGTTTTGTTTATTCCTTTCCAATCTGTATACACTTTCTTTTCTTTCCTTGTTGTATTAGCTAGCACTTCCAGTAAAATATTGAAAAGTAGTAGTGAAAGGGGACATTCTTTCCTTCCTTTTGATGTTAGTGGAAAACTTCAAGTTTCTCACTGTCAAATGTAATGTTAGCTGTAGAGCTTTTGTAAATATTATTTATCAGGTTAAGAAATTTTCCCTTTAGACCAAATTTACTGAAAGTTATTAACATGAATGAGTGTTGAGTTTTGTCAAATACTTTCTTTGCCTTTATTGATGTAATCATGTGACTTTTCTTCTTTAGCTTGTTAATGTGAATCAATTATATTGATTGATTTTCAGAAGTTGAATCAGCCTTATATACCTGTGATAAATCACCTGGGTGGTGGCATACAATTTGTTTTATACATTGCTGGATTCGATTTCCTATTTTGTTGAGAATTTTTATATCTATGTTAATTAGAGATATTGATTTCTAGTTTTCTTGTAATGCCTTTTTCTGGTTTTTGTATGAGGATAATACTGGGCCTCATAGAATGAATTAGAAAGTATTCATTCTTTTTCTATCACCTAAAATAATTGCAGATAACTAGTATGATTTCTTTCTTAAATATTTGGTCAAATTCATAGTGAAACTATCTGTACCTGATCCTTTCTGTTTTGGAATGTTATTGACTATTGATTGAATTTTTTAAATAAATATAAGCCTATTCAGATGGTCTGTTTTTTCTTGTGTGAGTTTTGGCAGATTGTGTCTTTCAGGGGATGGGTTCATTTCACCTAGGCTAGTATGTGAGACTAGAATTGTTTGTAGTATTTCTTTTTAATTGTGTTTTTAAACTTTCTAAAGAGAGAGTGTCTTGTTCTGTTGCTCATGCTGAAGTGCTGTGGCATGATTGTATTTCATTGCAACCTCAAACTCTTGGGCTCAAGGAATCTTCCCATGTCAGTCACCTGAGTAGCTAGGACTTCAAGTGTGCACCACCATACCCAGATATTTTGTTAAATTATTTTTGTAGAGATAAGTTCTCTCTATCTTGCCTAGATTAGTCTCAAATCCTGGCCTTAATTTATCTCTTGCCTTGACCTCCCAAAGGGCTTGGATTGCAGGCCTAAGTCATCAAGCCCAGCCCATAGTATTCCTTTGTTATCATTTTAACGTCCATGGGAGCTGTAGTAATTTCTCTTCTTTCCTTTCTGATATGAGTAATTTGTGTTCTCTCTCTTATGCTTTTTTTCCCACTTACCCTGTTATAGAAGTTTATGAATTTTATTGAACTTTTCAAAAAACCAGCTTTTGGTTTCATTAATTTTCTCTATTGATTTTTTGTTTTCAGTTTCATTGATTTGTGTCCTAGTTTTTATTTGTTTTTTTCTACTTACTTTGTATTTTATTTGCTTTTTCTTTTCCAGTGTTGTAAACTGGTTGACCTATAATTGATTTTATACATTTCTTTTTTCTATTATATACACTTAGTGCTATAAAATTCCCTCTAATCACTGCATTTGCTGCATTTTACAAGTTTTAATAAGCTATGTTTTAAGTTTCACTTAGTTTAATTTCTCGAGTTTTTTTTCTTGGACCCATGAGTTATTTAGAAGTATATTGTTTAATCTCCACATAGTTTGGTATTTTCCAGCTATATACCTTTCTATTATTCCTCTCTAGTTTAATTCCATTGTTGCCTGACAGCAGACATTGTATGTCTTGTGTTTTTAGACATTTGTCAAGGTGTACTTTATTGTCAAGAACATGGTCTATCTTGGTGAATGTTCCATGTGAGCTGGAGAAGAATGTGTATTCTGTTGATGTTGCATAAAGTAGTCTATCGATGTCCATTATGTCCAATTGATTGATGGTGTTATGGAGTTCAACTATGTCCTTATTGATTTTCTGCCTGCTGAATCTGTTCATTTCTGACAGAGGGCATTGAAGTCTTCAACTATAATAGTATATTCATCTATTTCTCATGGCAGTTCTATCAGTTTTTGCCTCATATATTTTGATTCTCTATTATTAGTTACATTCAAATTAAGAATTATGTCTTCTTGAAGACTTAATCCTTCTGTCATTATGTAATACCTTTCTGATAATTTTTTAACTCTGGGCCTGTGCTTACCCATGTATTACACTTCTTTATCCCTGATAATGTTCCTTGTTCTGAAGCCTGCTCTGCCTGAAATTAATATATCAATTTCCACTTTCATTTTGTTAGTGTTAGAATGGTATAATTTTCTTCATCCATTTACTTTTAATCCATATCTCTTTATATTTAAAGTAGGCTTCTTGTAGACAACATATAGTTGGGTTTTAATCCCACTATGACGATCTTTGTCTTTTATCCACTATGACAATCTTTGTCTTTTAGTTGGTCCATTTAGACTATTAACATTCAAAGTGATTACTGATACAGTTTTATTAGAATCTATCATATTTGTTACTGTTTTTTTTATTTTCTATGCTTGTTATTTGATTCTCTTTTTATCCTCCACTTATTTTTGCCTTTTGTGGTTTTAACTGAGCATTTGATGTAATTTTATTTTCTCTCCTTTCTTAACATATCACTTATACCATTTTAAAAAACAAAACATTTTTAGTGGTCATCTCAGAATTTATGATATACCTTTACCATGACTCCAAGTGCACTTTCAAATAATGCTATACCACTTCACAGGTAGTACAAATACCTTATAATGACAAAATAGTTCTAAGCCCTCCCTCCTGTCTCTCGTAACATTGCTGTCATTTATTTCACTTATATATAAGCATATATAAGTGTGTATGTATATATATACTTTATATATATTTCATATATATCCTTATATATGTGTGTGTAACACACACACAGAGACACATACATACATATAATTGAATACAATTATGCTATTGTTATTTTTAACAAACTGCTATGTGTTAGATCAATTAGGTATGAGAAAAATAAGAGTTTATTTTTTATTTTACCTTCACTTATTCCTTCTCCAATGTTCTTCTTTAGGTAGATCCAAGTTTGTGACCTATATCACTTTTCTTCTTGCTGAAGAGCTTTTTAGAACATTTCTTGCAAGGCACAACAAATTCCAATTTTTTTTGTCTGAGGCAGTCTTCATTTCTCGCTTGTTTTTAGAGGACACTTTTACAGGGTATGGGATTATAGGTTAGTGGGGTTTTTATCTCTCAACACTTTAAATATTTCACTGTTCTCTCTTCTTGCTTTCCTTGTTTCTTTTGTTTGTTTGTTTGTTTTTTGAGACAGAGTTTTGCTCTTGTCACCCAGGCTGGAGTGCAATGGTGCGATCTCAGCTCATTGCAACCTCCACCTCCTGGGTTCAAATGATTCTCCTGTCTCAGCCTCTTGAGTAGCTGGGATTACAGGTGCACACAACCATGCCCAACTAATTTTTTTTTTGTATTTTTTAGCAGAGATGGGTTTTTGCCATGTTGGCCAGGCTAGTCTTGGACTCCTGATATCAGGTGATCTACCCACCTTGGCCTCCCAAAGTGCTGGGATTACAGGTGTAAGCCACCGCGCCTGGCCTGCTTTACTTGTTTCTAAGGAGAAGTCAGATGCAAATGAGATTCTTATTTTTCTCCTCTATAGGTAAGGTGAGTTTTTTCACCTCTGACTTCTCTTTTTTGTTGTTGTTCCACCCCTTCCCAACCCCCTGACTTCTTTCAAAATTTTATCTTTGATTTTCTGTAGTTTGAAGATGATATGCCTAGGTATAGAGATTTTTTCACATTCATCCTGCTCAGTGTTCTCTGTACTTCCTGGATTTGTGGTTTAGTGTCAGACATTAATTTGGAGGAAATCCTCAATCTTTATTGTTTCAAATATTTCCTCTGTTTTTCTTTCTCTTTATTTTCCTCCTGATATCCCCATTATGTGTATTTATGCTTTGGGAATTGTTCTACAGTTTTTGGATAGTATGTCCTTTTTTTCTTTCCCAGTCTTTGTTCTCTTTGCTTTTCAGTTAGATGTCTGTTGACATGTTCTCAAGCTTAGAGACTCTTTCCTCAGCTTTGTCCAGTCTACTAAAGCCATTGAAGGAGTTCTTCATTTCTGTTGTTGTTGTTTTTGTTTTCTGGTTTTTTGATCTCTAGCATTTTGGGGTTTCTTTCTTAGAAAATCCCTATTTCTCTGCTTATATTGCCCATCTATTCTTGCATGCTGTCTACTTCATTCACTACAGCCCTTAACATATTAATGAAAGTGGTTTTAAATTCTCAGTCTGATAATTGCACCATTCCTGCCATATCTTAAGTCTGGTTTTGATTCTTAGTCTGTCTCTGCAAACCGTGTTTTTTGCCTTTTGGTACGCCTTGTAATTTTTTCTTGGTAGCTGAACATGATGCCTTGAGTAAAAGAAACTGCTATAAATAGGCCTTTATTAATGTGGTGGTAAGGTGTGGGGGAAATGAAGTGTTTTATAGTCTTATGAATAGGTCTCAGTCTTTTAGTAAGCCTGTGTCTCTGGGCTGCGAACTTCACACATGCTTCTCAGTCACATCCCCTCAACTTAGATGGGATAAGATAACTAGAGTGAGCTGAAGTTGGGTGTTTTCCTTCTTCCACATGGAAGACCAGATAGGGTTGGGACACCTCTTCCCCCCAGGTCAGTTAGTTTCTGATAAAACTCTAGCAATTTTAATTTTCAGCAACTAGCTAAATGGTTTCTCCTGAGGGCAGAACTTATTAAGAACAGAATGCACTGGTGTATTTCAAAAAAGTTCCTTCCCTTTCCTCTGTCAGAAGCACAAAGGAATTTTTCTCCTGTAATCACTGCGAGAACTTGATAAAGATCCAGGAAGTAAAACCCATAAAAGCATGAGGTCTTTCCTAAGACTGAGTCCCCCAGAAGCCTTTAGCTCTCAGACCCATCCACATGGAACTTCTGGCAATTCATCAAGTATAATTTAGGTTTTCTTCATTAGTTTCTGCTCAGGTAAGATGTGATTCTCTGTATTTGTTGGGGCAACAGTTTGACCTGTGACCTTACTTCTCTATGAATCTAAGAAAGGATATTGATTTTTCAGTTCTTTTCAGCCTCTTATTTGTTGTTAGGATGGAGTGGAAACTTCTAAGTTTTTACATGCCAAACTATAAACCAGGAGTCCTTTTTTTATTTTTTTTTAATCCAGGGGGTTAGTCCAGAATTTCAGTGTATACTAATTGTACTGAATAGAGGGAGTTTCGCTACCTGACATTTTTTGTTCAGTGAATCCTCAAATTCCAATTAATTAATATATTTCCAAATTTTATTTTAGGAGAAAGAGCATTTTAAAATTAAACCAAGTACTGTTAGAAATTTATTTGTGAAAGCTTAAGTTCACTACATATTTTGAATTAGTCCTATATCTTACAATTTTTACATTTACTATTTTAATTACAATTCTTAAGTACCAAGAAGAAATTTCAGAAATCATCACTGACCTCTTCCTTGTTTTATAAATAAAGAAACTAAATCTCAGAGAGTCTACCCATTTTTCCTTTGGTCACTTAATGACAAAGCTTCAGCTAAATCCAGGACACACATTATTCTTGTGTCGCTGCACTTCTTCCACTGCATTTATTCGAAAACAAATAAATGTTAATGTGATGATTGGGAAACTCAAGAACATATTAATTAATTAAAATGGTTTTTGAATGCCCACTATATATATCTGCCATGCTAGGTTTTGGTGATGTAAAATGAATGAATCACAGTCCTGGTCCTCAAAGATAGCCATACTGAAGGAGATGGACATGAACATAAAGAACCTCCATGCTGAATGAGAAGCCCATCACAGCCCATGATGACCTGTATAATGTGCTTCTGGGAGAAAAGAAGTCTCAAAACCTAAGGGAGATACCCAGAGTAATTTCTCTAAGGAGGTAACATTTGAGTTGTGTCTTGAAAAATGAATAGCTTTTCACCAGGGTGTTCTAGACAATAGAAATTATAATAGAGATCAATAATCAAATCCTCATTAAAAAGCTACTATGAGCTAGGCCATATGCTAGGTACAGGAGCACAAGAGTGAGCAAAGATAAAGTCTCTGTTCTTGTGCACCTTTTGTTCATTTTATTTGAAGGGTGAACTACAGGTAAGTTGTCTTTGAAAAGTGCAATGAAATGTTTGGTAAGGAGATTTGACTTGGGGGTGGAGAAAAGAGGAAAGCAGGGATACTTCCTGGAGGATAGTAGGAGAGTTAATACCTTAGGTGGCATATTGAGAGGGAAGAACATAAAGAGGCAAAGGCCATGTCATGGCTAATGGCTCTGAGCTGTAATCTGCTGCGTATAAAGATGATCTTGGCTTGGACATAAACAATGGGGATGGAAGTTACTTAAACTGGCACTAGAGAGACAAGTGGGGCCAGTTCAGGGAAGACTTTGTGGGCAACCTCAATGAAGACATTGAAGGATTGAAAAAGAGAGAGAAGTGGAACCATGAAATTTGTAGTCTGAAAAACCACTCTGACTCTATGGGAAAAGCTACAGGGATGAGAAAGACACAAAATACCCAGCAAATGAAAATAATTTATAAGGCTAGAGCTTAGAGTCTGCGGTGGGGAGTCACAGGAAACATAGGCTAGAGTCAGATCCTGAAGGAAGCCCCATCTGTTTTGGAGTAAGACTTGTATAGTTTATCTACCAGGGAATGAGGTCACTTTGACAGATTATATGTTCAGAACATAAGAATCATGCTAAAAAGATTCATTTGTATTCATAATATTGTAATTATGAATGTAGATAATGGATTGACAGATTTTACAAATATTTCATAAAAAGTTGGAAAGAAAAAAAATCTATGCCTTTCATCTAACCAGAAATGCCTGTTTTCATTTTCTGTTTTCCAGTTGTTTGAGATTGATTGAAGACCTCAATTGTGAGAAAAAACAAACTCAGAGAGGGCAGAGAAAGGCAACTGAGACCTTGCCATACAATGCCTTGGTGGGATGGACTTTCTGGTAAACCTTGTGTTAACTCCTCAAGGAAATGCCTGGGCATATACCAGAATAGTGTCTGACAGTGTGATGCAACCTAATGCTGCCTCTACTTGCTGGAATTTTACTTTGTGCCTCTGGGTGGTAATTAGGGATTGTTTGATCTGAGTCAATAAAATACTATTCAATTTCCCCTGCAGACATCAGAGATGCATTTATTACAGTAAAAATATTTTCCCATGCCACTATTTGAATTTAAAGCATACATGTCTGCTCATTTAATTTCTAGCTACTTACACCAGCTTTTTAACATATAGACTAAGTGCAAATTAAAAACACAAGGACATTACTCATGTTTCTGGAGGTAAAGATGGATGGATGTTCAGTAAATTACACCTTCTATAGAAGCTGCTATTGATGAAGCTTATGAAGTTTAATTTCTTGATTTATCTGCACTGGCTAACTCCCATGACCGTCTATATTCTGAAGCTTAGATTAAACAGATCATGCAAGAAACACCTACATTCAGAATTTGAGAAGTCCCTTTGAAAATTCAATGGAATCCTTTGTAATAAATTTCTAAATCACATATGTGTCAGATATATTGTGGTCCAAATCCTGCCATTCCATTCATTATAAACGTTCACCTTAAAGCAGAATTTCTCTGTAAAGCTGGTAGCAATCCTTTTTCACACTTCCTGTATTATTACAGAGAGGTGCCGTTTTGTGTAACAACTTATGAGGCTGCTAGTGGTAACTTCAGTTGTAGCAGCAGTAGACTTGGGGGACAGACAAAAGATCTTGCATTTGTCTGTTGATTAAGTGATAAGCACCATCAATACGTTCACAAAGAATAGGGGAGGAAATAACACCCTGACTCAATGCTGTTGCCACCTTGGGTATGTGAATCCATTGGTATTCTTGTTAATTTGATGAAATATAAGCTCTAAATTTAGAAACTGAATATTTTCTGTTTACTTCATTACACTGTATTATATGACATTAAAGAGCAGATTAAGCAAGAAGTATGATGTTTAATATAAAAAGTACTAATATTATATTTCCAGTTAAAAAAAGGTCTTCCAAACAAGTGAAGGAATTTATATGTTGTATCAAATGTCTCCAAACACCAGAACTTCTTGATATTGTTGTGATTCTTATTAGTATGAAAAAGGATACAATTGACATAGTTCATAGTAAACGTTAAATACTCTGAAAATGCATTAGTAATAGGATTTGAATTCACTCATCAACATAAAAAGCATTAAAATATTTTGTTTTGTTTTTGAGAAATAAGGACTAGCACCAAGTCAAGAGTTATATGATACAGAGAAAAATAGCAGCCCCCCTTCAAAGGGCATATAACCTTGAGGAGATTAGATATGTGCATTAACAGTTAAATAATCGAGTGGTTGAATAAGGAGTTATAGAACATATAAAACCACAGAAAATGGATGTCATGGTGCAAATGTATGATTAAATTAAAATCTAATTAGTAGTAAAGACATTAAATGCTATGAGGTCATAGGCTACAGAGTGCATGTGTGTTGTTGTGGTCAAGAAGGCTTCATGGGGAAATGAGAAATTAAGTGGCATTAAAGTAGCAGGAGGAAATGGGCAGAGGGAGAAGCAAGGGATAGGTTTTCAGAAGGGGAGAGGGAGACGTAGAGGGAGGTTACAGTAAGACTTGAGGGCAAGGAGAAGGGGGAATCCACCATTAATACCAGGCAGTGACTATATTAATCTGGACATAGTCAAACATTTATGAGGGAGAATGGTGGAAAATGGGCTGGAATGTTAGGCTGAAGAAAGCTTCGGACTCCTCCAGTTGGACCTTTATTGAAAATTTCCCCTGAATGGTAGTCTTCCACTTCCTCTCCGGGTCTCTGATGGTATATTGACTTTGGTAGAGTGTGCTGGATGTCATCAATGCCCTTGTTTGATTCATTGCCTCATATTCAGAATCAAAATGCAGAGCTTGGTACAAACTGGCTTTTACAAAAGATGCAGATGACTGCAAAATCAAAGTTTCTGGAATGTGCATCTGTTTGTCTTTTATCTCAACCGTCTGTTGGGCACTTACACTGAAACCCTGCTACTCTTCCCTCTAATCAGGTCTACAATGAAATTCTGCTTCATTCTGAATGCCTGTCTTCCCTATATTTGTTGGAGGCACTTCAAGGCAGTTCCATTATCACAGCTGCCTGAGCTGAAACTATTCTCCAATACACATAAGATGACTAAATAATTTATCATCCAAGTGAAAGGAGTGTTATCAATAATTCTTCTGGGACAACAGATATAAATTGGATGATTCTAGGGAAACAGGGCTAACAGTTACACTATTCAATTTTTCTGTCATTGTGTTCTGTCAATTCCTTATTTTAATTATCTTAATTTTTCTCCTTTTTCTCTCATTGCTTCTGTATCAATCCCCACACTGAGTTCAACTGCACCCTCTGTACTTTCTTGCTAGTCACCTGCCCCTCTCCCTTCATTCCATCCTGACACAGGCAAATGTACCTAAAACTCTATTTTGAGTGTTACTCTCTTGTTCAAGAACCTACAATGAGTCTTCAATGTTTCTCCCCAAAAGAATGAAATTTTCAGCTGAGCACAGTGGCTCACACCTGTAATCCCAGCACGTTGGGAGGCCAAGGTGGGGGGACTGCTTGAGCCCAAAAGTTTAAGACTAGCTTGGGCAGTATAGTGAGATCTTGTCTTTACAAAAAAAATTTTTTTAATTAGCCAGGTATGGTGGTGCGTACTTGTAGTCCCAGCTACTTGAGAGGCTGAGGCGGGAGGATTGCTTGAGCCCTGGAGGTCAAAGCTGTGGTGAGCCAGGATTGCACTACTGCACTCCAGCCTGGGCAACAGAATGAGACCCTGTCTCAAAAAAAGTAAATAAATAAATAAATAAACTTTTCTTTCTGGCTCTTTAGGACCAGCTTGATCTACATGTACCTACCTGTTCTTATTTTCTACTGTTCCCAACTACAGCGCTGGATTTTCAGGATTTTCCATAAATACTCTTCCTTCCTTCCTTCCTTTTTATTTATTTATTTTTGCTTTTGCAAGTACTGATTATCCACATCTACATCATGCCCTTTTATTTTTTTTCCTAATCAAGTTACTGTATAATCTTTAGAGCCTTCCCTGATACTGAACTCTTCTTTGAACTTCTTAATAATCTTACATTGAATCCTTGACAAACCACTAAGCTTTTGAGTTCATGTTTTCTTTTGCTACCATGATTTCAGGTTTGTTTTCTTAAACAATTTCTCCTTAAACTAGATTGTTAATTCCTTGAGGATACAGAATGGGGTGTCATATATCATTCACATAAGGGTATTTTTGAATATATGATGAGAGATGTGTCTTTCCCATCAAAATCTCTTCTTTTTTTTTTGAGACAGGGTGTGGCTCTGTTGCCCAGGCTGAAGTGCAGTGGGGTAATTTCAGTTCACTGCGACCTCCACTTCCTGGACTCAATCAATCTTCCCACCTCAGCCTACCCAGTAGCTGGGATCACAGGTGCAAAATCTCTTCTTATTCCACTCCTGCTTAATTTGCCCTTGACCACTTCTAAAAACCAAAAGAAGACCAAAAAAAAAATCAAGCATCTATTTTCATTTCACAAGTATCTACCCTGTAAAACCTAAAGTAATGGTATTCTCTCCCTACTAAGTGAAACAAATACATTCCAAGATGTGAGGTATTATTACTGTTCTCAGTCTTCAAAGTCTACCCAATTCAGCAGAATCATTCTCAGATGGCCACAGAGTTTGCTTTCTTATGCATAATGGATTCATATACAAAAATTTTCTGACCAGGATTATTCCTGGTAAAATGTAAATCTGGTGTTGTTCCCTGTGCTTTTATATGTTTCTATCTTTAAGCTCGAATGTAATGCCTTACATAAACCTGCATGTTTAGGGTGGAGGGGATGGTGAATTTAATTCAAATGTAATGCAAATGTAATTCCCACTACAATATAGATCTTCAGAGGCCATGAATAATATTCCTCCTGAAGCCCTCTTGTTGATTAATTCAGGGAGGGGGATTAAGGATTCAAACTGGTGTACTTAATGTGATTTAAAAATGTAAACAGTGCACTGAATGGGTGTTCTGTCTCTTGATTGGTTACCTGATATACTTCATTAGCTAATGTCCTCTTAAAAGAGGAGATGGGAGGTGAGGGGTTTATAGGTGGTATAAAATAGCAGTCCTTGGGTGTGATATTCTCTGCCTCTTCCTTTGTCTCCTTCCGTGGTCCTCTTGGCCCTGTGAAGACACACGGCCAATGCTGGAAATTGAGTCTGCTGGGCTCTCCATTTGGTTCACTGGCCTGGCTGTTTACCATCAGCCTTTCTTGCCTGGTCACCTTGGTCCTTGATTCAGTGTCTGTGATCCATGGAACTTGTGATACATGGTCATACATGGTGGGTCAGAAGTTTTAAACCTCAGGAAAGTGGGGGCCACCATCCCATGTCACTGTGAGGCCATCACAAGTTGGCTCTGTTCTAGTATACCTACGTAGGTTACAGTGAAAGGCACTCCACCTTGCTGTTTCCCTCAAATTCTAGGACCTGCCTTTTTTAAAAATTTCTATTCAAGAAAGAAAGGAAGCCTTGATTTTCTACTTCTGACTTCCATTTTCTTTTCCCTATTTACCTCTGAACAGGAGAAAAATAAAGTAAGCTTTTTTTCCTCTATCTATACTCCTTCTTCCTGGTTTTAGCAGTGGACTAGGCACTCTAGGAGCTGGAGTCTCCAGGTCTGGGGCCTAGAAGTGTTTAAAGAGAACGTAACCTCCCTGCACATAAAGCCAGCCTTTCATTACAATTGTCTTACAAGGAGACCGAGTCCCAGCATTCTCCTGCCCTAAACCAGATTTAACAAAGCAAATTAATACCATCAATTTAATTATATTTAAAAAATAAATATCTTGATTATACACAAAGTCAATGGAATACCTCTTCTTTTTCATTGATGGAAAAAATTTCTCACAAAATATACTCCTGAGTGAAGGCATTGGTTTTCATAATTAGATCCTAATAGTATGTAATTATAAAATTATTTCTTACAATTATACAGTCATATATGTATGGCTATAAAAATGCAAAGCTTAAGCATCAACGATCATTGCAGATACCCCACATATCTTAAAAGAAGTTAAAAATGCCAGCTTCATACATAGCATCATTCTGAGCAATAATTATTACTACTGTTAATTACTTATCTATTATACCCTAAAATTATTTACTCACAACCATGACATTAATAGTATACTGCTTGGAATTTCACCAGATAAAGACAGCCTGCTAATTCTTTCATATTCTCTCTTTTCTTTTTAATACAATATTCATTCAGTATTTGTTAGAAAGCTGCTTTGAACCAAGCCTTTCATGGGTAAAGCAACAGAAATAATAAATATGGGTCCTCAATCAGAGGAACTCACATACTTTTGTATACCAAGTATTTTCTATACTATCTTCCTCCTTACTTTCATTTAATTTCATAATATAACAGTTTCCCAAATCTATGGCAGATATTTCTCTGAATGATGATTAGAAATGAATAGCAGAGTCTAAGTCTCGTAGTTTTCTTTTGGATAACTATTTTATCCAAAAGATTATCCAAAAGATTAATGATTCTGCTTTTCATTTATATGCTTAGTTGTTCATTCTAATTTTTACATATTCATTTGTTCATTCATTCATTCCATAAACATTTATTAAGCAATGACTGAGTCCACTGCTGTAGTTGGCCTCTAGACTTAAACCATCTATCTTGGCCTTCAAAGTGATCTGTCTACTGAGTTATACATATGATAATGCTATAATAGAGTAATGCAAATATGAAATAAGGGAAGGGGATTGAGTCTGCCCAGGGTCAGATAGGAATGCTTCTCAGAAGAGTAAATAACTTGTACTGAATGTGGAAGGAATAGAAGCATGTGAAATAGTTAAGTTGGAAAAGGCAGTCTTGTCCAAGTGAACTGTACAGATAAAGGAGTGGAGGCTTGAGCAAGCAAAGTTTCTTAAAACGTGAAATACAGAGTATGCCAAAGAGCCTATTCCAGTTTTGTTGGGCATAAAAATGTGCCCAGCTACAAGATGGCATTTCCTGTCCTTCCTTACAGATAAGGGTGAACAGTGGCAATGTGCCCCAGGCTTGGTTAATGAATTATAATTGGTAGTTGTATAGTGAGGCTTCCTGGCAAACTCCTTACAATAGGAGGAGGCTCACCTGGACTGAATCTTTTGCCCTTTGCACTTTGGCCTTCTGTTCTTCCTGCCTGTGATATAAACACGATGCCCAGAGGAAGAACAATGCCCTGTGACCATATAGCAACAAGCACACTCTCAGAAGGGCTGAGCAGAAAGACGCAAGGAGCCTGCAGCCCTGAGATAACATGGAGTAGTTCCGCCTGCCAGCCTACACTGTCCATCTGAGACCTCTCATGACTGGAGGGAAAGGTTCCTTAATTAAGCCACTTGTTTTCAGATTTGTGTTACTTGGGAAAACTGATGGTGTGAACCTGAACAGGCTGGAAGAAGCAGACATTTCTGAATAACACCCTCGTAGGTTCAGATTCTGATTCCAGTCATCTAAATGGCACCTAGGAATTCCAACTTTACTTTCTGATGTATGTGGTCCTAAGATAACCTTCATTTAAACAAACAAACCAAATTTAATGAATGTCGAAAATAAAAAACTCTCTCAAATTTGTGGATGTGGAGCAATTGATGTGTTTGCTATAGTAGGCAGGATAAGTATTCTTTCTCTTTCTCTTCCTCTGTCTTCGTACAACACATGGGGAGAGAAGATGGCTATTCACAGTTAACAAAATCCAAATCTATGATATCTATGTTATGGTATAAGACTGATGGAGAAAACATTGTATATTTAATTTAGCAACCCTTAAGTAGTGCTTACTATATGACAGGGACAGTTCCAAGAACTTAACAAGCATCCATCCATTTAAATATCATAAAAACTCTACAAGGTAGGAGCTACCATTATCCCAAATTGTAGATGTGGAAACTGAGGCGCGGAGATGTTAAATAACTAGGTCATACAGCTATTTAGACACTGTACTATATCTTGAATTTTTAACCATTGTAGATTTATCATTTGTGTTTCAACTACTCATCAGTGACCATAAAAAATCAGTAATAGTCAATTAAAATGAGAACAAAGATATTGCTGCCATATGCTCTGAGATATAAACATCTGTAGAAATAAAAATATTATAATGAGGGCATCTAGCACGAATGAATCTTATGGGTTGTGATGTTGGTTTTGATAAAGCAAGTAACTTAGCTAGCCTAGCTAATCTCCAAACATCTGTTTCTTAGTTTAACTTCTGGATTTTATAAATTTGGGAATTCTCAAAGGTCTAGAGTTGTAACCAATGTAAATATTATGGATCTACAGTAGCATTTTCTCAAATATATTATTTTTTCCTTAAACAGTTGTTCCACAAGATGTTAAATTTAAAAAGGGCTTCCTGTTTAAATAAATTTGAAAAATATTAGGCTATACAAAGTCTTTACTGCCAGATTTATGGGAATCTTTGCTGCCAGATTTATTGAAATCTTAATAAGAAAAATCCAATTGTAAATCTCCAAGAGTAAAATATATGTAGCATTTTCTGAAAAATTGACCATGCAATCCTTTTTTTCTCAGAGTATTTAATGACAGCATTGTTCCATAGAATACTGTGTATTCCAAATTTAAAAATGTATTTTGTACAACTTGAAGTAATATTTTAAGCAGAACTATTCATAAAAGGTATTTTGCAAGCTGAGGGTATCTTTGGTATGTGTAGTCATGTAGATCAGAGACAGGAGGAATAAAAAATTGCTAAATGTAATTTTCTCTCCTTACCAGCAAAAAAGCACTGTTTTAGGAATAATTTGTAAATATTTACTATACTTTTTAAATTCCTTACAATTTATTTTAGCATTTTGTTCTAAAATTTTTCTGTTCCTGGCTTTGAAGAGTTCTGCTGTTTCCCCTTTGGGTTCTGCAAGATCTAGTGTTTTGGGTCTATTTGAGTTTCTTTTTCTTTCTCTAATCATAAAACTGTAACTATAAAGCATAAATATGGAAGATTCATCTTGTTCATCCAGCCAGTAGACATCTTTCATCATCTGAAATAAGTGGGAGAAACAATCTTAATGTATGCAGGATAAAAATCAAATTATATTTTTCTTAATGAGCTAAATAAGCAGATAAATGTTTGTTATGGATAAACAGCTTGATACATAGTAAATAATACGCCTGAACTTATCTGCTAAGGAGAATGCTCTCATTAATGTTGATGTTGTACTATTTTGGTTTCATCAAACATGAAACAAAATGTTAATAACTTATTTGATTATGTTAAACTCAAAGCTCTGAAAAGATTGCTTTGCATTTAATAAGAGGTGCAATAAAGCATTCATTTAGATATTTTTCAATTTTTTTAAATCTTAAAGATAATAAAGGACTGCCTAAGTCAACCAATTCAGTCTGGGTCCTGTGTAGACTTGTTAAATATCAGAACACTGACTTCTTGCATAGCTTGATTTAAAATATTTCTCATTTGAACTGTTTTTCTTCTCTCTGGAGAATATGTGTTTCTTAGGGAAGGAATATTTTGAAGCATTATTCTCATGTTGCTTGCTCTTCCCTGTGTTTGAATGTGTATTTGTGTCTCTCTCTTTTTTTAAATTTTCATTCTTGGAAGTCAGATCTTTTTTACTGTGTGATATTTGTGTTCATTGTTTTATTTTTAGGAAAGAAAATGGCTATATATTAATATTAATTACTACTGTTATTTATTTATTCCCAAATATACTACATAAAGAGGATATGAAGATAAGTTAAAGGCATGCTAAGTTGTTTTAAGAAATGTCCCATCATTTTTGGTAGATAAGTGGTAAAAAAAAAATGATAAATTCTATCAATGCAATCATAAGATCTATAATAAAGCAGAATTTTCACTTCCCCATTACCCTCCAACAAAAATTCCCAGTCTTCTGTTTTTTGTGCTGGAATAAAAATTAAGCGAATTCTGGATACTGGCATATTCTCCAAGTTTTTTTTATATCCTTCTGCCTCATATCTTTGCATAGTTATCACCAAGCTGTGTTTTCTCTTTCACCTGAAAGAAGTGAATAAAGAATTAGATTTATATTCACCAAACTGAAAGCAAGACTTTCCTTGTGATATGTTATATTTATTATAATTAATTATTTTTTATAATGAGTAAATATTCTATACTCAGAAATAAATAATTTTTAAAAGTAGTAAATTAAGGGGCACTTGATATAAAAGTCAATTAATATAACAGCTTTTAAAAATCCAAATATGCATAATAATGAAGATGCCTGCTTACAGAAATGGAAAGATGATAAAATGCAAGATATAAAGCAGTTTTATAATATAATATCACTTACTTATATGTTCAGTAAAACAGGAGCAACTCAATGTTGTATCAATATTACAAATGCCAATAATAGCTATTTCTGGGTAGTAGAATTATGATTCAAGCATTTCTCTTTGTTTTACTTTATTGGGCACTTTTTTGTTTCTCTGTATTTACGAATTTTTTTCTTACAGTGGATATGCAATGAATGCATGACTTTAAAAAACTAACATGAATTGTAATTGACCTAATAAGAAGAAAAGAGGCAGGAGATTGTGGAGGCAGGGAAGGCATGCAGGTGGAGAATAAGGGGAGAGGCAAGCATTGGTGATAGGAGCCTGGGTAAGAGAATGTTGACATGGGAACCAATGCGTTCCCTGACGTTTGGAAACAGTAGAACTGTGTTGAAATTCAAGCTCCATATGATAAATATGGACAAGTTCCTCGACATCTCCAAGGCTGTCTAATTGTAAAATTGAGATATCTCCAAGGCACCTTATAGAAACTGGATGAGATGGTTACGAAAAACAAGTAGCACCATGTTTCTCACAAAGGTAATGGCAAACAAATGATAAGTAGGCTGATATAATCTTTTATGATGTGATAAATCCTTCACTTTTCATCAACACCAGTGCCTTCCTATACTCAGTCTGAAGTAACTGCCACCACTATTAGCCCAGGGAAAGAAGCCCTAAAGAATCTAGAGCCAGTGGTAGAGAATGCATCCATTCTCCCCGAGGTGCCATCCAAATCCAGAATTCTAGATTAGCGTCTGCAAATAATCCCCATTTTCAATATTTATTTACAGGAACCATTTCCCCATTTATTTTAGAAAACAATTCATCTAACTAGTAAATAAATGTTGGTTTTGTGTGTGCTACTTTTACAGTGGGCCAGAAGTAACTAACAGAATCAATGGCACATTGGTACTTTGGATCCCGAGGGGAATGGTTAACTTATGAGGCAAAAATTGAAGGTGCTCAAAAATAGTTTGGATACTTCTGAAAAGAAATTATTATGATGTATGAAGGAGAAGGCAGACGAGATGCCCTTGAAGTTCTTCCTAACTCTAAACACAAATGATTTCATGATTTTTGTCGTAAAACATAATTAAGATTTTTATTTCATTTTATTTTTTTATTTTTTTGAGACGGAGTCTCACTCTGTTGCCAGGGTGGAGTGCAATGGCGCGATCTCGGCTCACTGCAACCTCCACCTCCCGGGTTCAAGTGATTCTCCTGCCTCAGCCTCCCAAGTAGCTGGGACTACAGTCATGCGCCACCACGTCCAACTAATATTTGTATTGTTAGTAGAGATGACGTTTCACCATGTTGGCCATGATGGTCTCGATCTCTTGACCTTGTGATCCACCCACCCGCCTCCCAAAGTGCTGGGATTATAGGCATGAGCCATCGCACCCGGCCATGATTAAGATTTTTAAACTGTATGTCATAGATTTTAGTAGTCAAGTATACATGTGTTAAATACATCCTATTCATCATTATTTTTTGGTGTTTCTCTCTCATTATGTGCTAATGTGTGCCTTTGAGAGCCTCCTTTTTCTATGCTTTTGCACCTGACCAACTCCCAGCTGACATGTCTTTTTACTATGTTAACATCTTTAGTCTAATAATTGTCAAATTTTGCAGATGTATGTCATTTTTTCTTCTTTGCAGTGTCTTTTCATATTCCCCTGATGTGTTTCTAACTGCTTGACTCTGAGCAATCTCATTTCCCTTATTTTCAAGTGTTTACGGGACTGACCCGGAAATAACTGATAAATTATTGATGAACAAATTCTATTCAGATATTCACTTACTGTGTTGTTCATTTTTAAATTTAAAATACTTAAAGATGGTCTATATAGTTATGATTTTTTTCTTAGATATGAACAACATCCAAACAATAGAAATTAATGTTTCCTGTTTGATAAACTTGTTCACATTTAACATTTGGAGCCTTAAAATTTATTTTTGAAATACCAGAGTTATTTCTTTGGAGCTAGGGAAGTGAGAAGAGTTGAATTTAGTAGCCAAATGCCAAAACATTATGTGAAAATCAAATTAGAAATAGGAGGATTTTCTTGTCTTTCAACAGCTGGTAGAGCCTCACCCTGAAGAAGCCGTGGCAGATTTTTATGCCAAGTCTACAATTAAGGAGGAAGAAATAATAAATACTGCCCCAGCTCTCACACACACTAAACACACATTCATGTACATGTACATATACATCCCCCACACTTCCTCTGTCTTCTAAATAACTCAAATTTTCAAAAGGAAAAATGAATATGATAAGAGAGATCACATTGTCTTCAAAGATGCCAAGGAAAAACCTCATAACAACAAATTTAAGTATATAAATAAATTTATAAAAGAACATAATTTTAAATGCAATTAAATTAATGAGTGCTAGAGTCACACAGTTCAAAGATATAGTCCTGTAACTGATTTAAGAAAGGAATTGCCATGCATTTTTTTCTTATTTTTTTATTTCCCTCCACATGAACGCTCTGAAATCCATAGCATACATTATACCTGTTATATACAAGCCCCTCTAGCTTTATATTATTTTCTTATGTGTCCTCTAACGTCAATATTTTTCCTTCGTATTTATAGGCTTCCACCCTAGTGTGTCTAATATGTGGCCTTGGACATATGTGTACTACTGAAACATACATATGCCGTGGAAGTTTTTGTAATACAGACCTTCTGTCTTCCTTAATCAATATTGTGTCTTAACTCATGTGTGGCAGATCAAAAGTGGACAAAAATTCATGGACACTCCTCCCACGAAGAGGTAGATGCAAGTTCCTTACCTCAGTTCTGGGTGGGCTCTGTGAGATATTTGGCTAATAGAATATGGCAGAATTGACACTGTGCTTGTTTCAGAACCCAGGCCTTAAGAAACTGGCATTTTCTACTGCCTTAGATTGTCCTCTGTGGGAGTCCTGAAATACCATGTATGTAAGAAGTTTACCTACCCTGAAATGGCAATGCTGGGGAGGCCACAGGTAGGCATTCCAGTTGACAGCCCCAGTTGGGTCTAATCTTGTAGCCATCTCTGCCAAGGCACCAGGCATGTGAGTGAAGCTGTCTTGTGTGATGCAGACCAACCTTTCTACTATTAAATACCAGGTAGTGACCCCATTTAATACTATGTTGAATAAAGGCATCATCCAGGGGGTCTTGCCCAAATCTCTGACCCACAAAACTGTGAGATAATAAATGGTTGTTTTAAGTCACTAAGTTTTGGGGGTAGTTTGCTACTCAGCAACAGATAACCATGACAACATTCTATCTTATTTTGTGTTTTCTATTTTCAATCCTTTTCTCCTTTTCTGCCTTCCATTGGGTAGATTAACTCTTCTTATGCTAATCTTAAAGTTATATATTCTCTTGTATTCTACTGGCAATTATCATAATGTTATCCAGCATTTGTTACTAAGAACAAAATTCTCTTTAGCTAGTTTCAGTTAATTACAGAGTTCTAAATGTTTTATGGACTCACTAGGAGGACTGAGGAAACATTTGAGTTACATTTTTAGAAACAATTCAGGGAAATTCTTACTCATTGTTTCTTCAAATACTTATTCCCTTCTATTTATACAGTTTTCCTTCTGTGATTCCTATTATTCAAGTATGAATACTTTCTTAATCTCTCAAGTCTTCTCTTATATTTTCCATTTCTGTCATTCCATAATGCCATTTGGATAGTTATGTCCATCAATTCTTTAAACCTATGCATTCATTTTGAGCTGTATCCATTTTGATATAAATCCCACATATGGGATTCTTTCAACTCTCACATTTTTCAAAACCAATTGGTTATTTTTATAAATGTTTGTTTTCTGCTTCATATTTACCAATGTCTGCTCTTAGTTGTTTAAAGATACTAAGCTTATTTTACATCCTCGTTCTCTCTGATCCATTGTTTTTCTTGTGATATAAGCTCTTTGGTTTGTTGGCTTTCTCTTCTGTTGAACTCCTCAGATTCTTCTTATTTTCTCTGTATGCTTATATTTTCCTAGGGGTAGAAGCTTACAATAGCAAGTGTGGCAGGCAGACTGTAAGATGGCTGCCAGTGATTGACATCTGCCTCCAGTATTCTCACATTTGTGTAATCTCCTCTCCTTGAGTGTGGGCTAGACCTAGCAACTTGTTTCTAGTGAGAATATGGCATGGAATATTCTCAGAATTTGATTATTTAAAAACTAAGTTCTGTCCTTTATTGCTCTCTCACTTGCCCAATCTGATGGAAGTCATTTGTCAAGTGCTGAGCTTCCTTATGGAGAGGCCACATGGCAGTGGACTGAGGAAGGCCTCTGGTCAGTAGCCTGTGAGAAACTAAATTCTGCCAACAAACATGTGAGGGAGTTGGGAAGCATATCCTCGCCTAGCTGAGTCTTCTGGTAAGCCCACAGCTCTTGCTGACACCTTGATTACAACACTATGAGAGGCGTTAAGGTAGAGCACTCGGCAAAGCCAAACCCAAATTTATGATCCACAGAAACTGTGAGATAGTAAAATTTTATTGTTTTGAGACACTAGGTTTTGGGGGTAATTTTGTTACACAACAATAAATAACAGTTACAGCAGATGAAATATATCTCAAGAGAAGGTGAAACCCTACACCCTATTTCCTACATGCCTGAGGGGAGAGAGTCTCTGGGATACACATACATATACATATTAAAATACAGCCTCAGCTTCCTACCTTGCCATCCCTCTACTAAGTTACCATTCCCTTTAGGAGGCCATCCAGTATTAATGCCTAGAGGAATGCTTTTCCCTCATTCTTCTTCTTCAAGTATAATCATCTACTTATTGTGGTGTGAGAGGTAAAAGGGGAACAGAGAACACTCACGTCTGAACTTATTGTTAGGTCTTTTCTGTTTTCCACCTCACAATGGTAGTAGGGCAGGCACTGACCCACTCACAGAAATATGAGCAAGAGAAATTCTCTTTTGTTCTTACATTGGAATGATAGTTTGGCTGAGCAAAGAACTCTAAGATCTAAATAGTTTTTCTTTAGCACCTTGGAGACTTTGTTTTCTAGCAACCTACATCACAGCCAAGAATTCAGATGTGAGGTAGTTCTCCTTTCTTTTAAGCAATCTCTTTTTCCCTTTGGAATCACAAGGATATGTTTATCTTATCTTTTATTATTTATTCTATATTTTCTCTATTCTTTCCTTCGGAAACTCTAATATAAGAGAAATGTTATTTTGGGTCTATCCTCCATGTCTCTTAAACCATATAGTTGGTATTAGGTCAGAATTGTTACTTACGTGGCCACGTTGTAAAAGATAGGAGTTGGTACAATTTTTATGGAAATATCCATGCAATAACTAATCAAATTTAAAATAAGCTTACAAGTAGCTCAAAAAATCACCCAAAAGAGCTAATATGTAAGAACACATATACAGATATTGAAGGACTTTTGTCTGCAATAGAAAAACTCATGAATTTTCGCTAATGCAAGGATGGTTGAAAAAATTATGGCATCTACTATATACTCTATAGAATAGTATGCACCTATAGAATGAATTACATTTAAATATTTACTAAATTATTTTCTTTAATATCTGTGAATATATTCAGTGAAATGTTATTGCTTTTAATTATTTTTAGGGAAGAAAAAAATTGAAAGAACAAAGACTGTAGAGATGAATGTTCAAATCATAGGCTTTGAGCTTTTCTGATGGAAAGCTCTTTATCTGGTGCTTTTGTGTCCCATTCTTGGAGCGATAAGGTTTTGGGCTATTTTCACAGATCTACACAGCTGGGAGAAAAAAGTCCCTCCCAGATACTTATTAAAAGTCCTGTTTCTACACCCTCCCTCAACAAACACATTAAGTAGGTAATTCTTTCCCTGAGTTGACAATCCTTATTTCCCCAACAGCCAATTTCACAAATCACTGCAGAAATCTATGATATCTAGATTTCTGAGAAGTGCTGAGAAGATTAGAAATATTTAAATTTTATTAGACTGTCAAACAGCTCTTTTCACTGTCATTTTCCATATCAACTTGCTAAAAGAGTTAGGACTGTTATTTTTTAGTATCCTGGAAACAACCAAAATGAGTGATTGAGGCATAAGCCTCTAATCATTGAGGTTTATTGAATCAGCCTGAGAGCACACCTGGGAAAAATGCAAGCCTCAGATGCATCTGTGGCTGTTTTTTCCAAAGATGTTTTCAGGAGGTTTCATATTCATACACTTTCCTTAAAAAAGAAAAGGTAGCACTGAAACTTTGGCTAGTGCTCAGTAAATCTACATTTTATATAGAATAAGGTGAATATATGAAGAGAAAGCGAGTAGAGGAAGCACACATCTTAGAGAAGGGGTGAAGGAAGATAAATCTCATCTTGTCTTTGTTCTGTGCCTGGGAAGGTAAGCTTACCTGAAGAAGCTGGCTTCTTTTTAGCGCTTAGGGGAAGAAAACCTAATGACCGTTAGTAAGGGAGGGGATATAATGAAGCTTATCTGATCTCCCAGCCCCTCCCAGCCCTGAAATCAGCTTCCAAGATTTCTCTGGTGTTCTCTTGGCCAAGAGGGTATCCGTTCAGTCAGTTGAGAAGCTTAGAATTTTGTTTTTATTTCCCACTGGTAAGCCCTGTCAAACTGGGGCTTAACATGAGTCTTACAAAGAACAAATAAGACAATTTCAGAATGTCAATTTCTTGATAAGTGACTCAAAAAGCATAAGAATGGAGATTCAGGAACGCTGCAGACCATAAAAAAGCCTTTTTAAATTTGGAGAACCTTTTATAACAACTCAGTTATATTTAACACTCTAATTTCAGAGAACAGAATGAGAAAAAAATAGTCATATCTAGGATTGTGCTAATGTCAGATGGACACTAAATATTGGCAGGGGTAGGAAATAATAAAATGGCAATGTGAGTTCCCTTTAACTCTTTGGGTCAACCTAAGGGGAAAAAATGTATTTGAAGAGAAACATTCCACTTAGAGGAATAACCCTTGAGGAAGCAATCCCCTTACTTGAAAATGAGCCCAGGAAAGGCTTTGAAAAATGTTGATGAAAAGAGTCAAACTGTAAAATATTTAAAAAGTTTCTCTGTAGTCAAATGTGAGTGACCATGGTCCGAGGCATAGTCTCAAGAGGTCCTGAGAACATGTGCCCAAGGCTGTTGGATTATAGCTTGATTTTGTGTTCTAGAAAGATATTAGACATCAATCAATATATGTGAGGTATATGTTGGTTCAGTCCAGAAAAAGGGGACAACTTTAAGTGGGGGTGGGGAAGGGGGTTCATGTAGGTGGGGTGGGATTTACAGGTCATGGTGGATTGAAAGATTTTCTGATTGGCAGTTGGTCAAAAGAGTTAAGTTATTCTCTAAAAACCTGGAACTGGTAGAAAGGAATGTCTGGGTTAGGATAGGGGTTATGGAGACCAAGGTTCTTATTATGTAGATGAAGTCTCATAGGTGGACACTTTTAGAGACAATAGATGGCAAATATTTCCTATTCAGACCTTTAAAACATGCTAGACTCTCAGTTAATCTCTTCAGGATTGGGAGGGCCTGGAAGGGGAAAGATTTAGTTATGTTAATAGAGAGTCTTTACAGATGCAAGTTTTCCTCTACAAAAGATGGCTTTTCAGGGCCATTTCAAAATATGGCAAAATGGAATATGTTGGGGTAAAATATTTCGATTTTCTTCTTTATCCCTCATGTGATGTTATGCCAGAATCAGCTTGGAATGTAAACCACATTATATAGGGTTACATAAAACCCATCTGATGAGATTTTGTGGTTTGTAGGGCACGACTCCCCAGGCCCCTTAGATAGGAATTTGAGCAAGAGAGGAAAAAAAGTCAGAGTTTAGTCCTCAAAACCCTACTATTCTCCCTGGCATTCAAGTCCACAACAATATTTATTTCATCTGTCGGATACTTGGACTAAATGGAATTCACAAGATTGTTGAATTGTAGCCATATATCTAAACAAACAACTGGTACCTTGGCAGGAAGATATAAACATTATGGAATTTTACATCCATCTTATTTGGGAGTTCCATTGAGACAAGAAGGGGCATCTCCTGCACCTGAGTTGATAGGCTTTCACATTTTTCCATTCTCCCAATGAAATGCAGCTGTTAGGTACTGATGAAGCTGAATAAGTAAGACACAGTTCCTAATCACATGGAGTGCCCAGTGTAAAAAAAAAATAAAAATAAGAATAATTAGCTGGGCTGGGCTTGGGCACACTTGTGGAGAGCATTTTAGGTCCTTAGCTTGCCCATTTCACAACTGTCACTTCCTATAATCCTGTTCTTTCTGCTCTGCCCACATGAAAACCTGTACTTAGTTTGACCATCATCATCTTCTAGCGTGGAGTAGAGCAGCAGCACAGGACAGACTGAAAATATTGGATCAACTCCAGAAATTTCTCCAGCTTTCCCTAGAAAATAACATTTAATGTTTTCCTGTAGAGGACCAATCTTAACTTCTGAAACTGCAGCTTCTGAGGTGATAAATGGTGTCTCAGAAGTGTAGACCCGGAGCTGAATCCTAGCCTTTCACAGAGCAGTGATTGAATCTGGAACTTCTTCCTGCAACTGGTCTTCAATCCTAGAGGCTCTTGGAGTGATCAAAGCCACCAGAGCTCACATTTAGGAACCAGCTGATGATCATTTTTCACCCACTTTGATTACAGTGATGACCCTAAACAAAAGAAGCTTCCAGAAGGCAAGAGGGGGATCATGACTTTACTGTGGTAAATCAGGTTTTCTGGCCTGGTCACCATCTGCTTCTTGTTAAAATGTTTCTTGTGTCCAGCTTTAAAGGGAGCTTCATAAGGCAGAAAGCAAAGGCCTCTGAAGCCAAGACAAAGGAAACAAAAAGCTGAAGCAAATGTAGAGCAAAATTGTCTCTCCATGCTTGCCAGTCATCCTATTAAGTGTTGTTGCCACCTTTTATCTGTAAAGGCATCAACATTTTACAGCAATCTTGGTCTTTTCCCTTAGGCCCTTGCCTAGCTGCACAGCTTGAAGGATGTGATTCATCCAGAGTAGAAGAAGCAGCTAAAGCTCAGAGGTGTGTAGAGCAGTGCCCCTGGGCACATACCAAGGTCGTATAGGGCTGGAACTTGGTTCTCATCCTCAGTCAACATTGCCTACCAAGATGAAAGAATACTTTTGCCATGTGGCCAATGCCTGCTGTTTGGGCATAGCTTTACCTAAATCTTGCTCCTGAGGTGTGAGGAGATGAATCCTGTTCAATAAAGCCTCTGCCTTCCCCCTCAGTGGTGCCTTTCCTCCAACAGAAATACAACTTGTCTCTTAACTAGTCTCTGTACTTCTCATCTTTCCCCCAGCACATTGGTCTCACTTTATACAGCAGCAGCCAGAATAATTTTTGTAAAGCACAGATCTGCTACTGCTTTTACTTCCTGCATCTCCCCCAATGTTTAGCGTATGATTTACATGGCCCTTTATAATCTGGGTCCCACTGACCTCTCTCCCCTCACTCCATTTTTTTCCCCAAACCCCATGGTTGATATGGTTTGGCTCTGTATCTCCACCCAAATCTCATCTTGAATTGTAATTCCCATCATCCCCATGTGGCAAGGGAGAAATGGGTCGGGGGAGGTGACTGGATCATGGGGGCAGTCTCCCCCATGCTATTCTCATGATAGTGAGTGAGTTATCACAAGAGCTAATGGTTTTAAAGTGTGGCACTTCCCTGTTCTCACTCACACACTCTTCTGCTGCCTTGAGAAGAAGGTGCCTGCTTTCCCTTCTGCCATGACTGTAAGTTTCCTGAGGCCTCCCCAGCCATGTGGAGCTGTGAGCCACTTAAATGTCTTTCCTTTATAAATTACCCAGTCTCATGTATTTCTGTATAGCAGTGTGAGAACAGACTAATACAGTAAATTCGTGCCGGGAGTGGGGCACTGCTATAAAGATGCCCGAAAATGTGGAAGCGACTTTGGAACTTGGTAACAGGCAGAAGTTGGAACAGTTTGGGGGGCCTCAGAAGAAGACAGGAAGATGTGGAAATGTTTGGAACTTCCTAGAGACTTGTTGAATGGTTTTGACCAAAATACTGATAATGATGTGGACAATGATGTCCGGGCTAAGATGGTCTCAGATGGAGATAAGGAACTTCTTGGGAACTAGAGCAAAGGTCACTCTTGCTATGCTTTAGCAAAGAAACTGGCAGCATTTTGTGCCTGCCCTAGAGATCTGTGGAACTTTGAACTTAAGAGAGATATCTGAAATTGGAACATTCGTTAAAAAGGGAAGAAGAGTCTAAAAGTTTGGAAAATGTGCAGCCTAACAATGTGATAGAGATGAAAAAAAAAATTTCTGGGGAGAAATTCAAGCCTGCTGCAGAAATTTGCATAAGTAATGAGGAGTCAAATGTTACTCTCCAAACCGATGGGGAAAATATCTCCAGGGAATGTCAGAGATCTTGGTGGCAGCTGCTCTTATTATAGGCCCAGAGGCCAAAGTGGGAAAAATGCTTTTGTGGGCCAGGCCCAGGGTCCCCCTGCTCTATGCAGCCTCAAGACTTGGTGCCCTGTGTCCCAGCTACTCTAGCTCTAGCCATGGCTAAAAGGGGCCAAGGTACATCTCAATTGTTGCTTCAGAGGGTGCAAGCCCCAAGCCTTGGTGGCTTCCACATGGTGTTGGACCTGTGGGTGCACACAAAATCAAGAACTACGGTTTGGGAACCTCCACCTAGATTTCAGAGGATGTATGAAAATGCCTGGATTTCCAGGCAGAAGTTTGCTGCAAGGCCAAAGCCCTCATGGAGAGTCTCTGCTAGGAAAGTGCAAAGGGGAAATGTGAGGTGGGAACCCCTCACACAGAGTCCCCAGTGGGGCACTGCCTAGTGGAAGAGGGCCACCAGTCTCCAGCCCCCAGAATGGTAGATCCACCGATAGCTTGCACCGTGCACATAGAAAGGCCTCAGACACTTAACCCCAGCCAGGAAAGGAGCTGCCCAAGGCTGTGGGAGCCCACCCCTTGCATCAGCATGCCCTGGATGTGAGACATGGAGTTAAAGGAGATTATTTTGGAGCTTTAGGATTTAATGACTGCTTTGCTGGAATTCAACTTGCACGGGGCCTGCAGCCCCCTTTTTTTCTGGCTAATTTCTCCCATTTGGAATGGGTGTAATTATCCAAAGCCTGTATCCCTATTGTATCTTGGAAGTAATTAACTTGTTTTTTATTTTAACTGCTCATAGGCAGAAGGGACTTGCCTTGTTGCAGATGAGACTTTGGACTGTGGACTTTTGGGTTAATGCTGGAATGAGTTAAGACTTTGGGGGACTATTGGAAAGGCATGATTCTGTTTTGAAATGTGAGGATGTGAGATTGGAAGGCGCCAGGGGCACAATAATATGGTTTGTCTCTGTGTCCCTACCCAAATCTCATCTTGAATTATAATCCCCATAATCCCTATGTGTCAAGGAAGAGACCAGATGGGAGGTAATTGGATCATGCGGACAGTTTTCCCCATGCTGTTCTCATGACGGTGAGTGAGGTATCATGACAGCTGATGGTTTTAAAGTGTGGCGCTTGCTGGTTCTTGCTCACCCTCTCTCTTGCTGCCTTGTGAAGGTGCCTGCTACCCCTTCTACTATGATTGTAAGTTTCCTGAGGCCTCCCCAGACATGTGGAACTGTGGATCAATTAAACCTCTTCCCTTTAGACATTACCCAGTCTTGGGTATTTCTTTTAGCAGTGTGAGAACAGACTAATACAGTGGTCCATCCACAAGGGACCTCTGTGTTTCCAGCTGTCCCTGGATCTCACCTTCTGACCTTCACTGGGCCCTTCCCTCTACCTGGAACACTCTTCTCTCTCCCTGACCAGTTCCTTGGCCCCTTTCAGTTAAGGCCTTCCTAGGCCCTCCCTGGGCACCCAGGCTAGGTTGGCGCCTCTTACTTTGTCTTCCATCCCACTTGTTATATCTTCCATCCCTGCTCTCATCATCCTCTGTTTAAATTACTTGCTTAATCATAGAGTATCCTTGTTAGACTCTGAGGTCTGGGAGAGCAGTGTGTGGCCCCAATCCCTTGTTGCAGGCCCCAGTGCTTAGCATGCTACTGGGTGCATAGTAGGTGAACAGCAAACATATAAACAAACAAACAAAGAAGTGTGCTGTTGGAGAAGGAGCCAAACTCATAGGTTTCTTCTATCAGGGAGTACAGTAGATCTCCTGAAGCTGTGTGGAAAGTCTGGGTTGGTATTGGCATGACCGCTTTCTGCCAAATACCTGGAAGAACACTATAAGGAAAGCTGTTAATTAAGATATATTTTTAGCAGTGTCAGAATCAAGACCAAGAACTCCCTTCCCAACTTTGTAGCATTTCTCTCTCTTTTTTTGGTATAATAATGACTTATTTTTAGTTATCAAGTAAGATGAGTTGGTTTTCCAAATGCTGTGTTATGTCCATTAGAAAGCTCATCTTGGTGGTCAAAGGATGCTTTGGCCTCAGGCTAAAAACTGGCCCATCTCTGGAAGTCCTCCTCTCCTGAAGACCTATGGGACAGGAAGAGGCTCCTTAACAACCTTGGATGGGTCGGCAAGTGGAATCCCTTCCCCTTCCCCACCTGCTGGGTCTCCTATGGATCTGTTTGAACTTTACTAAATAATTATATGGGGCTTTTTCCTTGATGGCTCTTTTTGGAGTCCATGAATCAGTGAAGGGTTGATCCTTATGTTCCATTATTACCAAATTTCCGTTGAAGTTCTACTATGCTCAGGGCACTGGGGATGACCGAGACAGACAGGATCCCTTCTTGCCTGAGCTCACGTGCTGGTGGAGGGTGAGAGACATTATCCAAGTAAATAATTAAAAAGAATAGATGACTTCAAGGAGTGTTATGCAGAAAATAAAAAAGGTGATATGAGGAAAAAAACCCAAGAAGTTCTATTTACATATTACTAGGAAATCAGCAAGAATCCCTCTATTATAACTGAGATTATAATAGCTGATATCTTCTTATTTCTACCTTTCTTGATTTTCCACTGTGGGGTAAAAACCTGAAATTATTTTCTAGAATCTGATTTTCCTGAAGGCATGAATTATTAAGTGTGAGAAGAGAAAAACAATAGAATTAAATTGCTAAAATCAGGCCCCTATTCAGTCCCATTTTAAGAGAAGAATCTTGAATATTGGAAGCACACAATTGGACATCTAATGTAAAAGAAGATGTCTCATGTGGCATAGAGTTAATTGGGGTGTAACTGTCAATTGAATGACTTTACCAAAACTCCCTCAAAAGGAGTGATGCCTTATTCAGTTAGGTTTTTGCCATAAAGTAAAGACAGCGGCACTAAGCTGCTTTTCTCGTAGGAAGAAAAAAGAATAATGCAGGGTGAAGCATCCCTGGTCTAAACTTAGAGGCACCAGGGACTGGTGCAAAAAAAAAAAAAAAAAAAAAAAAAAGAGAGAGAGAGATAGATAAGAGATATATGCTCGTTCTCACAGAAATCTGTCATTTTCAACAGACCTAATGTGTTTTATGGATAGAAACTTAATCCTCATCAATTTCCACCTGAACCACATAAGAGAAAGAAAGTAAGAAGTCTCATTTCCAAGAGGATTCTCCTATTATGCTGACTAGCTGAACTGTGGGTGACTCCAAGTAGCTATAATCATAAATCAACTCAATTTGAATTATCATTAGTATTCACCCTTCAAAAACAAATATAACATAACCATTGTCTGCCGTAAGAAATTTTTAGGAAGAAGTGATTACCTTCTAAAATGATCAAACCATTCAATTCGATCACTTATGAAAGAAATATTTATTGTCTACTATGTGCCAAGCAATATAACTTCAGTAGAAACTATTCTTAAGGATTCCTAGAATATTGTATTCAGGATAGTGACAATCTGGATTAGTTATTATTACTAAACTTTTGCCTATGGTATGAGAAAACCTATGGGCCACTTTTCAGGACAATACATATATGTTGTATTGGGTTGAATGATGTACCCCACAAAAGAGATGGATATCCAAGTTCTAACCTCCAGTACCTGTGAATATAACTTTGTTTGGAAATAAAATCTTTGCAGATATAATTAACTTAAGGATATTGAATGAGGTTATCCAGAATTTGAGTTGGGCCATAAATCCAATAACAAATATCCACAAAAGAGACAGCAAAGGAGAAGTCATAGAGACACAGAGAAGAGCGTCATGAAAAGACGGAGGCAGAGATTGAAAGTGTGCTGCCACAAGCCAAGAAACACGAAGGATTGCTGAAAGCCACCAGAAGCTACAAGAGAGGCATGGATTTGATTCTTCTTTAAAGCTTCCAGAAGGAATCAACCCTGCCAGCACCTTGATTTCAGACTCCTGGCCTCCAGCACTGTGAAAGAATAAATTTTTGTGGTTTTTAATCTACCTAGTGTGGTAATTTGTTATAGCAGCCCCAGGAAACAAACACAACGCTCTTACATGCAGCATTTCGCATAATATTTCAAACTCTCTGCGTGGACTCCCTGAGGGTCCATGAAGCCTAAGTTAAACAGATCTGAATTAGAAATGTCCAGGCAACTCTATGGTCAACATAGTGAGGGGTCTGGGGGAAAACTTGTAATTTGTGGCAAACATCAACCAGGAATACTTAGCCTGCAGAGGAGATGAGAGACGTGATGACTTTCCTCAAATATTTGGAAAACTGTTAAATCTATGTGTCCTCATAGGTGGGTGGACATATAATTTGTCATCTAAAATAGGGCATTGCTGAGAGTTAGAGGGGGACAGTATTAACTTGTTGTAGGGACAACAAGCTTATATAAACAAAGACTGTCCCAGGAAAACTAGGACATATGATCACTCTACACACAGGAGAAAAACCAGTGTCAAAAGATGGGACAGAGAAAAAAGAGAGACATAATTTGGCTCAAAACAAGGAAGAACTCTGAAAGAAAATAATCCAACACCTCACCAGACCTGTTTTAGTAGAAAGTGGGGAATAATTTGGCAGAGAATTTTAGAGGTGCAGCATTTTACATTCAAGGGGACCTTGAATGTAAAGTCATTTCCTATTCTAACATTCTGTGTTCTATCCTTCTGCTCCAAATTCAAATTTAACCATTTTCAATACATACTTCTGGAATGAAAAAGTATTGACTTTGGAGTCCCTCAAGAACCAATTTTTAATTCTGGTTCTGTTAGTTTTCAGTTATATGATATTAGTAAATATATTTAGTTTCATTGAGTACAGTAATATCTATTTCAAAGGGTGATTGTGAGGTTTAAATAATAAAATATATGAAAAAATTCAGCACAATGTCTGACACATAATAGGCGAACAGTAAATTAAAATTCTTTAACCCTAGTAAGTCCTAAGCATATAACTATAGGTTTTGTTCTTTTTGAGTAAATTAATGCAAATGAGTTCTTTAGAGATTATTATTGCTTAGGATTTTTAGACCTTTGGAAGTAGAAAATGATGTTTTTCATATATGCTTGAGGGGAAAGGGTAAGAA
Organism: Homo sapiens; assembly: GCF_000001405.40. Classification (NCBI taxonomy): domain Eukaryota; kingdom Metazoa; phylum Chordata; class Mammalia; order Primates; family Hominidae; genus Homo; species Homo sapiens. The sequence goes on along the minus strand of NC_000012.12, from coordinate 88,757,311 downwards.
GGAAGAAAGAGAAAGAAGAAAGGAAAGAATAAAGCATAATAACGAGCAAATGAATGAACGAGAGATGAAAGGAAGAAAGAAGGGAGAGAGGGAGGAGGGAGGGGAAATAGGGAGGGTAGGAAAGAAAAGAAACAAGAAAAAAGTTCATAGTGATCCTTTTGTTACATGGAGGACAACTGCGCCATGAAGATTTTAACTGGCGTCAAAGGCATGTAATCTGATTCAGGGTAAAGTGTATAACTAATGTCCTTCAGAAACCTTGTGGCAATTTCTGTAATGTTCTGAATAGATTAATATGTGAATGCCTCAGATACTGTGCAATAGTTTGTCCTCAGCTAAAATAAGACATAAATACTTGGGTACAATTTATTCTAGTTATCTGAAATATGTTTTTAGCAACTTAAATTTTCATCAACAAGTCCTCAGTGAGTCTACTGCTTTTAAGGGCTGTGATCAAGACAATAGTTATAGGGGGCATAGATAATAACATTTGTCCTAGTTTTCAGGGTTCTCATGAGGATCAGATGTGATAATAGAGTGAAAAAGCCTTAAAACCTTAATTGCTATAGAGTGGAAAATTCTATTAATAATAACGAGAGTCAATAATGACAACAATTCTGGTGAAAAAAGTCAGGTGTCCTTGGCAGTAGGGAAACGAAGTATACACTTCTGACCCATGGGCATGTGGAGAATCCAGCTCTGTTTTTGAAATATAGGGCACCTGGAGAACACATGGACTAACTGAACATAATTCCAAAGTGGTAAACCAAAAGTCTGCCAATTTAAAAGAGACAAAGACATTGGGGATTTCAAGTACATAAAGTATAAATCCCCAAAGGCAGACCATTTTCAAGAAGCAGCAGGTCAAGTATTGGTGACCTGTACCAGGCTCGCTAAAGGCTGCAAGATGATATCATGAAATGTGCAGATGACCACAAGTGCCCAGGGCACCATGGCACTTTCCCAACTTTGTTAACTGGGACTGACCTCCTTCGGTTTATCCTTCCCATGGACCATGCTCTTAAAGGCAGAATAATTTACTGGAAGGTTAAATTGTACATGTTCTGCTTCTACATTTCTTCCCCGTTCATTGCAGGCAGCCAGGCTTTGTAATTATGGCCTCAAGGATTTGATCAGAGCCAAACAGAAGCAGTGAAATGTTAACAGGTCTTTCTGCCTTTTATTTAAAACAAGATTTCTAGAAAAAAATTATGCGGTCTTGCTCTGTTGCCCAGGCTGGAGGACAGTGGCATGATTTTGGCTCACTGTAGCCTTGACTTCTCAGGTTCAATCTTCCCACCTCAGCCTCCTGAGTAGCTGGAACCACAAGCACATGCCTAGCTAATTTTGTTTATTTTTCATAGAGATGAGGTCTCACTATGTTGCCCAGGCTGGTCTCCAACTCCTGGGCTCAAGTCGTCTTCCCAACTCAACCTCCTAAAGTGCTGGGATTATAGGTATGAGCCACTACACCCAGCCTGACCTCTGACTTCTTTTAAAGTCATGACCCTGCTTGAGTATTTTACTCAATCTCATGTCCCTTGAAGTGTGATCCGTTAAAATATTGTCCTTACCCTTCCTTTTACTTCCTATCAGAATGTAGCTGTCTCAGTATGGCAGATTCCAGCATGGAGACAGCTGCTTAAGGAGAACTTTTTTTTTTTCTCAAAAATGTCTATTCTCCACTTCCACCTTTCCAATGATGTGAGAATGAATGAACATGAGGCTGAACTTGCTAAAATGCTTGAATCCCTATTTATATCGATTTTTATGTAGAAATTTCACTTTTTCAGGACTCAGCTCAGACATTCCCTTCCCAGTCTTCCTTTACTTCCTAATACTAAGTTAGGAGAGCCCTGTTTGTTGTTCTGTGGGACCTTGTGCCTACGCCTATCCTGACTCTTACCATCATATGCAATTGCCTGTTTATTTATCAACTTCTCTGTCTTCCCACAGAATTGTGTGCATCCTAGGGGCAGGGGCTGTGTCTTAACTCTAAAACCTCTAGGTAGTGTCTTATAAACAAATAAATATAACATTGTGACTGCTGATACTTCTGAGAGATTATCGACTCATGGATTCGAGTTGTGAGAAAAAGACTCTTCACCAAATGGATCTAGAAATGAATTCCTGTCACAAATAGCCTTTCAATTTGAGGGAATGGTACTTATCTTTTTGCCTCACTTGAAAACCAAAGACTTGAGAAAGAAATATATACCAAACTTAGTAAATGTTCAAATAAGAAAAAGATAAAATAGGAAGAGGAGAAGTATATACAATATTATTATCATAATTTTAAATTGACTTTCTTTAAACATAAACACAAAATTACAACTTAAAACTCCAAAGTAGTTAATAAAATTATTTGTAGCACTTCATCTGTCATGCCACCAAACAAATATAATTAATCTAAAAACTTTTAAAAATGACCCAAGTGAAAATATCATTTTTTCCCGGTGCGAAGTTCAGATTTTCAATGAAATTGAATATAGGAAAAACAAAGTCTGGGAATTAAAAGTTTTTAAAATCAGAATTTAATAATTTTCTAGAGCATAATTTTTCATTGCTTATTTTTATGGAATTTTTAGTTCTTATATATTATGGATTTTTCAAGGTCTTTGTATGGGCATTCACATGTTACATGGACACTTTTTTTTCCCTTTCAACACTAGTGAACTATGAAAGGAAACCTTATGCTCTTCAGCAACTGATTATAACACCACATTTGCTGCTATTGTTAAAATTGTTCATTTTCACAGCGTTATATTAAAAAACGTGATCCAGGATGAAACCTGGCTTACAAAGTCACAACTCACAAGTGAATTTTAAACAGTCTGGAAGAATCTATTCATTTGTTTGTACATGCAATTTTATGAATCAAATATAGACATGATAATTTTAGATACCTTTTACAGTTGCATCACCAATAAATGGTTTGTTTAAAAATATAGTTGTGATTTAAAAAGGACATGTGCTACCACAATATTTTAACACTCCTTTCCTTGTGAGCTAGAGGGGGACAAAAAAAAGCTGTTCTTTTTTTTCCCCCAGAAAAACAGACATCCTGCATTTCCACCTTTTTATTTGTGAACCTTAAACTATTGCCTAGGCCAATGGTTTTCAACATTTCTTATGGTAATCTAAACCATTTTTCAAATTACGGTTTTTTGCAGAACCAACACCCACAGAAAACATGAAAGAAGAGCAGCTCTGGTTGAGGCAGAGGATTTGAATCCCTGCAGGAATAACTGCCTCTGTGTCATTATCCCCATCCTCCTCCTGTGGCCTCTGAAGAGAGTATAAACCTGGAGCCCCGTTGCTCCAGGGTAGTCCCGGTTTACACCAGTTGTTCTGACGTAATTATAAATAGTTTCCCCTTTCACCTTTATTAACTGCATGGCCGTCATACCTCTGAGGCACTGCTACATAACCGAAGAGCTTACAGAACGCAGATGAAAACCCACTGGTCTAGAGCCAATGTAGAGGTCAGGTGACTCCTCTTCTCATGCATCAGGCAGTAGCTACACGTTCTGCCAGCAAAACTCATTCAACCAGGCTATCTTACATTCTAGACAAATTTGGCTACCCGGTAGCAAAATAGAGTTTGTGCAAAACAAAAATCCATTTCTTTCCCTACCAATGTACTCTTGTATTCAGTGTTTCTGCTAATCTTACCAACTCCCTAGTCATTGAAGCCAAAACTCAAATTAATTTTTCCTTCTCTTTCCTCTTTATGCCAAAAATGCATGTTGTTGTCAACTTCTATCAATTCTATCCCCAAATGTCTCTCCTATGTGCTTTTTAACCTCCATTGTCACTGTTGTTTCTCTAATGAAAGTCCATGTTTGTTCACACATTGGTGGGCCAAGGCAAAACCCCGTGCCACCTTTCAATTCCTATTTCAAACATCTCTTCATCAATTCCCTCCTTGATACTTACCATCATCCCCACAAACTTTTCCCAATTTATCTGTGCTTGAAGGAAACTCTTTGGCCTGTGAACAGCATTAGCACTTTATCCATGCCTCACTTATGACTCACGCAATTTTCCACTTTCGGTTGTAAGTATTGTCATGTTTTGTTTCCTCTGTTAGCTTATCGGTCCTTTAAAGGTGAGATGTGTAATTAACTTTGGTGTTTTTAATAGCATCTTGTACTTTGGAGCTCTAGGAGTGTTTATCAAATGAATAAATAATTGGATAGATGAACAAATACATACAAAGATATAAGTTGCTTCAATGTATTCATTACTTCAGCCTTAACAATCTGACAAGAATTATGACACACTATTCACTATCTTCCCCATTCCAAACAAAAAAGTCTACTTCATTTGTCCTGAGCGTAAACTGCCTTCTATGATCGTTTTCACAAGTGACCTACATACAGTGCTTTCCCCTTACCTTCTGCTACTTTTATATGCCCTCCAGGTTTTCAAAATTCAACTCACAATTAAGTTTCTCTTCACCACTAGCCTAATTAGATAGCCCCGCTGAGCAACATTGTTATGCTATATCATTTAACCATCCCTATTGCCTGGTACTACCAACTTTAAAACGTGCAAATAACACAAAGAACAGGTAAAACTAATTCATAGTTGTCTATACCATGCATTTCTCCCAGACTTTTCCAATATTTCATAATTTTTTAGTATTTACTATGTACCAGGTACTGTTCTGAGAGTGTTACCTGTAATGACCCATTAATTTTCACAGAGTCACCATAAAACAGGTCATATCCTTCTGTTAAAAATTAGGAAACTGAGGCCAAGTAAGAATAGACAAATAAGAAGAACTGGACTTCAAATACAGGTAGTATTAATGTGGTATCAGCTTCTATGCTTATAGCTAGTACATATTTCTGTTTCTCAGAGCTTTGAACATGCTGTGCCTGATGTCCTGAGGTTAATCATACAGTGTAATAAAAAGCCTTTAAAGTTAGGCAAACTCGAGGTCAAAGTCTACATCTGCTACCCCATAGCTCTGAGACCTGAAACAAGATACAAGATACGTAACCAAGCTCTGTTTTCTTATTTCTAATTTTGGGAAAATTCTAGTGCTGTGAAAATTGAATGAGTTATATTTCATCAAAAAAAAAATCCAGCAAAAAACAATATATGGTGCGTGTTTAATAATACACAAAGTAAATCAGAGTGGAGATTTGTAATATGAGGACGATTCAAACAGAACCAAGGTGCCAATCATATTGTCTTCATGCTTGCCATATGGTCCTCAGCCTTCAACAAAAGGAGGCCAGTTGGTATGATGGTTGAGAGCCTGGGCTCTGGAGTCAGTCTTTCTGGTCTTAAACCTCATATCTACAAAATACAAGTTGTATGAAGTTGAGCACATTTCCTAACCTCATTAAGCTTCAATTTCTTCAACTGTTAAATAAGAAAAATAATAGCACCTATGTCATAAGGCCATTGTGAAGATTTTATGAGTTAAAATCATAAACAAGGTATAGTGCATAGCAAGCTGTGATTACTAGCTAACTAGAACTTTTTAACACCTCAGCTCAAATTGCCAGAATAGCTCCTGAGTGGTCCTCAAGCATTTAGGAACTTTCTTTTACAATCCTGTACATCATTGCAAGGATCATTGTGGTAAGCTAAGCAGAAGACTTTTTATTTATTTATTTATTTATTTACTTGCTTATTTATTTATTTTAGAGGCAAGATCTTGCTCTATCACTCCGGCTGCACTGCAGTGGCATGATTACAGCTCACTGTAGCCTCTAACTCTTGGGCTCAATCAATCCTCCCACCTCAGCCCCCTAAGTATCTGGGACTACAGGTGTGTGCCACCATGCCCAGCTAATTTAAAAAAAAAATTCTGTAGAGACCAGTTCTTTCTATGTTGTCCAGACTAGTCTTAAACTCCTGGGCTCAAGTGATCTTCCCACCTTGGCCTTCCAAAGTACTGGGATGACAGGTGTGAGCCACTGCACACGGCTGGTAAGCAGAATTCCAGATGACTTCCATGTCCTTAGTGTCCTATTGTTACTCCTGTGATTATGTTACCTTACATGGCAAAAGGGATTTGGGAGATGTAATTAGGAAAGATTATCTAAGTGGGATAATCTAATTACATGAACCCTTTAAAGCACAGAGTTTCCTCAGGATGGTGGTAGAACAGGAAGTCAAAAAGACTGGAAGCACAAGAAGGACTCATTGCTCTACTGCTGCCCTGGAAGTTGGAGGGAGCTATAAGAGAGGGAATAGGGGTGGCTTCCAGGAGCAGAAGGTAAACCCCAGATGACAGCCAGGAAGGAAACAAGACCTTAGTCCTACAGCTGCAAGATATTGAAGTCAGCCAACATCCTAAATGAACTTGGAAGCAGATTCTTTTTCCAAGCCCTCCAGACAAGAGCCCAACCCAACTGACAGATAAAGGTCAAGATGACTTTGACTTTTTCCTTGTATGACCCTGAGCAGAGAATCCAGTCACCCTGTGCTGAATTCTGTCTTACAAAACTGTGAGATAATAAATGGGTATTGTTTTAAGCTACTAAGTTATTTCTGTTACTGTGCAGAAATAGAAAACTAATAAAATCATTTGTCTAAATGATTGTTCATCATGTCAATGGATTCTAATTATTTTAACCTGCTGTACAAGACCTTCTGAGGTCTTACTCCAATCTAATCTTTCTGACTGTATCTCACATTCATTAGTTTCTTCCAGGTAAAAGTGACTCTCGTCAAGAGACAATTAACTGATTTTACACTGTGTCTTTCATTTTCCAACCTCCTGCTCTTATTAATTGTTCTCAGTCACCAAGGCATACCTCCTCTCTACTTCTCAATTCCTTTGTGCCTTCCATTTAGCATCTCTCCATGTGTCTTAAATCCCCATGCAGAGGGAATGGCAGACTCCATGCTTTAACATTTTCCATTTCTGGTCCTTTTACAATGGGTTTCCTGATTGCTGATAGTGAGAAGGTTTGATAATGAAGATACTGATGAGCATAATGATAAGAATGATCTTATAGAAATGACAACAACAATAACAGCAACAGCACAACACAGCATTTTATTAAATATCTAGAATGTCCCAAGCTCTGTGTTAAATACTTTACATGCTTTCTTTTACTCCCTTTCATCAATCCTATTAGACAGCTTTAAATAACACCAGTTTGTAGATTCAGAAAGATGGTTTAAATGACTTGCCTCAAATTATATAGGTAGCAAAGAATACACATTCATCTATTTGACTCAAAAACTCCTACCTTTGCTGGATTTTAGTCTCATGTTGTTTCAAATGCTAGGAAATATTGGGGAATTTGGGATTCTGAACTCATATAGTGCCTTGGACAATTACACTGTTTTCAGTTAAAAATTTAATCAACACTTATTTGCAATCTACTTGTGCCAGGCACTGTGTAAGGCACCAGAAACATAAAGAAGAATGAATAAGCTGACGTATCTTTAGGAGTTCACCATCAAGGTAGGATTTCTTGAGAAAAGGAATCCCTTAAAGGGAAGAGTAAGACTGTGAAAGAGAAGAGGTGTTCCATTCAGAGGAGACAGAGTATGAAATGCTGTAGAAGGCTTGAAACAGCCTGATGAGCTTGGGAAACCTCTAGCTGTGTTCCTTTCACATTTAAAGGTTTTCTAAATATTGGTACAACTAATAAATAATATTTGAGATATGATCTGATTTCTCTAATCTGATAAGGGAAAGAAAACCTGTGACATCTGAAATATTTTCAATAAGATAGGAACACTTTATTCTCCAAGTATTGGAAAGAGTAAATGTTTAAACTCAATGTTTATGTTATCATTTTCTGCAGAACCCATAAAGTTACTGGAGAAGGGTGTGTCTCTCATATCTGAGTACTTCACAGAAATATGCATATTTAAGACTCAAGGTAAGCAGATGTGCCAATAAGGTTTTAAGATAAATCACCTGAAAGACCTTTCTTAAGAGTATCTTTGATTCAAGATAATAAAAAATTATAAAGACCAAGAATTTCAAATTCACCCTTCTAAATCCAAATGGAAAACAAATTCTCTCTCTCATACAGTTGCTGTAATATCGTAAGAACATAAACCTTTAGGTGAGTGAACATGTGTTTATAATTATTATTGTATAACACATAGGTAAACAAAATTATTCAATTAGCTAATGAATCCTTCTAATTCTAAAATATAGCCTAAGCTACAATTTCCACTTTACCACTGGGACCTGATCAAATGTAGTAGTTAAGAACATGAGCTTTGGTTTCAGGTAGATCAGGGTTTGAATTTTAAATCAACCAATTAATAGCTTTCAATGGGCAAATAGATTAATCTCTCAAAGCTTTACTTTCCTCACTTGTAAAATGGGCTTAAAATATTGCCTTATAGGATAACTAGAAAGATTAGAAAATATAATGTATATGTAAAGCTCTTACCTCAGTGTCAGGAAGTGACAATGCAATGAGTGCTATCTATTATTCTTATTATTATTACTAATGTTGTTTAAGTCTAATCAACTGCCTCTGTGCTGCATATAACTGTTGAGTATGTGCACTCTGCCCTCTAAGTTTGACCACTGTGCCTCTCCAGCTTCTCACCTCTTTCACTGCTTGGTTGTCTGCTCTAATGAATGCTATGAACTCACTTCAGAAAACTATATAAATGCAAATACACTAAATTATCCTATTGTACAAACACAACTAGTGTCAGCATGGGGGTACACATCGCTTAGACCATGTCTAGTTATGGATATATAGGTGCATTTCTACAAATCCATCTATTAGTTTTATGTGTGTATATTTATGTGTATCTGTGAAGGTATCTCCTCCTCCCCACAATGACTGATATTTGGTCATTTACAGCAGCAGATTCAAGTGCAGAGACTGATGACGTTCCTTTTGAAACCAAAGATGCTGTTATATTCAGAATTATTTTATTAGAGTAGGTGTTTGTTCCTTTGAATATCTGAATATCTTTTCAGAATAAAAACAGCTTTTTTCTTAATTATATCTAAGTAAAACTACATACTCGTAGTAAAAATTTTAAACAATACATAAAAGTCTAAGAAGAAATGTGAAAAATCAGGTGAAATTCCAACAAGAATGGAGGGGCTGCCGAGCAGCCCAATAACATAATTAATGCAGTCATCCAATTTAGTAGTGCTATGTGAGTTAAATTGGAAAAGAAAAAGCCTAGAAACCAGGAAATCAGTTAGACAGCCATGCAATCGTCTGACAAATAACCAAGGCCAAGAGGAAAACTCACCAGCAGTGACAGTCAGAGCCAAGTTGTGTTGAGCACCTAATTTGTGCAAAGCAGACACACTCCGAAGAAATAAAAAAGACATGACCTGTGTGCTCTAGGAGCTCAATTTAGTGGAAGAGACCAGTTCTGGCATAATTGAGGTTCACAAAACTTGGCCAGGGAGTTTGTGTGAATAAGACTAATTCTAGTACATGTCCTTTTCCACCAACATGCTGTGTTGGGAAACATTTCAAATCCACATTTTAGATTTAGGGTTAGGGAATATGTGGTAGGCAAAAGAGACTCACTGTATCAAACCTATAGTTGTACCAACATTTAGAAAATCTTTAAATCAACATGAATCATTTCATTTTGAAATGCAAAGAAAGACACAGGTTTGTACAAAAAGAAAGGTTCCAGGGGTATAGGTGCCTGAGGGTGGATGTAGTCTCTTTAAAAGACGAAGTCTCATAAAACATTTATCTCTACTAAAAATCCAAAAAAAAAAATTAACTGGGCATGGTGGAGGGCGCCTGTAGTCCCAGCTACTCGGGAGGCTGAGGCAGGAGAATGGCATGAACCCGGGAGGCAGAGCTTGCAGTGAGCCGAGATCGCGCCACTGCACTCAGCCTGGGTGACAGAGCAAGACTCTGTCTCAAAAAAAAAAAAAATTATCTCTTGCTGGCTGTCTGGCCAGAAAGGTCAGGCTCGGGTAACATTTGTTAATGATTATCTAAGTGCAGAATTATTTTGGAATGTGCCTAAAGCTAGTTTTCAAAGCAGGAGTAATATATGAGATTCATTGAGAAGACAACAATTATTTGAAAAAAAAAGGGAAAAAGAATGAGTGAGAGAGAAAATATAGAATTCTACAAATAGCTGGGTTTTTTTTTCCCCAATATTTTAGTTTCTGATTATCTGGAATATTTTCCAATGAATTCACTTTTTTGTATTAACAAGCAACATAAAATAGTGCATTCATTTTATTATCTGTGCATTTGTCTGACAAAAATTAACTATAATGACATGTCAAACAGTACAATTAGAAATGAAAAGTTAAATTGATAGTATTACTGTGACTTTATTTTGTATTTTATTATCATGTACTTGTCAAACAAATTTTGACAATATAAGGAGAGAATGTGGAAAACAAAACTTTGAGAATGCACACATGATTAAATCATTTCATACTAAAATCTGCATCTGATTCTTCTACAACTATTGAGGTTAGATCACTTTCTAATGTCACTATTCTAATAATATATGTAATATAAATAAATCTTACAAGATATGTGAATAAGTATTAATATATGATTTACTTATGGCAACTTATATAGATTTTATATTGAACTGGCACTGCATATTCCCCATTTTAATTTCACTAACACTAGCTAAGTCTTTTTGATAATCTAAATACAACTTCTAAGCTGGGAGGGGCTGCAATTCATTTTTTGATTCAATTCCAAAGTTCCTTTCAGAGTAATAAAAACATTTTCTAAGGAAACAGAGGATGACCTTGCTTCATTATTTAAGCAGCTCAGCCTCTGTTTTTTTCCAAGCTTACCATGGAGTTGGCTTCAAGGACACTTTTTTTCATAAAGGTTTTTAGAGAAGGAATGGTGTCACCATGGAAATTGTCAAGCTTGATTCTTTCCCAGAGACATTACTCTGAGCTAGATATTAGGAAGGAGAGGCCCAAAGAGAGAACTCCTCAAAGACATACCTAGATTTAGATCTAGATCCACATCTGTTCTTCCTTAGGAAAAGACTTTGCTTTGAAAGTAATTCAGAGGGTCACAAAAATTTAAAGGCAGCTACAGATATCTTTCAGTGTCAAATATACTAGGATAATAAGTCACTACAATCAATTCAGAAAAAGATGAAATTGGGTGTCATTACATTATATTTTTAATTTTAATTTTGTTTTAGTTTTCTTCTGGTGAAGACATATGGCTCACTAAATCATATAAAGTAAATATGCTAAAGTTATATTGAAAGCAAATGGTCAAATAGTGTGTGAGGAAAAGATTAGAATACACATATAATTTCTCCATCTCGTCACAAGTTGATGGATTACAATACATCATCCAAATTCTGTTCTAAGTTTCAAAAATGTAAAGGTTATGGGTAAATTTAGAGAATAAAGGTATATAAAAAAAGAGGTTTTGTCATATAATTAAAAACAAAATGTCAGTGTAGATTGGGTCTGCATTCTACACAATGCAACCGAGGTCAGATATCCATTTTAACTTAAGAGACTCCAAATCCCAACTGTTTTTCATTTTCAAAAAAGAATTAAACTACATAGCCCTCAATTCTGTCTATTTCTTTTTGGAACTATGATAAGACCCTTGATTATTTTTTCACCTAGAATGCTCCAATTACATTTTAGTTTATCTCTCTTTCTAGGTTTTATCACCTCAGTCCACCACCCTCTTCACAATTTGACCATGCAATTTTCTCTTTCTCTTTCTTTCTTTCTTTCTTTCTTTCTTTCTTTCTTTCTTTCTTTCTTTCTTTCTTTCTTTCTTTCTTCTTTCTTTCTTTCTTTCTTTCTTTCTTTCTTCTTTCTTTCTTTCTTTTTCTTTCTTTCTTTCTTTTTCTTTCTTTTTCTCTTTCTTCTTTCTTTCCTTCTTTCTTTCTTTCTTTCTTTCTTTCTTTCTTTCTTTCTTTCTTTCTTTCTTTCTTTCTTCTTTCTCTTTTCTATTTTATTTTTTTGAGACAGGGTCTTAATCTGTCACCCAGGCTGGAGTGCAGGGCAGCCTCGACCTCCTGGGTTCAAAGGATCCTCCCCACTCAGCCTCCCAAGAAGCTGGAACTACAGGCATGCACCACCACACCCAGCTAATTTTTGTAGTTTTTATGGAGATGGGGTCTCGCCATGTTGCCCAAGCTAGTCTGAAACTCCTGGGCTCAAGCGATCCTCCCACCTTGGCCTCCCAAAGTGCTGGGACTATAGGTGTGAGCTACTATGCCCAGCCTCATGTGACTTCCTTAATGCCAATTTCTTCATTGACTTTCTTTGGCTCTCAGCCTAGTGTGCAGGCCCTTGATCGTCTGTGGCATACTTTATTGGACCTTTCTGTTATGATGTCCCCATGTACACCCCAAGCTATCCCTTCCAGAAAAACCTTTATTCTAGTTCACTATCTAAAATGCTTAACAGCTTTGCTAAGCTAAAAGGTCAGTTGCTTAGGCTTAAAACCTGGGACCCTTTTTTTTACATAACCCTCTCTGTCAGCTGTTAATCAGTACAAAATATTAAATATTAAAATTGTAAGACATGAACAAATACAATCATTTTTATGTAGTCACTTTTATTTCAAATTTTAAAATATCAATCTATTCAACAGCAGTTGCTAAAGGATCTTTGCTCTTCAACTTTTTCATACTCACTAAAAGAGCTACATTCATTTCAAGCTCAGTGTCTTCACAAAGTAAAAACAGAGAGAGTCAGAAAGTCAATCTGAATTTGAAAAGATCTTTATTTTTCAAAGTTTTAAGGTGGATCCTCAATTATGTCATGTCGAGAAGAATTTTAGTCTAGATGGCTAACAGAAGAACTTTTGTCAGTAGAACCGACAAAATGTGCCTGGAAAATGTTCAGCTATTTTGAAAATAAATGTCAGGACGTCAACTCCCGTTTCTCTTGCCGCAGGCGTTATTTGGCCATATAACTAACTCGTTAGCACTGGCCCTATATATTAACCCCATGAGGGATGAGTAAACAAAGTGAGGCAGAGTCTGCTAATCGACTTTCAGTGCTTTAATGTCACACACATAAAAAACTTACTTTGTTTTTCTTCTTCAATGTTACTTTTTTAGTTGGGCAATTTACAATAGATTTATATTCACAGTCATAAAAAATAACAACGAAAGAAAAGTAATTCTATCATTTTTCAGTCAGTAATGCTGGCCAACGAAATCTGATATAGACAGTAGAGAATGCAAACTTGCTGGAGGAGAGAGGAAGCTAGCATTCATAAAGCCTTTATCATTACCCCGGTAATAGTAACATTCTAAAAGGCTCTATCACTTACGTTCTGTCTTCATTTTGCAATCTTCTAATGTATAGAGTATACCTAGTGTATAACAGTAGTAATAACTTCAAGGTAGTCATGGAATGTTCAAGAGCAAATGGGCTTTAATGTATTTGTATTTTTTTAACTTAAGTTACACCTGGCAACAATATGAAAAAAAGAATCAAAATTATATAGTCAGTAGTTATATAATTTTCATTTAAGGTCCCATTGACATGCACATTATTTAAAGTAATTCAGCTTATTTTTTAAGCTACCCTAGAAGCCAGTTTGAAGATGGTTTGAGTGCATATATGGAAAGAGGGAAGGGAATTAGACTTGGGGATTTTTTTTTTCTAGCCCATGTAGTTCTGTAACTTATTTATGCAGCTAAATCAAAACTCCATCTTCAAGTTGGGACTTCAAGATTTCTCTGTAAGGATGTTTATCATGGCATTGTATGTAACAGCAAAAAAGTGGAAATAATTGGATGTCTAACCCTAAGGGATTAATTGATCAATATAGGATGCTGATATGGCAGGATGTTAAATAGCCATTAAAAAATATTGAAAAATTTCATTGTAAGTAGGAAAATAAGATCATAAAATATTACCTTATACTTATAAAATAAATACATGTATATATATTTATTGTGTGTGTATATATATAGTAGAATATATATTTATATGTAGGATAAATACTGGAAGGACATGCACAAAAACAGAAACATGGTTTATCTTCATGCCTTGGTATTATAGATGGTTATTAGTGTCTCCTTTTTATGTATAGCATTAAAAAATTCCTATAGTAAACATGTTACAGTATTGCTTTTCTAATGAGATAAGGAAATTAAATATATTTTAAGATTTATGTCATTCCAGAAAAAATATCTTTAAAATATATATATATACATATACATGCAGTCATATGTATGTGTGTATATATATAGATAGATATGTTCATATATAATTTAAGATATATCACTGAAAATGTCTCATCACACAAAAATGCATCTGAACCTGGGTTGATAGGATTGTAAATAAATGATCAATGAAATAGTTTTCATTTCTATTTTGTACTCTGATTACTTAGCAAAAGCAGAAATGAGCTAGTGCCTTGAAAGTTTGAATTCCATAGCCTTGCCCTAATCTTGCAGGTGTTAATTCAAGGTTGGATATGTTTTCAATTTTCCTTTTAATCAAGCCGATGAGCCAGAAACCATGAAAGGAGATCATTGCAGCTAAGTTGCAGCTGTAGCTCCTTACCTTCAAAACTGAAGATCAGGCATATCAGGAGTACAAAGTTCATTTAGCCCAAAACAAGGAAGAAAAAAATTAATTACACCCCCCCAACATACCCATACATCCACCCCACAGTGTTTCCCAAAATTCAGTCAGAATTCTTAGGAAATGTATTAATATGTGAGATCATTTTACATCTACTTAAAAAATATCATGTAACTACATATATATTTTAAAAATAGAAAACAAAAAAGAGAAAAAAATCTATAATCTCAACATTCTAATAAATCACACATGAAATTAGGAAAATATTTGTATTTAACGATAACGATTAAATAACAGTTCAATTATATGAATTTATCCATATCATTATTACATCCTCATTACAAACTTGAATATTCAAATGTACATGATAGGTAAAATTCTTTTGTGTTTTCATAATGATTTTAAATTGGTTCTCTTGTAGCAAATATGTGTCCACATCTCCATTTTATAATTTTCATAGTCCCTCATATTTTTCCATTAAAACACAGATCACAGTAAGTATATGTAATTTCATAATTTTATTTATTAATATATCTCCACAATAAGATCCTAAGAAATTACAGTATGAGCACTATTCTAGCTTTTGATTACTCTGGTACCCCTGGCACCCAGCTCAATTATTGTCACAGAGTAAGGCAGAAAATGAAGGAATGACAGTTATCCAATGAATGAATAAGAAGTCTCTTCACTTAATCAGCATCATTTGATCCACTTTGAATCTGCTATCTACTTTTGAATCAAACATCTCTTTTCACAGATTTTCCTTACATTCTTTCTTCGAAAATTTATTGTAGGATTATTTTATGTGTTTAACCCTATATTACAGAGTTATTTAATACATATGCTTTTTTTGTATATTTTTATTATACTTTACATATGCATTTTAGAGGATGTAAATGCATAATTTACATACTGTAAAATTTACACTTACAGGAAGTCTGGATTTCAGGGACCATGATAGACCTCCATGAGTGCATAATACTTGCCATTGTGGTATAATGGAAACACGAATATACCACAACATGCCATTGTAGTATATTGGAAACACATATTCTAGAATAAAATTAACCTGGGTTCAAATGCATGCTTGCTTATGTACTTGTGTGATCTTGGATAGGTTATCCTAATTTCTTTGAGTGTCAATATAAACATCGATAAATTCAAAATGTAAGCAACTTAACTGGCCAAGGTTGTAGTTGTAAATAATAAATAACATATATATATAGTACCCAATACATAGAAAGAATTTTCATAATACTAATTCCAATCCTTAACAAACTCAGATTAATACTAAATAGAGAACAAGTGACTTTGGTTTTCTACTTTGTACAGGATTTCATATTTTATACCTTATTTAGGAAATCATAACTGTGAATAAAATAATTCATAAAACTCATGTTGTCTATGAAATTGTCTCAGGATCATAGACTGCCTTTACCAAACAACAAATAATTTGCTCCTAGAAGAATTTCTTTTGCAGCATTACATCACTAATACAAACCATCTCCACAGAAAAAAAATTGCAAGGCACAAAGAAGCTACAGATACAGTTCAGGATAAACATAATTTAGCCAAGCAACAAAGTTCACACATTAATTTATGAGAGTGTCTACAGTTTGCCATTCAAAGCAGATGGCCGAGATCTTGGAATCACCTTATAAGCAATGTAACAACATGCCTGCCTGTTATTATGGCTATGTGCTGCCAGGGATTTGAATCAACTGGAAGAAAACATGATTTAGTCAATGACACGTTTGTGTCATACCCAATTGTTTTATCCATAATTAGTACAGACTTATACTTCACAGGTATTCAGCTGAAGTTAATTGAGGTCTTGGCATAAAAAAATAACACTGTAGGGTTTATAAAGCATTTAGACTCCATGTGTGTTTCTTATAATCATCGACCCACCAAATTTTATTTTTTAAATAACCTCTTGTTTTATTCAGGGATAATAGGAAAGAACATGTAAATAAATGAAATTCACACACAAAAATCCAAATATCTGAAACTATGAACATATTTTCCCACAAAACTAACAAAAATAATACTTATTGTTAGTCAATAAATGTGTACTACTTTACATGCATTATGTCATTTAATACTTACCACAACCCTATGAGCATGGTTCTATCATTAACCCCAACGTACAAATGAGGAAATCTGGGCTAGTAGAAGTTGAGAAACTTAACTGAGTTCATATAGTTGGTAAACTGGCAAATTCCAGTGAATGTACTATTCAACCTTTCCAAAGCCTATTCTTTTAACTATTCCCACCCAGGAACTGCTAACAAGAATTCAAATTAAATGATTAGGAAGTGTTAGGCCATCATAGATGTTGATCATTGATGATCAACAAAATAACTAAAGGACAAGTAATTGGAGGAAGATATATCAAAAAGCAGGATAGTGCATAGATTTTACAAGTGAGGGTGACCTTCAAGATCACTTTGTGCAGTGTCCTCATGATAGAGTCCAAGATAGAGAAGATAAAGAAGATCGAGCCCAGGTCACTTTTTATGGCCTAACATCTTCTCATAATACCATTGTATAAAAACCTTAATAATACGTCTTCCTAAACAGCTGGAAAAAGATTCCATCCTACTTCTGACCTCTACCTTGATTTTGTAAGAATTCAATAATTTAGATAATGTGCTATGTAGCTTTCTTCTTATTGTTCCGAAATAATTTCCATGTCAGTAAGACCTACGCTTTAGTGATCAGCTCTGTGGAAAAGGAAATGAAACATTCTACAAATGGGGTAATTTTCTTCTCTAATGAAGTAAGAAAATAAGCAGTTGGTGAACTAATGTTTAGCATATTTATAGTCATTTCCATACTACTAAAAAAGATACAATATCCCATCTGCTTCTGGCTGCAGAACGGGTTAAGAACACAATTTAACTCTACAATCAACGTTCGTTCCAAAACACCTGGTTGTATAAGAAGGGGGAATTTGGGGATTCAGAACTTTCTCCAGGAAATATCTTCAGTTTAACTTCATCTTTGTCTCCATTTTACTCTGCATACTGTCAGCAATTACATGTTCAATTGTCTTTCTTGGGCTTTTTTTGCTTTCTAAATATATGCTTTTTTTTTTCTATGAACATATTTGATCTCTTCAAACTATTTTGCCTCATGCATCAGCTCTGTCCTTTTTGCTGTATAGTATGTTCTCGCTCCTTCATCTGTTGCTGCAACACTTTGCATACCTGACATATAATTCTAATCTATTTCAAAACAACTTGATATGTAGGGAACTCAATCATGCATTCATTCAACAAATATTTATTCTATGACAGGTCTATGTTAGGAGCTGACCGTACAAGAAATCAATATCCAATTCTTCCTCAGTTAAAAGTACTTAAGAAACAGCTATGTGCAAGGTGTTATGGAAGAAATTGACGCAGTTTGGCTGCCACACATATCTTCTTCAGGGAAGCAATCCTGAGTTGAGACTTGAAAAATTAGTAAGAAATTTAGCCTAGTAAAGTACTGGGAGTGAAGAGCATTCTAGCCAGAAGGTGTAGCATGTAATAGCTTGATATATAAAGAAACAGTACCAAAGTGCCAATAATTAGACACACTTTAAATTTATTTCCATTTTTACTTTTTACCCTTTTTGCAATCAGTTTTCTCAGATTGAATACATTTTATAAAGCAAACAAAGGTTTGTCTTTCAAGTACTGTCAGCTAAAGTGAGCAATGGCAATAGATTTCAGATCATCAGCACTATCATAGATTTCCTCTAAAACCTTGGGCTAGTCCATTTTTTCCATCTGTAAATGAGAATATACTGTCTCAACCCACACAGAGTAGTTGTGATGGTTATGTAAGAAGAATCCATGTTGTACTCTAAGCATTATGTCTTGCACAAATTATTTTAACTGCGATTAATTAATTTCCAAGTCTAGATTAGGTATTCTGGAGGAAAATTAGAGAGATCTGGTTATAGAAAGAGACAAGAAGTCATTTAAAATTTGAATATATTTAAATATACAATTATTTATGTTTATATATGTATACACACATACATATATACATATACCCCTGAACACAACAGTTTAGGCTGGGATAAAAGAGCCAATAAATGAAGGAGGTTCACAAAGTTGAGGAGTTAAAACAGGTAAGGGAAGTGCTAAATGAAAGAATGCCACTCTTGGGTTTTTAACAATGACCTGAAATTACATTTGTTCTCAGAACTTGACATCCTAAATGGCTTTAAGAGTTTGGGAACTTGGTATCCCTTTTGTGCCCTCAATTTGTTATTTGGGCCTACATATATAGTTATTAAGTCTTGACTGAAAAGCACAAGTCCTTAACCAATCTGCAATAGGTTTCCTTTAAGATGTCCCCACTTCATTCAAATACAAGCAGTGTTTTACTTTAAAAAGGCACTTCCTCAATGGAAGATTGATTTTCTACAAGCAAGAGGAGCTATGGCATTTCCTTCTGTAAGCGTGAAGAGAAGTGTTAATTATTTACTAGAGTAAGAGGTAGCTGATTAGGCTAATATGTTTAATATTTACCAGAATCTAACTATTTTTTTTAATAAATGAGCACTCTGTGATAGGTCCAAGTAGAGGATACTTAATGTTTCTGTTTAATCTCATTTTTATCTTAACTACTTACGGGAACAAGTCTTGAGAAGGAAAAGCTACGGGAACAAGTCTTGAGAAGGAAAAGCTACGGGAACAAGTCTTGAGAAGGAAAAGCAAATAAATAAAAGTTTATCATATTAAAGTTGTTAGCCTTATGTAAGTTAATATCTGCAATGCTTGGCAGAGCACGGTGGTTCATGCCTGTAATCCCAACACATTGGGAGGCTGAGGTGGGAGGATCTCTTGAGCCCAGAAGTTCAAGACCAACCTGGGCAGTATGGCGAAACCTCATCTCTATAAAAAATACAAAAATCAGCTGGCTGTCGTGGTACACGCCTGTAGTCCCTGCTACTTAGGAGACTGAGGTGGGAGGATCGCTTGAGGCTGGGAGGTGGAGATTGCCACTGCATTACTGCCTGGATGACAGTGTGAGACCGTGATCTACTGTATTTCAGGGACCATGAACCCTACTAAACTTTGAGTCCCTCTAGGACAAGTCTGTGTCTTATTTTTCTATAGGATATGCTGAGTCTTATTCTACTGACCCTTCTGTGCTAATGCCATGCCCACCACTGAAGGATTTTTGGATGGATAAAATAAGTAGAAAAACAAATGAATCAACCATACATACATTCATAAAGAAGCATGAATTATTTACAAAGCACTATATAGCTAAGTATGAAAAAATAAGTGGGATACACATTGTGTCTTTAGTTCATAGAAAAATACAACTGGTTGCTGTGGACTCTGAAATAAAATTAAAATAAGAGTACTGTTTAAATTAAAATGGCTGCTTGGATAGAATGGTTCTTTAAGAGAAATTACACTAACACTGTTTCTATCAACACATTTTTAGCAATCTTACTATTTTTCTATCCTGACATTTGATTTAACAAACACTTATTGAAAAATAATATGTGTTATAAATAAGACTGTTTCTTGCAATTGGCAGGGATTGTGGCAATTTAATGGTAACTCTAGATATTTCATGCTTACCAGAATTTCTGATTCATGTATGTAAAATTAATTAAAAAATGAAAAAACACTTTATTATCTGGTAGTGTCCAGGCTTTTTCTAAATGTGGTGTCTACAAAAGGAGGAAGGAGTAATAGATGATTTAAAAAATTGAGAATCTAGGTTTTTCTACATAATTATTTTCTGATAATGAGCTCCTTTCTTTAAAACATTTTCTATTTTTGCCAGGTGCAGTGGCTCACGCCTGTAATCCCAGCACTTTGGGAGGCCGAGGTGGGCAGATTACGAGATCAGCAGATCGATTGGTATCTCCTGGCTAACACGGTGAAACCCCGTCTCTACTAAAAATATTTAAAAAATTAGCCGGGCGTGGCGGCGGGCGCCTGTAGTCCCAGCTACTCGGGAAGCTGAGGCAGAATGGTGTGAACCCGGGAGGCGGAGCTTGCAGTGAGCCGAGATAGCACGCCACTGCACTCCAGCCTGGGTGACAGAGTGAGACTCTGTCTCAAAAAAAAAAAAAAAAAAAAAAAAATTCTATTTTTTCTTCTTAAAATGACACACGCACATTAATTGCTCAATATTTACTGTAACATTTAAAACATGTAAGATATGATTATTTCCAGAAATGTACAAAAAGTGGAATGCATATGTATTATTTTAAAAATCAAACATTAGAAAAGTATATATTGTAGAAAGGAAAATTCCTCCATTAGACTTCAATACAGTGAAAAGTGCTCATCCTATGATAGCAGAGAGATCTGGGGGCCTGGAGAGGGTGTAGGTCATACTGTAGCTCTCAAAGTGGCTGTCCTATTCACCTGTCCTATTCACCTATCAGTTTAGTAATCCAAACAAAGATTTACTCCATCATTTCATCCAATCTATAAATGCAAAACTAAAATAGGATCTCCCAATCTATTAGATACAGTCATCTGATTGGATTATGGTAATTGATATGATTAGATGAACAATCAAATTAGATAAAGTAACCTATATGCTGACATCATGATTTTAAAACCTATGATTTTGTTAATTCCACCCTTCTGATTACTATTGGTGGCGCTTGAATACAGTAGTTGCCCTTATTTGTGGTTTTGCCTTCCAAGATTTCAGTTACCTGTGGTCAACTGCAGTCAGAAAATAGGTGAGTACAGTACCATATTTTGAGAGAGAGAGAGAGAAAGAGAGAGGGAGAGAAAGAGGGAGAGAAAGAGAGACCCCATTCACATAACTTTTAGTACAGTATATTGTTATGTTTGTTCTATTTTGTTATTAGTTATTGTTGTTAATATCTTACTGTGCTTAATTTATACACCAAACTTTATCATGGGTATTTATCAGTAGGAAAAATCTGTATATAGAGTTTGATACCAACCACGGTTTCAGGCATTCACTGGGGGTCTTGGCAACTATCCTCCAAGAATAAGGGATTACCATCGTGCACAGAATAATTGAGCTTCTTCAGGTGCTAGTCCATTTGGGGAGGCAGCCTCAAGAGAAACACAACATAGCTTGCAATAACCCTGCCTTTTTCTTTAAATGTAGGATTTGCCAGTTTTATCTCCAAGACTGATGACTTCAAACAAGAACACCCCAGAACATATTGGAACATTTTGACCTGATGACGACTCCTCTTATACAAGACCCGTTGCACCCTTCTTTGATAAGTGAGAGTGCTGGTTTATCCACTTTGCCTAATTAATTATCTTTATCTTGCTAGATGTCACACTGCAAAAATGTCCACTTACACTTTTTACCCAGTTAGAGCTCACCCTCTTTTTTCCCCCAAACTTCAATTCTCTGCTCCAATTATTCTCAAAATATTTCCATGTTTGTTTGTATCACCTAAAAGCATTTTTTTCATTGAATAAATATTTATTTATTTAGTACCACCACATGCATGGCATAGCTAGGGATGAGAGAGAAGAGGGAGAGAAGGAGGCTTAATTTAAAGAAAAAACAGGGGGCAGGGCGCGGTGGCTCACGTCTGTAATCCCAGCAATTTGGGAGGCCGAGGCGGGCAGATCACGAGGTCAGGAGATTGAGACCATCCTGGCTGATACAGTGAAACCCTGTCTCTACTAAAAATTACAAAAAAAAAAAAAAAAAAAAAAAAAAAAAATTAGCCAGGCATGGTGGTGGGCACCTGTAGTCCCAGCTGCTCGGGAGGCGAGGCAGGAGAATGGCGTGAACCCAGGAGGCAGAACTTACAGTGAGCCGCGATCGTGCCACTGCACTCCAGCCTGGGTGACAGAGCCAGACTCCGTCTCAAAAAAAAAAAGAAAAAGGAAAAAAAAGAAAAAACAAATATTGATCATGTTCTTGAGGTGATTACAAACTAGCATAGCCATGTGCATAAGTAACCATATCTAATGAGGTTTTTAAATAGTAATTGTTACCAAAAGAAAGAAACAAAAAGAACATTTAGAAAACTCAAGGCAGAAAGCAATGACAAACACTTAAAGAGTTCATGGAAGAATAGAAATGAACCTGGCAATGAAGGACATGGAGTAATTGAACATGGTGTGATTAACAGAAAGACTTCAAGGCAGATAGAAACATTTAGGAGCAATTTTTTTCTTTAATTACAAAAGCAAAATGCTTCATGATAGACCAGAAACCAAACTTGTAGGCAGAAAAGCTAAAGGTTTTAGTGTAGAGATAAATGGGGGTGGGGAGTGGTAGAGAAACCGGAGAATAACATCATTTGTAGCACTTCCAAGTATGTATCTACAAAATCTGTTCATTCTTTAAAATAAATACAATTAAAAGGCAGCCAAATTCCCCTAAGGTTTCTAATTTTAGTAGCCTATGAGACATCAGGCACAGGCCTTCATGGCATACACAGACAGCCAACAGAGATGGCATTGGGTAGTGTGCCCCAATCCCTGGATCACACAGTGTTAAAGGATAGTAGAGGCAAAAGACATCCTCTCAGTGTGACATAATGATTGGCAGGAAGACCACTTTGTCCCAGAAAATCTCTCCCATAAAAGGGGTGAGAGGGATTGAAACTCTAGAGTTAATTACCATGTATTGAGAGTGTACTCTTGGGCACATTTATTTATTCATTCATTCAATTTGTCCTTGGACACCTACCTACTTTATGACAGGTATTGTGCTATGCCAAGAATGCAAAACTGAAAAAGATAATCTAGCATATATATGTTCTACCCTTCCCTCCTCTATGAGTTCACTCTGCCACCACCACATGCATACATTGCAGTGTCCTTCAGTTGGCTTTTTAAAATCCTTTAGGCCTCAGTTTTAATTTATGTCGTATCCCTTTATTCCATAAAGATGTTCTCCCCTTCTATTTTCTCTCAAAGAAATCTGCTCTTTTTTTTTTTTATCTTGGATACCTTTCTCCCAACATGCCATTATATTCTTATTTGTTGATGTGTCCCTGCTAGAATAGAATTACTTTTCTCTGAGGAAGAAACCCAATTTGTTTTGTTTCCTATTATATATTAAATGTCTCACAAAGTGCTGTTGCACTGTAGATGTTCTAAAAGTTATGGTAAACTTATTAATGAACATGCGTTCAGGAGGGAAACCACCACTGAGCTGAGAATTAGGTATGCTGTGAACTCTTGTCTCCTACTCATTATAGGTGATCAACAGTCCCAGTTTGGCCAGAACTTAGGCATTTCCCAGGAACAAAGGATTCTCACTACTTAGGGTTAACTGAGATGGTTGGTCATCCTTGCAAATGAGAGGCATGATTTGCAGGATAATAGACATTACAATGTATGACTGGAATTGTAGTAATATAATTTACATTTGGATCATACTTTCTAGTTTTTAAGAGATCATTCAACAATAACATCTCCCTGTTCCTTCACAATCCTTTGAGATAGAAAGGAAAGAGGCTATGACCTTTATGTTATAGATGATGAAACTGAAGCTCAGAGAATTTAACAGATCTCTCCAGAGTCACTTGTCTAATAAATACAGACATGGTACTGGAAGCCATGCCTTTGGAAAGATTCCTACTGCTATGCCTGATCCAACCAGTCACACTGAATAACCAACTCACATAGGAATTAAACCTGTGACCTTGGCCTAATTAACATCACATTTCTAGCAACTGTGCAATCTGAGACAAGTGGATATTCGTAGCCAACAAACCCGAAATATAGCTACATAAGCTCTTTTATCACTTCTGTAACAAGCACAATATGTCTGTATCAGGAGTGTTTTCTCTGAACTGGTATATTCTCCAGATCTTTGAAATGTTTTTAGCTGTATGTTTTAGATTTTCAATGTAATGTTGTTGTTGTTGTCGTTAACTGTTTTCTTGCCACCATCTCATTATATGTGTGACCTATGTCTACTCTTTGAAGCTCACTCTATCATTTTGTGACCCCTGTGTATACATAGGGCTTCACTAATGATAGGAATGTTTTCCTTTACCCATTGTTCAGCTCTGAAAGAGCCCTGAGAAATGACCAACTGTAGGTAATTAGAAGCTACTGAAATTAAATATAAGAAAATGTATTCCCCTAAAAAAGCAGAAGGCAAAAAATAAAACTTAGGACAAGGATCTAAAAGGATGTTTTTTAAGCAGTTAGAATGTAATGAATATAAGTAAAACTAGCCATATTTTTAAAATGTGGATATTTACTAATAAACTTGTTCCCTGTGTGGCCACTTAGGAAAATCATCACTCATTAGTTGTCTTCTGGATGAGGTAGGACTATTCTGACAAGAGAGTCACTAAGGGTCAAAAGTAAAGATCTACAAGCTAAAAAGACATGACATATTAGAATGAGTCAATGCTTTTTCATCTTTATGTTAGAAAACTTTAACCTCTAGCTTACCTGAGAGTGAAGCTACAGTAAATATGAAACCCATTAAGAATTAAACCAAAGCATGTAGTGTGTACAGTGAACACCTTCCATAAATAAATTGGTTAAGGGAGATCTATATCATTTTTCTTCCAATTTGGGTGGGAAAGGGAAATAACAGAAAGACTATTGATTTGGAACTCAAAAATTACATTATACTGATCTCAAATTTGAAAAGAAGATATCTATTTGGATAATCGCGATCTGGGAATAAGTATAAGAAAACGTCTTTCTCAATGATAAGCCTGATTGCAGCTCTTGCTGACAAGTATAATAAAGGTTTTCTAACCAAGAATGAACTTCTGCCCTCATCCACTTGCTTTATTTTATGCAGACCTCAAAGGGTGATCCACACATTTGAAAGCAGATGGGAAATAAAAAGCAGGGCACTCCCATTCTAATCCTCCTGTTTTTCTAGGGCATCTCTCTTCTTTCATGGGTGCTTACTTCTTTTTATTTCGAAGGACTAAGTGTTTTTTAGCTTCCGGAATGATCATTTTTCATACATGGATGAAAAGAAAACAGTAAGAATTCTTGTCATTAAGGCTATTTTACTTCAAGGCCAAGAAGAAAATTGTCAAAGAACCAAAGGCCTTCTGCTAGTAAATGCTTTTAATTTAACTATTCTCCCCAATATTAATCTTATAATAAATCAAAATTAAGAAGCAGGCTTTTGACAAGAAAACAGCTGAAAAGTGCTGAAATTGGGATGGTTTAGATGTATTCAGATATGGCATGTTTAATAATACAGCATGTGAAAAGCAGGGGAAACATTTAATAAGCTTGTATTCATGATAGCATTTTTTGTTCTTTAATGAATAATGAGTTAGATTATGCATGGAGAAAACTCATTAAAGGAAAAACACTCAGTATGATTTGAAAAGATGATCATAAATATTCAAGAATTATAGCAGCAAATAATTACACTCTCCAAATAAAACAGAAACAACAATATTAATGTTAACCAAAGTCAAGCATGTGGTATAATAAAAGGCCATTTTTTATGTTAAAAAGCAACATCTAAACTGAAAACCTAATAGATCCACTCTTATAGGTAAATAATATAGCATTAAAATATATTTAAAAATCCACTTCTAAAAATAAAAAAGAGAAATATATATGCAGACAATAGTAATATTTTAACAATCCATTATCAGCCCATAAAAATCAAATAAAATACATAAATCAAAACATAGAGAAAACCTCTATTATTATTAATAAAACAGAATTAGTAAGTTATAATTTTAAAAATGATGTTGTTTTAGCAACAAAAATACAATTGCATCTCAAGTGTCAATGGAACAAGTAAAAACTGATCAAATATATGGTGGCAAAATGTTATTTTATAAAGTAGAAATTTTAGGTAAGTCTAACTAGAATATTTTGAAAAGTAAATTGCTTAGAGATTTAAAAACATAAATATTTGGTCAATAACAAACTATTTAGAAATTAACAAAAATGAATGCCACATCTTAAATCTAAGAAGTACAATAAAATGTAGTTATAGATCATTTCATGCTTTTAATACTTTATTAATAGAGTAAATAAGTAGCATTTATAAGTAATTGATATTCTTAAGTATTATTATTTTAAAATAGAGAAAATAAGTAGAAATAATATCCAATTCAAGAATTTTAAAAGAGAAAAAAAGACCCAAGGAAAGCAGAAGGGAGTAAGTACCATAAAGAGCAAAAATTCAAAAAGCAGAAACAAAGAAAAATTAAAAAATACACATGCAGTGTTTTTTTTTTCAAAGAAAAGCAGTGACAGCACAGTCTCTGAAGTCTAATGAAGAAAGAAAAATTTAAAAGGAACTAGGCAAACAGCAGAAAAGGGAATTTAAAACATTTAAGGGAATATGTACATAATATGTACATGCTTACAAATAATTTTTAAATTTCCACAAAATAGATTGTTTTCTGAACACATATAAATTATTAAAATTGGCTAATAAGAAGTATAAAGCCCACTTAGATCATTTATATAGGGAAAAAACCTGAAAAATATGTATCCACAAGAAAAACTTTGGAGCCAGTACTAATACTCATTATTTTTCTCACACTTTTAGGAAATAATTTTCATTTTACTTAATTCATCTCAAAATATTAGAAACAGGAGACAAAGTTACCTGCTAAGCATGGAGCAGAGCTATGACACAGGCCAATGATGTTCTACTGTTTCTTACTGTACAGCAAGTCTGATTCGCTCTGGTTTGACAAAGCATGTATTTCTATAAAAATATGGTTTTTTTTTAAGCCCATGTTATGGTGGGTGGGATACAAAAGCTCAATGAAACCAAATAATTTACCCAAGGTGATCTAGTGGAAGATTCACATCTGTCTGTTTTAAAGTTGATACTCTTTCTGCTACTTTGCACTATTCATGAGCCCTGAATCATCGATTTTTAGCCAGCACTCATATCCTGACAGTAATTCTGCAGTTACCACCCCACTAACAGTTCACCCTCACTGGTATTCTATAGCCACACTTAGCTCTCAAGCCTCAATTCTGTTTGATAGTGCAAAACTGAATTCTTTTAAGACAATTTAGTTACTTCTGGTTTAAACTGAATTTCTCCTGGGAAACTACTCGATCACTTCAGAATTTCTCTCAGGACTTTTCCCTCTTTTCTTTTTCTATCTCTTCTCTTTAGGGTGATGAAGCTCTGGGGGTTCTGGGGTGAGGGTGAGGGGCTTACACAGACTCTGGATGTAGGCAGAGGGGGACCTGGTTCATGACTGCTTCTTTGCTAGTGTACATGCCTCAGGATACTCCACTCTTCCATTGGCTCAGGCAAGGCAGGAAATGACCATTGTCATTGCCCAGATTTAGCCACCTTCTGCTCATCCCCTGATACAGAAGCCCTGGACCTCTGGGACCTCCAGCAGCTATGCTAGCTCTCATCTTTAAGCTCTTTTCCTGCACCACTCATTGGCTTTCTTCTTTGTCACATAGATAAGGAGACTTGAGTATCAGTTTTCAGTCCTCTTTTTCATTTGGCCTGCCACCTGTGCTACTCAACTGTTGCAGCTCTACTTTGAGATGAACAACTGAAGTTGGGATGAACAACTAAATAATTAGTTGTTCTAAACTAGAACTGCAACAGTTGAGTAGAATAGGTGGCAGGATAGGCCAAATGAATACCCCTATATCCTCCTGAGTTCCACATGAAGGGCAGGACATCTCTGTCCTCTGCAGTTTTACTAGCTTTTGACTTTCAGAAGGGGCTAATGAGTAATTTTCAGAAACCCAGTGCATTGAACACTAATACCTGCATCTTGAAATTTTCTTTCTCCAACCCTCTGAACAGCTCCTGGCTTCAACAGTAGCCTAGAACAAATCATGATGCCTGAGATGGAGCTAGGATAACCCTAAGACCCCCAGAGAATTCTTAGATCAAGAATGAGTCCTCAACAGCCCCTTAGTGTTTAGGATAGAATAGCGAAATCTCAAGAGATTCCAAGCCTGTATCCTGCATCCTGCAAACAAACACACAATTTAGAAAGACAGACTCATATTTTTAATCCCAGATTATGTAAACATCATCTCAGAACTTTGAAACAAAAGATTGAATAAGGAAAAAAATAATATATCAACTAAACTGGCAGTTTCTAAAAATTCTTTTGATCAACTTAATTTAAAAAAAATCTTCTTTCAACCTTCACAGTATAAGATTATGATGCTTGGTCACTGAAGTAAAAAGAAGTTTTGGTAGTGAAAGATATACAAAAGATACTCAGGAATTTGCAAATTTTTTAAATAAAAATTTTAGTGGGAATAATTAAGGAATCATCCCTTGGCTAATTCACTTAGTTCAGGTATTAGAACAATTTATTTGGCATCTCAGCTACCCTACTTCCATAGTAAATACAATTCAGATAATAATAACCGCACAGTTAATCTATTCACTTCAAATTTTCATGACACATAGGCTAGTAGGCAGTGTATGTAGCTGATTTAGTTATATCACATAAACATGCACTTTACACAAAGTCAAGAAACCATAAAAAGTTTCCAGAAACTTGGAAGTCATCCTAAAGTCCTCTTTTACCCTCAGCCCCTTCAGCTTATCATTTACCAAATATTGTCAGTTCTACCACCTTCATATCTTTGATTCTGGCAAATGTCTTTTATTCCTGCAGTCAATGATTTAGTGTGACATTATGTTGTGATATTTACTACAATGGATTTATAAGTTATTCCTCTTCCTGCCTTCCACCTCCAATTTGATCTTCGTATTTACCAATCTTTCTGATCTTTTGTTTTACGGGTACTTTTACAGCTTCCTATTGCCTTCAGAATAAAAAAGCCCAAACAACTTAAGATGCATCCTAGGAGATCCATGGCCTCATGCCTTCTTATTCCTTCTGCCTCACCTCTCCCTACTATCTCCTCATTATTCTGCTGGCTACTCTGATGACTCCTAGAAATTGTCAAGCTTTCATCTCCAGACTTTGCACATGCTTTTTGTCCCTCTTTCTAGAATATCCTTTTTCTCTTCCCTCCCTTCACCTAGCTAATTCTTATTTATTCTTCAAGTTGCAGTTCAAGCAGCATTTCTTCTCAGAAACCATTCTTTCTCCAAGCCATCTCATGCCCTATCTGAATTAGGATACTCCTCTCCAGTGGCTTCTCATAGGCCACTGTGGATATCTCCTCTATTAAGCACCATACTGAAATGGTTTGTTTCTCTTTAGGCAGTAAATCCCTATAGGACAGTGAATATATATGTGTTATCTTTATAAACTCAGAATCTAGTACCATTTTCAATGACATAATAGCCATTCAAAAAGTATTTTGTTTACTGAGTCATTCAATAAATACAGAGTGAGTTACTTGATGGGTATGTAATTGGGAGTGTGTTAGTCCATTTTGCATTACTGTAAAGGAATACGTGAGTCTGGGTAATTATAAAGAAAAGAGGCTTATTTGGCTCACAGTTCTGTGGGCTGTACAAGAACCACGAACCAACATCAGCTTCTGGTGAGGGCTTCAGGCTGAGTCCTTTATGGCAGAAGGGGAAGGGGAGTCAGTGTGTCACATGACAAGATAGGGAGCAAGAGGGAGAGGAGGTAGTGCCAGGCTCTTTTTAACAACCAGATTTCCTATGAACTAATAGAGTGAGAACTTACTCCTTACCATGGGAGCGTCATCAGCCAGTCATGAGAGATCTGCCCCCATGACTCAAATACCTCTCACTAGGTTACACCTCTAACATTGGGAATACATTTCAACATGAGATTTTGAGGGGACAAATATCCAAACTACATTAGTGAGCAAATATACTTAACTGTCATTATTTCTTCATCTATAAAATTGGTATAAAGTTATACTTATCTCCTAAGATTTGTAAAAGAATTAAATGACATCATCCAACACAGTTCTTTGCTCAAGAAATGTTGTGTGATAGACTTGTGTTTATATCCCTATTCCTCCACTTTTATTGGCAGTGCCACCTACTTTCATTGTTACCTAGAGCAAGTATAATATCTCCCAAGCTTCATATTTCTCATCTGTTAAGAATTTAATGTTAGTACCTCCAAACAATTAAATGAGATAATGCACATAAAAGATGTAGCAGCAATCAGCACATAGTAAATAATAGTTTGTTGTGGTTATTATTATTAATAATTTTTGGTGCTAATAATACTATTATTAATGACATAGGTTACAAGGAAACCTGTGATTATGACCCTAGAAAGCAGTATTACAAAGAAGGTTCCAGATCTTCATTACACATGTAAAGGAATAACTTCTCCAAAACAAAAATTTATACTTTTGAGAAAAATAAAATACATAACAAAATGAATTGATTATTGTTATTAACACGTTGAGTATATTTGAAGCTAGTATCAATAAATTATTCTGAAGATTTATATAATTTCTTCCTAGAATTAAAAGAACTTTGATGACAGGGCACAATAATAGTTAGCAATGTACATATCTAGGGCAATATATTTTGACATTCCTCAACTACTTTGGAACATTAAGCATCAAGGGAAGCAGAAATAGCTCAGACAAAAAGGAAAAGAAATTAAGAATGACTTTGGAGAAAGCAAAGGAAACATGATTTTCATTTGACCTACATTTATAAAGGAAAGTACTATAACATAGAAATAATGAAAAAAGGTTGGGAAAACTGAATATCCAATACTTAAATCAAAATTTTGCTACAGATTGGGGAGATTTTCAGATTATTTTTTAAAATCAGTAATTTGTTAACTATATTTAAAGAACAAGAATGTCTATTGTAAAACATAAATTTTAAAGATTTGGTTATTCAAAAAGAAATTTTGTCTCTAATTGTTGCTTAAAATCAGTTTTGACAGGGAACATGTCTTCTGGCTGCCACAGATAACCTAAGGATTCATTATTTTCTATATATTTAACATGACTGATAAAGTTAGTACTGCATCAAACAGAGACAGCTTGGTGCCTGCCCTAAGGGCAGAAAAAAAAAACTTCAAAATGGGAGGAGAACACAGCCTTAATAAGTACATTATATTTATCTTTTGACTTTGGCTATATTTGGCAGCTTCTCAGCACAAATGGCATTTTCTCTGTAGTATCAACTAATACACTGCAGAAAGGTTAGCACTGTTACTTTCAAAAGAAATTAAACACTCTGTGCAGATAAAGCTGCTTTCATTGTTCTCCATTTACCTAAGTAGCTTAAAACCTTTTTTGGAAGAAGCCAGGGAATGAAGTATAAACATTTTCCTTAAGCAAAGCACATTCCTTTCAGAGCGAGTACTGGTTATATTGGGATATCCAACTTATCTAGGTACAATTTTGAGGTGCTTAGATTATGGTGAGAGGGGCAACGCAGATATATTTTAAATATTTTTTTTGTGACAAGATTGGAAAACCAAAAAAGGCAAATCATTGAAAGAAGACTTGTTTGAATCAAAGCTCACTTATTTAGTGAACGAGCCTCTAGTTCTATGATCAGAACTACAGGAGGACTGGATTACTCCATTAAATGCAATCAGAAGAAGTTGTGTGTGTGTTTGTGTGTGTGTGTGTGTGTGTGTCTGTCTGTCTGTGTGTGTATAGGGGAGGAGAGAGAATGGGGAAAAAAAGGACAAAAAACAATGAGCAGAACAAGGAATTCAGTACACATACAAATCCTAAACAGGAGAAATGTGAGAGCATTGAAGAAAATATTGTGAACAAAATGGCCAGTCTCCTGCTCCCAAATAGGTCTTCCCAATGACATCACATAAATGCTCAGGAACTAGGAACATAATATTTCTCACTTTACATTTGCATCTCACAATGAGTTTCTCAGTTGCTTTTTACAAAAGCATGTCATTTAGTGACCTCTTGTAAGTTTCATCATTACTTTATATATTTTTATTTATATATTATATATTTATTATATATTTAAATGCATTTCTTTCTTCTATTTTGAGAAATATGTTATCATCTGCAAACTTTTGATTCTATAGTATCTAAGTGTGAGACTCAGAAAGCAAGTTACTTTGATCATGAAGTATTTTTGTCTCGTGATAGTTCATCAAACTTTTGGTTTGAAATGATACTCACTTATATCATTTGTTAGCATCTAACTTTTTATCTGCTAGTCTTCTATCATCTTATATAGATATATATAGATGTAATGTAGTTATATCCCTAACTACATTGCAAACCCTTGTGTCTGATGTTCCTTGTGTCCTCCCTAGGGCCAAGCCTGTAAGCCTAGGGCCAAGCCAGTAAACCTAAGAAACAATCTTAGGATAGAAATCAGTAATAACCAATGGCTTCATTTTAAAGTTAACATGAACCACCTAGGAAGAAAATAAATTATAACAGGAATAGATAAGAAATTAATACTTTTTATTTATTCAAAAATATTAGAATGACTTTCATGTGCCAGGTAGTGTTGTAAGTCTTTGGGGAAACATTGGTGAACAAGATAGACAAAAACGCTTGCCCTTGATAATTAATATATGTGTCAGAGGGTAGTAAGTGCTATGGACAAGGCGGAAAAGAGGTAAAGTGAGTGTTCAGAGAGAACTATTCTGAGAATGGATTGAATTTTTAGTAGGGTGGTCACGGAAGGCCTCACTCAGAAAGTGGTATTGGAGCAAGAGCTGCTGGAGGTAGGCAGCGAACCAGGAGAGTATCTGGGAGAAGATTTCCAGCAGGGGGAACAAATAAGACCATGAGGTGGAAACATGTTATGTGTGCTCACAAAACAGCAAGGCGGCCCCTGTGGGCCAACCACTGTGGGAGAGACAGTATTGTAGGAGATGAACTCAGAGAACCAATAGGTTTGGAGAGAGGTAAAAGTACAGCCTTGGAGGCCACTAGAAGGACTATTTATTTTTATTGTGTGGGAGCAAGAGAGTGTCATGTAAACTTATTTGATCTTAACAAGAGAAGGGTCATGATGTGACTTATTCTTTAATTCTGCTTTTTTGAAACTAGATATAAGGCCAGAAAGGAGGAATGTCAACAATTTAGGCAAGAAATGATAGTTGTTTGGACCAGGGTAATATCCTTAGGCTGCCACAGATAACCTAAGGATTCATTATTTTCTACCTATTTAACATGACTACCTTTAGAGAAAGCAGAGGAAACATGATTTTCATTTGACCTACATTTATAAAGGAAAGTACTGTAACATAGAAATAATGAAAAAAGGTTGGGAAAACTGAATATCCAATACTTAAATTAAAATTTTGCTACAGATTGGGGAGTTTTTCAGATTATTTTTTAAAATCAGTAATTTGTTAACTATATTTAAAGAACAAGAATGTCTACTGTAAAATATAAATTTTATCAAAGGTAGTGAGAGTGATAAGATTCAGACTATATATTGAAGTGAGAGTCAGCAAGATTTGATAATAAAAAGTGTGAAAATAAGACAGAATTCAAGGATGACTCAAGATGTTAGGAAATATCCGCAGCTTGGAAATAAGACAAAAGGATGACAGCGTGTCTTTTTGTATTGGAACATTGTCTCACAGGCACTGGCAAGGATGATTTAATTCTCTAAGACATGCACCCATGTTGACTTAATATTTACTATTGTGAAATAACTTCACTACTGTGAAGTTTTATGTGGAGTTGTATGTTCGCTTGGAAACTTTTGCCCAGTAGAGATGAAAATATTTTTCATCCAGTAGAGAAGATAATCTCAACAGTGTTATTTTCCTGAAGTTCATCAACCCCTTTGTTCTCTAACTTAGCAAACTTACTTTGCTTGCGTTCCTGGATGACTCCATAAGGTCCGTTTCTCCTTTGAATCGGCTTTATCTTTTTTGAGTCCTTTGATTTTTTTAAATCAACTTTTCTACTCTGCTGGCTCCCCTGCATGCGAACTAACACATTTTTGACACATGCTCACTTTACATTTGTATAAGAGTCATAATCCTTTGTTTTTTAAAAATTATATTGTGACAAAAGTTGTGGGTGTGAACAATTGGAATAATGAAGCTACCATTTACTAAATTGGGGAAAACTGCTAGAAGAACACAGTTTAGGGGAGAGGTCAATAGCTCAGCTTTAGACATGGTGATTTTGAGGTATCTGCTAGGTATTAAGTGCCTATAGTGAGTGGGAAGCTGGGATAAGGGACGGGGGCAGAGTTTAAGATGTAAAGTTGGAAGACATCAGTGTTACAGATCGTTTTAAAAGTCATGTGATGTTTAAGGAAAATCACCATAGAAATCTGGCCACAGTTTTTTTTTTCTCAGTTTGGGAGGCCGAGGCGGGCGGATCACGAGGTCAGGAGATCCAGACCATCCTGGCTAACACAGTGAAACCCCGTCTCTACTAAAAAAAAATACAAAAATTTAGCCAGGCGTGGTGGCGGGCGCCTGTAGTCCCAGCTACTCAGGAGGCTGAGGCAGGAGAATGGCATGAACCCAGGAGGTGGAGCTTGCAGTGAGCCGAGATCGCGCCACTGCACTCCAGCCTGGGCGAAAGAGCCAGACTCCGTCTCAAAAAAAAAAAAAGAAAAAAATTCTTCAAGACTGAGCCCTGATGCATTCGAACATTTAAAGGTAAGGAATTGGAACGAACAAGAAAAAGAGTGGTTTGAAAAACCAGAGGCCTATATTATCCTGGAAGCTAATTAAAGAAAGGTGTTTCTAGCAGGAGGTAGGAATCCACTCTGTCAAATGCAATGGAGTACTCAGGTAAGATGAAGGCTGAGAATTGTTCACTGAATTTAGAAACATACATGTCCTTGGTATCTTGAGCCAAAGCAGTTTTCGTGGAGTTATGGAGTTAGATGCCTAATTGGAAAGAGTTCAAAGAGAATGAGAATAAAGCAATTGAAGAGAGAGAATATAGATAATTCATTGGAGGAGTTTTGCTACAGAGAAAAGGAAACTGACCTCAACAGGAATGAGAAGAGCTTGGGGGATATTTTTTAAGATAGAGAAACTGTTATTCATTTGTATGATAACATGAATGATCAAGTTGATAGGAGTTCTTTGGTGACAAGGCAGAGGGCCTGATGCACTAGTTAGAGGTGACGTTATCTCTTAGTAGGAATTGTTTATCCATGGTAAGTGGAGAAAAGGCAAAGTATGTAGGCATAGGTTCAGACCCAGATTCATGGTCATGCATTTGAGTAAGAAGGTGGGCCTGATTGTATGCTTTTCTTCAGTCAAGCTCTGCAGTGAGGGTGCAGACATAGGGTATACCAAAAGTTTGATTGAACAGCAGTTGGTCTTTTTCAAGGTAATCTTGATTCAGGAAGAGAGTCTCAAAAGACTTGAGGATGTAGAAGGAAGTGATTATAATGATGGATCATAGAATTAAGTGTAGAAGGAGAGCAGAAAGGATATGAGGGCGTGATGACAGTGAAAACTGGATTCTGGATGGCAGGGTCTGGTGAAATTAAAGAAATGCTGGAGTCAGGGAAGTAGAGTATGTCCAGGCAGGGAAGGAGTCTCTAGAGTTGGTTTTGCTGGTACTCTCTATCTGCAAGATGGGGTTACGGATTTAAAATGTAAATGTTTGGTTATGCAACCACTGTTCTCTTCTTATAAAGCAAAGTGTTCAAGATCTTGACTCAAATATTTTTCTTAATAGAGCATTAAAAAGACAGTGATCTCAACTAGATTAGTATTACTAAATTTTCTCACTGTGATAGCAGAAGTGGAAGAAAAATCTAAGAAAAACAAATAAAACAGGAATGGCTTTGATTTATATTGCATCTGCCCGTGAGATGTCAAGTGATTTCTTAACAACTTGTTCACACCCTCATTATGTAAGAGTGATCCTGTCACTTTTCCATCATTTTAAAAAAAAAATATACTGTGAACAAATGTTAATTGCATAATATTGATTTTATAATAAAGTCAAAAAGACTTGGGACTCAAATAGTGTTGTTTAAACAATTCAATTAAGAAATTGTCTCAAGCTGTACTTAGTACAGCAAACATGACTGAACATATACACATTAGTTCTGTTCGTTTAACTGGCAAGAAACACTGTTCCTTAATTCCAGTTTTTGCATTCCTAGTAATTTTTATAACAGCCCTGAGAAAAACTAAACGGTACATTTCTAGGGGACTATGACACTTCTCAGAGAGTCCTAATCATTTGAAGAGCAATATTAGCTGCAAGACCTAAGGCCAAAGTATGCTTATTATGCGCAAAAGCACTATCTTTAAGGAGGACATCTGAACAAGGTGAAACAGTATCTCTACATAGGCCCTACCCCATAAGAATTTTAAGGATTTATGGTTATCAAATGACTCGAAATTTTAGAAAGCGTTTTTGGTTGCTTGTAGAAGCAATGGTCAAATTACACTTTCATGACAATGGTACTAGATATCTTCAGAGTTCACACTACACTTTTACCTTGAAAAATATAGTCCCATTGTCTATTTTGATACATAAAATTGTTCACTTTAGATAGTCTAAGAAACTTAGACTTAAGTTTCTAGTTTCTTAATTTCCTGCACCTCCACATACTTATACATTCCATTACCCATTGTCACACCTTATGTAATGTGTTCATGTCAGAGTTTGTCTGGATTATACCCTATTTCTAAATCTCCTGAATTTTGGTGAACAAGTGAGGATTTCTTTCTCATAAAGACAGTAATCTCTGCAAGCTTATTCCAGGGGCACCCTGGAATGCTGCAGAAAAATTTTTCCTATTTTCTCCCTGTTCTTTGCTTTGAACTTTTTTTAACAATAAAGAAAACACCTATTATTAGCCCTGAAGCCTACAATATCAAAGCTACAAATAGTACTCATTGATAAAACAGTGTTCTCATAGTATCCTTCTAGTAATATGTTTGCGTGGATAGTACTCAAAACTTAAGCTAAATTTCACCTTATGTTTTAGTAAGAAAGCAGTTCATATAATGATGTAGCATCTGTTAAGCACCATATATAGCATTTTCATCACCAAAGGGAATGGGCAATACAAGATTGAAGGATTTTATAGATCCCTGTATCCAAGAGTAGCTGATTACTTTTAATCCAAATTATAGGCAAGAACTGAAAAGTACCAAACATATAATTTGAGATTTTTGGTTGTTTGGCTTTTTCCTTCCAATGAGTAGCACTGATACCTCTTTGCTAGGAACTCAGACTCTTTTCAATTCAAAAGATGCAGAAGAAAAAAGCCTCAAGTCTGGTCATTTAGGATTAGAAAGAGAATCAATAGAAGATCCTCTAGAGTACAGCATGCTATTGTGCACTCCCTCAGCGGGGCAATGAGTGGAGCACCAAAGGAAACTGAGTGACAGGCAGCAGAATCAGGGATGACTGCAGAATTTGAGACCTATTTAACATTCCGTTGTTTCATATTGAGTTTCTACTCTGTAAAGTAGATATTAAGGTATGTTTGCATTTATTATCATTCTGAAAGTAGAAATTAATTCAGTAGCTAAAGAGCCAGAGCAGCAAGAGCAACAAAATGATTAAAGATAAAGTATATAGGACAACATAAGACTATATGGGACCCTCAAAGAGTCCAACAATGAGAGAAGAGTAAGAGTGAGAAACAGACTCTATAAGGATTTGCAGAGAGGGCAGCAAAGCCCAAACAGAAATAGTAGAAAACTGAGCACTTAGCAACTCCTAAGGGAGTATAATTTACGTCCCTAATAACACACATAGAAAGATGATTATTAGGCTGGAAGGAAAGGGAACTAATATAGTTAAGCACGTATTACTGTCAAGCACTAAACTAGACATGATTTCATTTAGACCCCACTACTAATTGAAGAAGTAGATATTATTGTTTCTATGTTACAGATAGAATGTTACAGTAAATGAATAATTTCCTTAAGGAAACACAGTGGAAAACTGAGGAAAGCAGTATTATCTACTGGCAGTCATTCACAAATTCAACAAATATTTACTGAATACCTCCGTTGTGTCAGATATTTACACATATTTAATTAGACAAAGTAATTACACTTAGAAAAAGTCTTTGATAAACTATTAAATAAGAATTTTTAAAATATTAAAGATATAAAGGAAGGAATTAAGCTGGGTGTAGTGGCTCATACCTGTAATCCCAATACTTTGGGAAGCCCTTGGCAGTAGAATTGCTTGAGCCCAGGAGTTTGAGAACAGCCTGGGCAACACAGGGAGACCACATCTCTACGAAAAACTTCAAAAAAATAGAGGCCAAGGTGAGTGGATTGCTTGAGCCCAGAAGTTTCAGACCAGCCTGGGCAACATGGCAAAACCCCTTCACTACAAAAAATTAGCTAGGCATGGTGGTGTGTGCCCGTAGTCCCAGCTCCTCAGAAAGCTGAGGTGGGAGGATTTCTTGAACCTGGCAGGTGGAGGTTGCAGTAAGCCATGATTGCACCACTGGACTCCAGCCTGGGCAACAGACTGAGACCCTATTTCAAAAAAAAAAGAATACATAAAAATAAAAAATAAAAAATAGAAAATAAAAACTGAGCAAGGTATGGTGATATACACTCATAGCTACTCCAGATGCTAAGGTAGGAAGATTGCTTGAGCAGGAGGTGGAGGCTCCAGTGAGCCATGATCGTGGAACTCCACACGAGCCTGGGTGACAGAGCAAGACCCTACCTCTAAAAAAAATAAAAATTTAAACATTTTTAAAATAAATTTAAAAACATTTTAAATAAGACATTAAAATGTAAGAAAGGTAATATGAATAACAAGCTGATTTGGAAAATACAAAGTAGAACTTCTAGAAATGAAAAATGTGGTCATTGAGATTTTTAAAATGTACTCTATACGCTCATAAAATAACTGACACTTCCTGGGTATTTCCAGATACCACATACCAGCATACCAGATAATGTTCTAAGCACAAACTAATTTGTTCTTACAACCCAACTTTGAAGTTGGCTCTATCCTTACCCACATCATGCAGACGCTTGAAGGTGTGGAGGAGATTGCCCATGGTCACATGGACATGAGTGGAGATGCTAGGATTTGAAGCTGGGGATTCTGACTCAAGAGTCTTCAGTCTTTTTAAAAAACAGATTAATAAAGATATAAAGACAGAGAGATAATTCACATGCCATACAATTCACCCATTTAAAGTATATAATTCAACAGTTTTTAGTAAATTCACAGAGTTGTACAATTATCACCACAGTCTCACCACAGTCTAATTTTAGAAAACTTTCAACATCCACACACAAAAAATTCCACGCCCAACCTCTCCCTCCTCCCAGCCCTAGGCAACTACTAAACTACTTTCTGTAGTTTTGCCTATTCTGGACATTTCATATAAATAAGATCATACAATAATACAATATGTAGTCTTTGAAGACTAGCTGCTTTCACATAGCGTATTATTTTCAAGATTCATTCAGGTTGTAGCATATATCCATATTTCATTCTTTTATCATCAAATAATATTCCACATGCATATAGCATGTTTATTTGTCCATTAGCCAATAAATATTTAGATTTTTCCACTTTTTCTCAAAACTGAATAATTCTGTATGAATAATGCCTCTATGAACATTCATGTACAAGGTTTTGTGTGGACATATGGCTTCATTTCTCTTAGGCATATACTTAGGAGTAGATCATTTGGCAACTTTATGTTAAACATCTTGAAGAACTGATCAACAGCTTTCCAAAGTGGCAACACCAGTTTACATTTGTTTTACATCCTAACTGGTGTAAAATGTTATCCCATTGTGGTATTGATATGTTTCTCTAATGATTAATGATGTGCAAACATCTTTTCATTAGCTTGTTGGTCATTTGTATATTTTCTTTGGAGAAATGTTTATTTAGATCCTTTTCCAATGGACACATGTCATTTTCATTGCCTTCAACTTAGTTTTTGACAAGAAGTCTGTTTATGAGTGGCAGAATAAAACAGAGGAAGCAAAGGAGTTATCATTTGTTGGGAAACCATAAAGACTATGATGTGAAGGCCTTTGCTGTAAGACTCACCAAACTAAAACTAAAAAAAAAAAAAAGAAAAAATAACTAATGGAAATGGCATCCCAGAGAAGACAAAATAGATAATTTTGTGAAAATATTTGTTTAAGATAAGCAAACAAAATTGAAGCTTCAGATTATGTGTGCACACTCCCCTCCCCTTCCACAAATAAATATTCATCAAGTAACTGGCCTCATTCAAGCATGAGTAGTAGTAAGAAAGGAACCCAGTAAAACTACATTTAGGCAGATAGTGCTTGAAAAAGAGAACAGGAACTAAGTAAAAGGAAGATACAGAAAATATATTGTAGAATCTCCTACCCACACAAATAATTTGGTGAAGTGGCAGTCCCTCCACTCCACACCTGGACATAACTCCAGGCATTTGGCACACCTGCTCCCACAGATTAAGCTTTAGCTGCTCCTCCCTAAAGCTTTGCAGCTTTAGCTGCAAAGACCTTATCATGGCAGCTGTTTCTGTGCTCCTTCCCCAGGCATATCACCTGGCTTGAGGCATACCTGTTCCCTCAGATTAGGAGCTTGTGCCACCCCTCCTTTCCCCTGCAAAGACCTTGACCTTGTTTCAGCATTGTTTTCTCTACTCCTTGCTAGGGCATATTTCCAGGCATTGGGTACACCCACTTGCCTGGATCCGGAGCCTGAGTCACCTCTCCCTTCAGGTGCAGAGATTCT
The DNA here is from genome assembly GCF_000001405.40 of Homo sapiens. Classification (NCBI taxonomy): domain Eukaryota; kingdom Metazoa; phylum Chordata; class Mammalia; order Primates; family Hominidae; genus Homo; species Homo sapiens. The sequence continues at coordinate 88,716,316 of NC_000012.12, read as the reverse complement.
GGTGCAGTTCCACTCTCTCTGCTTGATGCCCAGGCATTTGGAGCACCCACTCTTCTAGATTAGTAGTTTAGGCTGCCTCTGGTTTCCATTCAGAGAATGTAGGGCAACAGTTTTCCAACCTCATACCTAGGAACACCTCTGAGTGCATGGCAACCACCCACTAGAAGCCCCTCAAAGTTGGTGCTTATGCCTACCACTGGGGGACTTGTAGGTGGGCCTGTCTAGTCTAGCCCCACCCATTTTGGTCCACCAACTTGGGCTGAGCAGGAACCTCATACCACTGTGCATTCCACAGATCAGCACATTGTCTAAGGGAACAGAGGGCTTCTTCCAGCAAACAGGGATTAAGTGTATGCACATCTGCATTGTCCACAGCCAGGTCTTACCCATAAGTGCCACTTACTGGTCCAGAGGTTAACTGGCACAACCCAATAGGAAATATCTAACACAAGTGCACAGCACCAGGAAACGAGATAAGCTTCCTGACATCTCCATTACCACAGCCTCACAGGAGGCAGTGAACCTGTTCAAATGCCCAATACATCACTACTATGACCAGGATTCGGAAAAGCCAGCATACAAAGGCTGTCTATAACCAAGGAACTTATACACAGTATTTGCCACTGAAAGCATAAAAAAAAAAAAAAAAACAAACCAAACGACCCTACACAACACATATATAGACACCTCCTCAAGGAAGAAAAGTTCTGTCCAAATGAAAGCAAATTCAAAAAATAAGGAGAAATAGTTTGTTCAGATGAGAAAGAGCCAGAGAAACAACTCTGAGATATATATATATAATATATACTGTATATATTATATATAATATACAGGTAATATACAGGTAATATATACAGGTAATATACAGGTAATATATACAGTATATATTACAGGTAATATATACAGTATATATTACAGGTAATATATACTGTATATATCATATATAATATACAGTATATATCATATATAATATACAGTATATAGTATATATAATATACAGTATATAGTATATATAATATACAGTATATAGTATATATAATATACAGTATATAGTATATATTATATACAGTATATAGTATATATTATATACAGTATATAGTATATATAACATACAGTATATAGTATATATTATATACAGTATATAGTATATATTATATACAGTATATAGTATATATTATATACAGTATATAGTATATATTATATACTATATACTGTATATATTATATATATATTTAAAAAGTGTTACAACACACACAAAGGATCACACTACCTCTGTAGCAATAGATCCTAACAGAAATGAAATATTTGAAATCCCAGATAAATAATTCAAAATATTGATTTTTAAAAAAGCTCAATGAGATTCAGGAGAAAGCTAAAAACCAACACAAAGAAATCCAAAAAATAATTCAGGATATTAAAAAAGAGATAGATGGAGGAAGAGCCAAGATGGCCAAATAGGAACAGCTCGAGTCTACAGCTACCAGCGTGAGCTATGCAGAAGACGGGTGATTTCTGCATTTCCATCTGAGGTACCAGGTTCATCTCACTAGGGGGTGCCAGACAGTGGGCGCAGGTCAGTGGATGCGCGCACCGTACACCAGCTGAAGCAGGGCGAGGCATTGCCTCACTTGGGAAGTGCAAGGGGTCAGGGAGTTCCCTTTCCGAATCAAAGAAAGGGGTGACGGACGCACCTGGAAAATCGGGTCACTCCCACCCGAATACTGCACTTTTCCGATGGGCTTAAAAAACGGCGCACCACAAGATTATATCCCGCACCTGGCTCGGAGGGTCCTACGCCCACCCCACGGAGTCTCGCTGATTGCTAGCACAGCAGTCTGAGATCAAACTGCAAGGCGGCAGCAAGGCTGGGGGAGGGGCGCCCGCCATTGCCCAGGCTTGCTTAGGTAAACAAAGCCCCGGGAAGCTTGAACTGGGTGGAGCCCACCACAGCTCAAGGAGGCCTGCCTGCCTCTGTAGGCTCCACCTCTGGGGGCAGGGCACAGACAAACAAAAAGACAGCAGTAACCTCTGTAGACTTAAATGTCCCTGTCTGACAGCTTTGAAGAGAGCAGTGGTTCTCCCAGTACGCAGCTGGAGATCTGAGAAGGGGCAGACTGCCTCCTCAAGTGGGTGCCTGACCCCTGACCCCCGAGCAGCCTAACTGGGAGGCACCCCCCAACAGGGGCACACTGACACCTCACACGGCAGGGTACTCCAACAGACCTGCAGCTGAGGGTCCTGTCTGTTAGAAGGAAAACTAACCAACAGAAAGGACATCCACACCAAAAACCCATCTGTACATCACCATCATCAAAGACCAAAAGTAGATAAAACCACAAAGATGGGGAAAAAACAGAACAGAAAAACTGGAAACTCTAAAAAGCAGAGCGCCTCTCCTCCTCCAAAAGAATGCAGTTCCTCACCAGCAATGGAACAAAGCTGGATGGAGAATGACTTTGATGAGCTGAGAGAAGAAGGCTTCAGACGATCAAATTACTCTGAGCTACGGGAGGACATTCAAACCAAAGGCAAAGAAGTTGAAAACTTTGAAAAAAATTTAGAAGAATGTATAAGTAGAATAACCAATACAGAGAAGTGCTTAAAGGAGCTGATGGAGCTGAAAACCAAGGCTCGAGAACTACGTGAAGAATGCAGAAGCCTCAGGAGCCGATGTGATCAACTGGAAGAAAGGGTATCAGCAATGGAAGATGAAATGAATGAAATGAAGCGAGAAGGGAAGTTTAGAGAAAAAAGAATAAAAAGAAATGAGCAAAGCCTCCAAGAAATATGGGACTATGTGAAAAGACCAAATCTACGTCTGATTGGTGTACCTGAAAGTGATGGGGAGAATGGAACCAAGTTGGAAAACACTCTGCAGGATATTATCCAGGAGAACTTCCCCAATCTAGCAAGGCAGGCCAATGTTCAGATTCAGGAAATACAGAGAATGCCACAAAGATACTCCTCGAGAAGAGCAACTCCAAGACACATAATTTTCAGATTCACTAAAGTTGAAATGAAGGAAAAAATGTTAAGGGCAGCCAGAGAGGAAGGTCAGGTTACCCTCAAAGGGAAGCCCATCAGACTAACAGCAGATCTCTCGGCAGAAACCCTACAAGCCAGAAGAGAGTGGGGGCCAATATTCAACATTCTTAAAGAAAAGAATTTTCAACCCAGAATTTCATATCCAGCCAAACTAAGCTTCATAAGTGAAGGAGAAATAAAATACTTTACAGACAAGCAAATGCTGAAAGATTTTGTCACCACCAGGCCTGCCCTAAAAGAGCTCCTGAAGGAAACGCTAAACATGGAAAGGAACAACCGGTACCAGCCACTGCAAAATCATGCCAAAATGTAAAGACCATCGAGACTAGGAAGAAACTGCATCAACTAACGAGCAAAATAACCAGCTAACATCATAATGACAGGATCAAATTCACACATAACAATATTAACTTTAAATGTAAATGGACTAAATGCTCCAATTAAAAGACACAGACTGGCAAATTGGATAAAGAGTCAAGACCCATCAGTGTGCTGTATTCAGGAAACCCATCTCACATGCAGAGACACATATAGGCTCAAAATAAAAGGATGGAGGAAGATCTACCAAGCAAATGGAAAACAAAAAAAGGCAGGGGTTGCAATCCTAGTCTCTGATAAAATGGACTTTAAACCAACAAAGATCAAAAGAGACAAAGAAAGCCATTACATAATGGTAAAGGGATCAATTCAACAAGAAGAGCTAACTATCCTAAATATATATGCACCCAATACAGGAGCACCCAGATTCATAAAGCAAGTCCTGAGTGACCTACAAAAAGACTTAGACTCCCACACATTAATAATGGGAGACTTTAACACCCCACTGTCAACATTAGACAGATCAACGAGACAGAAAGTCAACAAGGATACCCAGGAATTGAACTCAGCTCTGCACCAAGTGGACCTAATAGACATCTACAGAACTCTCCACCCGAAATCAACAGAATATACATTTTTTTCAGCACCACACCACACCTATTCCAAAATTGACCACATACTTGGAAGTAAAGCTCTCCTCAGCAAATGTAAAAGAACAGAGATTATAACTATCTCTCAGACCACAGTGCAATCAAACTAGAACTCAGGATTAAGAATCTCACTCAAAACCGCTCAACTACATGGAAACTGAACAACTTGCTCCTGAATGACTACTGGGTACATAAGGAAATGAAGGCAGAAATAAAGATGTTCTTTGAAACCAATGAGAACAAAGACACAACATACCAGAATCTCTGGGACACATTCAAAGCAGTGTGTAGAGGGAAATTTATAGTACTAAATGCCCACAAGAGAAAGCAGGAAAGATCCAAAATTGAAACCCTAACATCACAATTAAAAGAACTAGAAAAGCAAGGGCAAACACATTCAAAAGCTAGCAGAAGGCAAGAAATAACTAAAATCACAGCAGAACTGAAGGAAATAGAGACACAAAAAACCCTTCAAAAAATTAATGAATCCAGGAGCTGGTTTTTTGAAAGGATCAACAAAATTGATAGACCGCTAGCAAGACTAATAAAGAAAAAAAGAGAGAAGAATCAAATAGACGCAATAAAAAATGATAAAGGGGATATCACCACCGATCCCACAGAAATACAAACTACCATAGGAGAATACTACAAACACCTCTATGCAAATAAACTAGAAAATCTAGAAGACATGGATAAATTCCTGGACACATACACTCTCCCAAGACTAAACCAGGAAGAAGTTGAATCTCTGAATAGACCAATAACAGGATCTGAAATTGTGGCAATAATCAATAGCTTAGCAACCAAAAAGAGTCCAGGACCAGATGGATTCACAGCCGAATTCTACCAGAGGTACAAGGAGGAACTGGTACCATTCCTTCTGAAACTATTCCAATCAATAGAAAAAGAGGGAATCCTCCCTAACTCATTTTATGAGGCCAGCATCATTCTGATACCAAAGCTGGGCAGAGACACAACCAAAAAAGAGAATTTTAGACCAATATCCTTGATGAACATTGATTCAAAAATCCTCAATAAAATACTGGCAAACCGAATCCAGCAGCACATCAAAAAGCTTATCCACCATGATCAAGTGGGCTTCATACCTGGGATGCAAGGCTGGTTCAATATACGCAAATCAATAAATGGAATCCAGCATATAAACAGAGCCAAAGACAAAAACCACATGCTTATCTCAATAGATGCAGAAAAAGCCTTTGACAAAATTCAACAACACTTCATGCTAAAAACCCTCAATAAATTAGGTATTGATGGGATGTATTTCAAAATAATAAGAGCTATCTATGACAAACCCACAGCCAATATCATACTGAATGGGCAAAAACTGGAAGCATTCCCTTTGAAAACTGGCACAAGACAGGGATGCCCTCTCTCACCACTCCTATTCAACATAGTGTTGGAAGTTCTGGCCAGGGCAATTAGGCAGGAGAAGGAAATAAAGGGTATTCAATTAGGAAAAGAGGAAGTGAAATTGTCCCTGTTTGCAGATGACATGATTGTATATCTAGAAAACCCCATTGTCTCAGCCCAAAATCTCCTTAAGCTGATAAGCAACTTCAGCAAAGTCTCAGGATACAAAATCAATGTACCAAAATCACAAGCATTCTTATACACCAATAACAGACAAACAGAGAGCCAAATCATGAGTGAACTCCCATTCACAATTGCTTCAAAGAGAATAAAATACCTAGGAATCCAACTTACAAGGGATGTGAAGGACCTCTTCAAGGAGAACTACAAACCACTGCTCAAGGAAATAAAAGACGATACAAACAAATGGAAGAACATTCCATGCTCATGGGTAGGAAGAATCAATATCGTGAAAATGGCCATACTGCCCAAGGTAATTTACAGATTCAATGCCATCCCCATCAAGCTACCAATGACTTTCTTCACAGAATTGGAAAAAACTACTTTAAAGTTCACATGGAACCAAAAAAGAGCCCTCATCGCCAAGTCAATCCTAAGCCAAAAGAACAAATCTGGAGGCATCACACTACCTGACTTCAAACTATACTACAAGGCTACAGTAACCAAAACAGCATGGTACTGGTACCAAAACAGAGATATAGATCAATGGAACAGAACAGAGCCCTCAGAAATAACGCCGCATATCTACAGCTATCTGATCTTTGACAAACCTGACAAAAACAA